>NC_000010.11:122245950-122871033 GCF_000001405.40 Homo sapiens
CCACTGGCCTGGGCAGCTCTGGGCTCCAGAGGCTCCTAGCCACTGGCTTGGGCAGCTCTGGGCTGCTGGTGGTGAGCGCTCTAGGAGTCCCACGATCGCAGAGGCAGGTGGGAAGGATATTCGGCATCTTCAGGGCCAGTGGTTCTCCAAGCAGGGTCCCTGCCCCAGCAGCATCTGCGTCACTGGGGAACTTGTGACCTGTGCACGTTCTCTGCCCCACCCCAGACCTCCTAATCTCACGCCGTGGGGTGGGGTGTAGCAGCCTGCGTGTGAACAAGCCCTTCAGCTGAATAAATCCACACTCACGTGGGAGAGTTTTTGGAAATGAGGTGCTGGGACCCTAAGAGGTCAGAACTTTAGAGCAAGCTTATGTCGGGACCGGAGCTGAAACCGAGGAAATGACCCCACCACACCACACGGTAACAGTGTGCCTAGTCCTGGGGTATGGCAAGGTGCAGATATGTCCGGAACCTAAGGGAAAGAAACTCATACAACAAAATCTCCCTGCTACTAAGGGAGCTGCATCCTCCAAGGTCTGTCATTACATGGGGCCCGTGTAGAGACGTGGTTATGATCACGGCTTCAGGCTTGGCTTTGGGCTCTGCCATTTTCTCAGTGAACAGTGACTTAGCTTCTCAAACCCTCTGTTCCGCCTTCTGTAAAATGAGGGTGAGAAAAGCTGCCCGGGTGGTTGTGATGCTCTAAGTTGTTCACTCGTCGCATGGACATGTATCAAGACATCCTGTATGCCCGGCACTATCCTAGGCCCTGGGGCAGAGCAAGTGGACAAAACAGACTCTGGTGCCTGCCCTCACAGAGCGTGCATTCATCAGGGAGATGAGCCGCTGATACACCAGCATAGGCACGCACGCACACACGTGCACACATGTGTGCACACATCTGATACAATGATAAGGGGTGGCTGCTGCTGCAAAGAGGAAAATGAAGGACTCTAGAGGAAGAGGAGCCATTTCCAGTACCTCTGGGGAGGTGACATGGGATCAGAGCCCTGAGAGAATGTTGGAGAGCCCTGGAAGCCCTGGGGCGGGACCCCCTGGGGCATTGGAGGCCTTCGTGGCTGGAGCAGAGAGGCCTGGGAGGGTAGAGGGCAGAGCATGTGGGCAAGGATTTGGGTGTTATTTCCATTTCAGAGGGAGGTCACTGCGGGGGAGCTCTGAGCAGGAGTGAGGTGGCCTGGTTTGCACATTAGGAAGCT
Source organism: Homo sapiens (assembly GCF_000001405.40). Taxonomy (NCBI): domain Eukaryota; kingdom Metazoa; phylum Chordata; class Mammalia; order Primates; family Hominidae; genus Homo; species Homo sapiens. The sequence continues at coordinate 122,247,167 of NC_000010.11, forward strand.
CAGTCTGGCTGCTGAGTGCTGGCTTAGGGACAGTCAACACCTAGAGCAATCAGCAGGGTGCCCGCCACATGGAAGGGTCCAGTCAGCGCTGGCTCCCGTTGTTCTGTTATTTCCAGATGTGATCTGTCTATGGCAGCCAGCCCTCGGAGTCATTCCAGGTGGCAGGCAGCCCCCTCCCCAGTGACGAGGGCCTGGTAGAAAGACAGGTCTGCTGAGCTCCTTCCCCAGGAGCTCTGAGTGGGCGCTTCTCCCTTCCCCACTCTGCTGTCACCAAGAGAGCAAATGGTTCCTCACCCACCTGGGCCGGGGATGGATCCGCACAGAGGACAGAGGGGTGTTTTGTGTAGAGTAGTCAGAGAAGGCCTTTCCCATAAGTGTAGAAATGATTTTCTAAGCAGCCATAAAAAAAGAACAAAGTCATGTCCTAGGTACCAGCATGGATGCAGCTGGAGGCCATTGTCCTCAGGGAATTAATGCAGAAACAGAGCGCCAAACACTGAGCATTCTCATTTATAAGAGGGAGCTACACATTGGGTACACACGGACACAAAGATGGGAACAGAAGACGCTGGGGAGTTCACAGTGGGGGTAGAAGGGAGACGGGTTGAAAACCTGCCTTTCAGGTACTATGCTCAGTACCTGGGTGACAGGCTCATTAGAAATCTGTACCCCAGCATTAGTCACACAGTATGGCCATGTAACCAACCTGCACATGTGCCCCAAATCTAAAAATATACATTTTCTAGATATTTGGGGCAGATTATTAGCTTGGGATGGCCAAGGGCCGGAGAGGTGGGGCAGAGGACAATGGTTCCTCTCACCAGGATCAGCCACTCGGAACTGAGCCAACACTGAATTAATATTGTACATCACTGAGAAGCTAACCTTGACGGAAATAGCTCCGTGTTTCTTGGAGTTACAACACTTGCTGTATCGAAGACGCTATCTGTGCCTGCGTGAATGGAATTTCAGAGGAGATGCTTTTTTGGGCTCTGGGTTTCCAGATGTGTTAAGGATCTCCAAAGACCTCCTCTCTGTCCTGATACATAGGAGGGCCCATCCCTCACAGCCCAGACCTCACACCCTTTAATCGTCCCAACGCAAAATTCACTAGCGATGTCTTCTTTTTTACTTTACGGATCTGTCTGCTTGCTGTCAACAACCACATAGAATCACCAGGGACACCAATATAGACCTGTGAAGGGGCCGTACTGATCAGGTTAAGGAATAGTAATGGCTCATTTCTACCTCACGCGAGGCTGCACAGGCCCGGGTCTGGGAAGCCAGGGCTCTGGTTTTTGTTCTGTTAGAGACAGTCTGGGAGGGCTCTGGGGCGTGGGTTCGTCCCAAGGAAAAGCTGGGGTTTGAGATGCCCCCACTGGTGAGGCTGAGTTGCATCTGAGGCCTCGGCTGGCCCCAGAGACCCAGTTTGGACTTTCTGGGCTCCATCATTTGGCTCCTGGTCTCTCCTGCCAGAGGACGAACAGAGAGAGAAGTCAGTCTCCCACCAGACGGTGCAGCAGCTGGTTCTGGAGAAGGAGCAAGCCCTGGCCGACCTGAACTCCGTGGAGAAGTCTCTGGCCGACCTCTTCAGAAGATATGAGAAGATGAAGGAGGTCCTAGAAGGCTTCCGCAAGGTAGGGCTGAGTTTGGGGGCCACGGAGGAGGAGGATCTGATTGGGAGAGATTGTGGGAGCACTGGGAGGGGGTAGGATTCCAGAAGTTGGTCTTGAGCCACCTGCGAGGAGGGGGTCCATGCAGGCTGGGGAGGCAGACTTGGCCGCCTGGGGTTACACCTGCATCCGAGAGTTCCTGGGGTTCCCACCAGTGCTGGGCATTTGTTCTCGTGGGCTTGACGCCTGTCCTCTGCCCTGCTGTGTCAGAATGAAGAGGTGTTGAAGAGATGTGCGCAGGAGTACCTGTCCCGGGTGAAGAAGGAGGAGCAGAGGTACCAGGCCCTGAAGGTGCACGCGGAGGAGAAACTGGACAGGTAACATTTAGCCACTGGGGGTGGCTCCCAGGGGCCTCCCAGCAGCCCTTTTACCCAGGCAGGCTGGGACCTCTGGCAGCGCCTGTGACATTGGCTTGGAAAGGGGGCATCATCCAAGTGTGTGTTTCAATAAGACTCGAGAGAAGGCACACAGTTAGCATCATTTAATCAGTGGAGGATGCGTGTTGCAATGTCCAGGGTGCCCCGGCACCTTGGTCTCATGGCAATGGAATTGGGTTTGGTGTTCTCATGGGCTCCTGTGCTCCAGCTCCAGTTGGTGGCAGCTGGGGCCAGACCAGGCCACTCTCCCTGCCTGGACCTGGGAAGCAGGAGGTGTCTCTAGTGATCCACAAAAGAGTGATAATTCTGAGCTCCCTGTCTCCGCAGGGCCAATGCTGAGATTGCTCAGGTTCGAGGCAAGGCCCAGCAGGAGCAAGCCGCCCACCAGGCCAGCCTGCGGAAGGAGCAGCTGCGAGTGGACGCCCTGGAAAGGACGCTGGAGCAGAAGGTAATAGGGGAGGGGTGTGGCCTCCAGGTGGGCCGGGCTGCTGCTCTCTGTGCTGCTGGCCAGTCCAGCTAGACAGGCTGGGCTTCCCTGGCCACTGCTGCTCCTGAAGACGAATTCATGCTTCATGAGCATACCCTTGGTTCCTTCTAGAAGTTCCAATTTCATGCCAGCCCTAAGACCAGCTTCCTTTCCACCGTTCCTGGAACTGCAGCCTGCATGTGTGTTTACTGCCATTTTCATTCCTTTTCAACATTCGTTTATTTGTTGGATATTTATTAAGTGCCTACAATGTGTTAGGCGTAGCCCTTGAACCTCTGCATCCGGCATGCTTACTGGGTGAGTGGATGGGGTGCCCACCAGGCCCTGGCAGTGGTGGCCAGCTGATGCAGAACATGAGCAGTGTCAGGGCTGGAAGGGCGCCCAGGTGGCCTCTAATTCCAGGGACAGGGGTGATCTTCCCGAGGACACTGAGCTTGTGCGCAGGTTTCCTCCTTTTGGATCTGGCACCCCTCCATCCACTGTGAGCACTGTCTCCCTGGGTGTCCAGATAAGAAGCTCCCTCAGCCCAGGAGGGCCCTCTGAGCGTTGGGCTGTTGAGACTGCGTGTGTGTGAGTGAGGGCCAGCCTCCCTCCTTGGATGTGTTTCTCAAGGAGAGGATTTCCAGATGTGCAGCCTCCTTCCAGTCAATTTCCTGAGCCTTGGGGTTCCCCTGCGTAGTCATCCACGAGCCCAGCAGCCTGGGTTGGCAGCACAATTTTTGCATTTTGGGCCTTGATAGGCAGTGATGGGGCATCCTTTGTTGGCATCAGAAATCCATGTGCCTCCCGAGTGGCCTCTACTACCGCAGGAGCACCCAGCCAGCCCCAGGGGATTGGCTGTCCTCCTTTGCCCACTGTGGTTGGTGGTGGTCTCTAGGGGCATTTGGGCCAAGCAGTGGTGATCTCTGCCCTGGGCAGGTGCCAGTCCTCACTCCACCTAAGTAATGTTGGGGAAGGAGCCCTGGGGAGCAAGAAATGGGGCTCCTGTCCCCACTGCACCATCTGTCATGGCCCTGGGCAAGCCTCGCACCCCACCTCAGTGTCTAGGTTCCATCTAGCCCTGAAAATTAGAAGCCTGTATCGTTGGGCAGATGGATTTCCCTGAGGTCCATATCTGATACTCACCCAGTCTCCACTAGGCCCTGTGCCCTATTGGATGTTCCTGGTTATCCAGAATTTATTCATATTACAGATCATTATTTTCATTCTTTTTTTTTTTTTTTTTTTTTTTTTTGAGGCAGGGTCTTATTCTGTTGCCCAGGCTGGAGTGCAGTGGTGCAGTCATGGCTCACTGCAGCCTCAACCACCTGGGCTCAAGTGATCCTCCTGCCTCAGCCTCCTGAGTAGCTGAGACCACAGGCATGTGCCCCCTACCAGGCTAATTTTTTTAATTTTTGTTTTCGTAGAGATGGGGTCTCACTTTGTTGCCCAGGCTGGTCTTAAACTTCTGGGCTCAAGCAGTCCTCCTGTCTCAGCCTCCCAAAGTGCTGGGATTATAGGTGTGACATTAATTTAATTTTTTACCTTTCTTCTTAGGATGAAAAAGACAGATGGCTACTAGACAGTTTTAATATCAAAATTGCATTAGAAAATAGTTTGGAATATGCATATGTTCAACTACCTGTTTTGTAGGCTCTGATGATTGTTCTTAGCAGTATCCTCAGAACGACATATGCGGTCACAACTGTCAAGTGCAAGTTTTTGCTCACTCACCCAGTATTTATTGAGCATCATTATGGTTTTAGTGTTGAGTGTGCATTTTCTATTCCTTGTCTCTTGATAATCTATGTATGGCATATTTGGTGACTTGAAAAATGGAATGTTTCATTAAAATAAAGATCATACTAGAAGCCAGGCATGTTGGCATGCGACTGTGGTCCCAGCTATTCGGGAGGCTAAGGTGGGAGGACTGCTGGAGCCCAGAAGTTCGAGGCTGTAGTGCACTGTGATTGTGCCTGTAAGTAGCCAGCTGCATTGCAGCCTGGGCAACACAGCAAGACCCCGTCTCTAAAATAAAGAAATAAAAACCATACTTCACAGTCATTTTGGCTATTGTAGCAGTTGAACATACAATGTTTCTTGGTGAGAAATGTAGCAATGTGTGTGTTTGAGATGGTTCCCCCATTTCCATCAGGGTTTGATGGTGTTTAAATTGCATTATCTTAAACTGAACTTCCAGAGGAATGAACAAATCACACAGGTTCTTCCCTGAAAGACCTGAGTGATATCTAGGGGATAGTCCCATCTTAAAGAGATTCAGAAACATGATTCACCCAGACAATTCTTGAATGGAGGCGCTGGGCATTTCGCCCAATCAGCGCTCTGTAAAGGCTTTTGCTCCATGAGCTGAGCTTTATGATGAGGCAGTTTGCTTAGTGGTGGCTGATGACGCCAAGAGAGAGCTTGGAAAACCTCCGGGAATCACTTTCTAACGGGTCTGCTGATGCCTCTTAGCCATCAGTCACTGTACATAACGTTGTTTAACAGTTATAATGGCAAAGCCATATAGGAGCTGGGGCAACCTGAATTTGTGTTCCAGGCTTGCCACATCTGACTGGCTGTGTGACCTTATACACAACCCTTAACTTCTCTGAGCCTCCATTTCCTCACTGAAAAATGAGGATAATACTGGCTTCCTTGAAGGCACTATTGAGGGAACCAGGGGAGGCCAGAGTGCCTGGGATGTCTTCAGCATGGTGAGCAGCTCACGGTGGGCACTCCAATAAGATGGAAGATCACCGTTAGCAGCCCCAGCAGGGGCCATAGTGGCAATGAGAGTTTTTTTTTTCTTTCTTTTTTTTTTTTGAGATGAAGTCTGTCTCTGTTGCCCAGGCTGGAGTGCAGTGGCGCAATCTCGGCTCATTGCAACCTCCGCCTCCCAGGTTCAAGCGATTCTCCTGCCTCAGCTTCCCTAGTAGCTGGGATTACAGGTGTGTGCCACCACGCCCAGCTAATTTTTTTGTATTTTTAGTAGTGACAGGGTTTCACCGTGTTGGCCAGGCTGGTCTTGAACTCCTGACCTCTGGTGATCCACCCGCCTCGGCCTCCCAAAGTGCTGGGATTGCAGGCGTGAGCCACCACGCCCGGCCAATAATAGTAATTTTAAGATTAGTGGTCAGTGCTGTATCCCATTCAGAGCCCCATCGTCCAGCTGGCATTTCAGTGCCTCTCTCGAGTTGTTGACCTCAGATGCAAATTTGAGCCAGGAGGTGGGCCAGGGTTCTGTTTGAGGCAGGCTTCTCCCACAGTGGGGACTGCTGCTGGGAAGGACTGGAACTTCCCCTCCACTGAGGAGAGCCACTTCCTCCCAGCACTGACACAATGATGAATGACACCAGGAGTTCTAACCTAGAAACAGAGGGCACGTGGCTCTGGGCTGGAACATGTCTCAGGAGTTCTGAGGTTTTCAGGGAAGGGCTCTGCACAGCCTCAGGGACAGGCTTTTGGTGAAGACTGATCTTCCATGGGAATCTCAAGGAAAAGCTGGCTGCAAAACATCCCCAGTATGCTGGAGGGATCCAGCCCCCTTGGAGAAGGCCATTGGAGATCGGTCGTGCTGTTGAACTTGATCAGCATCAGAGCCAGCATGTAACCTATCTGAAAGCAAAGCCACACGTCCATGATGGAGGGATCGTCCCGTTGGATCCCCTCACTTTCTGAGAAGATGGACAGTGTAGGATCATCTGTGCTAGACAAACCTGTGGTTGGTTCCCCTTGATTAGACAGGCAAGGTGTGGTGGGAGAATCACCTTAAAGCCAGCTCGCATCTGCCCCCCACCCCCCATGACCCTGTAGCCACAGCATCACCTATTTGGCATCCCTCTGAGCAATGCCAGTGATCCCATTCACGTAGAACTGCGTAACCCTCCTTATGCTACATCTCAAAAAAGCCACCGAGGGGTTTACCCCAGACGCTCCTCACCTCAGATCACATCCTTCCCGGGCAAATAAAGGGAAAGGAACCAGACTAGTTAGTCCTTCACTCTGTGCTGGTCACTGCCAGGAAACTACATTTATCACCTCATTTACTTCTCAGAAAGAAACATGTTATCACCTATGTTCTAGAGATAAGGACACCAAGGCTCAGAGAGGTTGTGTAACTTGTGGAAGATCACACAGCTACAGCTGGGATATATACTCAGATTGTTTGGCTCCAAGTCATTTGTCTCACTGCTTTAGTGGGGACCAAGGGGCCTGGTGGTCCCCCATCTCCCCAAAAAGCCCCATGAGCATTCTGACTGGCCAGATTTCAAACATCAGCAACTTCTTCCTTGTCTTCACTTGCAGAATAAAGAAATAGAAGAACTCACCAAGATTTGTGACGAACTGATTGCCAAAATGGGGAAAAGCTAACTCTGAACCGAATGTTTTGGACTTAACTGTTGCGTGCAATATGACCGTCGGCACACTGCTGTTCCTCCAGTTCCATGGACAGGTTCTGTTTTCACTTTTTCGTATGCACTACTGTATTTCCTTTCTAAATAAAATTGATTTGATTGTATGCAGTACTAAGGAGACTATCAGAATTTCTTGCTATTGGTTTGCATTTTCCTAGTATAATTCATAGCAAGTTGACCTCAGAGTTCCTGTATCAGGGAGATTGTCTGATTCTCTAATAAAAGACACATTGCTGACCTTGGCCTTGCCCTTTGTACACAAGTTCCCAGGGTGAGCAGCTTTTGGATTTAATATGAACATGTACAGCGTGCATAGGGACTCTTGCCTTAAGGAGTGTAAACTTGATCTGCATTTGCTGATTTGTTTTTAAAAAAACAAGAAATGCATGTTTCAAATAAAATTCTCTATTGTAAATAAAATTTTTTCTTTGGATCTTGGCAATAAGTGTGCCTCGAATTTATTTTCTGGGAAGGGTTGAGTCTTTTCTCACCTTTGTCAAATACCAGATTTGGCTTCGTGCTCTTCTCTGTCTGGGCTCATTTCTTTGTCCATAGACTTAAATAATATTTCCTTTGTTATCGTGGCTGCATTTGTAGGATGAAGCTAATGAGAAATACTGACTTTCTACTTAAATAATTAAGTGGAAATTAATTAATCTCAGCACTGGATTAGCTGAGATTTGGTTTTTACAAAGCCTCATGACTTTAGGAAGCAAATCTATTTCATTTTATTGAGTCAAGGAAGTAACAGACTGCCACTCTTTCTGTTCAATCCTTTAGTGTTTGAAGGTCAACCTGAAACCCCCATTCCCCTCTAAAGAAAGCACTGGGAAAGGGTGCACAATTGCCAGTGGCCGGCAGGTAATTAGGGCACTTTGGAGATTAAACTAGCAGTGTGCCTGGCCTGAGATCGCTTCATTGCTGCCGACTTGCTCAGGGTTCCCAGGTTGAAGGGTGGGTGGATGAGGGGAGTCGGGGGTGGAAAGGTGTGATCATTTCCTAGGGCTGCCATTAACAAATCACTGCAGACATCTGCAGCTTCAAACAGCAAAATTTATTCTCAGTTCTGGAAGGCCGAATCCAAAATCAAAGTATCAGTGGGGTTAGTTCCCCCAAGAGGCTCTGTGGGAGTCTGTCCCATGCCTCTTCCAGCAACTGGTAGCTGCTGGCTCTCCTTGGCGTCCCTTGGCGTGTAGCCTCAGCACCCCAGTCTCTGCCTCTGTCTTCACGTGACCTTCTCACTGCGTTTGAGATTTCCCTCCTTTCTTATAAGAACACCAGCATTGGATTTAGGCCCTCCCCCATCAAGGATGATCTTAGCTCGAGATCCTCAGTTACATCTGCAAAGACCCTGTTTCCAAATAAGGTCGCATTCACAGGTAGGAAGGATTAGGATGTAGTCATATCTTTTTGGGTACATGTGTGTCAATGGGATGTGTGGTATGGGCTGTAAACTTGGAAGGCAGATGAGAGCCCCTGATGGCCCAGAGCTTGACTGTCCCTCTTTCTGCCTCGGCACGGTGGCTACGGGCAACTCCTCTCACAGTAGGACAACCCCCACCCATAACAGGACAGGCCTTAGGCAGCCTCAGCTTTTCGGGGACAGGGTGGGGTGTTTTCTGTGATTTATAAGGTGGATGAATTTCGGCTGTGCCAGACAGCTCCAAGGAGAGAGGACTGCACATGTGCTGTTGGCCTGGCAGCCTGCTCCGGGTTGGGGGGCGGGGGGGCAGGATGCGCGGCGTCTTTTATGCTCTGAGATCCTTTGTTTTCTTTCTGCTACACTTTCGAAATCCATCCAGCAGAGCCTGCCTCTGGTGCCACTGAGACCCTCACCTGCCAGGCAACCTAAGCCAGGGTAGGGAACTGCCTCCTTCCCACTGCCAGCATCCTTTGCTTGGTCCAGCCTCCTGGTCACAGCATGTTCCAGGGCCCAGCCATGACCCCTTACCCAGGTGCTCGCTTCTCAAGGCCAAATCCCTGCTCTGCCCTCGCTCTGGATTCTGACCTCGACTGCATTCTCAGAAATGCCCAGCTTGCATCTCTTGGAAACTTCTTTCTCATTAAGTAAAACATTTCCATTGTGAAAAAATCAGAAAACAGGTAAGAAAAAAAGCTTATAACCCCCAAACTAAGAAACTGTTAATGTTTGTCTGTATGTTTAATGGCCTTTTTCTCCATCTGTAAAATATGTTATTTGTTATTTGTATTTTTAAAAGTGCCACCCGTACCACCCTGTGCAGCCACCTGTGGTGGTCCTGCATACAGTTTTGGAGACTTTTTTCACCTGATACTATAATGTGACCATCATGTTATGGTAAACTTTTTATATCAATAAATATAGCCCTTCATCATTTTGAACGCTGCATAGCATTCCATGCACCAAAATGTGTTTAACCAACCCTCACCCCGGTACTGATGAGCGTTTATATTGTGTCCATGTTTCTCTATCATTATGCATGCCACATGAGTGTCCTTACATATATTTATGAATGTGAGTATTCTTTAGGTCAAATTCCTAAGAGTGCATCACCTGGGTTAAAGGTGTCACTGCACTCCAGCCAGAGACCACTGGGACCTGCGGCTGAGCAAGTTGGGTTTATTGCTTGTTGCAAAAGTGAGCCAGGGCACACTCCAGAGGAAGCTCTGAGCATCTCAGTTGGAGGCTCTTAGGAAGGCTGTAGGCATAGGATTCGGACTTGGGTTAGTCATTGCAGGGAGGATTGCAGGAAGCTGGGCAATTCTAAGACTGGGTGCCTCGATAAATCTGACCTACAAGAAGACAGGACTCGGGGGAGGGGGGAGGGATAGAATTAGGAGATATACGTAATGCTAAATGATGAGTTAATGGGTGCAGCACACCAACATGGCACATGTATACATATGTAACAAACCTGCACGTTGTGCACATGTACCCTAAAACTTAAAGTATAATAATAGTAAAATTAAAAAAAAAAAAAGGACTAGAGTAAGATAAAGCTGCAACTGGTAAAGAAGCAACAGTCATACATATTAGCCAGGATTGAGAGATAGTTGGTCCTGCTGTGGTTTGGATGATGTCCCATGTGGGTGCAGACATTTGTGGAGTGGGCTGGTTCTTGTTTTTTAATTCACTGCAGTCCAAGTGGCCTGTCTGGTGCTGATGTTTTGTGAAATGGGTTATGGCCTCGCCCCAGCCATGAGTGCCAGGTCAGCTCCTGCATGCCACGGCTGCTTTTCTCTTTCTCAAAGGGTTTGCACATTTTTAAAGTTTGCGAAGCTCATTGCCAAATAGCCTTCCTCTAAGGTTGTACTGATACATGGCCCTTCCCTCTGCTCTCAGTAGTCTGTACATTTTGGGGTATGTGATCCAGCCACTGGGCTGCACTCTCTCTACCTGTCAGCCCAGCCTAGCGAGGAGGAGGGAAGAGACATCCAGAATAGTAGTTGGAGTAAATAGTATAACTGACTATGAGAAAATGTTTATTGTTTTCCCTCCATGCTCTGATTTCACTTGTTCTCAACTGATTTGTTGGGCTGTCTACAAAGCCTGCAGTGAAAGAACATTTCTACTTGCTGTTGCAGGTAAGTATCTGAACTGAAGAGACCCTGCCTGACTGCCGTCCAAATTATAGTGCCCAGAGCAGATGAACTCAGGGAAGCAGTCAATTCCCCTGCAGAATTGTGTCTTACCAGAGCTTATGTCTCTCTAGATAAGTGTAACTCAGGCTGAGAAGCAAGTGGCCCCAGAATATAATGGATCATTCCTGCCGCCGGAGACCTATGTTATGGCTCTAACAACGCCCATCCTGTGCAACTACTATGAAGGTTAGAGAAAATGATTGCAGCTGCTGGGCAGGTGGTAAAGCTTAATCAATGGTGGAGATGATCATGACAATGAAGATTACAGGGACTTGGCGAAGAAGTGGTAAGGGCCTTTGTGACCTGGGGCCCTGGAGAAGTGGGGCAGCTCTCTTGGCCCCGAGGGCTTTGGCCAGGCCTGCCTCATGTCCTGGGGGCAGGGGCCAAGCTATAGAAAGACTCCTCCATAGGGAGAGGGGTTTGCCTCAGTCCTCCTCCTCCCCAGGGGCTGCATGTAGGTGCCTTTGTGGATGGAGACGTGGAGGTTGGATCAAGCTTGCACTGTGTGCAATTATAGCCCACACAAACGAATGGAAAACTAAATCCCAGAATCCGAGGCTTGGCCTCAGGCCCACCTCCATGCTTGGCTGCCTCGCTACCCCAGCATCACCCAGGCTGCGGCTCCGTCCCTGGGATGCTCGGGAAGTGGCGCGCATCAGCTCACCCATCGTTTGTTAGCACGCTTTGCAGTGGGCCCTGAGCAGTGTACGTTTCTATTCAACTGGCTTCTCATTTGAAACCCTAAAGGGCTGTGTCAAGGCGAGCAGGGATATGAGATGGGGGACCCCCCAACGAGAGAGGGCTGGGGTGATGACTGCGCCCTCTTCCTCCTCCACTCCCCTGTGGGCGATCTGGCTGGAAGGTGGAGAGGAGAAAGCTCACCCCAGCGGCTAGAGGCTGCACCAGCCCCTGGTGAAGCACTGAGCTGTAGGATCTCAGCTCTGCCACCTTGTAACTGTGACGGGGGTAGGTCACACCGTCTCTGGGCCCACAGTGAGGATTCCTACTTAACCACAGGGCCATTGTGAGGGGTGCCTGGCCCCAGGACCCACATGGGCTCAGATGAGTCGCTTTTTCCCCTTGCACTTACTTTCTCTCATGCACGTGTTCACCCTCGGGATGGCAGCTGAGAACTGTTTATGTTATTTTGCTTTGCTGAGTGGGAGCTCAAGAGCAGGCACCTGACCCCATTTGAGGCTTCCCCCTTCCCCCGTACCCCAGCAGCTTTGGGATTCTCAGCATTCTTAAGAACTTTGGTTTGCTAAGTCAGCTGCAATCTTGAGCTTCTAACTTGTTTTTTCGTGGCTCAGCATTTCCTCGGGGCTCTCAAATTAAAGGTAGCTTTCTTGAGATACAAAGATTACCTTGTGAGGACAGGGAGTGGAAGTGAGTGGAGAGGGAGCTAGGAAAGAGGGGGGTGGGCACTGAGGATAGCAGGGCCGGGGCCAGGGGATCTTGGGGATTCCTTTTCTCAGCCCCTTGGGTGTAAGATCTGAGGGGCCCAAGGGCCATGCCAGGGAACATCCCCCTGCAGACACCTCCCCATTCCAGGCTGCTGACCTGGGAGAGAGAAGCCATCAGTGCTGTGCGTGGGACAGGCGAGGGAGGTGACGGGGACAGAAAGAACTGCCTGGCTCACTGGCAATTGCTCCTTTCAACTACTTCTTGGCCCTGGTAAGGTGCTGAGGTTTCTTCCTTTTTTTTTTTTTTTTTTTGTTTTGAAATGTGAATTTCAACATTTCAAATTACTGTTACTTTTAACATTGTCCTTTTTTTATTAAGGTTAAACATAAAATTTACCATCTTAACTGTTTTTAAGTGTTCAGTACAGGATTAACTACATGCATTTTTTTTTTTTTTTTTTTTTTTTTTGGAGAAAGGATCTTGCTTTATCACGCTGAAGTGCAGTGGCACCATCATCAGGGCTCACTGCAACCTCGACCTCCTGGGCTCAAGTGATCCTCCCACCTCAGCTTCCTGAGTAGCTGGGACTACAGGTGTGTGTCAAAATGTCCAGCTTAATTTTTTATTTTTTGTAGAGGGTCTCGCTATGTTGCCAGGGCTGGTCTCAAACTCCTGGCCTCAAGCAGTCCTCCTGCCTCTGCCTCCCAAAGTGGTGGGATTACAGGCGTGAGCCACTGTACCTGACCCTAAGTGCACACTATCGTGCAACAGATCTCTAGAACTTTATCATCTTACAAAACTGCAATTCTCTATGCATTGAACAACCCCCTTTTTCTCTCCCCACCACCAACCACCATTCTACTTTCTGCTTCTAAGAGTTTGATACTCTAGATACTTCATGTTAAGTGGAATCAGGCAATATTTGTCATTTTGTGACTGGCTTTATTTTGCTTAACAAGATGTCTTCGAGGTTCATCCATGTTGAAGCATATGACAGAATTTCCTTCTTTTTAAAGGCTGAATAGTATTCCATTGTATGTATATACCGTATTTTCTATATCCATTCATCCATCAGTGGACGTTTGGGTTGCTTCTACTGTTTGGCTGTTAGGAATAACACGGCAATGAACATGAGAATGTAAATATCTCTTCAAGATCCTGGTTTCAGTACTTTTGAATGTATACCCAGAAGCAGGGTTGTTGGATCATCTGCTAGTTCTATTTTTAATTTTTTGAGGAACCTCCATACTGTTTTCCATAGCAACTACACTGTTTTATATCCCTACCACGAGTGCACAAGGGTTCCAGTTTTTCAACATCCTCACCAACATTTATTTTCTGTTGGTTTGTTTTGATAGTGGCCACCCTAACAGGTGTGTGGTGATAGCTTATTGTAATCTGGATTTGTATTTTCCTGATGATTAAGGCTATTGGGCATCTTTTCACATGCTGCTTGGCCATTTGTATTTCTTTGGAGAAATGTCTATCCAGGTCCTTTGCTGAGTTTAAAATCAGGTTATTTGTTTTGTTGTTGTTAAGTCGTAGGAGTTCTTTATATATTCTGAATATTAACTCCTAATCAGGAGTACGTATCCTTATTAGAAATATAGTTTGTAAATGTTTTCTGCCATTCTATGCATTGCCTTTTTACCCTGTTGGTTGTTGCCTTTGCAGTGCAGAAGTTTTAAAGTTTGATGTAGTGTCATTTGTCTGTTCTTAATTTTGTTGTCTGTCCTTTAGGCGTCATATCCAAAATATCATTGCCATTCAAATGTAATGAAGTCTTATGTTTTTTGTTTTTTGTTTTTTTTTTTTTTTTGAGTTGGAGTCTCACTCTTGTCACCCAAGCTGGAGTGCAGTGGCACGATCTTGGCTCACTGCAAGCTCTGCCTCCCAGGTTCAAGCAATTCTCCTGCCTCAGGAGATTTGCTACTCCTGCCCAGGAGTAGCTGGGATTGCGGGTGCCTGCCACCACGCCTGGCTAATTTTTGTATTTTTATAGAGATGGGGTTTTGCCATGTTGGCCAGGCTGGTCTTGAACTCCTGACCTCAGGTGATCCGCCCGCCTTGGCCTCCTGAAGTGCTAGGATTACAGGCGTGAACCACTGTGCCTAGCCTGAAGTTTTTCCCAGCTTGAGCAACATAGCAAAACAATGTCTCTACAAAAAAAATTTAAAATTAGCAGGGTGTGGTGGTGTGTACATATAGTTCTAGCAACTCAGGAGGCTGAAGCAGTAGGATTGCTTGAATCCAGGAGTTTGAGGCTGCAGTGAGCTATGATCGCATCACTGCACTCCAGCCTGAGTTACAGAGACCCTGGCTCAAAAAAAAAAAAAAAAAAAAAAAAAAAAGGAAAGAAAAGTTTTTCCCTATGTTTTTTCTAGGAGTTTCATAGTTTTCAGGTTTTATATATTTAGGTTTTTAATCCATTTTGACTTAATTTTTGTATATAGTGTAAAGCAAGGGTCCAACTTCATTTTTGGCATGTAGATATCCAATTTTTCTGACACCACTTGTTTCCGCATTTTGTAGCCTTGGCACCTTTGTTGAAGATGATTTAGCCATATATGTGTAGTTTTATTTTGGGGCACTCTATTCTGTTCCATTGGCTTATATGTCTGTCTTTATGCTAGTACCATACTGTTTTGATTACTATAGCTTTGTAATATGCTTTGAAATCAGGAAGGATAAGGCCTCCAGTTTTGTTTTTCCTTCTCAAGATTGTTTTGGCTACTTGGGGTCCTTTTAGATCCCATATGAATTTTAAGATTCCTTTTTTCTATTTCTGCAAAATATGCCTTTGGGATTTTGATAGGATTGCATTAAATCTGCAGGTTACTTTTAATGGTATTAAGTTTTCCAATCCATGTAATGGGTTTTCTTTCCATTTATTTTTTGTCTTCTTTAAATTCTTTCAGCAATGTTTTGGATTAGTGTACAAGTCTTTCTCTTTGGTTAAGTTTATTTTGATGCCACCATTGGTGGGATTGTTGTCTTAATTTTCTATTTAATTGTTTACTGTTATTGCATGGAAATGCAACTGGTTTTTTGTGTTGATTTTGTAGCCTGCAACTTTACTGAATTCATTTATTAGTTCTATCAGCATCTTTGTTTGGAATCTTTAGAGTTTTCTAAATATAAGGTCATGTTATCTGTGAACAGAGATAATTATACTTCCTCCTTTTCAAGTTAGATGCCCTCAGTATCACAAATTATATCTTTTCATATTTTGTAACCATTAACATAGGTTTGTTTTTTTTGGAGGGGCGGGTGGGGAGTGGGGAGAGCTCTGTCACCCAGGCTGGAATGCAGTGGCACGATCTTGCCTCACTACAGCCTCAACCTCTGGGGCTCAAGTGATCTTCTCTCATCAGCCTCCTGAGTAGCTGGGACCACAGGTGCATGCCATCATGCCTGGCTAATTTTGTTTGTTTTTTACAGAGATGAAACCTCACTATGTTGCTCAGGCTGATCTCAAACTCCTGGGCTCAAGCAATCCTCCTGCCTCAGCCTCCCAAAGTGCTGGGATTACTGGCATGAGTCACCATGCCCAACATAACATAGTTTTATAGTTATGATTATTTTTATGCTTTTATCTTCTAAATTTGATACAAGAATTAAGTGATTTACACAACAATTACAGTATTACAGGATTCTGAATTTGTATATGTATTTAGTTTTACTAGAGAGCTTTATATTTTTGTTTGTTTTCATGTTATCTATTGTTTTTTCATTTTAACTTGAAAACTCTCCTTAGCAATTCTTATAAGACAAGTCTAGTAGTGATGAACTTCTTCAGTTTTTGTTTATCTAGGAAGGTCTTTATTTTACCTTCATTTTTGAAAAAAACAAGTTTTGTCAGATGTAGTATTCTTGGTTGGCAGTTTTCTTCTTTCGGCACTTTGAATATATCATTCCACTACCTTCTAGCCTATAATGTTTCTGCTGAGAAATCTGTGGATAATCTTATAGTTGCTCTCTTACATTATGAATTACTTTTTTTTTTTTTGGCTGTTTCATGATTCTTTCTTTGTCTTTTACTTGTAACAGTTCGATTTTGATATATCTTTGTGTGAGCCTCTTGGGTTTAGCCTAGTTGGAATCCTGTAAGCTTCTTGAATGTGGATGTCTGTTTTCTTCCTCAGATTTGTGAAGTTTTCAGTTACTATTTCTTCAGATAAGCTCTCTGCCCTTTTCTCTCTTCTCTTTCTGAAGCTCTCATAATATGTATATTGGTCTGCTTGATGGGGTACACGGGTCTCTTAGATTTTCTTTACTTTTCTCCATTGCTTCTTTTTTTTCCCCGTCTGACTTGATAATTTCAAATAACATCTCTTCAAGTTCCCCTGATTCTTATTTTTGCTTGATCAAGTATGCTATTGAATCCCTGTAGTGATTTTTTTTTTTTTCAGTTATTGTATTCTTCAGTTCCAGAATTTTATTTTGGTTCTTTTTAAGTTTCTATTTCTTTGTTATTTTCGTTTTGTTCATACATCATTTTTGTGATTTTGTTCAGTTGTCTCTTTTTGTTCTCTTGTAGCACATTGAGCTTCTTTAAGATGATTATATTTATTTCCTTGTCAGGTAACTCATAGATCTCTATTTTTTAGGGGCAGTTTTTGCAGATTTACTTTATTTCTTTGATTGGATTATGTTTTCCTGTTTCATGTGCCGTGGGTTTTTGTTTTATTTTATTTTTTGCTGTGATTTGTTCATTTGAAAAACAGTCACAGCAGTCACTCTTCCCAGTCTTTATAGACTAGCATCCTACAGGGAAAAACTTTCACCAGTCAGTTCAGCCAGTGATTCTGGGGACCTCACAAACATTTTCTGAGGGTGTGTCTTCTCTGGGCTTGTGTGTATAACTTCCCAAATAGAAAGGCTTGCTGGTTTCTTTTTAGGAGCTTGTAGGCTCTTGTTCCTTCTAATGTCTGTTGGTAGTGCTGCAGGTTCTCTGGGACTGCAACAAGACACTGAGCTCTCTTTTGCTCTCAGTGACCCCCAGGCATCCAAAATATGCCAGTTCCTCATAATTGCTCCAAGTAAGATGAGACAGAAACTAGTCCTGTGGGCATCATGCCAAAAAGCTGAAATGTTGAGTGTACATTCCATTCTTCTTTTTCTTTCCCAATGAAGAAGTCATGACATTTTTGCTCCTGATTGCACCAAGTTGTGCTGGCTGTGGGGAAGGGCTATCTCGTTTTTATATGAAATGGTTTTTCTTGCCTGTTTCAATGTGGTTATTCTTTGCTTTGAGCTTGCATGGGGGTACAACAGCTTCTTAAATGATTTCTGGGGTCTCAAAAGGCTTTTTGAGCTGTGTATTGTCAAGTTAATTTCCCTGTTGGGGAACAAGATCGGGAGCTTCCTATTCTGCCATCTTGCCCAGATCCTGAGCAAAGCCTCTTTGTTTTCCACAATATTCTCACTAGAAAAAATTAAAGCAGGGTGGAGATGCATATGGGCAGGGTCAAAGTGTGTGTATGCACAGGGATTGTTGGAAGGAGGAAAGATATTAACATTTGAGTACCCACAATGACTCACTCAAGTTAGTGCTATCTCTTTTTAGCTTTGAAATGATCTGGTGAATGAAAACTATTTTTATTTTACAAGGAGGAAACAGGCTCAGAGAAGTTAGAAGACTTGCTCAGGTCAATCAGGAAACAAGGCAGCCAGGATTCCATCCCAGGTCTTGACAGAAAGGCCCACATCCTTTACAATCCCTGGAGAAGTGTTTTCTTTACAAGGAAGGTGGTGGGGAGATGAGGTACAGGGGTGAGGATGCTACCGAGCACATGTGGTGGGTCCTTACGTCCATTCTTTAGTCTAGTTGGTGGTGCTGCCTTCAAGTCTGGACTTGACTCCTCTATTGCATTTATGGACTGTAGAAAGCATCCTTCTTGTTCAATGGATGGAAGCGGCAGGGGGGCTCACCTAGGGTGTACATTGTTAGATGCGTTGGAGTGGACTTCTTCTTCCTCATCTTGTTTGTTTCCCTTGGGTGGTCAGTGGACCAGTGGTACCTCCCCAGGTTGGTGGTGACCAGCCGGGCAGGGCTTCGGCGCTCTCAGGGCCGGACTCTCAATGGCAGAATCTGGAGAGTTCACGGACTGTCTTTTGGGTTTATTTGAAAAAGCAACTTGGAGATCAAAAGAGATAGGACTAGATAAAACTCACACTCCTTGGCCTCTATGAGCCCTGGGATATCGAGCCGCTTCTCCCCTTCCTTCCTCCTTCCTCCTTCCTCCGTTCTCACCCTATACTGCAATCAGACTGCATGGGCCATTCCTTCAGTGGCTCCTTATTTCTCCACTCCAGCCTAGCACACGCTGTTCTGTCTGCCTGAGACACTCACCCTTATCCCCATCATTTTGTCTCTCAGCTAACTTCTCTTCTGTTATGTCACTTCCTCCAGGGAGTCCTCCTTGAAGCCTTGGGCCTGGGTAAGTGTTTACAAATGTAGGTTTTATTATTATTTTGTTATGATTGAGATATGGCGAGGCCAATAGATAAGGAGATAATTGCCTTTGAAAAGATAGTTTGTTACAATTCCCAAGAGGAGGGGGCATACCCCCACCACTGGGCACAGGGCACACAGGGAAGCAGTAGGGTTAGGAGGCAGAAAGGGTGAGGGGAAAACATGGGCAAGAGCCTTTATTGTGGATCCCATGGGAAGAAATGAGTGAAGCAGTGTAATCAGGTTTAGAATTGGTGAGTTTGAATAATTTCAGTGGGCTCTGGGATATAGGGATTGTCTCTCATCTGGTAGTACTTGGCCCTGGGTGATTAGGGCAAGTGGATAGTGACCCTGAGTTTGACAGCTTGATAAGGGAGGTGGTTGGGGAATAGGCTCTAGTTTAATTGGTTTGTATATGAAAGGCATGCTTGTAGGAGTCCTTTACTATCTCTAGGAATTATTAATAGCTAGCCCTGGGAGGGGCAGTCCCTCCAGGGTGAGCAAGGCCCCAGATGTCAAAGCCTCAGAATGAAAAAGCAGGTTAATGCGGTCGACTGCCTCTCCTACGAATTCCTGCAGCTCACTGACTTAAATACACTGTGAGCCTTACAACGCAGACGTTAAACCTCCAAAAGTAAGGTGCCCAGGCACGGAAGGTGATTTTCAGGGGCAGCTCATGTATGACTTTTTTTAAGTTATGTAGTTATTTTAATGTATATTCCAAATAAACCAGCATACCAAATACTTTACTTCATTGATAAAATAAATTTAAGAACATCATAACAAAAATGTTATGTAAAAATGTAAGTCCAGTATTAAAGAACAATTTTAAGCAAATAACATCAGAGGCTGTGAAGGTAGTGCACTTCCTTCTCTTTGTCCCCATTTTATCTCCAGCACCCAATACAATCTTGACACTCAGACCTTGTCTAAAGGAGTGAATGAGGCAGCCCTGGGCTAGCGGCATTGGCATCACCACACTCCAGAACATCTTGGAAAAGAGGATCAACAGTAGATGGAGCGGAGGAGTTGTTTTATCTGAACTTTTTTTGCAGATGAGAAAATAGGAAGCCAGAGCCAAAGAGAGGACTTCCTTGAGGTTCCACAGCAAGTTCATGGCCAGTTCTGACCCAATCTTGTTCTTTCTTTTTTTTGAGATGGAGTCTGGCTCTGTCACCCAGGCCGGAGTACAATGGCGTGATCTCGGCTCACTGCAACCTCTGCCTCCTGGGTTCAAGTGATTCTCCTGCCTCAGTCTCCGAGTAGCCGGGATTACAGGCACACATCACCATGCCTGGCTAATTTTTGTATTTTTAGTAGAGATGGGGTTTCACCGTGTTGACCAGGCTGGTCTTGAACTCTTGACCTCATGCAATCCACCTGCCTCGGCCTCCCAAAGTGCTGGGATTACAGGTGTGAGCCACCGTGCCCGGTCTTATTCTGTTCTGTTCTTTTCTTTTCCTTCTCTTTCTCTTTCTGTCTCTCTCTTTCTTTCTTTCTTTCTTCTTTTTTTTTTTGAGATGGAGTTTCACTCTTGTTGCCCAGGCTGGAGTGCAATGGCATGATTTCAGCTCGTTGTAACCTCCGCCTCCTGGGTTCAAGCGATTCTCCTGCCTCAGCCTCCTGAGCAGCTGGGATTACAGGCAGGCGCCACCACACCTGGCTAATTTTGTATTTTTAGTAGAGACGGGGTTTCTCCATGTTGATCAGGCTGGTCTCGAACTCCCGACCTCAGGTGATCTGCCCACCTCAGCCTCCCAAAGTGCTGGGATTACAGGCATGAGTCACCGTGCCTGACTGTGTTCTCCTTTCTTATCACTGAGATCAGCTGTGTTGCCATATAGGACTCAGTTCCAGGGCAGGACCCTTTGCTTCCTCCTGGAAGCCCCTGTCTGTCTGCTGGCTCATGCAAGGCCTCCGCCAGGGGCTGGTCTGGATGCAGCACTCCCAGCAGCAGCCTGGACCCTGGCTGGGTGCACTGGGGCTCTCAGGCACAGACTGTCCAATCTTCCAGGCCAACTGAGGCTCCGGATTTTCTTTTTTCATCAATAGAGGTTAAGGATGTGTCCAGGGTCACACAGCTATAGCCAGTCAGAACCAGGTCAGAATTGGGTGTTCTTTTCAGTGTACTCCACCACCTCCCCATATGGGTGACTGGATGGAGTGGGCTGAAATGGGCTCTCTGGCAAGGTAATGAGCTCCCCATCCCTGAGTGTGCAAGAAGAAGATGGATATCCCTTCATAATCCCCCTGGAACTGTGACACAGGAGATTTTGGCATAAGGTATTTCCAGCTAAGGGCAGTGCTCAGCGACATTTGATGTCTGAGTCACTGATGACCTTTGCTCTTCAGATTTCCAGCTTGTTGGCTGCTTCATGGGCTGGGCCCAAGGGGCTCAGTTACTGACACCATCAGGAAAGGGCTCTCAGGGAAACATGCTGAAAGCTATTTCCATTTATTTGTATTTGCTGCCTTTGACTTTGGACAGTAGCTCAGCTCCTGGGAGATCTGTGGGGGATGTATGTGTTGAGAGTTCTGGGGGTGAGCTGAAGGCCCCGGATCCTTGAACTAGACCCTGCAGAAAGCGATGGATTCAGCCAAGGCCAGGGTTCTGCCTAGGGGCTGATGGGAGCGTGGCATCCTGGGACGCTTCCCCAGAGTGGCCACTAGAGGGGGCCCGCTCTCAGCTGCACTCTAGAAGTGATACCTGGAGGGCATCCCTAGGTTGGCCCATGGTGGAGCAGGTGGGATGTCAAGCTGGTCCAGGGTAATAATGTCTTTCAAACTTGTTAATTGAAATCTTACATGGGGTCCCACATTCCAGGGACAGTTAGCAGGGAAAACTTTGGGGTGGAGGGGAAGGAGCAGCGTAGAGAGAGGAAATCTGTCCATTTGTACACAGACTTCTGCTCAGCCCCTCTCCGCCCCCATGTTCTTGGCACCGGGCTAGGAGGGAAGCCATGGACCAGACTCGAGGGGGAGTGGAGAGCAACATGATGGTCGGGGAAGAGAGAAGGTGCACAGCAGCTGTGTGTGCACAGCCATGCGTGGGTGCCTGGATGAGCCTCTGTCACTGCCCCGGAGGGGAGCTCAGCCTGATGGGTGGGCTGCACCTCCAGCTGCCGCATGTCCAGCAGAAGGGGCTGGTTACCCTAATCCCCATCTGCCTCTGCATCAAGAGGCACAGCATCCATGGTGAAACTGTCTCTACTAAAAATACAAAAATTAGCCAGGTGTTGTGGCAGGCGCCTGTAATCCCAGCTACTGGGGAGGCTGAGGCAGGAGAATCATTTGAACCCGGGAGGCGGAGGTTGCATTGAGCCGAGATTGCGCCACTGCACTCCAGCTTGGGGGACAAGAGCGAGACTTCGTCTCAAAAAAAAAGCACAGTGTCGCCATTAACAGTCATGTACAAAAATGCAGGAGAAAGCGTCTAACACTTAGTGAACAACTCATGTTAAAGAGTACAGTAGGACCGCATTTTCAAAAATGTGTGTATACATACAAAATGTCAATGTACTATTAATGGTGCTGAATTCGGCTGTGGAATCCAAATGATTTTTATTGTTAAGAATTTTTGCCTCTGAATTTGTGCCTGTAAATGCATTGCGTTTGTAAAAGGAAAATAAATTAACAACAAGTGTTTGTTTTTCAAGCATGAGAGAGGGCCCACACCTGGCTCAGGAATGCAGCCTCGGCCTCTGGCTCCTGAGGCCCCTGCAACAGTTGTTAGAGGCCTGCTTCCGGTCTCATGCTGCCCCTGAGCGTCTAGGGATGGTGGGCAGACCCTGAACTGGGTTCCTAACCCCCCTGTCTAAGACATGCCAGTGTCTTCAGCCCCTTGTCGCCTACATTCTTCTCCCACTGGTTCTCTCATTGTGCACGTCCCTCCCTACCTCCTGATCTCCAGAAGAGCTAGGCTGAGAGGTGAGCACCAGTGGACTCCTTTGGGCCCCACCTCAAATCCTGTCTGCAGCACCAGCTGCTGCTGCTGCTACTAAACACCAAAAGCCTGACAATCAGCTGCTTCTCCAACCCGGTGGCAGTTGCTGGGATCAGTTGTATACTACCATGAAACCCTGTCGTCTCACTCTCAAACCCAAAATCCAAGGCACAACCAAGAGACATCGCTCTAAGCTGAAGTGCACCTCTGGAAGCTACTAGAACAGCCAAAGATGCTCTTAACACACGTGCATACATGGATGCAATTGCAAATGAGGACATAGGTGGGTACAAACACCAGGGCCATGTTCGTACTCAAACACAGAAGCAGACACACACACCTATGCATACATAATCACATGTGCACACTTATGCATGTGGCACTCAAGCAGGTACACAGGCAGAGTGGTGGTTATGGACTAGGACATCCAATTACCCAATTCCAGAGATGTTTATTGAGCACTTTCTAAAGTCCAAGTTTGGTTGCTGGGCTCTGGGGATGCAGAGATGGGTAAGCCACTCACAGAACATTCCACAGCGATCGGCTTCTGTGCAAAGCAGAATATGGTGTTGGGAGGAGTAGAATCACAGGATTTGAGGGCTGAGGCGGGAGACAAATTCAGGGGTACCTCCCATTTATAGAGTGTTTCGTAGTTTCTAGATCACAGCCACAGGAGGCAGCGCAGCTACTTTCCCGTTTTACTTTAGGATGTATGTGGCCTAGGAGAGGCTGGCCTTGGGTCTTAAAAGCTGTACTGCCTCCTGGTTCCTATTACTGTAACTAGGGATTTCTGTGATCCCTGGGGTGGTGGTCCAGGCCTTTGATGGACCCGTGGTGACCCATGTGACTCTGACCCACATGGCCTCCACCTCCCCATCCCCTAGTTTGGGTCATGGGCTTCACAGGCCACGTCGCTGAGGACACTGTAAGATTGCACTTAGGGCCAGGTGCGGTGGCTCACACCTGTAATCTCAGCACTTTGGGAGGCCGAGGTGGGCAGATCACCTGAGGTCAGGAGTTCGAGACCAGCCTGGCTAATATGGTGAAACCCTGTCTCTACTAAAAATACAAAAATTAGGCCGGTGTGGTGGCGGGCACCTGTGATCCCAGCTATTCAGGAGGCTGAGGCACAAGAATTGCTTGAACCCGGTGAACCTAGGAGGCGGAGGTTGCAGTGAGTCAAGATCACACCACTGCACTCCAGCCTGGGCGATAGAGTGAGACTCCATCTCAGAGAAAAAAAAAAAGCAAAACAAAACAAACAAATCCCAAACATTTCCACTCTGGATGCCAGCTTGAAGGCTCTTGGTCTTGTCCTTGACTTTTAGGCAGTCCTTAGCTCCCAGAGAGAGCAGCATTAAAAATCATCATCAGCAAAGTACTTCATTAGGCATAGCTTTTAATAATGCGGAATGCTCAATTTTTATTGAAATATGTTTGTCAAAACACAGATAGAAAATGCTAGAAATAGAGCACCCCAGAATGCCAGAGCTGGGAGGCATCTGAGAAGCTTCTAGTCTAATCTTCTCCTTTGACAGATGAAGCCTGAAGATTTGGGGGTTGGTTCTCACTGAGGCTGTGCCCTGGGTTGCCCCAGGTGCTGTGAGGAACAGGAATGGAGGCACATGGCACCCACACTGGTCTCTGAGATGCCATCACTCACAGCTTCTCCCCATCAGCCAGGGCCTTGGACACAGCCCGAGCCTGAGTTGAAACCTGGCCCTGGAACAGGAAGTGCTTGGAAGCTTCCCTGCCGTTGCCGTGGTGCTCACAACCACCCAGGAAACCAAGGCAAGCTCCCCCTGTCAAAGCACCTTGGCCCATAAGAAGAAAAGGGGGAGCCCCAGATGTGATGAGCGCTTCCAGGCTTCAGGCTCAGAAGGCGCCCCCAGCTCTCCTGTAACTCAGAGGCCAGTGTGATGGGAGTTCCTCCACTCAGCACACTTCCCCTGTAAACACGCCTGTGGTGGGCAAAAGGGCTTTGGAACGGTAAGTACAATGGGTATTTTTCAGCCACTTCAGAGACCAAGAAATGTGTCCTAGTGACAGGTGCTGTCTTAGCACCTGTCTAGACCCAGTGTTAGACTTGGGTGCCTCTGGTCTACTTGGCAGGGAGGGAGTTTAGGGAATCAGGAGGGGTCTGGGAGCTGAGAGACCATTGTAGGTAGCTCCTGCCCGCCCACAGGGACCTTGGCACAGGCTCTCAAAACACACGAAGGGGCAGATTGCCTGGTGGGATGAAAAAAGAACACATTTCCAGGCCATTGAGATGTCTCTGGATTTCAAGATCAGCTAAAAAAGTTCTTAGATATTGATCTAAGAAAGCAGGAGCTTTGGGTAGCTGAGTGCAAACCCCAGCCTCCCTCTCTCTGTAACTGAAGCGGTGCTCTGTGGGCATAGCGAGTCCCGTGTGGGGTTTATTCTGTGCTGACCAGGTCTGCTTTAGAATGGAACCCTCTTCTCTCTTCTCAGATTCCTTAAGGCCACGTTGAGGATTTGGGGGTCTATGTCTAGGGCAGTGGGAAGCTGGTGAAGGGCTTTAAGCTGAGGAGTTCATCATCCTGGCTCCTGTGAGGTAAAGGGATCAGAAAAGCATGTATGTGTTACCTGAGGTGGGAGAAGCCTCACGCAAGGTGGAAACTCAGCCATCAAGGAAAACACACATTGCTGTAAACTCAAGTGCACCTCTGAAAGCTGGTTGAACAGCCAAAGATGCTCTTAACACACATGCATACATGGATGCAATTGCAGATGAAGACACCAGCAGCTGGGTACAAACACCAGGGCCATGTTTGTACCCAGACACGTTTCTTTTTCTTTTTTCTTTCCCCTCGAGACAGAGTTTCGCTCTTGTTTCCCAGGCTGGAGTGCAATGGTGAGAGTTTGGCTCACTGCAACCTCCACCTCCAGAGTTCAAGTGACTGTCCTGCCTCAGCCTCCCAAGTAGCTGGGATTACAGGCATGCGCCACCACACCCAGCTAATTTTGTATTTTTAGTAGAGACAAGGTTTCATCATATTGGTTAGGCTGGTCTTGAACTCCTGACCTCAGGTGATCCACCTGCCTTGGCCTCCCAAAGTGCTGGGATTACAGGCATGAGCCACTGGGCCTGGCCCCAGATATGTTTTCAAATTAGAGACTGGCAAAGGAAATACACACACACACACACACACACACACACAGGACATATTTTCATACTAATGAAACAATTTGTTTACCATAAACAAAGTCAAAAGACAAATGATACACTTCTGCAGCATGTATGGCAGACAAAATGTTAGTGTCCCCAGTACATAGAGGGCTCCTTAAAAAATGCTAGTGAGACTACAGTAACCCAGTAGAAAATTGCGGAAAACCTATGATTAGGCAGTTTTCAGAAAAGAAAAATTAAACAGCCAATAAATAGATAAAAGAATGCTCAACCCCACTGGTAGCCAGGAAAGTTCAAATTAAAGTAAGAATCTGAAACCATCTGACACTCACCAGCTTGGCAAAAATAAATACGATGATACTACCTAGTACTAAAGATGTTGTGAAAAAAATGACAACACTTATAAATTGGTGATAGGAATGTTAATTGCTGCAATTTTGGGGCAAGTGAATTGGTATTAACTATTTCAATTGAAGATACAGATCTCTGACATAACTATACCACTTGGAAGACTATTTCATAGAAATAAAAACAGCAACACAAAGATATATATATATATATATATATATACACACATACATACATATATATACAGATGCAGATATAGGTAACATGTATAGATATATGTATACACACATGTACACAAACTGCCATAATAATGTGTATGCATATTGTTCCCATTGTTTTTATTATGGGAATAAAATATAGGAAATAACCTCAATGACTTGGCAGAGGAATATTTTAATAAATAATGATGCATTCACTGTATGAAATATTATGCGGCCAGAAACAGTGTCTCATGCCCATAATCCTGGCACTTTGGGAGGCCAAGGCAGGAGGATTGCTTGATATCAGGAGTTCAAGACCAGTCTGGGCAATATAGATCAGTCTGGGCAACCCTGGCTCTAGAAAAATTAAAAAATTAGCCAGGTGTGGTAGCGGACACCTGTAGTCCCAGCTACTGGGGAGGCTGAAGTGGGAGGATCACTTGAGCCCAGAAGATTGAGGCTGCAGTGAGCCTTTATCACACCACTGCACTCCAGCCTGGGCAACAGAGCAAGACCCTGTCTCAAAAAAAGAAAAAGTGATATTATGCAGCTATGTTAAATTTTTCTTTCCTGTCATTGTATTGGTTCACTAGTTACAACAAGCATATATTATTAATACTTTTGCAATTAAAAAGTCCAATTAAGGCAATTAAAAGGCAAAGAAAAACCTGTCTGCCCAAGTGGAATGGAAATTCTATGAGGCAAGGATCGTGTGCATTTTGCTCACTGCTGTCTCTCAGAAACGGCTAACGCCTCTCTCCATATGGCGACTGCACAGGAGATGCTTGTTGGTGAATGGATGAACATAGCCATGGCTGTGATGCAGGTGAAGTGCTGTTTGGGGAGCAAAGGGAGGTCAGCTGAGGTTCTTGGTCATCAAGTGCCGTGGCTTCTGCTGGTTTCACCAGCTCACCCACTTCTCCTCTTCTCTGATGTTGCTCTGGGGAACTACCCAGTCCCCAGTGCACGTTCTTGTTGGGAGAATTAGTCAAGGTGTCTGCCCTCAGGGGCCAAAGAGTGGGCCCCTGAGCTAAGCCAGGCCAGTTGGGGCCTCTTGCTGAGAATCTGGATTGAAAAGAACCCTGCATAGATGGACTGTGGGAGAGCCGACTCATGCTGGAGGCAGCGCCTGACAACAACAGCCACCAACTCCTGGTGCGTGCCACCCAGGTCCCTGCAGCTGCTTCCTGTTCTTTCCCGGAGAGTTCTCCAGTTTCCTTTTGAGTCTATGAGACCCTCCTCTCATCACCATCCTTCCAATCAATCTTAACCTCCCCGCAACCCCATAATCAAATGGGTTTCTGTTGCTTGTAACCCAACAGCCCTGATAATGTTCAGAGATAACTGGAAAGTCCTTGCACTCTTCCTCTTTCATGACCCTGTAAGCTAGGGTGACCATCAGTCTACAGAGCTCCAGGGCAGCCCTGGCCTACAGCCATTGTCCAGGCCTAATTATTAATATCATCCCTTTAGTCTCCTCGTCTGAATGATCAATTATGTGATCAGCCTACTTATAGCTATCTTTTGGTCTTCCTCACTTTGGCAAAGGATTATCTTCTGTTTTGCTTTATCTGAGCCACTTTCCCAGAACAATAGCAGAGATCTCTCTATTCACCTGCTTACAAAAAAAACAAAAAACAAAACCAAACAAAAAACCCCAGCAACAACAAGATATTCTCTTGATTGATAAATAACCCACATTCGAGGCTTATTCATTATTGTTCCTGTGGCAAAGTATAGATTCTTTAGGCCAATCTCCTCCATAATATTTTGAAAAGTATGGAAAATGTCACCTTTACCTCTTTTGTCTTCTAGGTTGCTTGTCTTTTCTCTCCTGCGTAATTTCCACTTTCATTCATGATAATGTCGAACACGGTGAGTAGATCAGTTTCTCAAGAAGGTAGGTGATGAGAAGAAGCATTTGCTTATGGTCATTTTGACAAATTTCCACAAGGGGCTGGGTTCTGCACCACCGAGGACCTCAAGCATTATTGGCTGACTCGGCTGGAAAGAGCGCGTCCAGGCAGCACCGTCCAGAGGGCAGAGAGCAGGCTTGTGGTCTGAGCTGACGATGTTTTACTTTGACGTTTTACGTGACAGCCGGACTACATCTAGACTCAGATTCCACAGTTTTTAATCACCCACCATCTTCTAGGCACTATACTAAGGCATATTTCCCAAACTTTATCCTACTTTATACTTTTTACAGCATTGGAAACAAGATGATATCCCCACAATCCCCACCATCGCCATCCTCACTGTCGTTGTCACGATAACCATTACCGTCACCACCACCACCCATTATTTCCATTTTACACATGAGAACTGAGAGCCTCAGAATGTTAAGTAACTTGCTCAAGGTCACACAACTAGAAAGTAAAATTTGAACTCATATGCTCTAGTCCGTGGCCCATGGTCTCGTCACCTCTCCATTGGTGCCCTGGGTGGCTTGGGATCAATGACATCCATTCCTGTGGGTCCCTCCTCGTGCTTTTTTCCTTGCTAGGTTGCTTTGAGCCTTCAGTCTAAGGTTTACATCCATGCTGGGTATCGTCCTTCTTTTTTATGTAAATTGCTGAATTTCCCCTGGAGCCTCAAGAAAATGTCTAAGACTGAGCAGTTCTGCTCCTGGGCATATAACCAAAAGAATAAAAAGACAGGTGTTCAAAAAAAAACTTGCCCATGAATATTCACAGCACTCTTCACAATAGCCAAAAGGTATAAAAAACCCAAGTGTCCATCAACTGATGAAGGAATAAGCAAAATGTGGAATATTTACACAGTGGAATATTATTCAGCCTTAAAAGAATGAAGTACCAATACATGGATGAACCTTGAAAACATTATGTTATGTGAAAGATGCCATCCACAAAAGGCCACATATTGTGTGATTCCACTTGTATGCAATACCCAGAACAGGTGAAAACATAAAGTCAGAACATAGGGGCTAATCTGAGAAAGCAGGTTAGTGGTTGTCCCGGGCTGGGGACATGGGAACAGGGAGTGACAATTTAATGGGTATGGAATTTCTTTTGGGGATAATGAAAATGTTCTGGAATTAGGTAGTGGTATTGGTTGCATAACGTTGTAAATGTTCTAAATGCCACCAAATTGTACACTGTAAAATAGATACAATTTTATGTTTTGTATATTTTACCACCATTAAAAAAATTCCTTGCCCAAGATCTCCACAGTTTAATATCTCTTTGTATGACAAGTTAGGATACGTACTCAAAGGACAGTACTTAAAGCCTAATACTATCCCTGCCTGTGGATTCTTCAGAGAGCTACCTGCAAAAAACAGTCTTTCTCCTTGACCTCTTACCCTCTGACACCTCTTGTCCTAGATCCTAAATTCCAAATTACTTTGTAGCTTGAGATCCTTGGTCTATGGAATACAGTGTCTTTGCCTTGAGTTGTCTTGTGAGAAATATTAGCCATGTTCAAAAATTAACCAGCACTGTAAAATTTGTCTTGATTTCCTTCTTGCTATACAATTTGGAAAATCTGGCATTTATGTGAAGTTAGAAAAAAAGATGTCTTCTCTTTCTTTGATTACCAAGCAGCACAAAGCTCGGCTGGAACGCCGGGTCACTGGCTCAACCAACCGGTGGCGTTTGCCCAAACAGCCTTTCTCTGGGGACCTGCTCTCACTTTCCCAGATGTGCAAGGCTCTGAGCATAGACTTTGAGGAAGCTTTGAGGAACCCAGACAGGTATGGAGACTCAAAGGTTTGTGGGAGGGAATGGCCCATTATTCCTGGGAGGGGAGGTGCCTGATGACCGGGCCACTCTGATTGGCTGCAGTGGCTGTCAAGGGCACATCTGCAAGGAAGGCTCCCTCTGGAGCCAGCTCTCAGGCATGGACAGGGTCATAAGTGACTACTACCTCTGAGAATGTGGGTGGTTACAAAAGTGCAGAGAAAGATTGAATTTTTTTTTTTTTTTTTTTACAATTTTTCTTCCCAGTGGGAACTTTGAACCCAAACAGGATTCTGAGTTTATTATCCAGGGACCAACTGATTTTTTGACAAACAAAACTTAGTTAGTCCTGGCTCAGTGTTTAGACAGCTTGTAAATGTCCATTTTCACCCAATGAATTGATCCTCTCTCAATCTCATGGCATTCCGAGCAGTAGGCTAGACCCACTTCTCCATGTGATGAGTTCTCTCTTGCCTCTCCTGGAAACACAGAGCTGGACCCTTGCCTTAGTCTGTTTGTGTTGCTATAAGGAAATACCTAAGGATCAGAAATTTATAAAGAAAAAAGGTTTATTTGGCTCAAGGTTCTGCAGGCTGTACAAGAAGCATGGCGCCAGCATCTGCTCAGCTTCTGGTGAGGGCCTCAGTCTGCTTGTACTCATGGTGGAAGGCAAAGAGGAGCCGAGTGTGCAGAGATCACATGGCAAGCGAGGAAGCAAGAGAGAGGAGAGAGGGGAGGTCCCAGGCTCTTGTTGACAACCGGCTCTTGTGGGAACTAAGAGAGTAAGAACCCACCCCTGAGGGATGGTATTAATCTATTCATGAGGGATCTGCCCTTATGACCAAAATGCCTCCCATTAGGCCCCACCTCCAACATTGGGGATCAAATTTCTACACGAGGTTTGGAGGAAACAAACATGTAATTTGTAGCAACCCTATTGCAGAAGGTACACCTCATTTCCCTGGTGCCATGGACCTGGCTTGATGCCGTTACCATCCTTAGGCTGGCAGCATCAGTCTTGTGAGCTCACAGCCAAATCAAAGTGAGCATGGACTGTACTCCTGGGACAGCACCTGGCACAGAAGAACTGCCTGCTCAATCTTTCTTCAGCGAGTAGCCAAATCTTCCCTCTCTAGAGCCACTGGCCAACACTTTTCCGTTGCCGAGTTCCTTAGTGCCAGGGCTCGGCCAGGGATGCAGGTGCTGGAGCTAGGCCTAGGAACAGAGGCAAAATGATCCCAAAAGCTGATGAGAGGGTCTGGGCAGCAAGAACTAAATCTCTGTGAGTCACTGAGCTAAACTGGAGGCAGTGGCCTGAGGGGTGGGGTGTTGAAATGGCATTTGGTGCTGGGCATTTGGACTGTTAAAAGCAGTCTATCAATGGGGCTGGAATCTCCACTTCTTCACTTACTAATTCTGTGACCTTTAGTCAGTGGCTAACCCTCTTTGGGCCTCAGTTTCCTCATCTTTCAAATGGTTATAGAGCACCTTCTTCAAGATGAAGAGTCATCTTGAGGATTAAATGAAGCCATATATTGAAAATGCTTTGCACTGTTTCTGGCAAATAGTAGATGCTTAGTAAACAGAACTATTTTCTTTATTGCCTGGGCAGCATTTTAGTAATTAATCCCGGTGATTTCATCTTGGGGTGTCTCAGCTCTGTGCTCTGCCAGTCAACACCCCCTTTATTTCACTCTGCCTCCTTGCACCTTCCCCAGTTCCTTCCTCCAGGACAACACCTTCCTCCAGCACAACAGGGGCAGAGGAGCCGGTCTTCTGGGGAGAAGCTTTTACACATCTGGCCCTCTCCTTTGTGATATTGGGAAGCTGCATGTCCAGAGGCAGCAGATACTCTCAGGTGTTCTGGGTATGTCTACTGCCACGCATCTGGTGCTCAGCTGATTCAGGATTGGTTCTGCCAGGGCACTTGGGCTCTGTTCCATGAGCCTCTTGTCCTCCTCCTGAGATAGTGGGCTAGCCTGGGCACATGCTTATCATGGTGACAGCAGAGGGCATGAGGGTAAGCCCAGGAGCTCATGTGTCTTTCAAATCTTCCACCATTTCACATTCACTAGGCCCCATGAACTGAGGCAAGTCACGTGGCCAAACTCCCAGTCAAGGGACAGAAAACACACTCCGTCTCCTTATGGAGAGAAACTTTGCAGTATGGAGGCAAAAGGTTTGGACAGAGGGAGGGATGAAGAATTGAAGTCACTGGTGCAGTCTACTGAGTATGGGAGAAACTGATGTTCTGTAATAAACACAAACTTGTCTGGGCATGGTGGCTCATACTTGTCATCCTAGTGCTTTGGGAGGTCTAGGTGGGAGGATTGCTTGAGGCTAGGAATTTGAGACCAGCATGGGGCAACATGGTGAGACCCTGTCTTTACAAAAAATTTTAAAATTAGCCAGGTATGCTGGCTTGAACCTGTAGTACCAGCTGCTTGGGAGACTGAGGTGGGAGGATCACTTGAGCCAAGGAGATTGAGGCTGCATGCAGTGACCTATGATTGTGCCGTTTCACTCCAGCCTGGGAGACAGAGGGAGATTTGTCTCTAAAAATAAAAAAGAGACAGAGAAAGAGAAACACACACACACACACACACACACACACACACACATCTTTTCTTTGTGTTCACAATAGGAATTTGTTCCATGTGATTGTGAGTAACTTCTTAGAAAGAATAAAGGGTGTGTATAACATGAAGGGCTTATTCCTGGTAATTCTTGTGAACCTTCAGGCATCAGGCAACTCTCAGGTGGCAAACTCCACTGTCAGTAAGGGCCTGGAATGCCCCATGCAACATACGTTATATCCCCCAAAGCACTACATGGCTGTTTCTGCCCCACCTGGCAAGCTGTGTTCATGTCATGGATGGTGTCATTGCTGCTTTTCCCACCTGGGGGTGCTGTCTGCTTGGACAGGAGCTGGACCAGTCTATTTCTTGAGTTACGGAAAGGGTCATTCATGATGGAAAGCTGAGGGAACAGGCTCCCAGCTTCTCGTCTATTTCGGGTATGTAATTGTGCCCAGCTGGCCAACACTTCCTTCTGCCGTGTCTGGGTTTTCATGACGCAGGGAGTTCCTGGTCAGCCACTCAGAGGTGCTGATCTTCAGGCTGCTGATCGTCTTACCTTGGTCCTTTTGCAGGCTCTGGGGCACCGAGTGTGGGAGAGGAGGCTGAGAGGAGGAAATGTTAACTTCCTTGCGAGTACTCTAATCTTTTTGTGCCTTAGTTTATGTGCAAATCACGGATACTGTCTTACAGGGTTGTGTGAGAATTATATGACATGATTCATGTAAGGAGCTTAGAAAAGTGTCTGGCACATATACGCTCAATGCACATGTGTCAAGCATGTCCCTGGGGTCCACAGGCGTGTATGGATGCGTGCTGTCATGGAAACCCAGAGATCCAGCACGGGAGGTGTGTCTCAGGCCAGACTGGGGAGGGGGCACCCCCACGAAGGCTCAGGGGGTTGTGGCCCTAGGAAAGACCCAGAGCCCTCCTTGTCCCCAGCTGGTGAGGCTGCCTAGTGGTTTTCTCCCTTTCTGCCCGCAATGCCAAGTCCATTCAAGGGTGGGAGGAGGTCATGCTTAAGAGGTAAGAATGGGAAGAAGGGACCCCTATATTTTTATATTATATTATATTATATTATATTGTATTATATTATATTATTTTATTTTATTTATTTTTAACCAGAGAGTAGTTCTGGGATAGTGGGACTAGAGAACAATGACCCACGTTAACCTAAATAACAAACAGAGAGGAGAGGAAGACTCTCTAAAAGAGGCTGATGTTTATTCTGGAACAGGCATTGCAATGCAATACCAGTGCCACTGTAAACTACGTGTATATTCAGGGATGTAAAGGAAAACAAAGGTTTTTTTGTTTTGTTTTGAAACAAGTCTTGCTTTGTTGTCCAGGCTGGAGTGTAGTAGTGCAATCACAGCTCACTGCAGCCTCAGCCTCCCAGACTCAATTGATCCTCCCGCTTCAGCCTCCCAAGTAGCTGGGACCACAGACATGGCCACCACATGCTGAATTTTTTATTTAATGTTTTGTAGAGATGGGGTCTCTCTATGTTGCCCAGGCTGGTCTCAAACTCCCGGGCTCAAGTGATGCTCCTGCCTCAGCCTCCCAAAGTATTGGGATTACAGGCATGAGCCACCGTGCCTGGCAAGACAAAGGTTTTTAAAGGAAAAGTGAGGAGGATTACATCATTGCTCTGAGATAATTATCCCTGGCTACAAGGATCCATAACAAGGGCGACACCAGTTTGAGTTGCAAGGCAGATGTCCTCGCAGTACTTTTTTTGTGTGTGAGGTTGTGATGGCCTTTGTGTGTGGCTGTAGGTTTTGCAGAGTCTTTTGTGATAGTTCTTATTATCAGGCATTCATGTGTGAGAACTCTCCCTTCCTGGCCTTCCCCACCTCTATTTGTTGGGTGGATTTTTTTGTTTTGTTTTTTTAAAGAGATTTAGAGATGAGGTCTCGCGCAGTTGCCCAGGCTAGAAGGCAATGGCTATTCACAGGCATGATCACAGCTCACTGCAGCCTCAAACTCCTGGGCTAAAGCGGTCCTCCTCCCTCACCCTTGCATGTAGCTGGGACTATAGGAGCATGATACCATGCCAGGCTCCATCAGGGTATTTAACACATCATAACTCCATTTTTATGTTGATACCTTTCACAGAGACAATGAAAGAGAGAATGCTAACTGAAGGCATGTCCTTGCAAGTTATTCCAAACATTCACTCTTTCACTCCTCCCTTCCTCTGGGACCAAGAAGCAGAAAATGGAAGGACTGGGGTCCAGCCCCAGGTCTATGTAACTCTTCCTAGTTAATCAAATTGGCATTTTGCCCTTTGGATAGTTTGCTCCAGGAAGTCCGTATGTCCATGAGAAACTTACTTCCTCTTCTTCCCCTTCTGCCTTTCTCCATCATGGTCATGACTTGGGGGCGTGAGCTCCAGCCTAACAGCACGTTCCCAGCATCCCCGCACCAAGCATTGCAATGGGACCACTGAGTCCCAAACAGTGAGACAACTCACAGATGCCATGTGTTCCGTTCACTTTTCCAGTGATCCTAAAATGAACCACAGCCCTTGGGAACAGCAGAGCCTACATGACGAATGGTATATCTTGACAAGCAGCCCTCACACCCAGGAGAAGGCAGTGTGCTCACCTCTGTTTCCCGGCATCCCTTGGCTCAGCCGATGACACTGATGTTTGTGAGAGTAGTTGAGTTCATGGACCTTGCGCCATATTTTCCAAAGTCTGTGGCTCCATTTTGGGATCACGGTCTGAACTCTTGACTCTGGCCAGCTCTTTCCAGACGTGTCACCCAAGCCACGAGGGGGATCGAGGGAGGAAGCGAGGGTGGCTTGGGTCAGATCTCCACTGCTCCTGTTGAATAAGCAAGTCCAGCTCCCACTGCCTGCCTTAGGCTGAGTCATTGGCAGCCATCCTCCCCCCTTGGAAAGGGCAGCACGTAGTTGGCAATATTCTGGACACGGGCTCCCACCCATGCTTCCTGCATGCACCCTGACCCATGGGGTCTCCTGGGATTGTTGGAGACAGCGTGGTGAAGTTGACACTGCATGACACAGAGCAGCTGTGGTCACAAATGTCTCTTGGCTGGCTGGCTTTCTGGGATGACTGTCTTTAAGCTGCGAATATGTGACTCAAATTTTGTTTCACTTCCTGGCTTAACACGATGAGTCCATGGTGTTTATCTATGTGGTCATGGATTCATTAATGAATATTGCTGAGCACCTGCATGATGGCTTGTGCCAGGGTCATAGCAGTAAACACATGCCGTATCTGTCTTGCAGAGGATACACAAGTAAACAGGCAGCCACAAGACACTCCAGAAGGAGTTTTAAGGGGAAAATCCCAGGACGGGCAGGGGTAAAGCCACTGGCCCAGCATCCCCAGAGAAAGCGGCAATGAAGTTTATTCTGAAGAATGAGTAGGAGCTTAGCAAGGGGAAAGGCGAGGAGGAGAGCATTTGGGAGAGGGAGCAGTGCATGCAAGAGATGAAAGCAGCAGTTGGCAGGTCCAGGTGCAGGCTGCTGAGAAGGGCTGGAGTGGGGACCGTTGAGGGACCAGGCTGCAGAAATATGCAGGAGCTGGTTAGCCGTGCTAAGGAGTTTGGGCTTTCCCCCAAGAGCAATGGGGAAACACTGGAGGATTCTCAGCAGGAGAGAGACAAGACCAAATTTGCATTTTGTGGGAGGCAGGCCTCCGAGCAGAGCAGGGCCGGAGGCTGGGAGACTTTGGCAGTGACTGGAGGGAGATCACAGGGGCTTAGACGAAGGCTATAGCAAGAACAGCAAAGAGAGATGGACAAATTCGAAAGATCTAGGCAAGTGATGAGATGTAACAACACTCAGCATGCTGGCTTGGGCAACTGCAGGCTGGTGGTGCCATTTCCTGAAATGAGAATCCGAGTGAGCAGGGTAGGATTTGGGGTAGATGCTAGGTTTAGTTTTTGGACACACTGAGAATGGGACCTGTATGACCTCTAAAGAAAAATGTTGGTGAGTTCACATCCCAGAAATGAGCAGAACCCTCTATTCTTTTCTCCCAGCAGATATTTACTGAGTGTCTACTATATGCTAGATAATGTTTTAGACACTGAATAAGGTG
The DNA here is from genome assembly GCF_000001405.40 of Homo sapiens. NCBI lineage: Eukaryota > Metazoa > Chordata > Mammalia > Primates > Hominidae > Homo > Homo sapiens. The sequence goes on from NC_000010.11 coordinate 122,283,578, forward strand.
TCATTCAGGCAGCCAATTATGGCCTGAAATATCTCCTCGGTAAGGCCTACCCACAAACTGAACACAGCAATCACATTATGAGCCAGCTATCAGAAAGCCTACAGTTTTTCAGATCGGCAAATGGTGACCTGAGGAAACTCTTCCAAAGGGCGAGATATGATTAGCTTGATCAATGGGTGCTTTAAGGACATTTATGCTAGAATAATGCATGTTGTAGTTGGAGAAAAATGTCAGTATTAACTCCTGGATTTTATATTTGCATTTTCCCTTGAGGTTATGCATTTCACAAATCCAGAAGTTTTTCTTTGAGAATTTCAAGAACAAGGACATCCAAAGTGGGGAAGCAGGTGAGTTTGTGTTATCCATGGATTAAGCCAGAATGTTGCTGATTTCAGGGGCATCTTGTGGTCTTTATGGAAGGAGACCAGTCCATAAACCAGGGCGCTAGTGTATAAGTTGCAATTCTCATCCACTTCCCAGCGTCTAAGAAATAATAGGTGCCCGGTAAATATTTGTCAAATGTGCAGTGAGTGAAGTCAAGCTTGGTAAACACATTTTCATATGCTCCTCGCCATGATAAAGACAAATGTGTTGATGTCAATAAATAGCCCACACCTGTAATCCCAGCAGGAAGGCCCAGGCGAGTGAATCACTTGAGGTCAGGAGTTCAAGACCAGCCTCGCCAACATGGTGAAACCCCGTCTCTACTAAAAATACAAAAACTAGCTAGTTGTAGTGGCATGCACATGTAATCCCAGCTACTCAGGAGGCTGACGCAGGAGAATCACTTGAACCCAGGAGGAGGAGGTTGCAGTGAGCCAAGACTGCACCACTGCACTCCAGCCTGGGTGACAGAGCAAGACTCCATCTCAAAAAAAAAAAAAGTAGTCTTTGTATTGAAAGACTAAACAGAGTGCAGCAAGCATAAAGCAGCTGTTCTTTGTCTCTTTGGGCTCTAACCAGTCATGACTTGGACGTTCACAGCTGCACTTGTTCAAGAGGACTTTTCTGAGGCAGGATCAAGAATCAGGATAGGTCCTTTTTTGCTAGAAAAAGGTTCATTGAGCCTCATGAGGAGGCAGCTTCTTAAAGTGGATTTTTTTTTTTTTTTTTTTTTTTTGGATAAAGCCTACTGCATGGTGTGACTGCCTGAGATCAGAGCCAGACTCCTTTCCAAAGAAAGGCTAATAAATTCTTTTCTCTCCTTCAACTCTGAACAGGAGAAGTAGTCTGAGACCATCTCCTGGCATGAGAGAAAGAGCTCTGGATTGATTAGTGATGGCTGCCATGCATTGGCCATCCTGAAAGTGGAAATTGACATCCAGTGAGTGAATATGCTGTATCCACAATTCCGCTCCTGCCTATAATCACCCTGATGGGCTGAGACTTTTTCTAACTCAGCATAACCAGACCACCTAAGGCAATGTAATATTTGAGATGCAAACCCCCCGGAACCCCAGCACTAAACAATATCATAACATGGGTGAATAACAATAATAATAGCAGGAAGAAGAATCAGGTACCCAAGGTCACACCGTGAAACTAATGGCAAAATCAAGAAATACGTAGATGGGGCTAGTGACCCTTCAGGTCCTGTCTGGCACTCAGATTGAGGGTTCTAGGCACCTCTCCTCCCCCCAGCTCTGTACTAACAACACAGGAGCTGAGCCATGCAGAGTCCTCTCCCCATGGCCTCTTGAGCCTCACCTGGCCTGGCATCCTTGGTTTCGCCATCTGCCCTCCTCTATCAAAAAGCCTCTTCTTTTAGTGATCACTGATTTTATCCTCAGGTTAGATGCCCCTGAAGAAAGTCTTCTACAGTTTGCAAAGAGCCTTCTTTATATTGTCAAAGAGGGTCATGAGAATCCTACCCTCGTTGGTGGGCCTGCTATTGCCTTTCAGATGGGTCATGCTTTGTATTCATAGCCCAGTAGTTCTCAACAGGGAACTGGGGGGTGATTTGGCTTCATTGCGGACACTTGGCAATGTCTGGAAAGATTTTTGGTTGTCACCGCTGGGGAGGGAGTGCTACTGGCATGTAGTAGGTAGATGCCAGGGCTGCTACTGGGGATCCACAGTGCACGGGACAGCACCCCAACAGGCACGTATCTGGCCCAAAATGTTTACAGTGCCGGGGCTGAGAAACACTGTCATAGGGGAAGCCAGAATGAGGCCCCCCAAGAGTGCCCCAGACAATGTCCTCGTTCCATGAAGCTTTTCCTCATTCCCCACATTGGAGGGCAGCACAAGTGCCTCTGAAGTCCTACAGCTGTTAGCCGACAGCTGTCCTGGACACGTGACATGTCCTGGGTGACCCTGTAAGACTGGTTTGGTGTCCCCCTCAAAGCCACTAAGCCCCCGAGGCCCACACTTCACTGCTTCCTTTCTGAGATGCCTGGGGAGGCTGCTTGCCTGCTTCATGTGCTTAATGATCCACCGAGCAAAGGAGCTGGGGGAGAGGAAGCTGATGCATCTTTGGGTGGGGACGTTACTGATGTGTTTGCTCAGCATCATTTTCTGTCCTCAGATGTGATTCTCGAGTGCCTGGGCTTCAAATGGGAGCTCCATCAGCCCCAGCTTTTTCAGTCTGAGACCTTGGCCAAGCTCTACCTGAAAGCCCTGGCGCAGGGCACCACACACCCCCTGAGGGAGCTGGAGGAGCTTCTGCGAGGTACTTCCTCCCTGGCACCCAGTGCTGGAGCCCCAGTGCCCTCTAGCTTGACGGTCCCAGCTTGGAACATGGTTATCTGTTTTGAGACCACGGTCACTCTAGCAGTCAAGAGTAAGGCTCCACAGTGTTATCTCATCCCATGACAGCCTCAGTTTCCTCAAGTGTAAAATGGGGATAATAGTTCTTAGGATGCGGCTTTGAAGAGTAGAGGAGGTACTAGGTGTGAGGTTCTAGAACAAGGCCTGGCACACAGCAAGCTCTCAGTACATGCCAGTTATTATCTTTGTAATAACCCGAGTCTTGTCTGGCCAGCCCAGACATAGAGACTCTACCTACTTCTTTGAAAAGAAAAAATAGGCTATGTGGAATTTTCTGAAGAGCTTTCTGGAAGGAAGGTGGAATTCTGATATCTGTGGCTTGTTTGGCCCTAAGTATGCTGGTTTGAGGCCCACATGTGTGCATCTATTTTGTTGTTGTCTTTGCTTTTCTTTCCTCTTCTCTTCTCGTCTCTCTTCCACCTTATTCCAGAAAGAATGTAGGCCACTTCTTTCTTTGTCTCCTTTTCCAGTCCTGACCACCCCAGCCTCCTCTCACCTGGTCTCTAAGTCGTCTCCATCTGCACTGCCAGCTGCTGCTTTGGGCTACAGGTTGGCATCCCCTCGGGCTGACTCATAAGCAGGTGCCACGGAAAATTCGAGGCCCCCAAAGCCAGCCAGCATACCAGTCATGACGGACTTTCTATTTCCAAGACATGACAGCAAAGCCCTGTTATTCTAGAGCCAGACAGGCAGCCGGAGCCCCCAGTCACTCCCCCTCCCTGAGCCTGAGCCTGGAGGGAGAGCCCCACTGCCTGCGGGAATCTGACTCAGCCCTTCCCCGCTGTGCAGGCAGTGAGAGCCAGCTGGGCTCCTGCAGAACTGCAACAAGCTTGGTGCTGGCTCATGAGCCTCTGTGCTCTTCTGAAGCCTTTGTCCCAGTGTCTTCAAGGGCCAGACTGGGCTCTTCCATCTCCCCTGTACCCAAGTCAAAACATTCATCAGGCCATCAGTGAAAGGCTCTGGTGAGCCAGACAGTGAGTTCATGGAAAAGCAGGAGAATTTGGAAGTGGAAATGGAGTCATTAACGTTACGGTCTTTAACATGTCTAGAATGGGTCCCTAAAATGAAAACATTTAGCCCTGCTAAGACAGCCACTCTGATCCAAGCCTCCCTGCTAGAGGCTACGCCTGGCTGAGAGACAAGAGGGAAGGTGCAGAGATGAAATCCCAGTGCCCTGGACTGTCACAACTCCAGGGTCTCCTCGCAAGTTCCATGGACCGATCAAGCCATGGGATTCACGTCTTTCAATAGGAACAGTCACAGTCCTTCATGTGCCTTTAAAAGCGAAAATATCTCACAATGGTGGTTTGCATACCTGTCTCACGGTTATCACTTTCATGTTCTCAATATCATCTGTGTTGCTATCCTGGAACTTCTGGCCAGACCCTGGATTGCTGGACTCTGCAGAGATGCACAGGCTCTCCAGCTGCTTGATTTCCTTCCATGGAGACTGGAGGAGCAGCTGTCCTGGAGAGGACGTGTTTATTCTCTAGCGTGGAATCCAAGGAGGAAGTGGCCCACTTACTAAAAACAAACTAACCACCTTGGCTTTGGAGAACTTTGGGGAAGAGTATGAACAAATTATTGATATCTTATCCAATTTTGGGGTTTTACTCAACCTGGAGGGAATACTGAATTCCTATCTTTCACTTACTCTGACATAACTGATTCCCTCCCTCCCTCCCTCTCTTCCTTCTTTTCTTCCTTCCTTCCTATGTGGAATGCTTAGCTTATGCCAGGCATTGTGCTAGGAGCTTACCATCTGAGGGGACAGACAAGCCCAAAATGCTGGGAAAGCATGACAAATATTGTGACACATTGTAATATTAACTGCCACCTCCTGCATGCCTACTGTGTGCCAGGCACTCACATGCATCCTCCCATTTACTCCCTGCCACGGGGTGGATGGCAGGCTGGCGTGAGCAGATGGGAGGCCGTGTAGTCATACTGGAGAAGAATGTGACCCAGAGTGGAACAAGCCTGGTGCTTAGTAGGTTCTCAGTGAGTATTTACTCAGTGAGAGCCAGCACAGAGCCAGGTGACGGATGACAGCGAGGGGAGATGGAGGGGAAAGGATCCTTTGCTCTCTCTTTCTTTATAGTTGCACAGGATGATGGGCTTTTTGGCTCTGGCTCACATCATTTTTCATTATCTGGAACCTTGAGCTCCCTGGTGATGGAATCCATGTGCTGCGTTCATTCAGCTGATATTTACTAGCACCAGTGTGTGTGAGCCTGGGATGGGCCCAGTGGGTGGAGCGGCAAGTGAACCACCTCAGCTGAGCTGCTTGGGGGAAAAGCACAACAGGGACACAGAGTAGTAAATAGAAGGTCGTGGTCAAATTAGTCTCTGAAGAAGAATAAAATCAGTTAGCAGGGGAGTGGGGTGCTACCTTACATTTGGGGTCAGGAAAGCCCTCTCGGGGGGAGGGACATGTGAGAAGACCCCCGATGAGGAAGGGAGGGCGGAAGCCCCACACCATCCCGAGGAGCATGCCGGTGAGGGGCTAGGTGGGGGCATGATGGGCAGAGCGGTGGGCAGGGGTTGCAGGCCATGTGGGAATTGGGGCTGCTAGTGGGGCCTTGGCTTTTGTGCCAAGGGTGTGGGGCACCTCTGGAGACCTGAGAGCAGTGCCACTCTGTAGCTCACATTCGAGGATGACTGAGTGGATGGCATTGGCTAGCAATGAATTGGGCTACCTTTTCCCTTCCTCCTGGAAATCCTTGGTGGCAGGGGTCCCCAGAGTGGAGCTCTCTGGGGCAGAGTGACAATAGCCACCACAGGGACACCTCAGTCCCATGTTCACCCTGCAGCAGGTGGCACTCCCACTGCCTGCCTGCACTGCTCCAGGTGCTCGGGTTACAGAAATGACTGAGGTTCAGTCTGCCCTTAAACTGCTCAAAGCCTAATAAGAGAAAGGATGGGGGAGGTCATAAATATGTAAAATGCAGTGTGAGCATCAGTTTCTCGGTTTTGACCATGCACAGGGCTATGTAGGATCGTTGGGGGAAGTTAGGCGAGGGATACGTGGGAACTCTGCACTCTTTTTGCAACTTCTTATGAGTCTTAAACTATTTCAAAGTAAATAAGTATTTAAAAATGCGTCTATAGGCCGGGCGCGGTGGTTCACATTTGTAATCCCAGCACTTTGGGAGGCTGAGGCTGGCAGATCACCTGAGGTCAGGAGTTCGAGACCAGCCTGGCCAACATGGTGAAACTCCATTTCTACTAAAAATGTAAAACTAGCCAGGCATGGTGGAGCATGCCTATAATCCCAGCTACTTGGGAGGCTGAGGCAGGAGAATAGCTTGAACCCAGAAGGCAGAGGTTGCAGTGAGCCTAGACAGTGCCACTGCATTCTAGCCTGGGCGACAAGAGTGAAACTCCATCTCACACACAAAAATTAATTAATTAATTAATTAATTACATCTATGAAACAAATAAAATATAGTGTGATACATATCTTGATACCTCATGGTCATGCCAGGGTGGTGGGTGCCTCCCACTGTGTCTTCACCACGGTTATCACATCCTGCCATCATCATCTCATTTCCTTTACTAGCTCAATCACCTAAGAAGACCAAAGAAAAATCCCCTGCAAAGAGGATCATCATTTCCTTGAAGATCAATGACCCACTGGTCACTAAAGTCGGTATGTATATACCCGTCTATATTCTGAGAATGCCATTGAACAAATGGTCCTCCCAGATTTAAAAATGCACAAGCAACAACAAAGCAAAACAAACCAACAGTAGACAGTGTTCAGTGCTTTCTTATTAAAAAGGCCCGAACGTGCAAAGAAAGAAGGGGCGAGAAGGCTAGGGTGACTTGGGGAAATGGAAGAAGGTGGAATGCTACTAAAGAGAGGTTCTTGTCATTGAGAAAGGGTGTGAAGGATGCAGAGACCGGGAGAAGACAGCGGCTTCTCAGAGACGGACCAAGCACAAAAGGAATTGCTGCTTTAGGCTCACACCCACCCAGGGAAGCCATCAGGCCCAGCCTTGCTCCCAAATAACACTTTACCGGCCTCTTCCTGCCAAGGACCACCCCTTACCTCCCCCAACTTGGGCTCACTCTCTCCCCATCCCCTCACAGCCACTCATGGGCAGACTTCTTTGCTTGTGCAACATCCGTGATGTCATGTGATGGCACTTGTTTAGGAATCGCTCGGTGAGGAAACTTCAGCACTCGTTGGGCCATTTGTCGCCAGAGGACACTCTGACGGTGAATCAGCTAAGTCCATCTGGCCCCTAGCCAAGGCAGTTCAGCTCCTGAACCATCAAATTATTCTGGCTCTTTCCAAGAGTCTTTAACCTTTTTGGAAGTCCCCAGACTCCAAGGAGAATCTGCTGTAAGATATATGTTGTCTCCAGAAAAAAAAAATACACGACGTGCACACAAAATTCTACACCTATATGGGCAGTCACATTCCTGCGCAGGCCACAGACCCCAGGTTAGGGGAGAACCCAGGATGGTCTCACCCCTGAGAACAGGCTTAAAGGAGGATCCTTTCAGCAGAAGCTCAGCTTTCTTTAGCTTCAGCCTCAACTCCTTTGGGAAGGCTGGTAGCACAGATCGTCAGCTTCTGGGCGGTGCCTGCATCCAGGTGAGAGGTGGCGCATTTTCTCTAAGGGCACCTCTGCCTGCCCAGCTGCAGGAGTGAGGGAGGGCGCTGGGTGGTGTCCTGTGTGCAGAGCCCCACACAGATGGCTCGCTTGGCTGTGCCTCCCCAGCCTTCGCCACGGCCCTGAAGAACCTCTACATGAGTGAGGTGGAGATTAACTTGGAAGACCTACTGGGAGTGCTGGCTTCCGCCCACATCCTCCAGTTCAGTGGCCTGTTTCAAAGGTAAGGAAACAAGGCTGACTTTGGGCAGGGCCGGGCCTGGGGGAAATCGGAAGGGCAATTCCTGGCCCATTTGCTGGAACATTCCTCTTCATTGGGCTAAGACACCTCAGGTGTCTTTGTGCCAAGCATGGCCTTGAGCCTGGAAAGGAACTGAGACACTAATTCACACTAACAGGTGAGCCATCTCTCCAGCAACACGCTAGTTTTAACCAAACGATTCTCGACTCACAGGAATGAAATGCAAATGGGAGGATTTCTACCACTGGGAGAGACTTCATGTGTATACACAGTGACTTCCTAGTAGCCCCCAAACCAGGCTTGCTTATCAATTTCACCTCTTCTCATTGTTGGCTAAAAGAAAAAAAAAATCTCTCTCCTTTAAGTCATACACACACACAGAAGCTGGCCATTGGAGGACAAGCTGACTTTTCCATCACTGTTGGGCCTACATTTTCCTGCTCATTTGAGATAAAGTCTTGTTTTTTCTTGTAAATAATATTTTTATTGTTATAAATGTTACATACAGTCATTGTAGGTCTTTTGGAAGAGAGGAAAATGCAAAGATCAAAGTTAAAATTGCCCTCAAATCCCCCTGCCCATTTTAGGCATAGCCTCTCTTTTGGACATTCAGACCCCGCTGGCCCACCTGGGCTGCCCATCGGGAGGGTTCATCAGGGTGTGTTGGGGGTGTGGGGAGGAGGTGGTGGGGAACCAGGAGGCATTCAAAGTGGGTTGGCATTGAATGTGAAAGCTTCCTCATCCTGACGAGGGTTGCCTGGGCTCATGGATGCAGAAATCATGAGCATGAGGGGGTAACAGACATTGCTTGGTGTTTCCACCTGCATCCAAGCAGCCGAGGAAACACACCCTGGAGGGGTGAGACTCAGAGCTCCCAGTTTGCACTGGGCTTTTCCTGCAAAGTCAAAAGTAACCTGGGTCCGTGCAGGGTCTGTGCTCAGTTCTACAATAAGGTGCCCCTTAGTCTCTATGTACACTGGCAGTCTCTGACATAAAATGTGGCTTATAACATTTGTCCCATCTACTTCCCAGGACTTTGTTGGGGATTAGGGGATGTCAGCACATAGGGCTTTAGGATGGAGTGTTTGCCTTTCAGTTCTCAGCCCCTTGCAGGGATGACCTCATTTCATCTTCCCTGCAACCCTAGGAGGTAGAACTATTACTATGCTCATTTTACAGATGAGAAGACTGGGGCTTTGGGAAGTAAGTAACTTGGCCAAGGCCACGCAGCTGCCAAGTAGAGAAGCCAGGACTCGTAGGTCAGGGGGCCCCAGAGCCTGGACCTCTAACACTGTACTATTCCACTTCGCTTGGGTGAGGTGGTAATGTTGTCACTTGCTAATTTGTGGTTCTGACCCTCCCTTCAATGGCATTTAGTCAGGAGAGGTTTGCTTAGGGTCACTCACTTGTTGGTTTATTCACTCACACCTACACTCATTCATTCATCTGCCTCAAGGACAACTTCTTAGGCTCCTCTGGGAGGCCAAGGAGACAGTGAGGGACCAGATGGGCAGGATCCCTGCCCTCTAAAGTCTCCTGTCCAACAGTCTCCATGACACCAGAAGTGAATAAAGGTGGATGGAATGAAGTTTGGGAATTCCTAACTGGAAAATGTTGTGCTATGTATTATTAAGTTCAAGCAAAATTAGTATCTATAATAAGAAAGAGCATTTCTTAGAATTTCTCCTCCCTTTTTTGTGTGTCCTGTAATATTCCTTCATTCCATTAATGCTTATGAAAGAGTAAGTGAACCAAGTGGAAAATCATTCATGGGATTCATTTCTCTAGAATATTTTGTTTCATCTCCTGGGCTTTTTGAGGGATGTGTGCCTACTGCATTGATGTCCTGAAGAGAGAGGTGGTATCTTGTAGCTTTTTTTCCCTAATTCCTGATGCAATTCAGTATAAAGAAGAGATCAGGGCAGGAGGTGGTCTGCCTGTTTTGTTTACTTCTTAAACCTCAGGCTCATTATCTGACTGAATGAAGGAATGAATGAATATACCATCCAAGCCAAGAGAAGACATTAGCTGCTCTGCAGAGGGGAGAGACAGATATCTCCTGGGGATCTTACAGGTTTCAATTCATTTTTTGTAGAGTTCACACAGTCAGATTCAACCCCATGGATGTTTTTGAGCTGGTGCCTCATTCTGGGGACTCATGAAATGACTAGGTCCAGGCCTTTGATCTGGAGCATGTGGCAGCCTCGTTGGGAACGCAGGTGTCTGGACCTCTCTGCAGGGGACACACATTGAAGAGGGCCTGGAGTCTTGAAGAAGCACTCCAGTGTGTCAGCATGGTCAGACTGTGGGGTTAGGTGGCCGTGGTAGATGGGAGATGAATAGTTGCAGGCAGAGCCAACTGGTGTAGCGTCTTAGAACCATCTAAGGAATCTGGCCTTGACCCTGAAGGTCGTGGGGTGAAAAGTCCAGGTTTTCCTGAGATTCCCGTGTCCCTTCCGTTGTATATATCACCCACTGTCAGCCCAGCATAGCCTTGTGATGTATAACTATGAAATCATAGCTCCTTTCGACAGAGTATTTCTGAGCAGCTATTTCCTGGTGCAGTCCAGGAAGTTATCTCTGACCTGAATGCTGGCAGGGTAGCTTCCATCTTGAAGTGGGGCCTCTGGCCACCTTCTGTCTCCAAGCCTCAGCTGCCCTACCTTAGGAGCAGACTGGAAGCCGCATTTAACCTTCAGAACTCTCGCCCTGGCTTATCCAGAGATGAACCAAGAAGGGCAGCTTCTTCATCCTCCTTTCCCCTCCCCCCACCTTGTTTTGAATGCCAGAGCAGGAGGGGCTTTGCAGCTAATGAGCCAAACCTTTCATTCCACTGATGAGCAAACATAGGCTTGCCTGAAGCTGATGGGACCTGCCCAAGATTCTCCAGATAATTGTGGTGGGGCTGGGATTCTAGGTCAGAGGCCAGGGCGGGCCTGCACATAGTTGGGCTGGGTCTTGCCTGCCTTTGAGAGGCTGATGGCGCAGTTGGCAGGGTGTGGCATCATAGGATACATGTGTGTTTGTGTGTCTGTGTAACGGAAGTGCCCCAGGTCACTCTGATAGCATCACAACGTTCAGGTGCTGAGTGAGACCTCACAGGTTATCTCAGCTGAGCTCCCAGGCAGTGGGAAATTGCCAGATGACAGCTTAATTCTGAATCACACATACCTGAGGCCTCCCATCTTGAAGAGATGCAGTGTGTGTGCACACAGCTTCCACTGGGTGATGTTCCTTTGACTCTCATGTCAATATCTTTATTGGCACTTGGGCTGGAGTCACAGCAGGGATTGTGGCTGTCACATGCGTGTACCAGCACATATGTGCATGCATGTGTATGCACACACACGCTCACACACATACACATGGAGCATCTCCCTGGTTGTCACTTGGGTTCCTCCAGGCTCACAGGGCCAGAGGGGCATTTCCTTGCCTCCATGCAGGGCTGAACTTCCTCTGTGGGCAACTTCCTGGTCCTTTAGAATTTCCAGAAGAGGAAACCCCCCACTTCCCTGAGCCCAGAGGCGAGCCCGGATGGCTTTCTTTGCTTCCTTTGGTCTGGGAAGTCTGATCATTCCAGTCCAGCCCAGCCAATGGGTTTCACAGTGAGGAAGGGGAAGCATAAGAGAAGGTGCCAGCCTCCTGGGGCACTCATTTCTCCCCTGCAACTCCAAGCCCAGCTAGTGCTCCCTGTAGGTTTCGACAGACAAAAGCTGGCACCTAAAGGCTCCTGGACCCGATGAGGGTGGGGCCCGAGCCTCCTGTTCAGCCTCGTCACAGCTTGGGCTTCACCCTCTGCTGACCGGTGAGGCCATGAGCTCCAGGACGAAAAGGCCTCCACCTGTCCCTGGTGGCATTTCCAGAACCAGCAGCACAGGTCAGCACAGAGCTGGCACTCAGGATGGATTTGTATGGGGAGCGCTGCTTCCCGGCAGTCTGTTGTTTCATGGGAGGTGGAGGGAGGTAAGGAACCAGGTAGAAGAAGGAAGGCATGGAAATCAAAACTAAGGCAGTATGTGGGGAGGAGCAATCAGGGTGACTTCCAAGAGGAGGTGGTGCTGGACCTGAGCCTGGAAGAATTACAGCAGTCAAAGGGGGAGAAAGAGGGGACAGGGTGGAGCAGCATCAAACTGGGATAAGCCTGGCCACTAAGACCCAATGCAGCTGCAATGGCCAGAGGTTTGGATGAGCCCAGGTTATGCAGGATCTTGTAGCCACATGAGCAGGTCTTGGTTCAGTCAGCAGAGCAGGAAGCCTGGGCTTGGGAGGGGAGAGTGGCAGAGCCTCTGTGGTTTAGGCTGAGCCCCTCCTGTGTGAAGGATGTGGTATAAATGTGGGAGGCTGCAGGGCAGGGAGGCTGGCTGTTGAGAGGCTATGCAGAGGCTCAGCCGAGAGACCAGGAGGGTCTGAACTAGGCAGGGGAAGTGGGAGCGGGAGGAGGGGCACGCTCAAGAGACAGCCAAGATGCAGGATTGACAGGACTCAGCAGTCTTAGAAGGCAAAATGCCCAGGGGATGACAGCAGCGCCTCATGTTTACTCAGTACAGGTTTCCCCAGTACTCAAGACAACTCCTTCTAATGGGTAGAGTCAGTCTCCCTGTCTGAAGGGCCGATCCTAGCACACAAGGGGGTAGAGTGCCTTGGCCATGACCAGATTATTTATTCACTTATCATTTCTTACCTTGTTCTAGTAAAGGCTTTGAGTGGCTTCCATGAATACATGAAATGAAGCCACAGAACACCAATTTTCTTTTTTTTAAGGAGGAAGAAAAAGATGGAGAAGCTACCATTGTATACTAACTCTAATAACCACACTTTTTTCCTAAGATAGGCCATACATTCAGCTCTGAACTTGCTAGCGGCAGATAAAAAGGGAAACTTGATCAGTGATATTCGATGCAAACTAGATAACAGTTTAAAAAACAATTCACTTGGGAGAAGTACAACTACTATTAGTATGAAAACTGTGGATGTCTTCAGCAGATGACCCCAAGCAACCTAATGGTCAATGTCCTCAAGAATGTCTGTAGAGTAAATGCAATAATAAATCTTATAATGTTTTTTTCTTGGTTTTGGCAAAAGCGGCACACCAAAATGCAACTCAGTAAAAGCTACTCTCCAGGGATGTGGTTGTTGGTGGTAACAAGACCCCATCTGCCTTCTGGTCTGGCCTTATGGAAGGATACATTTTAGAATAAGTGCAAGAGGTACTGGATGTCCTTTAAGCCTCTGCCCATGAGCGGTGTGTATATCAACTGAGTTTAGGACAACCATTGAGTCATAATGAGTTTAAGGTTGTGCTTCCGTATGAGATCCCAGTGGCTACTCTCGGGTGCCCTGCTCAATGAAGTGAACATACTTCAAAGCAATTTTGCTGCAGAGAGGTTAGTATTAGCTGTGAAAGTTCAGTCACTGAAACATCTGTGACCCTACCTGCCACATAGCACGTCTACCACACTCCATTCACCTCGGCTCATGCCCTCCTTGGAGGGAGGCAAGGAACCAGGTAGAAGGAAGTCATGCAAATCAAAGCTAAGGGATTATGTGGAGAGGAGCAATCAGGGAGACTTCCAAGAGGAGGTGATGCTGGAGCTGAGCCCAGACGAACTACAATAGTCAAAGAGGGAGAGAGAGGGGACAGTGTGGAGCAGTGTTAAACAACGGCACTGCAGCTGTGCCAGCCCTGACATTCCTTCAAAGTGTGGCACCTGCTCCTGCCCCAGGGCCTTTGCACATGCTGTTTCCGCTTCTTGGAATGCTGGTCTTTGAATCCCTGGCCTGGCCTGTTCTTTTTCCTCCTCTTTCAGGTTTTAAGTGCCTCTCTTCTGACTTCTGGTCACTTTTCTGATTTAACCACACTAGGCTGAAGTCTCCATCATCTGCCTTCCCATCACACCTTGTTCTTTAACTTTTTAACCCTTAACATGACTGCCAAATGTGGTTATCTGTCTGAAAGTTGACTTAACATGTCACCTCACTGGCCCATCAGTTTTGTTCTTTGCACACCAAGGACCTCTCCAGGTGCCTAGCACACGGTATGTGTTCAATGAATAGATCCTTCATGGGTGGGTGAGCCAAATCAACAGGTCCTAGTCATGAGCTCGCAGAGACCTTCATCTGAGAGCTGCTCTTTGATTCCATTTGTGCACAGAGAGGAATGGGACTTGAGGCCCCTCTGGTGGCACCATAAGGGTCTGTACAGGAAGACAGTCCTCAGGCAGGGGGATGACCAGATGGCTATGTTGGCTAAAATCAAACCTCATCTCAGCACCTGGTGGCACTTCAGCTTTGAGCAATAATCCTTGTTCCCTGCTATAGGGTTACTTTGTTTTCTCCTGAAGGATTTGATTTCTGGCCTCATCTCCCAGCCCAGAGCTATTTCTAACAAGCCATGTTGGTCTTGTCCTCTGGCCAAATGTCCATACCCCTAAAGCGAGGCTCCCTTCCGTTCAAAAGTCTGCTGCTGTCCTGGAGTTGAATGAGAATCTCTGGGACTTTCCGCTTCTCCAAAAGCAGTGTGGGGTTCCTCCAGAAACTGCAGTTCTCTCTCTCCAGGTGCGTGGATGTGATGATAGCCAGACTCAAGCCAAGCACCATCAAGAAATTCTACGAGGCCGGCTGCAAGGTGAGAACAACCCAGACGGGGCACATCGCCCCTTGGGGGGGCCTTCAGGAGCAGCCTAGATGCTGGGATTTTACCCACCAGGCCTACTTCCCCCCAGAATATCTATTTGAAGTCATCAAATATTTTATTTTGCCACATGAACACATTTGTGTGTTTTTTTTTTTAAACCATCATTTTATTTTTTTAAAGGATGTTTTAACACCAAAAAAATAGAAAGACTTTAATCTTAGATGGGGGAAGAAGCAGCATAGCCTTTCTCACCGAAACAGCCGAAGACCTTCCAGAACATTCTTGCTGGAGTTGTGAGGTCTAGATTCACCTGGGTCTAATCAGTGTGTCAGGGTTAGGAATAAATGATAGAATCCAACCTCATTCTCAGAGGAGAAAACAGAGCCAAGGAGGGCAGCAGCCTGCCCAGGGGAACCAGCTGGGTCCAAAGCCCAGGCCTCCTGACTTCAGCTCTCTCTGTATGGCCACCAGTGACCTGGGGGGGGATACCAAGCAGCATGCCACAGTTCTCCCATCATCGCGTCCTCCCCTTCGCCCCACTGGTAATTCCAAGGCCACTTGTGGTGGAAACTGCATCCTGGTCAGCATTTCTCAGCAATGCTTGGGCTGCAGAAGGACCCCAGGCCCAGAAGCTATTCGAGGTGTACTGAAGCTCTCTCAAGGTCCCTGGCTCTAAGACGCCTTTTCCACTTTCTCTGCCCTTCAATTCCTGCTTTTTGGGTGTGTTCATAGCCTCAGAACTCCTGCGAGGTACACCCCTTGGGCCCTCCATGATCAGCCACTGACTTGAACTAGTGGGCAAAGCCTATGGTCAGGTTGCCTGGGTTTGCATCCGGCTCTGCCACTTACGAGTTGTGTGACGACAGGCAAGAGCAGGAACCTGGGAGCGTCAGTTTCCCCACCGGTGACCTAGGGATAACAGTGAACCCACCTCATAGGTTTTCGCTGAGGATTGATTTAAATCAACTGAGTGCAGCGCCTCGAGCATAGAAAACACTTAGAAAAGGTATCTGCTGTAATTCATGTATTTTGTAGAAAAGGTTTGAGCGCCTCTGCAGTGACTCTCCCTCTGAGCACACGTGTAGTGTCGTCTCAGGCCAGCAGAGGGTGCCAAGAGCTCAGGACTTCCTTCATCAACTGGCTTTTTTTTGTCTTAGTACAAGGAAGAGCAGCTCACCACCGGCTGCGAGAAGTGGCTGGAAATGAACTTGGTTCCTCTAGGGGGGACGCAGATCCACCTCCACAAAATCCCACAGGACCTGCTCCACAAAGTGCTGAAGTCCCCCAGGTCAGAGCTGGCTCCCAGGGTGCGGCCCCTGAGAGGGGGATGGGAGAAAGTAGGGGCCAGGCTGGGGAGGGAGGTGCTCTGATGGAGGCTGCACCCCCACCTTAAGCTTCCTGCCCTCCTGGACAGCTGAGCCTTGGCTGGGGCTGGAACTCAGGGTGCTGTGTGTGGGGCTGGGGAGAGGGCTCCCTTCTCGCTCCTTCTTGTGGGTAGGAACCCTCTGAGTACCTGCTGTCTCAGGTATTTTCACCTGGGTGCGAAAAATGAAAGACTTAATTACCTAAGTAATTTTTAGAAAAAATCCTGACAACATCAATGCACATTCATTTTAGAAAATGAAATCTCTCACCCTAAATCAGCTTACATCTCCGGCGCTGGCACCTCTGCTGAATAACTCTACACCCACGTATCTGATCGCCTGCTTGACCTCTCTGACAATTAAGATTAAAAGCCATCTCTCGGTGCCCCTGCCCTGTCCTGCACCCCAACCCTGCCCCCAGTGTTCCTCCACCATCTGACTAGCGGATCAAGCTAGACCCTTGATAGTCCTGGACGCCACTTTGACCATACCCCAACCCTGAGGTCATTTCTACTTCCAAATCAAGTCCAGCGCTATGGGCCTCGCTCCATGGGTAGCAGCCCCAGCCCAAGATCGGAGGTCCAATGTCTCTTATTTTGGACCAAGGTGACCTCTAACTGTCTTGCTTCTGGTCTGGACCCCCTTCTAATCGCATCTCTAGCCAACAGCCTTTGCCTCTGGTGACCTGGCTCCTTCAACTCACACAGCATAAGTGCAGCCACGGGGCCCCCCCTGAAACTTCCCTGATGAACACCTCCCCATACCGGGCCTTGGTTCATGCCCATCCTCCTACCTGAAATGCCTGTCCCCTGCCAGGCTCCTTCTCCCTTACAGAAATTCATGGAGATGTTTCCCAATGCCGGGCTTTTTAGGTTATTTCTAATGTTTTACCAATATAAATAGCACACTGGTGAACATCCTTCAACATTTGTCTTCATCTCAGATTCTTTCCCACATTAAATTCCTAGAAATGAAGTTACTAAGTCAAAAGAACTTTCTATTTTGTGTTAGTCTCTTAAACATTTTTATTTGAAAATAATTTCAAATTTAACGTTGCAAGAATAATGCATAGAATATATACAATATATAATGCATAGAATATATGCAATAATGCATAGAATATATATTCTATGCAAAGAATATTTGCATAGAATATATACACAATAATGCATAAAATATATAGTTACACCCAGTACTGCCAATCACCCTAGAGTTCAATTTCTGCCCTGCTTGCTATATCATCTGCGTCTCTACGTGTATCTACATATACACTTGTTTTTTCTGAACTATTAATATTAGGGAGTAATTTGCGTTTATTAAGTTCCTTTACTCCACATGCTTCAGTGTTTATTTCCTAAGAAAAAGAATTTTTGAAAAATATAACTATAGTGCAGTTATCAACTTTAAGAAATTTACATTGATGTAATACTTTAATGTCATTTGCCCAATACTGCCTTTTATAGCATTTTTTCTTTCTTCAGTGCTGTTTAGGACCACTTAGTTGTCATATCTCTTTAGGACTCTATTTAAAAGGATCTTGGTACCCATTTCCAAGTTACCAAAATTTTATTACCTCTGAGTAAATTTCAAAAGTGAAAACTAAATTATGCTGAAAATCCTAGTAGAATATTAGAAAATGAGGGTTTACTCATGTGTATGTGTGGAAAGTGTTCTGATTTCAGAAATTAGATTTGGAAAGATTTATTCTACTGTTGATGTGAATTGGCTATGTAGCATGCAATGCCCTCACGTTTACAGAGATGGGAGGCAGGTAGAACAGAGTTCTGGGACAGAGGGAAGGAGACCATATTCTCTAGGAAGCCTCCAGGAGTCCCAGCCTCATGCCAGCCCAGGGCACTGGCTCACTCCTAAAGTCATTCCGTGGTGTTCTCTGCTTTTCCCCACTCAGGTGCTCCCCCACTCCCCAGCGGAGCAAAGGTTGCGCAATTGTTGAGGAAAAGATAAACATGGCATCCCTTAGACTTTTCATAACATTGTCCCTCCCTTGGAAAGGCTGAGCTGTCACACCCTGGCAGCATTAACCAAGAAAGGAGAAAAAAATGTCTGACCACAACCGGAAGGTTAGCGGTGGGATAAGCCTGACAAACGTATGCTGGGCAGAAAAAGAGGTCAAGAGCATTACGTGTCAAGTGTCTAGACTCATCAGCTTGGCAGACATGACTGATGTGGAAAATGGGTCCTGCTCCTCCGGCCCCTCCCCAGGAGCTGTCTGCACAGACAGTCCAGGGCTATCACTGAAGGGAAAAGAGCCCTGTGTGGCTTCAGGCATGTCATCAGCCATGTGCCCACGCTGACCACTCCCCAGGCTCTGCCCACATCTTCTGAGGTTGATCTCCAGTGGCTGCCTTTGTTAAAGCTTGAGGGAGGTGGGAAACGGTTCAGGAAGAGGGGGGCTTGTTAGAAGTTTCACTGGCTAGGGCTTCTCATATTAGGGTGCTTGTGAGTTTCAGGCTGCTGGCCGGTGGATTTGGCACCATGACCCACAGCTGTTTCAGAATGCACCTTTCTCCAACTAACATTTTGGTGTGTGCTGTGTGCTATGTGCACTCTCCCTTTCTATCCCCACCACCCCACGTGGTGGTCACAGTTATTATCCCTGATATAAGAGGGCTAACGATGGGCAGGGCAGGGCCTCCACTGGCTCCAAAGTCCACGTCTTGCCCTGTGTGCTGCACCCCTCGTCGTTGGTCATGGAGGCCAAGGCTACCAGCAACTAAAAGGACATAGTGAGAACCGAGTGGTCCCAAGGAGTCACGTGGCCCCGGAGTGGGATGTGTGGAAATGCAGACTCCAAGGTCAGGGGTGGAGTGGCCCTTGGCTTGACTTATCAGCCCCTCCAGCTGTGGGGCCAATTCCCTGTTTGTGGTCACATGTGTTTGGAACAACGTCCATTTCTCAGCAGATGCTGCAGCTTCTGGGCCATTCAGCCGTCTCCATCTGAAGTCCCTCGAGCTCATCTTCCTTCAGCTTTTGCTTTCCATTTTGTAAACCACCTGGGGTAAAATATGCAACAGTTTTCCTGACCTCCTGGGCCTCCAGTCTAAATTTATTTGCCTGGCATTTGGTTTCCAGTTAATTTTCTTCTTATAGGTCACTGTTGGGTTACACTGTTCTGCTAACTCTAATATTAAGAAGCTTTCATTCCAAGTTCTGTTTTTCTGGAAGCCAAGCTGCTCATGGACTTAGGAGGATGGAGACCTCAGAGCACTGTCTAGCTCCCATCTCAACAAAAGACTACCTTGCGACCAGGGGCACTGTATCCCTGTGTCTCCAATTCTCCCTGACTTCCCGCCTATAACCCGAGAAGTCTCGAGGTCTCAGGAATTCCCTAAGAAGAGCTATGCATGTCCTCCTTGTTGCATCTGTCCCATGGCTTTGCCCTCCAGCATGGGACAAGGTTCCTATGGGTGTCTGGGACACCCCTGGGCACCCATCTCAAATATAATAGTTCCTGAATCCAATGCTTTTTTAGCTAACACTAACAATACCCACCAATTATTCAGCTATATACAGTTGTTGTTGTATAGAGAATATTCTGAGTGAGTTACCCAGACTGATTCCTATAGCAACCTAATGAGATGGATACTGTTGGTGTTTCTTGCCTGTGGAATAGAGATGATAGGAAATGACGGGATCAGCTGAAGGTCTCCTCATGCAACATGAGAGTTGGGATTTGAACCCACGTCTGAGTGGCCTAAAGCCTGTGGTCATTACCAGCTCACTGACGTGCTCTGCATGAGGCCTTCTTTTTCCTTATTGATGGTCAAGAACAATAGGAATATTAATATTTTTACTGTTAAAAAAAGTATATCTCCTTGTAGTTTCTGAAAAAAAAGTATAAAGGTAGAATTATAATACAAAACACAATTGTACTCATCTCCCCAAATGAACGAATATTAATATTTTGTCTTAAATTGAGAAATCAAACATTTCCAATGAAGCAGAAGTCGCCTATGTTTCCCTCCCAGTCCCATTCCCTTCCTCATTTCTGCCTCCTTCCCCTCCTAAAGACAATTAAACCACTGTTAGGAACTTGTGCAGATTTAATCTATGTAATTTTACTCTTACCACATGAATAATATTGCTTTAAAAGATTTAAACTTGAAATACATGTTCTCATCGTGATTGTAACGTTCTGCAACTTATTCACTTACATCGTGTGTTGTGTTCTCTCCATGTTGATATTTGCATATCTAATGAGCATTTAAAATTTTAATTGTAAAGGGTTCTATTGAATGAATGCACAACGATCTCTTTTCACTCCCTTCCTAATGGCCTTTTGTTTTGTTTTGTTTTGTTTGTTTGCTGTGACAAGCGATGGAGCAGTGGGCATCCTTGTTCATATCTTACTCACATGGTCATGGCTTTCTCTATGGTCTACATACGAAAGAGGACTTTTATTGTTTATATATAATTTTCTCAGTGAAAAATAGAGGACAGTGTCTTATGAAAAGCATTTTTTTCCCCTAAAGAACAATTACCATTTACATTCCAATGGCTGCTAGCGAGTGCCAGTAAACACACATGGTACAGCCCATAGAGGGAGGTTCAAGTCCCTGTGGGTTCTGTCTTGATTGAGGCCATCAGAGCTCTTAGGTAAATGAAAAGGTGTGTGAATGTCTTTGGTGTGGTTATCTGTTGCACAAACGAATACTTTCAGGTCTGATATTGACCTAAAGACAGAGGAATTTACTTTAATAATTATGCTTCATAAATAATAGAACCAGGATTCTGATTCGTGGAGCTCCCAAGGACTCCCCCATGTTGCTGCTAGCCCCTCTTTAGTGAGACCTCAAAGGGCCTTCTGGGCTTGAGGACCTCAGGTGTGGAGTCTACACTGGAAATCACACCACTTCGCCAGCCCAGCTGACAAAGTTCTTCACAGGGACATCATACCAAGTGCTCTGAGGAGAGTCTCCCCTTCCGGCCTCACGATGATTGCCAGATGGTGACAAACTTGGTCCTGTCTGGCCAGAGTCAAAGTCCATGCATTTGTAGGTGGCCTGAAAACCAAAGGAGAGGAAAGAGACAGTTTTACTCTGTTCAGAAATAGCATGAGAGGTGGGTGACATTTTCATTGTCCTTTAGAGTCACGGTTTGTCTTTGGTGCCACCCACCATAACCACATAGAGTGGTTGAATGTGGAAGCGGTGATGTATTTTAAGGCCAGGGTGCAATGTCCATGGTCAGAGACTGAAAATGTCAACGGGTTTAAGAAATGTTGAAATGGCTCCATAGATAACCATCAGAGGCTACTAGAGAAGGGGGTTGGGAGATAGCCACACTTACAGAGCTGACATTACGGGGTAGCAGGTATTCTTTTTTTTTTTTTTTTTTTTTTGAGACAGAGTCTCCCTATGTCGCCCAGGCTGGAGTGCAGTGGCGTGATCTCTGCTCACTGCAAGCTCTGCCTCCCAGGTTCACGCCATTCTCCTGCCTCAGCCTCCTGAGTAGCTGGGACTCAGGCGCCTGCCACCATGCCCGGATAATTTTTTGTATTTTTAGTAGAGACGGGGTTTCATCATGTTAGCCAAGATGGTCTTGATCTCCTGACCTCGTGATCTGCCCGCCTCGGCCTCCCAAAGTGCTGGGATTACAGGTGTGAGCCACTGCGCCTGGCCAGCAGCTATTCTTTGGCAATGCTCATTTATGGAGGAGAGGCCTCATGCTGCAGCAGGTACTGCACAGGCTCTGGAGCTAGGACCTGACCCTGCCACATATCCATAAGAGCTTCCATCCGCTGAGCATGTCATGATGTGCCAGGCACTGTACTAAGCACTTTGTATGTATGCAGTCAGTAGAATGATGGCCCCACAGATGTCCACATCTCACTGGCTGGAACCTGTGAATATGTTGGGTTGTATGGCAAAGGAAACTAAGGCTGCAGATGGAACTAAGGTCAGTAATCAGCTGATTCTTTTCTTTCTTTCCAACTTTCATTTTAGGTTCAGGGGTACATGTGCAGGTTGTACATGAGTAAATTGCATGTCACAGGGATTTGGTGTACAGATAATTTTGTCACCCAGGTGATCAGTATAATATCCTTGATATAGTTTAGATGTGTGTCCCCACCAAATCTCACATTGAATTGTAATCCCCAGTGTTGGAGATGGGACCTGGTGAGAGGTGATTGGATCATGGTGGTGGATTTCTCACTAATGGCTTAGCACCATCCTCTTGGTGCTGTTCTCCTGATAGTGAGTGAGTTCCCTTGAGATCTGGTCATTTCAAAGGGTGTGGCACCTCCTGCCTTGCTCTCTCCTGCTCTTGCTCTGGCTGTGTGACATCCTCCTCCCCCTTTACCTTCTGCCAAGATGGTAAGTTTCCTGAGGCCTCTCCAGAAGCCAAGCAGATGCCAGCATCATGCTTCCTGTACAGCCCATGGAACTGTGAGTCAAGTAAACCTCTTTTCTTTACAAATTACCCAGTCTCAGATATTTCTTTGTAGCAATTCAACAACAGAACAGTACAACCCTATACATAGTTTTTCAATCCTCGCCCTCTTCCTACCCACCACCATCAGGTAGGCCCTGTGTCTATTGTTCCCTTAATGGTGTCCATGTGTACTCAATGTTTAAGCTCCCACTGACAAGTGAGAACATGCAGTATTTAGTTTTCTATTCCTGTGTCAATTTGCTTAGGATAATGGCCTCCAGCTCTACCCATGTTGCTGCAAATGACATGCCTTCACTCTTTTTCATGGCTGTATAGTATTTTATGGTGTATATGTACCATGGTTTCTTTACCCAGTCCACCACTGATGGGCACCTAGGTTGATTCCATGTCTTTGCTATTGTGAATAGTGTCCGCGGGCTTTAAAATGAGGAGCTTATTCTAGATGACCTGGGTGGGCCCATGGTGATCACAAGGACCTTGTAAATGTGAAGAGGGAAGCCAAAGAGTCAGAACCATAGAGAGATTTGAAGATGCTGAACTGCTGACTTGAAGACTGAGAAAAGGGCCATAAGCAAAGGAATGTGGGTGGCTTCTAGGTGCTGGAAAAGGCAAGGAAACAATTCTCCCTTGAGCCTCTAGAAGGAACACAGCTCTGCTGACAACTTGATCTTACCTTGTTTGGTACTTCTGACCTCCAGAATGATGAGAAAATAAATTCGTGTTGTTTCGAACCACTTGGTTTGTGACAATTTGTTATTGGAGCGATAGGAAACTCATCCACTCACCTCATCCACTCTGTACCACTCTCCTCTGAGCAGCTGCTGTGATCACACTTTCACAGATGAGGACATTGCAGCTGCGGGGCAGTTAAGCAACTCACAGGAGGTTCCACAGCCAGTCTGGTGAGGAACTGAGATTCTAACCTGCCCTATACCCAGGTCTGAGCCCAGAATTGTGTGACCTTGGATAAGTTATTCAGGTTTCAGCCCTCAATCATGGCCAGAGCTAAGGTGAAGTGAGTGAGGCACCTTGGTGCGAAATTTAAGGGAGCATGAAAAAACTTAGTCATCGAGATGCAGTCTATTTTAGTGTAATATATTAGAATTAAAATTGATGCCAAAAAATGCCATGATGAACAAAACACTAAAATTTTAAATAAATGTAGGGTTAATCTCAATTTCTACATCTATAAAAGTAAGGACTATATCCTAACTTTGCAGGATGGTTGTGTGGAATTAAATGAAAAAATCTACAGAAAACATCTTGGGAACACCTGGCACATAGTAAGAGCTCATTAAATGACGATCATTGTTTTGCGGGGCACAGAGGGTGGGTGAAAACACAGGCCCTAGTGTCAGGCTGCTGAGATTCAAATCCTAGCTCTGCCATTTCCCAGTTGAGTGGCCTTGAGTAAGCTGTTTACCTGCTTGATGTCTGAGGCTACCTTCAGACTCAAATGTGGTGTCACCTCATTCCCAAACTCATTCTAACCAGCTTCTTACAAGCAGCGTGATTTTGTGCTATTTCTGAAATTTCTTCTCAATCTTTTTATTTTGGCCAGGTTATTTACCTTTAGTGAATTCCATCTTCTGAAAACAATGCTTTTGTGGGTCTTCTTGCAACTGAACTACAAGATTCAGGCAATTCCGACTTATGAAACCGTGATGACATTTTTTAAGAGGTAATATAACTTAGTGTTGATTGATGAAATACACAAATACTGAAATGTACAAACACTGCTCATAATATCACGGGGGAAAACCATCAGTGATATAATTTTTCATAGCATCATTCAGAGGGCACTGTTTTTTTAATAGGGCCTAAGATTATAGGATGCTTTCAAACCACCAAATTACCTGGAAAAGTAAACAACATGTAGGTGTTGTACTATGAGATAATCAGGTGCTTCTGGGAACTTGCTGTGTCCAGTAACAGGCATGAGGCAAAAGGTACTCCTCTCTTCAGGAAAATGACCACACTACCCTGGCCTTTAAAACTTCATTAAAAAAAAAAATCAGCTTTCTTAGGTTGAATAAAACTCACTTTTTCTGTGGAAGTAACTGGTGGTATTACCTTGTTAGGTTTGTGTTTCTGGTCCCCACAGCCTCAGGAATGAGGGCTTCCAAGCATGACGAGGCGAGTTTAAGGAAGTGGAAGTAAAGATGCTTCATTTCTTTTGCATGTGTGAGTTTAGCAGATAAACACGTCTTCACGTAGTGACCTGTTTAAGCCAAGTTTCATTTGCATTGTTTTGAAGCACGTAATTCATTTCTGGAACAGAACATCTGTGCGCTGCGTTAAGTAAAGAGCCCACTTCTTTCTCTGTCTTGTTATTTGAGGAAAGCAGCATTCAGTGTCGGAATTATATGTACTGTGTTTAGTTTCCATATAATTTGCTTTGAACCCAAATGTTTTACCCGCCCTCCCCCACTCTTTTAATAGCCTATGAGACACTTTTTCCAATGAGTCATGCACACCAGGAGGAATTGCTGTTTGGCTCCAGGTCAGCTCTCCTACTGGAAACGTCTTAGCACTGGGAGATAGGAAAAAGAGCTAGAATGTGGTGATTCATTAGAGCTGTGTTTTTAATATGGAAGAAGCAAGTGAGGAGAAGGGAGTTAAGGTGTGGGCCCCCTGCCAAAGTTGCTGTTTCCAAGGCCTTTGCTTGCACTCCTGAGCCAGAGACGCCACAGCTCTTCCCTGGAGTGGCAGGCACAGGGGTGTTTCTCACCACCACAGCTTTTCCATTTTCTTTTCGAATCTACGTTGATTTGTCCCAGACCTCACATCGCCATGCATTTCCCCAAGCCCCCTGATCCTGTATAATTTTCTTCGTTGGAAACCATTTGCTTCTTTCCAAGTCATGTCATTGCCCCGACCTAAGCAGTGATGACAAATCTTTCAACAGGGGCCAGAGTCCTCTCAATGTAGAGTGGGGGTGGCTCCAGACAGCCAGAGCCTGCTGTGTCCCTTCCCCAACCTCCCTCCTTCCCTGCTTGGCCCTCTCCTTTCTCCAGCGAGCTTTGGGTCAGACTGGGAGAAAAGATGGGAAAGTGTAGGGCTTGGATGCTCTCCCCTGCACACTGTCCAGGCCCACTCTGTCATCATGGAGGACCTTGTGGCCCACTTTTAGCACTGTGGATGGTTCTTCTCCTGCCCAGCTCAGCTGCTCCAGGGTGGTAGCACCTCGCAGTTGTGTCTTTGTCATTGGCCTCCATCTCCCAAATGCATCTCCTGAGCCCCGGGCTCCTTCACCTGGGGGTCTGCTCTGGGTGCTCCTGCTTCCCCCAGTCCCTGCCTGCTCTGCCTCCTCTCTGTCCATCCGTGATGGGGGCCACCCACCAGAGCTGCTCTGCCCAGCCCCTGCTGAACCCCTCAGTTCATGTATATGTCCTGCCCCTCCCAGGGACATCATAAGCAGCTTCAACAAAGGGCTTATGATCCTTTCTCTTGCCCCAACTTGCCTGGCACCTTGCTGGACTGTGAGTCTCTGTCAGACTTTTTTTTCTCTTTTTTTGAGACAGGGTCTTGCTCTGTCATCCAGGTTGGAGTACAGTGGCGTGATCATAGCTCACTGCAGCCTCAAACTCCTAGGTTCAAGTGATCCTCTCGCCTCAGCCTCCTGAGTAGGTGGGACTACAAGAGCATGTAGCCACATCTGGCTAATTTTTAAAATTATTACTATTATTATTTTTTGTTTGTTTGTTTTTTGGTTTTTGTTTTTGTTTTTTTTTTTGAGAAAGAGTCTCGCTCTGTCGCCAGGCTGGAGTGCAGTAGCGCCATCTCAGCTCACTTCAACCTCCGCCTCCCAGGTTCAAGCAATTCTCCTGCCTCAGCCTCCTGAGTAGCTGGGACTACAGGCAAGCGCCACCACACCCAGCTAATTTTTGTACTTTTAATAGAGATGGGGTTTCAACATGTTGGCCAGAATGGTCTCGATCTCTTGACCTCGCGATCCACCCGCCTCGGCCTCCCAAAGTGCTGGCATTACAGGCGTGAGCCACTGCGCCCAGCCTAAAATTATTATTTGTAGAAACAGGGCCACTCTGTTGCCCAGGCTGATCTCAAACTCCTGGTCTCAAGTGATCCTCCCACTTGGCCTCCCAAAGCACTGGGATTACAAGCATGAGCCACTGTGCTGAGTACATTTTTTTTTTTTTTTTGAGGCAGTGTCTCACTTGTTGCCCAGGCTGGAGTGCAATGGCACGATCTCGGCTTGCTGCAACCTCTGCCTCCTGGGTTCAAGCAATTCTAGTGCCTCAGCCTCCCAAGTAGCTGGGACTACAGGCACGTGCCACCACGCCCAGCTAATTTTTGTATTTTTAGTAGGGGTGGGGTTTCATCATGCTGGCCAGGCTGGTCTCAAACTCCTGCCCTCAAGTGATCCTCCCACCTCGGCCTCCCAAAGCACTGGGATTGCAGGCGTGAGCCACCGTGCTGGGTCCATTTTTATGTAGCTCAGTTCTTCTCACAGAAGTGGGTCTTAAATGCTGATGGAAAATTCAGAGAATGTCATGCATGTGGCAACTTGACAACATTGAGATAGCAGACACATTTCCGTTTCTATTGATGGGTGGTGCCCGTTGAGTGCACCAGCCCAAGAAGGATTCTCAGCTTTTCTGTAGGCTCTGAGAAGAAGAATGTCGCAGTAGATTAGCGGTGTCTATCCTGGCTGCAGGAGCCAGGCTTGGTGGCGCCCTGGGTCCATGTTTGCCATCCCCTGCCGAGGATCCCCAGGGCTGACCAGCAACAGTGCGGAGGCTTTGTAGCTGCTGGCCTAGCAGGGCTGGTGGCCGGAGGGCTCCAGCTGCCCCGAGGTACCTCTGCTCCCTGTGGAGGTGGAGGGAGACTGCAGGGAGTCACGGACAGCCTGGGCCAGCATTGCGTCACCAGGGGAGTTGAGCTACAAAGTTCAAAGGGGCAAAGGGAGCAGCTAATCAAGGAAGCTCCAGTGGTCGCTGACAGGGATGTGCCAGGAGCATTTCAAAGTGAGACAGAGGAGCAGACCCCAGGGGAGACAGTAAACAGGCTCGGAAATGAGAAGAGAGGGAGCAATTTGGCCCAATTTTAAAAATTGCAAATATTGATAAAATAACTTCAATGACAGAGCAATCTACTTCCCGGGGAGGGGGACATGTTGAGGCCGTCACATTATGGGAACTGACAAGTTGGAACTGCACTTCCCTAACATGTCAGTAGTGGGACAAGCTGAACAAATATTAGCTCACCCGGACCTTGACCCTACCAGGAAAGAAGCTGAGCAGCAACTGCGGGCATGGCCTTGGCTGGCCCAGAATCCGGAAAGGAGGGTCGAGAGCCATTAACTGAGTAAAATGAGTCAGACGCCCCTTTCCTCATCTGTCTCAGCAGTGTCCGGAAGACAGGCTAGGAGGGAACGTAGTTGAATAACTGACTTCTCCAGCAACGACTATACCCAAAAATAAAGACATACGTCCAAGCCATTTCTACTCTCCCATTTTCTTTTGTTCATTAATTTTTTTTTCAATCTTTCATTCAACAAATATTTTTTGAACATGTGCTTTGTGCCTCAGACACTGACATAATGTTGAAGGGGCAGTTTCTTTGCCTAGCCAGATGTTTAGAAACAACTTCAAGTTTATTTTTGTTGCTATCCAAGAACATCAATGTAAGAAGGAAACAAACACGCACGGTCGTGTGTGGCTTGCAAACACATACAAACACACACCTGTGTGCACATAAATGCATACACAACTACACACATCTAAAGCATAAACACACATACACACACCACTCTACACTCTACAGCCTGTTTTTCTGGCAATAGCTAGTTGAGAAAAACAAATAGGCTGTCCCGAATTAAATTTAACATCTCCTTGTAGGAAAAACAAAAAATGTAAGCAAAGCTGTTGCCTTCATCTATGAAGGAAAAGTCATCATTTCATTCCACTTGGTAGTCTGAGAAGTTCAGGAAAGCTGTAAAAACTTGTAATCGGAGAAAGGGCAGAAGCAGGCAAATTTTCAACTTTTTAAAAGAACATTTTAAAATCAAGGCATAAAATACAGAAAGGTGCATGAACCTTAAATGAAGAGCTCAATGAATTTCCACAAAGTGAGCACACCTGTGTAACCAGCACCCAGACCAGAACAGGGGACATGGCCAGTCTCTAAAGCCCCTTATCTCAGTACCTACTTCTTCCACCAAAAGTAAACAGTATCCTGACCTCTTTTACTACCAATACATCTTCCCTTTTCTTGAGCTTTGTATAAATAGAATTCTGTAGCATACACCTTTAAATGTCTGGCTTCTTTCACACAATAATGTATCTGTAAAATCCATCCACGTGGCTGCATGTAGCAATAGCTTGTTCATTCTCATAGGATATTTCATTATATGATTATACCACAATTTATTCAGATGTTGGTGGACATGTTCAGCCACTAGGAATAGTATTGCTATATACAACCATGTACATGTCTTGTGGTACACATAATTATGTGCTTCTATTGGGTAAAAACCTAGGAATAGAATTACTATGTCATAGGGTATGGATGAGTTCAACTTTAGTAAATACTGCCAAACAGTTTTGCAAAGTGGCTGTGCTAATTTATTCCCTAACCAGCAGTGCATGAGAATTCTGGTTTTTCCATATCCTTGCCAACACTAGGTATCTTCAGTCTTTCACTTTTCTTTTTCTTTTTCTTTTTTTTTTTTTTTTTTTTTTTGAGACAGTCTCGCTCTGTCTCCCAGGCTGGAGTGCGGTGGCATAGTCTCAGCTCACTGCAACCTCCACCTCCCGGGTTCAAGTGATTCTCCTGCCTCAGCCTCCTGAGTAGCTGGGACTATAGGCATACGCCACCACACCCAGCTAATTTTTGTATTTTTAGTAAAGACGGGGGTTTCACTATGTTGGCCAGGCTGGTCTTGAACTCCCAACCTTAAGTGATCCACCCGCCTTGGTCTCCCAAAGTGCTGGGATTATAGGTGTGAGCCACCGCTTCTGGCCAGTCTTTCACTTTTCTAATGGATGGAGAGTGGAACTAATTTGCCTATTCCCTTTTAATTTACATTCCCCTGCTAATGAGGTTGAGCATTTCTTTATATATTTGTTAGCCATTGGGTATCTTTTTAGTGAGGTGCCTGCACAAGTCCTTTCCCCATCTTTTCTTTGTTCTTTTCTATGTTCTGCTACGTTCTGGTCCACGTCCTTGTTGGATATATGAATTCCAAATACCTTCCCTCTGTGGCTGGCTTTCTCACTTTCAGAATGGTCTTTTGTTGTTGTTGTTGAGAGAGTCTCACTCTGTTGCCCAGGCTGGAGTGCAGTGGTGTGATCTCAGCTCACTGCAAACTCTGCCTCTCAGGTTCAAACGATTCTCTTGCCTCAGCCTCCTGAGTAGCTGGGATTACAGGCATGTGCTACCACGCCTGGCTAATTTTTTGTATTTTTAGTAGAGACGGGGTTTCACCATGTTGGCCAGGCTGGTCTCGAACTCCTGATCCAGGTGATCTGCCTGAATCAGCCTCCCAAAGTGCTGGGATTACAGGCGTGAGCCACTGTGCCTGGCCTCATAATGCTCGTTTGATGAACAAAATTTTAAATTTTAAGGCATTATAATCTATCAAGCCTTTCTTTTATAGTTAGTGCTGTTTTTTTTTTTTTGTTTTTTTTTTTGAGATGGAGTCTCACTGTGTCACCCAAGCTAGAGTGTAATGGTGCGATCTCAGTTCACTGCCATCTCTGCCTCCCGGGTTCAAACGATTCTGCTCCCTCAGCCTCCTGAGTAGCTGGGATTACAGGCACGTGCCACCACACCTCGCTACTTTTTGTATTTTTAGTAGAGATGGGGTTTCACCATGTTGGTCAGGCTGGTCTCGAACTCCTGACCTTGTGATCCGCCCGCCTCGGCCTCCCAAAGTGCTGGGATTACAGGCATGAGCCACTGGGCCTGGCCTATAGTTAGTGCTATTTAAGAATCTTTGCCTATTCCAGTGCCATGTGGATATTCTCCTATTTTCTTCTAGAAGCTCTATTGTTTTACCTTGCATTTAGATCTAGAGTCCATCCAGAAGTATTTTTTTAAGTATGGTGTGAGGGAGGGACCATGGTCACGGTCCTTCTTTTCATAAGGATGCACAATTGATCCAGCACCGTTTACTGGAAAGGCCATGCTTTGCTCACTGCTCTGCAGTGTCTGTCACCTTTGTCATAACGTATTTTACATGCTATGTGTTAAATGTTAGTGTCATACGACTATATGTATGACATATACATCATTTTTAGTATCTCTATTCTGTGCCATTAGTCTTGTCTATCCTTGAACCAATACCACACTTTCTTAATTACTGTTTCATTATAAATCTTGAGATGGAATAAGACATCCCCCAATTTTGTTCTTCTCCAAGATTACTTTGGTCATTCTTGGTCCTTTGGATTTTCACATATTTACTTTATAATCAGATTGTCAAATTCCACCAAAAAAGACAAGAGAAGAAAATGCTGAGATTTTGACTGGGAAGACATTGAATATGTAGATCAATTTGGGGAAAATTGACCTCTTTAGAATACTGAGATTTGTAATCCATGAAAATGGTATAAATCTCCATTTATTTGTCTTTTAAAATTTCTTGACCAGGCTCAGTGGCTCACACCAGTAATTTCAGCACTTTGGGGAGGCCTGAGGCCAGGAGTTAGAGACCAGCCTGGGCAACATAGTGGGACCTGTTCACAAAAAAAATGTAAAAAATTAGCTGGGCATGGTGGCACACTCCTGTAGTCCCAACTACTTGAGAGGCTGAGGCAGGAGGATCACTTGAGCCTGGGAGGTTGAGGCTGCAGTAAGCTGTGATTGTGCCGATGCACTCCAGCCTAGATGGCAAAGTGAGACCCTGTCTCAAAAAAAATTAAAAATAAAAATAAAATTTCTCTCAATAAAATTTAATAGTTTATTGTATGGAGGTCTTGCTCATCTTCCGTTGTATTTATTCCTAAGTGTATAATGTTTGCTGACTCTATTGTAAATAGTATCATTTAAACATTTTTATATTCTAATTGTTTGGTGCTGATATATAGAAGTACAATAGTTTTGTATATTGACTTTGTGTTCATATATTGATAGATTTTCTTATTTTAATAGACTGTACATTCTCTTGTATGTTTTCTACATATAATTATGTGATTTTTAAGAATAATACTAGATTTATCTCTTTCTCTCCAAATCTTGTGTCTTTCACTTATTTTTCTTCCCTTATTGCACTAGGTAGACTCTCCAGTATCATGTTGAGTAGACATGAACATCTTTTGATAATGACATGAACGTCATCTGATAATGAACATCTTTTTTTTCTTCCCAGTCTCAAGGAAAAAGCTTTCAGTAATTCCCCAATCTGTGTATGATGTTTGCTGTGGGTTTGGTGTAGATACTCTTTATCAAATTTTGAAAATCCCCTTCTATTTCTAGAGTTTTTAATCACGAGTGAATCTTACCAACTTTACTAAATGGTTCTCAGATTTTCTCAAAATGATATATAGTTTTCTCCTTTTTGCTATGAATGTGGTAAAATATATTAATTTTTCAAAGCAATAAACTTTGAGGTGGGATTTAATTACAGCAAAGTGAGTACGTTTTAAACATACAGTTTGATGACTTTGATAAACAGATATGCCTGTATAACCAGCACTGCAATCAAGATAGAGAATTGTTGATTTATTTTTTAATGGTAAACCAACTTTGTATCCCTGGAATGAAACCAACTAGGTCAAGCAATATTATCCTCTTTTATGTCACTGAATTCTATTTGCTGACTGTTTAGAATTTTTGCCTATATATTCATGAGAGATATTAGCTTGAAATTTTCCTTTCTTGGTTTATCCTTACCAGCTTTTAATTAATTTTGAGGTTATACTAATTTCATCAAATACATTTCAAAGCAGTCCCTCTTTTTCCATTTTCTAGAAGAGTTTGGGAGAGACTGCTGTTCTGTCTTCCTAAATATTTGGAAGAACTTTTCAGTGAAGCCATTTGGGCTTGAGATTTTGGAAGACTTTTAGTTATAGATAGAATGTTCTTTATATATAGTATTATTAAGATTTTATGGGTCTTTTTGTGTCAATTTTAGTTATGTTCTGTTTTTCAAGGAACGTGTACTTTTCATCTAAATTGTTTTAAATTTATTGACACCAGTAATTAACAAACTTTATCTTTTTAGAGCTTTTTTGAGGAATAATTGGAACTCAATAAACTACACATAGCTAATGCTTCAATTTGATGAGTTCTAATATACATAAGTACCCATAAAATGATCATTACAATAAAAATAATGAAAATATCCATCTCACACAAAGGTTTCCTTATGACACTAAATAGTCCACTCATAGGCCGGGCACGGTGGCTCATGCCTGTAATCCCAGCACCTTGGGAAGCCGAGGCAGGCAGATCACCTGAGGTTGGGAGTTTGAGACCAGCCTGACCAACATGGTGGAACCCCTTCTCTACTAAAAATACAAAAATTAGCCAGGCATGGTGGTGCACGTCTGTAATTCCAGCTACTTGGGAGGCTGAGGCAAGAGAATCGCTTGAACCTGGGAGGCAGAGGTTGCAGTGAGCCGAGATTGTGCTATTGCATTCCAGCCTGGGTGACTGAACGAGACTCCAACTCAAAAACAAAACAAAACAAAACAAAACAAAAATCCACTTGTCCTCTTTGCTCCAGCCCCACCACCACCATTGGTGGGCAAACACAGATCTGCTTCTATCACTCTAGATTTGTTTGCATTTTCTAGAATGTTATACAGTCTCATGCGTCACTGAACAACTAGGATGTGTTCTGAGACATGCATTGTTAGGCTGTTTCATCCTCGTGCAAACATCATAGGGGGTGCTTACACAAACCTAGATGGCATAGCCTACTACACACCTGGGCTATATGGTACAGTGTATCCCTCCTGGACTACAAACCTGTACAGCATGTTCCTGTACTGAATATCATAGGCAGTTGTAACACAATGGTAAGTATTCATGTATCTAAACATATATGATGTAAAAGATAAAAAAAAAGGATACACCTGTACAGGGCACTTATCATGCATGGAACTTGCAGGACTAGAAGTTGCTCTGGTGAGTCAGTGAGTGAATGGTGCGTGAATGTTAAGGCCTAGGACGTTACTGGGCAGCACTGTAGACTTTTTTTTTTTTTTTGAAACGGAGTTTCACTCTTGTTGCCTAGGCTGGAGTGCAACGGCGCAATCTCGGTTCACCGCATCTCCGCCTCTCCGGTTCAACTGATTCTCCTGCCTCAGCCTCCTGAGTAGCTGGGATTACAGGCATGTGTCAGTGCGCCCGGCTAATTTTTTGTAATTTTAGTAGAGACGGGGTTTCTCCATGTTGGTCAGGCTGATCTCAAACTCCCGACCTCAGGTGATCCACCCGCCTTGGCCTCCCAAAGTGTTGGGATTACAGGCGTGAGTCACTGCACCCAGCCTACTGTAGACTTTATAAACGCTGTGTACTTAGGCTACACTCAAATGTTCTTTCTTCAATAACAAATAAACTTTAGCTTACTACAAGTATTTACTTTATAATTTTTTTAATTTTTAAAACTTGACTTTTTCATAACACTTAGCTTAAAACACAAACACGTTATACAAGTGTACAAAAATATTTTCTTTATAATCTGTTCTATAAGCTCTTATCCTGTTTCTAAAAAGTTTATGTTAATTTTTTACTTTTTAAACCTTTTTGTTAAAAACTAAGCCACAGGCCGGGTGTGGTGGCTCATGCCTGTAATCCCAACACTTTGGGAGGCCGAGGCTGGTGGATCATGAGGTCAGGAGATCGAGACCATCCTGGCTAACACGGTGAAACCCTGTCTCTACTAAAAATACAAAAAATTAGCCGGGCATGGTGGCGGGCAGCTGTAGTCCCAGCTACTTGGGAGGCTGAGGCAGGAGAATGGCGTGAACCTGGGAGGCGGAGCTTGCAGTGAGCCGAGATCGCACCACTGAACTCCAGCCTGGGTGACAGAGCGAGACTCTGTCTCAAAAAAACACAAAAAAACAAAAAAAACAAAAAAACAACAAAAAAAACTAAGCCACAAACACACGTATTAGCCTAGGTCCACACAGGGTCAGGACCATCAATGTCACTATCTTCCACCTCCACATCTTGTCCCACTGGAAGGCCTTCAGGGGCAATGACACCCATGAAGCCATCTCCTATGATAACAATGGCTTCTTCTGGAATACCTCCTGAAGGTCCTGCTTGAGGCTGTGAACTTTTTTTTTATAAGTAGAAGGAAAACACTATAAAATAAAGATTAAAAGTATATAATAGTACATAAGCCAGTAACAGTCATTTATTATTCATTATTAAGTATTATGTACTGAATGTAATTGCATGTATTACACTTTTATCCAACAGACGCACAGTAGGGTTTTTTTTTACACCAACCACACCACAAACACATGTGTTGTGCTATAGAATCACTAGACAATAGGACTTTTTCAGTCCTGTCTTTTCAGCTCCATTATAATCCTTTGGGACCACTATCTTATATGTGGTCTGTTGTAGACTGAAACGTTGTTAAGTGGTGCCTGACTGTATATATAGAATGTTATATAAATAAATCATGGAGTCTGTACTCCTTTTTTTCTGGATTCTTTCATGCATCATAATTATTCAGAGATTCACCCATGTTGTTGCATGTATCAGTAGGTCTTTTTGTTGATTGCTGAGTGATATTCCATTCATGGATTACCAAAATTTGTTTTTCTATTCATCTTTTCATAGACATTTGGGTTGTTTTTAGTAACTTTATAAAGTTACTATAAATATTCCTGTACAAGTCTGTATGGGAGAATATACTTTCATTTCTTTTAAGTAAATAAATTCCTGGGAATAGAATGGCTAGGTAAAACAGTAGGTGTATGTTTAACTTTTTAAGAATCTGCCAAACTGTTTTCCAATGTGGTTGGACTATTTTTTTTGTTTTGTTTTTGAGACAGCGTCTCACTCTGTTGCCCAGGCTGGAGTGCAGTGGCATGATCTTGGCTCACTGCAACCTCTGCCTCCCAGGTTCAAGTGATTCTCCTGCCTCAGCCTCCCGAGTAGCTGGGATTACAGGCACATGCCAACACGCCCGGCTAATTTTTGTATATTTAGTAGAGACAGGGTTTTGCCATGGTGGCCAGGCTGGTCTCAAACTCCTGACCTCAGGTGATCCACCTGCCTCGGCCTCCCAAAGTGCTGGGATTACAGGCGTTCATTTGCTCCACATCCTTGCTAACATTTGGTCAGCCTTTTTGATTCTTGCCAATTTAATCCATTTGTAATGGTATCTCATTGTGATTTTAACTTTCATTTCCCCAGTGACTAAGGATGGTGAGCATTGTTTCATATGCTTATTTGTCCTTCATTTATCTTCTTTAGTGAAAAGTCTGTTCAAACCTTTGGCCCATATTTTTAAAACCGGGTTGTTTTATTATTGACTTGTGAGTATTCTTTAAATATTCTGGATACAAGTCCTTTGTCAGATACATATTTCGTAGATACTTTCTCCAAATCTATTACTTATATTTTCATTTTCAAAATAGTGTAGTTTGAATATCAGAAGTTTTTTATTTTGATGTTCAATGTGTTGACTTTTTTCTTCTTTTCAGTTCATTCCTTGTGTGTCCTACTTAATAATCTTGCCAAAGCAAGATGACTATGATTTTTCCTCTATGTTTTCTTCTGGGAGATTTATTGTTTTAGCTCTCACATTTATATTTATGATTAATTTTGAGTTAAGTTTTAAATATATATGTGAGGTAAGGGTTAAGATTCATGTTTTGCATATAGATATCCAATTATTCAGTATGATGTGTTGAAAAGAGTATTCTATTTCCCTTGAATTGCTTTTGGCACCGTTGTCAAACATCAACCATATGTGTGTGTTTATTTTGGGACTCAATATTCTGTTCCTTTAAACCATATTCCTATTTTATACTAATATATTATCTTGATTAGATAATTCATTTTTACTAAGTCTTGACATAAGGTAATGTAAGTTCTCTAGCTTTGTTCATTTTTTTCAAAGTTATTTTGACTACTCTAGCTCCTTTGCACTTTCATATTAATTTTAAAATCAGCTTGACAGTTTTTGTAGAAAAATCTCGTGGAATTTTGATAAGGATTGTCTTCAATGTACAGGCCAATTTGGGAAGAATTTACATCTTAACAAGATTGAGTCTTCTGATCCATGAATATGGTATATCTTTCCATTCATTTAGGTCCGTTTAAATGTCTTTCATAAATGTTTCCTGTAGTTTTGCACAGTGTTTAGAAAATTTATCTCTAAGGCTTTCATATTAACACTATTGTAAGAGGTATTATTTTAACTTTGATTTCTGATTGTTCTTTGCTATTATGTAGAAATACAGTATTAATTTTTTTACATTGACTTTGTATTATACAACCTTAGTAGAACTCAATTGTACTTCTAGAAACTTTTTTATAGATTCCTTAGGAATCTACATAGGCAATCATATCACCTGTAAAAAAAGACAATTTTATTTCTTCCTTTCTATCTGTATGCCTGTTTTTGTTCTTGCCTTATTACACTGAATACAATATTCAGTACATTGTTGATCAGAAGTGGTGAGAGAGTGGACCTTCTTGCCTTGTTCTAGAATACAGGAGGAAATAATTTAATCTTTCATTATTAAATAAAATTTTAACTATAGGTTTTTTATAGATACCCTTTATCATGTTGAGGAGGTTCCTTTTATATCTAGTTTGATGATAAATTTTATCAGGAATAGATGTTTTATTTTATCAAATGTTTAGTTTGCCCTTCTTTTCCTAGTTTCACAGGTGGAAATTTAAGTCATTGGTTTAAGACTTTTTTTTCTAAGTGTTTAGTGCTATAAATTTCCCT
Organism: Homo sapiens; assembly: GCF_000001405.40. Taxonomy (NCBI): domain Eukaryota; kingdom Metazoa; phylum Chordata; class Mammalia; order Primates; family Hominidae; genus Homo; species Homo sapiens. The sequence goes on from NC_000010.11 coordinate 122,320,524, forward strand.
CTAATTATTGCTTTAGCTGCATCTCAGAAATTTTGATATGTTGTGTTTTAAACTTCATTCAGTTCAAAATACTTTCTAATTTTCCCTTTGAGTTCTTCTTTGACCTATGGATTATTTAGAACTGTGTTCTTTGTTCTGCAAATATTTGAGGATTTTCTAGATATCTTCCTGTTACTGTTTTCTAACTTAATTCCATTGTTATCAGAGAAAATGCTTTGTATGATTTTAGTTCTTTTAAATTATTGAGACCTGTTTTATGGCTCACAATATGATCTCTCTTGGTAAAAATTTTTTAAAAGTCTTTATGATTGTATTTTATGTCTATTTTTAAAAATTTCAACTTTTATTTCAGATTTAGGGGGTACATGTACAGGTCTGTTACATGGATATATTACATGATGCTCAGGTGCGGTACAATGGACCCTGTCACCCAGGTACTGAGCATAGTACTCAATAGGTAGTTTTCCAGCCTTTGTCTCCCTCCCTCCCCACTCTAGTAGTCCCTACTTTCTATTATTCCCATCTTTATGTTCATGTGTACCCAATGTTTAGCTTCCATTTATAAGTGAGAACATACGGTATTTGGTTTTCTGTTTCTGCATTAATTCACTTAGGATAATGGTCTCCATCTGCATTCATGTTGCTGCAAAGAACATAATATATATATTTTTTAATGGCTGTGTGGGATTCCATGGTATATATGCACTACATTTTCTTTATCCAATCCACCACTGATGGACACCTAGGTTGATTCCATGTCTTTGCTATTGTGAATAGTGCTGTGATGAACATATGCCTGCATGTGTCTTCTTGGTAGAATGATTTATTTTCCTGTGGGTATATACCCAGTGATGGGCTTGTTGGGTCAAATGGTATAGTGCAATTTTCAGTTCTTTGAGAAATCTCCAAACTGCTTTCCACAGTGGCTGAACTAATTTACATTCCCACCAACAGTGTGTAAGTGTTCCCTTTTCTCCACAGCCTTGCCAACATTTCTTACTTTTTGACTTTTTAATAATAGCCATTCTGGCTAATATAAGATGGTATCTCACTGTGGTTTTGATTTGCATTTTTCCGATGATCAGTGATGTTAAACATTTTTGCATATGTTTGTTGGCCACTTGTATATCTTCTGTTGAAAAGTATTTGCTCGTGTACTTTTTCTACTTTTTAATGGAGTTGTTTTTTGCTTGTTGATTTGTTTAAGTTCCTTATAGATTTGGGGGTATTATACCTTTGTTGGATGCATAGTTTTTGTGTTTACTCTGTTGATAGTTTCTTTTGCTGGGCAGAAGCTCTTAAGTTTGATTAGGTTCCACTTGTCAATTTTTGTTTTTATTGCAATTGCTTTTGAGGACAATCACAAAATTTTTTGAAAAGACTGATATCCAGAAAGATATTTCCTAGGTTTCTTCTAGGATTTTTATAGTTTTAGGCCTTACATTTAAGTCTTTAATCCACTTGGTAAATGTTTATTATGTTTTTAGTATCTATAGAATTTGTTGTGATGGCCCTCTTTTCATATCAGATATTGATAATTTGTATATTTCTCTTCTTTCTTTCCTCGATCAGCATTGATAGAGGTTTATTTTATTCATTTTTTTAAAAAACACCTTTTGACTTGACACACCTGTTGATATTTTTCAATTGTATGTTTTCTATTTCATTAATTTTTCTCTTCGTTATTTCCTTCTACTTTCTTCAAGAATTGATATTCTTTTTCTAACCTCTTGAAATGGGTATTTAGATATCTGATTTCCAGGCTTTCTTCTTTTCTGATTTAGAGCTATACGTTTCCTTTAACTGCATCCCACGAGTTTTGATATAATATGCATGAGTATGGTGTATTGGGTCAGGAGTGGGGGTGGCTTTATCGGACATTCTAGTAGGAGACAGGTGGGTGGAGAAAGTGAGGAGGCCTAGGGAACAGTTGCCACTCTCTCCATGAGGGGCAAAGGGTCTGAGCTCTGGTGATATCAAGAAGATGGAGTGGAAAGAGTGTCCATAAGAACAAATATGGTAGCAAGAGAATTAATTATTCATCTGGTTCACCTAGCTAGAGAAGGAGATGAAAGAAGATGTGAGAAGCAGCCCATTGCAGTTTGGAATCCACGGTGATTTATACAGAAATATGGCACCTGTGGAAGATGATCTTATTTTGGATTAATTATGGTGAATTTAGAGAGATCAACTCGTTTATCAGGAGCTCAGGGGTTTGGTGTATTTCAGAAGCCATCTTGCTAGAGTGATCCACTGTGCCTCCACACTTGGCTCAGTTATCCCCAAGGAAACCCTCCAAGAGTACCCTCTCTCCCCACAGTCTGATTCAGATGCTCAGTCTCTGGGCTCCATAGTATTGCATGCCCATCTCTGTAAGCTTTCTCACTTGTAAATAAAATAATTATTGGGATTATCTGTTCCTAAGCATGGCTCCCGCACTGGCCATTTGCAGCAAGGGCTGTGTCTTACTCCCTTTACCCTCCCAGTCCTCAATCTTTCATTAAAGAACAGCTTCTAGCTGTTGACTAAGTACTGAATGAATGGTGCTTTGAATGTTCTTTAATGGTGGTTTTAACCTCTGAAATATTTCACTTTAACTCTGAAAATTACTCTAAATTGCATGTCAGGTACACAGTGTAAGAAGGAATATAGTGACTTTCTGGCCAGTTGTTTAGTGTTAAATGGAAACAAGTGTCATGTTTACAGAGTGATAGCTTGAAGTGCACAAAGCATGGGCTGGTTTCAGTCCTGCTGGGTATGGATTTGATCTTGATTTGCAACTTTCTCCCTCCAGCCTTAGGCATTACGGTGTGTGTGCTACATTTCAAGTGGAACAGTCTTCTCAGGGCCTAGGGATGACTCTCCAGTTGCTTTGTGTATGCTCAGGCTCAGCAGGAGATTGACAAGTAGCTTCTTGTTGCTTCTTATGTGTCCTTTTATGGTATGTGGGACAGGGCTGGATCTGAATGACTGCTAGAAGGGTGGAGAATTCAGTCCTCAATCAGGTGAAATTGGTCAGTATTATTAGAAGCAGAAAATGTCTTCCCACCTTCAAAAACCCTTCTGCAGGAGGATAGTGTAGAACTCTTCTTGTGATTATACTAATTGAAATGAGTGGCAGTTTGGGAGCTACAGGACAGCAAAATGCATTCAGTTCATGTCAGTTTGTAAATTACTCACTTTACTAAATCAAAGAAGGTCGATGCTGGAAAGTGCCTTAGAGATCATCTGGTCTCACCCTTTCATTTTGCAGTTGAATAAGCTAAGGCCCAGGGATAATGAGGAGGTTACTTAGGCTCCTTTTGCAAATTGATGGTGGTCCTGGGGTTGACCTTGGTCTTCTAGGTCTTCTGACACTCTTAGCTCTTAGGATCAAGGGCAAATCATAACAGACATGTAATTCTAATCCTTAGCTGATTTATAATCACTAAATAGGTATCTCTCAGACACTGAAGGGTAGATTCTGGCAATGAGCTTCCACCTCACCAGAGGGAAGTAATTTGAATGTAGCCAATGAAGCCAATTCCCATATGATCCCAACTTCTAGATTCCCCTGATTCTCCAGCTGAGTCTCTTCTTTCCTGTGCCCTACCCAAATCTGACCCAGCCTTTACAGAGCTTGACAAAGCCGGTTCCAGAAAGCCTTCTCTGATCTCACTTGTGCACTGGATGAATTCCTCCTCTTAGCTCCTCTTTGCGGAGAGAAAAAGAGCATGTGCTGGCTGCATGGGTGTGCACTGGTGAACCCAACAGCACCTTCCCCCACCCATTCCCCCCACATACTATTCCCAAGGGACCGCAGGGGGAAACTTTTAAGGAGAGCTTCCCTGCCATGCCCTGTACCATGGGTGCCCTGAGCCCACTGATTTCTTGAGGGCAATGTGCTATGATGCTGTGTCCCCAGGGTGGGCGAGGCCATGTGCCTCTTGTGATTCATGAATGGCATTTGCAGATGTAGCCAGAGTTAGCATGAAACTGGGCAACCCTGGTGTGTCAACACTGATCTCTTTACCAGCACATTAATTTTGAAATATCCCATGAGTCATGGACATTAGGGCCATTAAATTGTTCTCTTTTAGAATAGCTCAACAAAGCCTTGTGCAGGGAGGTTGGTATATTCTGGGTCAAGAGGATTTCTCATTATCTGACGTTCATGCTTCTTGCCTTGTTGTGTCTTCTCTTGCTCTGAGAGGTGATGACTCTGCTCCCCTTTAACTTGGATCTCTGGAACCTGAGTCTCTCTTGTTCTCAAGGTCCCTAAATATTATGCTTAGTTCTTACTAACTTTCCACTTCCGCCATGTTGCTTCTTGGCTTCCCAGGCATATTGAGAAGCACCAAAACATACCTTCAACAATAAGCATGGAGAAGTGGAAGGAGCACAAGAGTCTGGGTGTAGGAGTTTCTTAAAAAGGGCAGCTGTGGTTATGATTAGACAGGATTTCCCTTTGTGCTAGGGTCAGGACCATCTTGACAGACAGAAGGACATTGAACTTGGTCTCAGTGAAAAGCTGATAGGTCATGGTGACAGCAGACAGGACCACATGGGCATGGAGATAGTGGCATAGACTGGCCTGTATGTGCAGCAAGTGTGTGTGAGCATGTGCACCAGGGCTGGCCCTACTGGCCTAGAAGATAAGTTGTGGGTGAATGGAGGGATGGGATGATGGAAATGAGGCTGGAAAGTTGGCAGGGACCAGGTCATTCATCCAATTAATTCACCCAACATATTGCAAGTTAAGTGCCAGGCACTATAAAAGACACCAAGAGTACAACAATAAACAATGCAGACACAAACCCTGTCATCATGGAGCTTGCAATCTAGGAGCAGAGACAAGCAATAAATCAGATGTATGTTAGAAGAAGTCAGCCCCGAGTCTCAGCCCCACCTCTGCCATTCACTGCCTGTAGACTTTGGGCAAGCACCCTAAGCACCGTGCATGGAGGTAACAACACACACTCACCAGGACTGATGGGTAGGTCAGCCCTGACTCAAAGAAAAGGCCCAGGACAGCATGTGACAGGGGTTCTAAAATGTGGTGACCTTTGGTAGGTTATGATGTGGGGGTGGCAGCAGGAATTATTGTTTCATTTACCACACTTGAGTGTTAGGAGCCAAGAGGACCATTTCCTGGTTTTGTATATATAGATAGATAGATTTTTTTTTTTTTGAGATGGAGTCTCGCTGTGTTGCCCAGGCTGGAGTGCAGTAGCATGATCTTGGCTCACTGCAACTGCTGCCTCCCATGTTCAAGCAATGCTCCTGCCTCAGCCACCCGAGTAGCTGGGATTACAGGCACCCACCACCATGCCTGGCTAATTTTTGTATTTTTAGTAGAGATGGGGTTTTACCATATTGGCCAGGCTGGTCTCCAACTCCTGACCTCAGGTGATTCACCCACCTCGGCCTCCCAAAGTGCTGGGATTACAGGCGTGAGCCACTGTGGCTGGCCTCCATTTTCTGGTTCTTTGATTTCAGGAGTGTCCCAAGTCTTCTATGCTGAGTTATATTTTGAGAAAAAAAAAAAGCCATTTTCTCTTCTCATTGTGAGTTATTGCCCTAAAATGTGTATTTTTTTCAAACGTTGTCTTAAAATTTAATATGTTAGTTCAGGTGTTTCTCAAATAAGCAAAGTCACTTTTAACCCTAATGTCTTTTTTCAACTGGGGCAAAATATGCATAGCATGAATTTTTCCCATGTGAACCATTCTTACGTGTTCAGTTCAGTGGCGTTAAGTTTATTCGCATTGTTGTGCAGCCATCTCCAGAACTTTTCCATCTTCCCAAACTGAAACTCTACCCATGAAACAACTCCCATTCCCCTTCCCCAGCCCCTGGCAGCCACCGTTCTACTTTCTGTCTCTACGAATTTGATGACTCTAGGTACCTCATAGAGTAGAATCATCCAGCATTCACCCTTGCGCCTGGCTTACTGCTTCCAGGTTCATCATGCTGTAGCATATATGTATGTTAAGGCTAAAATCTGAAGTGCTTGGACTATCAGAGCTGTGGGCCTGATACTCGCAGGAAGGGTGGAAGGCTCCAGCAGATGACAGGGTAGAGGAAGTGAGAAAGTTGTGGCGAAGAGCACCTCTAAAATACAATATGTACCCATCAGAGGGAGACTTGTCCCCAGGTACTGTCTTTCCGAGTCTATGGGAGATTTGTCCCCAGGGTCTGGCAAGTAGGACCCAGGGCCAACCTGGATGTATCTTTCAGTAGCAAGGAACTGTGAACTGTCTTCCCTAGAGGGGTCATGCCCCAGGGTTTCTCAGTGAACTTTGGGAGGCATAGACCATCGCCTGAAGGTGTCTCAAAAAAATAAGTGCTAAACCAAAAGAGGTCTTTGCACAAACAGAGCGCAGTACCAGGGAAACCATGCCAGTCTTTGAGTCCACCAGTGTAGCCAAGCACTGTAGTCCCCAGACTTAGCAGCTGCTTGCTCCCTCCCATCTTACGTGACACCATGTGAATGTACTCACCACTGGACCAGAGAGGAGCAGGTGCCTCCGCTCCCAGACAGTTAAGTGGCGCCAAGTAAAATGGAAAATGTGCTGGACTAGCCCTGAGTGGCCTGTGTAGGACACTGGCTCTAAGACAGTGGACCTTGCTAGGCTCCCAGAGCCGGGTTATATTGATCAGTTCTGAGGGTGGACCACAACCCTTAGATCCTTTGAGATTTCAGGAAATCAGAAGCTGAGGACACCACTTTCTATCTTTGAGGTGGCCCATAACTTGGGTGATTTGGAGGGTGGCAATGATGATGAATACCACCAGGAACAATTGCCTGCATTTGATGCTGCTTGAGTCCATTCACTTTCCCTGGGGCGGGAGGACAATGGTGGTGCTTATAGATGTTGAGGACTCACTGGGAGCCAGCAGCTGGCCCAAGCCCTTCCCAAACACTGTCAGCTTTACTCCTCCCTTCTCCCCAAGGCACCACCTGTGGCTACTGCTCCCACTTGACAGAGGAGAGTGAAGCTCTGAGAGGCCCGGTCACAGGACTGTGGCTGGCTGGGCTGGGACGGGACCCTGGTCTGCCTGCCTCGGGGGTCCCAGCTTGGTTGGATGATGAGATGACTCATGGCCTCTCCATGTCATCCACAAAAGTGGGCATCATTGCCACTTCCCAGAGGCCCCAAGGGGTCATAAAGTCCAACAAGCTGTCTCAACAAAGCTGTTTCCAAATCCTCTGGGACAGGATGGCTGTCCAGAGAGGCCCTGGCTGAATGGCCTTCGAGTCTGAGTGCCTCTCAAAGGGAGGATCAGGGTCTCGGTTCCTCTTGCCCCTGCCAGCAGCCTTGCCATGCCAAGGCACATCAGCAGAACCGGCGTCTGGAGCTTCCTGGTGGAGGGCAATGCTTTCCTCCAGATGGGGCCTTTCCTTTCTGGAACTGAATCTGTATTTCAGCCACAGCTCCAGCCGGGGCCCACTGCTTAGGGCAGCACCCGGCTGTGGAGCGCTGGCCATAGGTGCTGGCTTGTCCCCAGAGCACTGGGCAAGGCTAGGGAGGACGGCGTCAGCTTGGCCCCTTCTTGCCCCTTGGAACCTGCTGCCCAGCCATGATGACGCCTCAGCTGTTCCTCCATGACATGATGAAAAATAGGCAGAAGAAGGAGGAGGCTCAGATCATCTGAGGAAAGGAAGTGAGCGAGTGTTATTTGTCCCACGAAGATGTCAGTGTTTTCAGGGCACAGGCACCGCACCCACCAGCCCCGGCTCCACTTACCCTCGGTAATGGAGGGCTGGTTCCAGAACCAATAGTTCTGCACTCCTGAAAGCATCCGCCTGACCTTATTTATGGCTGCTCTGTCCACCTCCAGAGACAGGCACAGGGTAGATACTGGTAAATAACCCTTGAATTGAATCAGAACTCACTTGTCTTTGTGCCTACAACTTTTCTGCACCTCTAGGCCTATCTTCTGGGATCACTGGCGTGGAGCAGTTGGGCGGTCCCAGGAATTCCCAGATCTTATGAAAATAAACGGTTCCGGGAAAGCTGGCGGGCATCTCTGACAGAAGGGACCACAGGGCCAGTGGTGCCCTCTGTCCAGCTGGGACAGGGTGTGACTTGGACACCACTCTTGATTTACGGAAAAATAATCTACAAGTACCCTGGGTGGGTCCTATGCAGGCTCTGCCTTGAGGGAGTGACTGCATTTCCAAAGGGACTTGGAAAGATTGTTCCCCATTGTCCCCATTTATGAAAAGTGACCATTTTTGTGAAGTGAGTTATTTCAAAAGAAGGGCAGGGAATGCGTGTCTGTGTGTGCGTGTCTTCTCAAAAAGAACTGGATCTTCTCAACCCAGCGCTGAACTTCAGCTCCGTGAGGAAGTTAACTGGAGCTTGGTATTAACACTGAGTATAGCAGAACTGATCCTGAAACCAGCTGCTAAAACTAGTTCCCCACACAGCCGTTCTCTTCTTCTTTTTAATTTTTTCAGAAAGCACTTTTGCAGCGCCTAATTTGGTCACTTACTGGAAGGGCAGCGTATGTACAGGGGGAGTCAGGAGTCCCGGGTTCCAGTCCGAGCTGAGCCTCTTTTTCCCATCTGTAAAATGGAGCTCACTATCCTTGCCCCGTCTGCCCCACAAGAAGTTTGTGAGACTCAAGTGAGAAAATGCATATTGAGGTCCTCTGTAAAGTAACATGTGTTCCCATCAGTCACTTAATACACATTTATCGAGCACCTACTATGTGCAGAACTCAGTGGTAGATGCCGAGGGGACTATAAGCATTTGTCTCCATTACCATCTCTGGGGCTGGACTTTATAAAATGTCGTCTAAGCCACCATCTGCTTCCATGTACCTGACCCCTCCAGAGGGACCGAGGCCCCATCTCCCCCTGGCTAGTGAAGCCACTAGTCTCTACAACATGGCTTTCCCTAGCCCGAGCTAATTCCAGAGAGGAGTTTGCTGAAGGTCTGTTATTCTTCTTTATGCCTCTGCTAAGCTTTCCTGAGAACTGTTGCTTTCTGGACCGGGACATAGGACGGAGCTTGAGGCCGCTCTTCCTCTGCTTGCGTCTGCACGGCATCACCAAAGGTAAGCCCCAGTCCAGGCGAGCGCATCCACGGGAAAGCTGCTGGGCACCTGCCCACCCCCCAGCCACTGCCGGGGGAGCCCCACCTGATGTTTCCAAGGGAATCACCTGAATCGTGGCATTGTCACTTCCAAGCTGTGTGACTTCGGGAAAGTCATGTAGCCTCTTGGTCTTACTTTCCCTGTCTGTAAAACGAGGGTAATCTGAGCTCTGATGAAATATAGTGATGGCTAGAATGGGCTTATATATTGTGAAGCAGTGTACGGCTGCCAAGGGCTGTTTTATTGGCATCTAATTGTATGTCCTACCTCTTCACATGCTTCACTTCTAGGCCCCTTGTTCTGCAGTTTGGGAGAAAACTCTGAATTTGTGCTCCCTTAACCTCATGCTCTGGGCACAGGGGATGGTACCTGTAACTGGGAAAGAGGAGGGAAATGTTGGGGAGTATGTTTTCAGCAGTCCAGGAGGCCACCCAGTGAGATCTTTGCATCTGAAAGGACCTCTGAGAACATTTTCAAAGCCATTTCCAGCTATCCAGATATAATAAGTAGCTCTAGAATTCAGGACTGGTTGATGGGGCCAGGTAGTTTTGTCCAAGTTGCTTCTAAACACTCCAGAAACACTGATTACCTGATCTCAAACCTCCTTTCCCAGGCAGGATTGCAGCCAGGGGGCCGTGAATGTTGGGGTGAGGCGTGGTTGTAGGGGAACACTAACTCTTCCCCAGGGACCTGGGAAGAGAGATCTAGAGAAAAGTTTGGGGAAAAAAATAAAAATAGAAATTTTAAATTGGAGCTATGTGCAGCCTAAATATCTTCTTCCTTTTTACTTTGTAATTTTTTTGATAATATTGTGAGAACTGAAATATCTTTAAAGAATAAGGAGGACTGGTCAAAGCTGACCTTCGAGGGCCACTGATGGCATTTCCTTTAACAATAGTTCTCAAGGTACCTTCCAGGGTTCACTGGGCAGCAATATCTTCTTGCAGGATTGTTAAGAGTATATTTCATTCAAAATAATATGTTACACTTAAATTGTACATTAATATGTAGTATAGACATTTTTTTAAACTGAAGTTGAAATGGCCATCCAATTTGGAGTGAATGTATTGGTTCCTTTGGAAGTTTGTTTGTATAAGGTGGTTTTTTGTGTTGTTTTGTTTTGTTTTGTTTTTTTGAGATGGAGTTTCACTCTGTCCCCCAAGGCTGGAGTGCACTGGTGCAATCTTGGCTCACTGCAGCCTCTGCCTCCTGGGTTCAAGAGATTCTCCTGCCTCAGCCTCCCAGGTAGCTGGGATTAAAGATGTGCACCACCACGCGCAGCTAGTTTTAGTAGTGGTGGGGTTTCGCCATGTTGGCCAGGCTGGTATTTCTGTACGTTTTTAAAAGAGAATCGATTTGGAATATAAAAGTAATTGACTCTGAACATAACCACAGTGACCCTGAGACGTTTTATTTCCACTTTGTCAATCAAACCTTAAAGGAGACCATCCACCCCTTTCCCTTCCCTCAGCTCCGGACTTCTTCCTTTTCCTTTCTGTAAATGAGACTTTTGAGGCTCTGGTGTGAATAAAACTAAAAAACATTCTCTTTGCGTTTCTTCCCAGGCAAGGATCTGGAGGTGCTGCGGCACCTTAACTTCTTCCCAGAGTCATGGCTCGACCAGGTTACAGTCAACCATTACCACGCAGTGAGTTGCCTGCTCTGCAAGGACACAGTTGTCGAAGTTTATTGCCTCTCTGACTTTGTTTTTTCTGGAGATGTGTTTCACATTTGAAACCTCTAAACCTCTGAGGTCAGGACATATCTGGATCATCTTCCAGGGAAAGTGGGGAGAGCAGTGCCTGGGAAGGAGAGAAGGGAGGAGACCCAGCCTTGGAATCCGGGTAGTTCGAGCTCCCATCATATGCATTTTTGTTCTTGGTACAGATTAACAAACGTTTGGACCAAATAACTCTTCCTCCAGTAATAAATGAGCATGTCTCTCTCTGTGCACCCTCAGCAACATAGGGCATTTAAATTTCAAATCACTTTTCTTAGTTGAGAGGGGAACAACCGCGTCTCATTTTTTAACATGTATTTCTTTTATTACTGGTGACTATGAATGTTTTCCATGCGGCATTTCCCCTTTGTGAATTGTCCATGCAAACTGTGGTAGTTCTTATGTGTTTTCAATCTCGCGTTTTTAGAGATGAAGAGGGGCAGTGTGTGAGTTCTGAAGATGTATGAGTCACTAGTTAAAATTCAATCCTGCTCAACAAATACCTATTGTAATATGCAAGCCACAGTGCTCAGCGCTCCCCGCACCATAGATCTCGACTCCGTGGAAGGAGGTGCTTTTCTGGGACATAACTCAGGACCATGCTCTAACAGAGCAGCAGAGGACTGACAGAGAGGGGACAGTCTGTGCAGACATCTCGGGAAGTCCCCACCTTCCTCTTGGTCCTCTGACTCTGCCCACCTCCTTCCTTTTGTCCCCCGCTGCCAACGTCATCCTCTCCAATTCCGCTCCCTCTCCTCCCCAGCCCTCACCTTGGAGCCTCCCATGAGGGGCCTTGCTTGCTCTTGATTTTGTGACTGTGATCATCTCTGCCCCATGCACACATTTTATTTCCCATGTGAGACTGCTCAGATACTTTTTTGTCTTCTCCTTGCATCCTCTGAGAGCACTGGACACAGTGCCAGACACAGTAAGTTTTCAATAAATGTCTGTGAACTGAATGAATGGCTGAATGTAAGTCTAGAGGCAAAACTCTTTTTCAAACCTGGTGAGGGGGGCAGGGGTCAAGGAAGAGGCATGAAGATGAAGAGAGGCGCTCGTGTCCAGAGGATCCCACCGTGGTCAGCTGTGTGCATTTTCCTTTCAGCTGGAGAATGGGGGCGACATGGTCCACCTGAAAGATCTTAACACCCAGGCTGTGAGATTTGGGCTGCTCTTTAACCAGGTACTGAGAACTGTACCCGAACAAGGGGAAGAACTGTTCCTCTCGTGCTTAGTTAAGAACCTTTGGAGGGCAGCCATGATCACTTCTGGCTCCTGGTAGGAAGGTCAGGGGTCCAGAAGAGAGAACCACAGGTGTCTCTCCTGCATGGTCATCAGCTCCCAGGAAATAAAATTCACAAGGGAGGGGCCTGGGGCGGGCCATTTAATAATTTCCCCACTAAGAGGACCAGCAGTCCTGGTGGTACTGGAATGGAGGAGTTGCCCTGGGATGTAGGACTTCAATTCTAAAACCAGGAAAGGCCAAGGCAAACTGGGAAGGGTTGGTCTTTCTATTTCCCACAAACACCAACAGTTGCAAACTGGCTCAACAAGAGACTCCATGCCAAGTCCATGTTTAAGCTTATAGGGGTGAACTCAGTCTGGGCAGCTATTTTGATGGATTTCAGAATAAAACTGCAGTGGGTCAAGGAGCTTGATTGCAAGGCATCTTGGCACTTAGTGACCAGGGGAACCTTGGAGTTGGTAGCTGTGCTCCATGCTGGGTTCCCTGTGATGGAAGCAATTCTCCAAGAAATCAGTGATCTCCTTTGATTATTTCAAGGCACCCCCGCAGTGATCTCAAAAGAATTCACGTTTCAAGAACTAGGGGTGCTGAATGCATCATCAGAGAGTCCCCTCTGAGTCATCCCTGGAGAGGCTGGCTCAGCCTTTTGGTTGCAGAGACATCGTGCCTAAGTGGGCAGATGGAGATCACAGAGCCAGGACTTCCTGCAAATGCTATGAGTGGCTCTTGGGCCCATCAAATTGAAACAACATGCTTTGTTTCAAAGGTCTATAGACCACAGGTCATCTAAGAACATACCTAACCTATTCTTTACCTCACTAAGGAACATGAAGAGTAAATAATATCGTCACTGTTCAGTAGCTACTACTAAGTCTACTACTAACTTCTACTAACTGTACCAACTGTTTGTAGGGAGACCAAGGAAAGGAGGGTCTAAACCCTCCAGAAACACTGATTACCTGATCTCAAACCTTCTTTGCCAAGCAGGATTGCAGCCAGGGCATGGTGAATGTTGGGGTGAGGCATGGTTTTGGGGGAACACTGTAACTTTTGCAAACTTGATGGGTTCCCAGGGACCTGTGAAGGGAGATATAGGGAAAAGTATGGGGAAAAACATAAAAATAGAAGAAATTTTAAATGGAGCCATGTGCAGCCTAAATATCTTCTTCCTTTTTGCTTTGTAATTTTTTTTTTGTAGTATTGTGATAACTGAAATATTTTTAAAGAATAAGATGGATCAGTCAAAGCTGACCTTCAAGGGCCACTGATGGCTTTTCCTTTAACAATAGTTCTCGAGGTAGCCTCCAGGGTTCACTGGGCAGTGGTACCTTCTTGCATGATTATTGAAAGTATATTTCATTCAAAATAATATAAATTACAATTAAAAGCATTAATATGTGGTATAGAATTTTTTTTTAACTCAGGTTGATATTGCCATCCAATTTGGAGTGAATTCATTCAAATTGTTACTAGTAATTACTACTACCAAGGATTTCAGTTTAGCTTTCCCCATGTTTCCTAGGTTAAAATTGCCATTGTATTTTCACTTTCAAATCAGTTGCTGAATAAGTGACGGTTGTTATTGTTGCTATACTTTGTTTTACCATGTCCTCTTGACTTTTTTTTTTTTTTTTTTTGAGATGGAGTCTTGCTCTGTCACCCAGGCTGGAGTGCAGTGGCGCAATCTCGGCTCACTGCAAGCTCTGCCTCCTGGGTTCATGCTATTCTCTTGCCTCAGCCTCCTGAGTAGCTGGGACTACAGGCGCCCGCCACCACGCCTGGCTAATTTTTTGTATTTTTAGTAGAGACGAGGTTTCACCATGTTAGCCAGGATGGTCTTGATCTTCTGACCTCGTGATCGGCCCGCCTCAGCCTCCCAAAGTGCTGGGATTACAGGTGTGAGCCACCGTGCCCGGCCTTTTTTTTTTTTTTTTTTTTTTTTTTTTTTGAGATAGAGTCTTACTCTGTCACCCAGGCTGGAGTGCAGTAACACAATCTCAGCTCACTGCAACATCTGCCTCCCCGATTCAAGTGATTCTCCTACCTCAGCCTCCTGAGTAGCTGGGACTACAGGCACGCACCACCACGCCTGGCTAATTTTTTTTTTTTTTTTTTTGGTATTTTTGGTAGAGATGGGGTTTTGCCACATTGGCCAGGCTGGTCTTGAACTCCTGACCTCAGATGATCTGCCCGCCTCAGCCTCCCAAAGTGCTGGGATTACAGGTGTGAACCACCACGCCCGGGTGACTTTGAATACTAAATATTTTCCCCCCTTCACTTTGTTGTTTCTCTTTCCCAATTTAGGAGAATACAACTTATTCGAAAACGATTGCTCTATATGGATTCTTCTTTAAGATAAAGGGACTCAAACATGATACTACCTCTTATAGTTTTTACATGCAGGTAAGGATAGAGTGCATGAAAGTTATGTCTCTGAGACAGTCTTTTAGAGTTAGAGTCAATTCATGTTGAATTAATAATAATTGATTCATCATTAATTACTCATTGACATGAAATGTATTGTAAGTGCTAACCACGCTCATGTATGTGATGTCATTTGATTTTTACAACAACCTTGGGAAGTAGGTATTGGTAGCCCATTTAGCGGATGAGGATCTGAAAACTGAGCGTCTTTGTGTTCATATGGACTCTATTGGTAAAGTCAGGATTAGATTCTAGTCTTCTATCTCTACATGTGGAGCTCACTTCATCTTCAATTTATACATACAATTCAGTTATTCTCCCATGAAGATAACCGGTAATGCCCCCAACTGGGAGAGGGGGTAATTTTGTTAAGCTGCAAAGCAGGCTGTGGGCAGGACCCCAGAAAAGTCAGGAGGGTGCTTGACTTCTCCGTAGTGCTCCTGCTGGACTTTAGGAGAGGCAGGAGAATGTCATATTTAGGAGTGGAGAGTCCGCAGGTGAACGGCCTTGCGAGCTATAGGACCTGGGCAAGTGCCAGGAACTCTCCTCTGTGCAGTTTCCTCACCTTTAAGGCAGAGAAGGTAACAGGACATACCTCACCGGATTGTTGTGAGTTTAAATGTGTTAATCTGTGCAGGGTGGCTTGGAACAAGCTTGACACACAAAGCACTATGTGCATTAGGGAAGATGAGGATGATGATGTTGACGATGACAATGACAACTATGATGAAAGATTGCTGTGTTCCACTTAAGATTTGCTTACAAGTCTCTTCTCTAAACTGCAAGCTTTTGAGAGGCCATATCTTATTAATCTTTTTATTACTACTGCCAATCACAGTACCGAGAACATAGAGGAGCTTTATTTTTTTATTTTTCTATATTTTTTGAGATGGAGTCTCACTCTGTTGCCCAGGCTGCAGTGCAGTGGCACAATCTTGGGTTACTGCAACCTCCATATAAAGGGGCTTTAAATGACTGACTGAATAAATGAATGGATAAACGAGTGAATTAATGCATGAATGAAGAAACCAGAGTTTTAGTCCCAGATTTTCCAGTACCTCATATGTCCCCTGGAGCAAGTCATTTCTCTTCCATGGGCCTCAGCTCTTGGTCCCCACTGACTCAGGCATCTCCCTACACAATGAATTCTTCTGGGTGGAAGAGATGAATTATGTGACAGCAACAGTCCAAATGCCCTTATGAGTACTACATTGGTTTTTTAATTCTGGCAAAGGCATCATAAAGCTTGACTTGATGGTGTTTTCCTAGATTGGCCAAAGCCCAGGCCATCAGCCACAGGTTTATGTATGGTGGGGGCTCCAATGACAACTGACTCAGCAGCAGCAACTTTTAGGAGATGGTGCCAATTGGGAAATGCCCTCTTGCTGCCTGCACACATTATATACCAGGGTCTATATGCCAGGCTCCAGCTTTCCCTAACTCTGGGCCACCCCGATTGCAGTTCCACCTAAGGTGAATCACTCTCTTTGCAGAGAATAAAGCACACAGACCTGGAATCTCCCTCTGCGGTCTACGAGCACAACCACGTCAGCCTGCGAGCGGCACGCCTGGTGAAGTATGAGATCAGAGCAGAGGCCCTGGTTGACGGCAAGTGGCAGGAGTTCAGGACAAACCAGATCAAGCAGAAGTTTGGGTTGACCACGTCATCCTGCAAAAGCCATGCAAGTGTTCACGTTGTCTTTTCCTTTATTTCCTTTTTGCTCTTTCTCTCCCCCATCCTTTTGGGGATCACTGGCTTCTAATCTCCAGTGCTCTACACTGAAGATCCCTGGAAAATCTGGCTCAGTTTCTTAAGGATTATCACAGCCTCAAATAACGCTAAAGAGAAATCTCTTCTAGAATGAAAAACCATGGATACAGGTAACTATAACCCAAATCAGACTACCTGATTTGGATCACACCAGATCTATTTTATAAGCATCAAAGGGTATTTTTTTTTTAGGTGAGGAGGCTCCGTGGAGTGTATTTGTCATCACTACCTCCACTGATGCCTGTGAGTGGCACATTAATTTCCCTGAAATCCACAGCCCAGACCCACCTGCCTCACTCAGGCCCACTGGGGAAGGGCTGGGCCCATCTACCTCAGTAGGTGGTTGCCAGCATCTAGGCAGATCCACTGCCTGGCCTGGCTTCTGACCAGAATAAGACTTTGCTACAAGCCAGTGAGTAATTCCTGGTCCTGATTGCACATCAGAATCACCTGGGGGCCTTATAACTACCAAGGCCAGAGCCCCACCCAGATCACCAGACCAGATAGATACTCCATGGATCGGGCCAGGGTATCAGTATTTTTAAAAGCTTCCAGGTTGTTTTCTATGACGTTAGAAATCACAGTAACAATTTCCTTTGTGGGGGTGAGGGAGAGGGGCTGGGAAATTAACTGACAGAGAACATGAAGGACATTTCTGTGGGGCTGGAAATATTTGTTTTTTTTTGTTCGTTTTGTTTTGTTTTGTTTTTTGAGACGGAGTCTCGCTCTATCGCCCAGGCTGGAGTGCAGTGGCACAATCTCGGCTCACTGCAAGCTCCACCTCCCGGGTTCACGCCATTCTCCTGCCTCAGCCTCCTGATTAGCTGGGACTACAGGAGCCTGACACCACACCCGGCTAATTTTTTGTGTTTTTTAGTACAGACAGGGTTTCACCATATTAGCCAGGATGGTCTCGATCTCCTGACCTCGTGATCCATCCACCTCGGCCTCCCAAAGTGCTGGGATGAAATATTTGTCTTGTTCAGGGTGATGGTTACACAGGAGCATTTACTTGGTGAGAATTTATCAAGCTGTCCTCTTCAGATTTGTGCACGTTATTGTGTTTAAGTTATTCCTAATTTATTGGCAGTTTATTTCAAATAACCTCTGCAGGTTATTCTGATGTGCAACCATAGTTGAGAGCCAGCATTTTCTACAACTGTTAGTCCTTCCTCTTTCCCCTTCTGGGGGGCAATTGTGTTCATCCTAAAAGTCACATTCACTTTGTTTTTTTTCATGTTTTAGACCTTGAAAATCCAAACTGTGGGCATCCCAATCTATGTAAGTTTTGCATTCATCTTCCCAGCATCTTGACAGTTTCCAGAAGAATCTATGGGATTTTCCCCCCACTGGTCTGCATAAAAGAAAATAAAATGACATAAAAGGGAGCACTCAAGCATTCCGTTGCCTTTCCTAGTTCATTATGGTCTTGTTCGAACTTTTGTCCACATTTGTATCATTTGAGGGTGGAACGTGCCAGACCCGAGAGTGCATTTACCAGCCCTGCCCCACAGAACCCTGAGTCCAGCCCTGACTTTTTGCCCTCTCCCAGCACCAGGGAAGCAACAGCAGTGGCAACAGACTGCAGCCAGGAGCATGGAAGACTTCCCTTAAATGCAGCTCTGCCTGCTACACAGAACAACATGCCTGCCAATCGTCCCTGGCAGTTTGGGCTCAGACAGAACAAGAGATAGGAGGGGAAGGAAGTGATTCTTAAGTACAGAGTGACTTATTTATTATCCCACCTTTAAAACTGAAGCTCTGCAGTTTGGAAAGAGAGAAGTAGAGAGCCTTCCTTCCCACTTTATTTATTTTCTATTGCAGTGTCACAAAGGACCACAAATTTAGTGACTTAAAACAACACATTGATTACTTCAGTTTTCATGGTTGAGGAATTCAGGGGTAGCTTCACTGGGACCAATACTCAGGGCCTCATAAGACTACGGTTTAGTGGCAGGCAGGCTGTCTTCTCATCTGAAGAGATGGCGGGGAGAATTCATGTCCGAGCGCGTTCAGGTTGTTGGCAGATTCATTTTCTTGCAGCTGTATGACCAAGGGCCCCGGCTGCTACTGGGGTAGAGAGAAGGTTGCGCAGGCCCCAGTGGCGCCCTGCAGTTCCCTGCCATGTGACTCTCTACAGACATTTCAAATCATGGCTATTTGCTTCTTCAAGGCCAGCAGAAGAATCTCTCACTCTAGTCTGCTAAGGTAGCATCTTATATAATGTAAGGTAATCATAGGAGTGGCAGCCCCTCCCCTCTGCCCTACTCTCTGGACTAGAAGGAAGTCACACGCTCCACCCACACCCAAGGGGAGAGAATTATACAAGGGGTCACCTGAGGGTGTGTCCACCACACTGTATTACCCATTGTCTTTGGAAAAGTGATGGAGAGTCGATGACGCTCTGCAGACAGTGAGGTGGATAAGTTTAGTCTAACAATCACCTTAGAGTCAGACACAGCTGAGGGAGCCTCCTTCCCAGCAGAGGAATCTGTGCAGTGTGACCTGGCAGGGAGGCGCAAAGGAACTGGGTGTTGGGAGCCTGTTGGCAGGTTCTCCCCGCCCTTCCCCAAGCCCTGTTTCCCAGGCTGCCTCACCGGCTTGCTTCCGGCCATGTCCAGTCAATGAGAGGTGGAGATGGGAGCTTGGAAGAGAGAGAACAGGAGAGGCCTGGGTAGTTTGTACCCTCTGGGCTCAGAGGACGTTTTCCAGCAGTAACTGTGTCTCCTTCCTCCGCTGCCCAGCTTGTGCCCCAGCTCATGCCCATAGCCTCCTGCCAGGGTTTCAGCACCCATCAAAGGTCCCTGCTTCTGGTTCTGATACCACCTCGTCCCTGTGTCCCTCCAGGCTCTGGGGCAGTGAGGACTTCCTTCACTGCAGTCTCTGGGTCGTCTCATTCCCTGCTTAGCTTCTTGAGTTTTACTTCATCTGGGAACCAGTTCTCTGTATTATATTGATTGTTTGAAACCCCTAGACTAGTTTATGTTTCCAGGTTAGTCCCTAATGTAAAGGGTTTTGATGAGTTGGCAGATGTGGCTCAGTGGGGTGGATGATTGGATAACACAGCCTCAATGATTCTTCCCATCCCTGCCGGGCGGGGTCTAGGGTGAGGCAAGCGAGGCACTTGCTCGGGCATATAACCTAAAGGGGCACCGAAATACTTAGTAATACAGATAAATAGTATTTTGATTCAATGTTTTAAAAAACCAAAATCAACCCACACAAATTTATGATAGAGCTTGGTGAATTGTCATGAGGTGAACACACCCATATAACCAGCACCCAGATCAAAAACAAAAAGAACATAACCAGCACCCCAGACACCCCCAGTGGACCCCCCAAGGTGAATACAACACCGACGTCCATCTCCATGAATTAGTTTGGCCCTTTAGTTTGAATATCTTGCAAACAATCTGACAGTGCACACTCTTTCATGCCTGCACGCTTTTGTTCAACATCACATTTAAGAGATTCATCCAGGTTTTCACCGGGAGATGTAGTTTATTTTCAAATAACATGATGGTTTCACTTTTTTACTTTTTAAAAACTAAACGTTACTTCAATAAAATAATACATGTTGTCACAGAAAAGGGAGAAAATACAAAGAAGAAAATCAAACAGCCTGGGACTGCTGACACTGAGATGTTTGGTAGGCGACCTTCCAGGAGGAATTTTAGGTGCATTTATAGTTTTCTTTCCATTTAAAATGGGATTTGCAGTTCAGAGCCTCATTCTTCTCTTGAGAGAGCTAAACAGGATGGCAGGGTGTAGTGGCTCATGCCTGTAATCCCAACACTTTGGGATGCTGAGGTGGGTGGATCCCTCGAGCCCAGGAGTTCAAGACCAGCTTGGGCAACATGGTGAAACCCCATCTCTACAAAAGATATAAAACTCAGCCGGGCATGGTGGTGGGCAGCTGTAGTCCCAGCTACTTGAGAGGCTGGGGTGGGAGGATCATTTGAGCCCAGGCAGTTGAGGCTGCAGTGAGCTGCGGTTGTGCCACTGCACTCCAGCCTGGGCAACAGAGCAAAACCCTGTCTCAATTAAAAAAAAAAAAAAAAGAAAAAAAAAAAGCAGGGAATGCGGGGGAAGTTAAACAGGATAACAGGATGATTTCTTTCATAGCGAGCACAGTGTTTGCGGAGGAAGGAGATGGTGTATTTGTTTCACCTTCAAATTGCGGGGCATCAGAAAAGTCACTTGTCACTTACCTTCCATGACTGTCATTTTCTTATCTTTAAAAGGGACATAAACTTACCCCTCTGCCTCCCTCTCAGGGGCTGTGAGCCCCGCAGGCAGCACTGTATGTAAGGCCTCTTTATGGACCAGTCCCTGTGCAGACGCCTGGGGGCTTGGTGTTACTGGCTCAAGAAAAAATGCAACCTTGTGGCATTTTACCACAGTTCTGTAGGATAACAGGGATGACAAGAACTAAAAACACTGACAAGCAAATCTGCAGATGTCTAAGAGAGGAGAGGTTGTTTGGAAGCGTCTCTGAAACATGAATGATTGCCCGGTCTCTAGGGGAAACAACGGTTAGGTATTTGAAATACGTAAACTCATGCGCCAGGAGTTTGCAAGAGTGGGAGAAACTTGCCAAGGAGCGATGCCAAAAATGTGTCTGTAAGGTGAGCAGTAAAGCAGAGTGGGGAATGTTAGGGAGGGGCTGGGGCGGGCAGGAGGAAGGCAGCCCCAAAACCTGCGGGGGGCTGGGGTGGCAGGAGGAAGGCAGCCCCAAAAGGAAAAGGGAAGGATTGAAGGATTGGGCTGCCTCCCCTTCCTCTTGGGCAACAGGAAGGTACTAGAGACAGTAGGACTTGGAGTGTCAGGGAGGGGCCCTGTGATGTCATTTCCACCTCCTAATTGTACAAGGGGGAAATGGAGCCCCAGCAAGGTGGAGTAATGATTCTGGTGGGAAAATGCTTGGTAAGCACCGTCTCACTGAATCCTCCCGACCCCATGAAGTAGGTGTATTTTCCATGTCTGATAAGAAGGAAGCTGAGGCCGGGCATGGTGGCTCACACCTGTAATCTCAGTACTTTGGGAGGCCAAGG
The DNA here is from genome assembly GCF_000001405.40 of Homo sapiens. Classification (NCBI taxonomy): domain Eukaryota; kingdom Metazoa; phylum Chordata; class Mammalia; order Primates; family Hominidae; genus Homo; species Homo sapiens. The sequence goes on from NC_000010.11 coordinate 122,341,826, forward strand.
TGGGTGGATCACCTGAGGTTAAGAGTTCAAGACCAGCCTGGCCAACATGGTGAAACCCTGTCTCTACTAAAAATACAAAAATTAGCTGGGTTTGGTGATGCATGTCTGTGATCCCGGCTACTTGGGAGGCTGAGGTGGGAGGATTGCTTGAACCAGGAAGGTGGAGGTTGCAGTGACCTGAGATTGCACCACTGCACTCCAGTCTGGGCCCAGAGAAAGTAAATTTATTCATCCAAGTCTCCTCAGTGTGGCAGAGTTGGGAGTCCAGCTCAGGCCTGGCCACAGGCCTATCTGTTTCTATTTCCCCTGATGGCCCACTGAGAAGAGTGGAAATGTTTTAGGGTGTTTCATTCAAGTATTTCTTGAACACCTATCTGTTCAAAAGCAATGCGCACGGAGCATATGCTACGCGCCTGGCTGCGGTGTGCAGGGTGTGCCTCATATGATATCTCATTCGATTATGATGGGGACTTGAGCAGGGGCAAGGGTGGGAGAGTGGCACGTACCTGGGCCTGGAAGGATGGGGGGCTGTCCTTGTAGGTGGGGATGGAGGGAAACGGTACACAGGTGGTGTTCCAGCCTCATGGCTCTAGGACTGAATATGCATCTGAATTACCTGGGACTTTGTGCTTGCGCAGATCCTGGGCCCCGGCTGAGAGAGGCTGATTTTGAAGTCTGAGAGACACTCAGAAATCTGCACTATAACAGGCTTCCTGGGGGATGCTGATGCAGGGTGTCTGTGGATCACATCCAGAAACTGATCTGTGTGTCAATTCCACAGCAGGGTTTCTTACTGTGCTCCATACACCCAATTGTCTTCCTTACCCAGTGCCAAAACAAAATCCAAACAATAACAAAAAACCTGTGAATTGATTTCACCACACTGGCTGATTCGAAACAAAGCAAAACTGATTTCCTAGAATATGAAATAAACAGAACTTAGTAATGAGGCCCCTCCTGTGGGTGAGCCATAATTCACAGTCCACCCCTTTCCACTAGGGGGCATGGTCCACCTCAAAAATTTTAGTGGCAAAAATTTGCAACCTAAAAACTCGTTTTACAGCAGGGAGTCCCCTTGCTTTGTGGTTGAAAGTGGAGCTGTTCGTCCTGGGAGAGGCTCTGTTTATCCAAACATCCACAGTATGCACATCATAAAATCTCTGAACTTGAGAAGTGTTAGTCTTGAGACAAAAAAATCTTAAAATAATTTTACAAGCTTTTCTTACAAGGGAGAAATTCGTAGAGATTCAAGGGAGAACTTGAATTTTAAAGCCCAAAGTCCCAATGCCCAAAGCAGTGGCCATGAGCACTGGTTAACGAAACCTCTTATGTGCCATGTCTGAAACGCCTCGTTCACTTCTCCTGATGCCCTTCTGGCTCACCTCCTAGCCGCTCACCTCCTATCCCCTCCCCTCCAACGGGGGAGATGGCCCTGGACTCATTTGGTGCACACCAAGTCTTTCGGGTTCTAGAGTACAACTGACCTGGGTTTGAGTCTCAGCGCTGCCCCTTATCAGCTGTATGGCCTTAGGCAAGCCATCTAACCTCTCTGAGCCTCAGAGACTGATCTGAGATAGGCAATCAAACTCATGGTAAAAATTAAATAAGTTGATGTTTTTTGTAAAGCACCTACCACATAATACGTGCTTTATACAATTTATTCCTTATTTTTTCACCCTTATTGCTTGGAGTCAGGGAGTACTTGTTGAAGGTCAAAATGGTTGCTGTGCGATCTTGGGACAGTCCCTTTTCTTTCTCTGGGCCTATTTCCCTTTATGCAAAATGAAAAGGTTGACCCAGGTGCTCTCTGCAGTCTTTCCAGCTGCAATCATCAGATTCTCAAATTCTGTGAATACGAAAGAACAGATGTGAGTTGTTGAGCCTGTGAACCAGAAGGAGGAGGATCTGGGGAAAGGAACTGTCTTATTTTCCCGTGGGCTCATCAGAATGGGAATGAATTGGAAAGAGTAGGAGAAGGTTTTTCCTCGCCCCTCTTTATAGGGTTTTGCATCCGGGAGACTGGAGCATCTTGTAATACCGGGGAGGAGAGAGTTTGTTCTTGCTCTTGTAAGCCTAGGCTACTGTTTGGGGTTCGCCATGCTGTTGGGGAGAAGAGTGAGCTTCCCAGGGATGACCTGGGTACCAGAAGTCCCAGGCCCTGCTTGCACACGGGGGTAGGTGTAGGATATGGGGAATTGGGCCTCTGGGCCCTGAGGCCTTGAGAGCTGGCGGGTATAGAAGGAGGTTCTCCTGGAGGAGAGAGAGACAGAAGAAACCTCTGTGAGACAGACCCTGAGGGCAGCACCAGCCAACTGAACTTTCCGCAATGATGGGAATGTCCCACATCTGCTCCATCCGATGTGGTATCTGATGTGGTATCCGATGTGGTATCCGATGTAGCCGTTAGTCATGCGTGGCCTTTGAGCACTTCAAATGGGGTTGGAGCTAACTGAGAAACTGAGTTTTCAATTTTATTTCATTTTAATTAATTTAAATTTAAATTGCCATAAGCTTAAGTAGAAGAAGCAAGGTAACGACAGCACCCAACATGAAACCAGAACTGGATGCTTCCTGGCTTTGCAGACTCTCTAGGGTTCCGAGCCTCTCAGTCTCTTCCCAGGCCCCCGATGAGTGGAGCCTCAGTGGCAGGCTGTGCCCATGCCTGTGGCTCAGCCTGAGGCCACCTCAGACTTCTTTCTGGAGAAAGTCGTGCTGTGGAACAGGAAGGTTCCCATGCTGGGGAAGCGGAGTTCAGCTCTGTATTGATATTATTCTTATCTTGCTCCTTCTACTTGCGCTAACCACTTAAATTTAAATAAATGAAAATGAAATAAAATTTAAAATTTCACTCTTTGTCACTCTAGCCATGTTTCTTTCTTCCTTTTTTTTTTTTTAACTCCTCCTTGCAGAGGAGCACTAACTCACAGGCGGTGTGCCCAGAGTCGGCCAAGCCGCGTTTCAAGTGCTCCGTGGACTCAATGGCTAGTGGCTGCCCTGTGGGCTTGGCAGATGTGGGACAAAGGGCTCCTATGGCTGCTCCTCATGACTTTGAGCTCTGTGACTTTGAATGAGTCATGTGACCTTTGTGCTTTCATTCCTTGACTTTACTCACACCACAGATTTACAGTGAGCTGCTGCAGGCCAGGCTTCGGGTGAGGTTGTGAAGGTGAACAAAACACACAGTCTCCGCCATCTCAGAGCCTACAGTGTGTGGGGAAAGACAGTTATTAGTGGAATATGCACTAAAGAATGCCTGTGTGCCCTGAAGAGCACAGTTGCCTGGAGCACTGTTTCCAGAGAGCATAAAGCAAAGAAAGCTGACCTAGATCCTGGTGTGGGGATCAAGGCCCAAGGAGAGCCCTCCCAGGGGAAGCAACGCTTACACAGAGAGCTGAAGTCGGAGTGGGAATTGAAACAGGTTTAGGTGAGGATGTAGAGAAACGACTACTCATATGCTGCTAGTGGGAGGGTGAAATGGTGCAGCTGCTTTGGAAAACTGGTGGCTCCTCAAACAATTAACGTACAGTACCATGTGACCCAGCAATTCTCACCTCTAGTTACATACCCCAGAGAAAATGAAAATATATGCCCTCCCAGAAACGTGAACACGAATGTTCGTAGCAGTATTATTCACAACAGGCAAAACATGGAAATTAGCCAGGAGCGATGGCGTGCACCTGCAAAAGGGGTGAGGCGCCTGTAGAAAGGGGGTTGGCTCATGCCTGTAGTCCCAGCTGCTTGGGAGGCTGAGGTGGGAGGATCACTTGAGCCCAGGAAGTGGAGTCTGCAGTGACCCATGATCACACTACTGGACTCCAGCCTGGGTGACAGAATGAGACCGTCCTTTACAAAAAATAAAATAAAATGCTCACTTTGGTAGCAGATATACTAAAATTGGAATGATACAGAGATTAGCATCACCCCTGCAAAAAGATGACATACAAATTTGTGAAATGTTCCATGTTTTTAATAAATTTTTTAAATTAAAAAAAAAGTAAAAGAAAAAGAAAAAAAGAGAAATGGAAACAACCTAAATGTCCATCAGTGGATGCATGGATAAACAAAGTGTGGTCTATCCATGCAATAGAACATTACTCAGCCCTAAAAAGGAATGTAGGACTGGCACGTGCTACATGGATAAACCTTAAAAAGATCATGCTAAGTGAAAGAAGGCAGTCACAGAAAAACACGTATTATATAACTCCATTCATACGAAATGTCCAGAGGAGGAATGTCTACAGACAGAAAGTAGATTCGTGGTTGCTTAGGGCTGGAAGATAAGAGGATGGCCACTAAAGGGCACAGGGTTTCCATTTCAGGTGATGAAAATGTTTTAAAATTGAACAATGGTGATGGCTGGACAACTCTGTGAATATGCTGGAAACCACTAAACTGTACACTTAAGTGGGCGAATTGTATGATACATTAATTCTATCTCAATAAAACTGGGGCTTTTTTGAAAAAAAAAAAAAAGGAGGAATTGGGGGCTCAGGAGAAGATTCAAGCCCAGACAACATGTGAAAGTGAGCCTGGTACCTTTAAAAAACACGGGAGAAGGCCCCAGTGGGCAGAGCCAGCAGAGCCAGCAGCAGAGGCTGGAGATGTGGGCAGCTGGGACATCCCTGGATTTTGGTCTCTTTCTCAAGACCACCTAGTATTCAAGAGTTTCAGGCCTGGGGCCACCCTGATGAAACCTGGGTTTTGAAAAAGTTTTTCTAGATGCTGTTTGTCAGCAGAGGTGAGGGGGGCTTGGGAAAGAATGCCAGGTGTCAACATGGTGTGGGATGTGTTGTGGGTGAGCAATGACTATCTGGACCAGTGATGCAGGGGTAAAAGAATTTACCAAGACAGTTGTAGATAATGAAAGGCAAATTTACTAGAGAAAGTATGAAACTATGTAGTGAGAAGGCAATGGGCAGGCCAGCAGAAGAGGAGCTGACTGCAAGGAAACAAAGGCTGGCTGGAGATTTTATAGAATAATGCTTATGCTATATGCCGAAGAGGGCTTTGTGCAATACTAATAATGCAAGGTTGCAGTGAGCCAACTTGCAGGTGTCTGGTGATAAGCTGGGTGCACGAGGGGTACCTGTTCTGGGCCATGAAGAAAGGCAGATTTGCGGCTTACCTGCCTCTTCTTTTTGCTTTCCTTTGCTCCCACCAGCCTGACTCCTTTTCCCTAATTAGGACTCCACAGGAGGACAGGCTGGGAGAAATGTAGAGCCCCTGCCCTGTCCCAGAGAGGGAGGGAGGATCCCTTAACTTCCCTGCATGATTCCTCAACTTGCCCTGGTCCTGAGTTACCACTGAGGGGTGTGACTGTGGCCCCTTGGGGCAGAAAGCTCCTCTGCTATCACATATCACAAAGTGGTTGCACCAGTTTGTTTAAAGGCACACATTCCCAAAGGACACTGGCTGGTGGCAGTATAAATTGGCACTGCCTTTCTGAGATCAGTGTGGCAGCATATTAGAAAAGATCTTAGGATGTTAATTACTGTGGTAGATGATGATAACGATGGCTCCGGTGAATCACACCTCCCTGTGTCCACACCCCTTGGCTTTGCGGTGCCACCCATCAACAGATGGAGTCTATTTCTACATCCTCTTGAGTCTGGGTTGGCCCTGGAGCTTGCTTTGGCCAACAGAGTGTGGCAGAAGTAACATGGTAGCATTCAGTAGTTTGGAGCTCAATGTGCCTTGCAGCTTCTGCTCTGGCCTCTTGGAGTCTTGGGACCGTGTAGTGCAGGGGCCTCTACTAACCTGCTGGAGGGAACGCGGCCATGTGGAGGAGAACCTCAGCCCGACCACCAGCCCCAATTGCCAGACATGTGAGTAAGGCCATCTGGAACCTTCTAGCCCAGTCGACCCTCCTGTGGAATGCAGCCTCATGAGTGACTCCAGAAGAAACCCTGCAAAGGATTTCTTCAGCCAACCCTCAGAATCATAAGAAGTAATTAATTGTTGTTTTAAATCACTAAGTTTGGGGGTGGTTTATTACCCTGCAAGAGCTAACTGAAATACATACCTTTTGAATTAAGCAAATCCACTTTAGTAGTTTATACTTAGAAAATAAAAATCCAGAAAATAGCCCATGATTTAGGTACAAAGGCATTCCTTATAGCATTGTTGTAATACAAAGCATCAGCGTGATTTTAGGTGCCTAACAGCAGGAATTAAACAGAATAGGGTAGATCTGTACACTAGACAATCATTACAAAGTTTTTGTTGAAGCAACCTAGTGGCAAGATTTCCAGAATATACTGTTAACTGGAAAACTAAAACAATTTTTTAAAGTATGCAAATATGATCTATTAAAATATGCATATTCTAAATATATTTTAATGAAATTGATGGGTCCAAAAGCATATGCAACTTTGATCTGATAGTATAAACTCGCTCTCTAATGTGGATGTGATAATTCGTCTTCCTCCCAACACTGAGGAACCTTGCTGCTGCTTTCTGTCGCTGTTGCTGGTGGTAAAGGGCCCTTGACTGACACATTTGAGAGGCTGGTCAATCCATGCACAGAGCTGATATGAGTTAAGGCAAAGGAAGCTTCAACCTTTATTTCACTTAGCAGGATTCCCTGGTTTCTTGGCCACCCAGAGACACCTTCTTGGGACTCATTTCTCATCCAACCGAAGGGGCCTGATGTGCTCCTGGACTCCTTTAAGGAGAGAGAAACTTTGGGTGCAGCATCACGAATTGTAAGCAGGAAGCCAGGCTTCTGAGAGTCAGATGGAACTGCAGCTGGGAGCAGGGGGGTTGTCATTTGTCTGCCCTGAGCCACCAGAAAGGGTTCAGTGAGTCTTGAACACAGTGATTAACTTCTCTTTAATCTACGCATCACTGCACAGCACAGCCAATTGCTTGGCTTCCCCAATAAGAGTCATGAGTCACTCAATGTCTTAATGTGGACTGAGCACGTTTTATTCCAAGCAGGTGCGACTGTTCCTGTATGTGCCTTTGAGATACCTAGGAAATGAATAATGCTTGTTGTCCCCCTCCAACACCAACTGAACATTGAATCAATGGTTTACTATTTTAATAACAAGTGAATATTGCTCTAAGACTCCTTTTTTTTTTTTTTTTTTTGCTTGTTCAGTGCCAGAGGGATAGGTTCCCATTTCTTTTCCTGGCTGTTGGGTCACGGCTGAGGGTCCCTGGGATGTGGGGCATCTCCGTAAGTAACAGGAAGTATATTAACTCGTGGGTTAATTAAGAAAATCATTGACGAAACCACATGAGTGTGTGCTGTGCAAGCGACCCTTGGACTGCCATAGAGGCCAGGAATAGGGAGGGAAAATTGGACCCAGCTGTGGCCTGCTTAGCTCTTTTCTTCCAATGTGGGTCACTCCTTGAACTAGGACAGTCTGCAGGTGTTCCCATTGTGCTCAGACAAACACTCAACTCTTAACCCTTGAAAGAAAGAAGTAGGAACAAAGGCCTGCTCGGGCATGCTGGAGACGCAGAAATTGTGGAGGGAAAAGCAGCAGGCCCTTTTCACATGGTGGCTGCCTTATCCTCTCTTACTCTATTGTTCAATCTGTTCAACTTAGTTAAGAACCCATAGATCTAGATTCCACCCCCTCCTTCCCTACCACTCTCTGGCTGGGTGACTTTTGGCAAATTTTCTATCTTTTCTGAGCCTCAGTTTCTCATCCTCACAGAACCATTGTGAACACAAAATGAGGGGCAGAATGGGGACATGTGATAGGCAGAATAATGGCCCCAAAGACATCCTTGCTCCAATCCCCAGAACCTGGGAAAGTTAGCTTATGTGACAAATGGAGCTCTGCAAATATGATGAAGTTAAGGATTTTGAGATGGGAAAATGATCCTAGATTATCCAGGTGGGCCCAATATACTCAAGGGGTCTTTATAAGAGGGAGGCACACACTCAGAGAGGCAGAAGGCAATGAGACTACCGAAGCAGAGATGAGAGTGATGTGGTCACAAGCTGGGGGATGCAAGCAGGCCCTAGAGGAACAGACTCTTCCCTAGAGTCTTGGAAGCAGCCAGCCCTGCTGACCTTGACTTTAGCCAAGTGAAACTGATTTTGGACTTCTGGCCTCCAGAACTGTAAGAGAATAAATTGGTATTATTTTAAGCCATCAAGTTTGTGATTTGTTACAGCAGCTGCAGGAAACTAATGCAGGCTGATTTGTAAAGTCCTCCTGTGAAAATGGAAGAATCTCCTGCAATGTAGCCAGAGCCAGGTGAGGCCCAAAGGGGTGGGTGTGCCTGATAAGCCAGGAACGTGTCAGCCTGCAGGTGTCCATTTGCATGAGCTTATTTGCAGGGTGCTGCCTGTGAGGCTGGATTATGCCTGCTGCCTGACCCGGCCTGGTCACCCAGATATGAGCCCAAGCCCAGTGAGGAGAGACTCCATGGACAGAGGTGAAGGAACTGTTCTCCAAAGGACTCTGACAGCTTGTGGGTACAAGCTGTGCTGCTTTGGGGCCCAGATGACAGGTGAGATGTGGAAGGGGGCAGGGACATTTGTTCCATGTCTGTTGCACACTTTATGGCATGGCTACAGCCGGATAGACACCACCTGATGTGTTCTGACACCCTGAAGTCTACAGACATCTCAAGACCACTAGCCGACCTCAATCTTGATCACTGCCCAGGTGGCAGTGGAGAAATGTCTTCCTGCAGGCAGCAGGCAGCACCAAGAGGTTTGAGCCAGAGATATGACGCTCCCCTGAAGATACCATTGCAGGTGGTTAAGCAAAAGCCACTGGCATTTGGATTAATGTGTGTTGGTGCCCACCCACAGATAAGGCCTTGGGACCCCCAGGCCACTGCAGGGCCTGCTTTTGGCATCCACCAAGGTTTCTCTCTGGGACACCTGTTCCCTATGGACCCACTGACCTGAGTCCCCAGCACAGACATGACCACACCTCCCATTTTGTAAGGAAATCATGTATGATTCTCTGGGACAAATGCTTTCCAGTTCTTATTACTCCTCCCTACCGCAACACGTATTCTGATCCACCTGGAGAGCCACGAAACTCGATGGCAAGTGGCAGGCCAGATGCCACCAGGCTTCTCCTTCTGGCCCTGTGTCTTCACTCTATCTTATTTTCTTGCTTCTTGCCACTCTCTAGACTGATCTTGCTCATTTCTGGCTTGTTCATCATGACTCCACAAGAGCGTGGACTTTGCCTTTTCCCTCGTGGAACGCCTGGCTCTGACACAGCTGCACAACACATCACAGCACTCATATCTCAGTGAATTAATTAGTTGACGCCCCAAGCATACTGAGGGTGGAGGGCGGATGCCTGGGACTTGAAAGACGTGTGGCACATCTCCAGGTCCACTGCGCACTGGGCTGGAAGATTTCAGAAACGAGCTATGTGGAAACGGCACAGGAAGCCCACAGAGCGATTCTTCCGTTGCAGTGGCCTGAGGGAGGGTCAGTGGAAAGCTATGGGAGAAACTGACCTGGTCCTCCCGTCACATGACAGCTTCCTCTTCCCTGAGGGTGCTGGACAGACTGGGGATGGGGGAGGGAGGAGGAAGCAAGCGGGGTTTCTCCTTTGGGGTCTTTCTCTTCCTGCCTTCTCCTCCTTGGCCTCGTTTTGTAGCATCGTTACAGACTGCATCTTCCGTCCCCACCGCCATCCTGCCTGTCCTCCCTTCTCAGGCTTGACTCCTCCAGCCAAGTGTTAAGAGTGTTCTGGAAAGTTCCTTCTGGGTCACCCAGTGCTTAAGAAAATCTCACAAGAGGATCTTAGCATCACTGTGTTTTCCATCTTGAATCATTCTGGTACTAAAATTTGTGGTACCAAGGTGGAAGGAGGAAGAAAAGGGGAAAGAAAGAGGCAGAGGACTTCTTCATTGATTCAAGGTTTTCTCTTTCTGGAAGTCAGTCCACAAAATCCCAACTGTTCTTGATCTCTGAGACTCTCAAAGCCCTACATGGGTAATGCTTGTGTGTGATAGGAACCAATTTTTTTTCCCTAGTTCATCTTAGATGGACACTTGTATGAAGTACAAAGAAAAATGAGTAACTCAAAGATATACAAAATACAACCTCGCTCATGGCGCGTTTGTGTGTGGCAACACCCCAGTGCTCTAAAGGTTTCTAAATGCTTACTCCCCATTTCTGCAGCTATCCCATTGAGCATGGACAATAACTGTCTGTGCACTGGTACCAGTCTGCGAACACACTTGGAGCTCACGGTATAGATTCATGGACAGACTGCCTGTTTAAGGCTAGAGTCCTGCAAGTGTTCTTTATTCTTTAGTATATGAATCTGCAGCCAAAGACTTCCTCAGTAGAGAAGGAAAAAGAAAAGCCACTCTGATGCTTTCCCACTCACCCTGGTCTTGCTACAGGGAAAAAGTGAGCTCCAACAAACAGAGGGTCACTAAGCCACTGTCTCCTTGGCAGCAGACAGAGAGGGGGCCCTGTTTGGTTGTCCAGGACTGTCAGAAAAGGGAGAAGCCACACTTCTGCCATGAGGGAACACTGGAGGTCATGTTGGGTGGGAAACGGGGTGTGTCATGGTGCCCTCCACTGGTCCTGGCAGGGAAGCTGGCCCATGTGAGAGGAATGGTTACTGCCACATTAGTTCTGAGGATTGGCATGAATTTTGTGCCATGATTTCAAAGTCGTGATAACTCCATTTAAAAAATGATATTGGACGGCTAGGAATGGTGGCTCATGCCTGTAATCCCAGCACTTTGGGAGGCTGAGGCAGGTGGATCACCTGAGGTCAGGAGTTTGAGACCACCCTGGCTAACATGGCGAAACAATGTCTCTACTAAAAATACAAAAATTAGCTTGGCATGGTGACTCATGCCTGTAATCCCAGCTACTTGGGAGGCTGAGGCAGGAGAATCGCTTGAACCGGGGAGGTGGAGATTGCAGTGAGCTGCGATAGCACCATTGCACTCCAGCCTGGGTGACAAGAGCGTCTCAAAAAAAAAGGTCATTGGTACCTAGGATGGCTTGAGTGATTACTATGTGGTCGGCTCCCAAGGTGTCATCTTCAGCTACCCTATTTGGTTGTTGCCATTGTTATCATTGTCACTTCACAGATAAGGCAACTGGCCTCAAAGAGCCAGAGGGCCCAGCCAATGAGGTGAAGCTTGTGCATGGCAGCTGGGATCTAAACAGGGACCATCTGGCTTCAGGGCACCCTTATCTGCTGCATCAGGCCGCCTCCCAGGAACGTGAAAGGGGCTATTCAGGACGCTTTGGAAAAATATTCCCTAGCACAGGGCTCCCTGGAGTCAAAGGCCATCTCTGTGCATTGAAACTGTGTAAGAGCAAGAATTCAGCCACAGAAGTCACGTAGAGCAATAGTTCTCAAACTTGAGCATGCATCAGAATTACCTGGAGGGCTTGTAATCACACAGACTGCTGGCTCCCAACCCCGGCAATTCTGACTCAGTAGGTCTGGGTGAGATGGGAGAATTTGCATTCAGCAAAGCAGCAGGTGATGTCGAGGCTGCTGGTCCCTGGCTCACACTTTGGGAGTCCCTGGTGGAGAGACAGGCAGGACTGTGCTCTGGGACATGGTCTGAATAGGATTGTTACTCCCTGGGTGAGGCGGTCCTGAGGGGGTGCAGGTGAAAAGCCTGCTGATAGCTCCACTGTCCACTCCAGACATCCTCCCATCACCCCTTTGCAAATGACCAGTCTCTCTAAATGCAACACAGCCGTACTCAGCTTTGGGGCATGAGGGCTCAAAAGCAGATGCTCTGATACCTCTTGGACTATGTTGCTAGCCCCGTGCCAGGTGCAGATTAGATGTTTACTAAGTGCCCAAGTAGATTCTCTTCGATTAGCAAATCCTGTGAATTCCTAGATATCCCCTGGGTGGTAGAAAGAGCTGATACTTTTCCTCCTCCCGACATTATTTTACTTATTTTTAAAATTGGAGATGTACTGACTCAGCTCAGAAGTGACAAGGTGATACGGTGTAGATATTTGTCCCCTCCAAATTCCATGTTGAAATGTGATCCCCAGTGTTGGACATGGAGCCTGATGGGAGGTGTTTAGGTCAAGGGGGCAGATCTCTTGTGAATGGCTTGGTGCCCTCCCCATGGTAATGAGTGAGTTCTTGTTCTATTAGCTCATGTGAGAGCTGGTTGTTAAACAGAGCCTGGCTCCTCCTCCTTCCTCTTGCTCCCTCTCTCACCATGTGACATACCTGTTTCCCCTTTGCCTTCTACCATGATTGGAAGCTTCCTAGGCCCCCACAACAAGCCAAGCAGATGCCAGCACCATGATCCCTGTACAGCCTCCAGAACCATGAGCCAAATAAACCTCTTTTTGTTTGTTTGTTTTTTTGAGACGGAGTCTTGCTGTGTCGCCCAGGCTGGAGTGCAGTGGTGCGATCTCGGCTCACTGCAAGCTCCACCTTCCAGGTTCACACCATTCTCCTGCCTCAGCCTCCTGTGTAGCTGGGACTACAGGCACCTGCCATCGTGTCTGGCTAAGTTTTGAATTTTTAGTAGAGACGGGTTTTCACTGTGTTAGCCAGGATGGTCTCAATCTCCTGACCTTGTGATCCGCCCATCTCGGCCTCCCAAAGTGCTGGGATTACAGGCATGAGCCACGGCACCCGGCCATAAACCTCTTTTTAAAAATAAATTACCAGCCTCAGGTATTCCCTTATAGCAATGCAAAACAGACTAAGACACATGGGAAGGCAATGGAAAATGAGATTCCACAGGGAAGTTGAAATTTTATGCAAGAGAATGAGTAAATCAACTCAGCACTCCTACAGCCCAGGCAGACAGGCTCTCAGTGCACTAGAATCTAACCTGCACACAGTGGGTGACACTGTGTTGAGACAGGCAATTGACTTCTGCCTGAAAAGTGAATTGCTCTGTGCAACAAAACAACATTAGACTTGACAGATGGCACTATTATTTTAGGACCCTCTTGGACCTGATCTTACTTTTTAGAGGGTCCACCTCATATCACAGCAAACATGTGAAAACTCAGCCCCTTCCATATTACATCTAACCTATTCTGTTGTCAGTTTTGAAAGGATTTTTTATAATTGTGCTTTTGGAATTATTTAGCTGTAAGAAATATTTAATGTATAACTGGCCATGATTCCTTAGCGGTCTTGTATATTCAGGAACTTTTTGTGAATTGAAAGAAATCTAGGCTGGGCATGGTGGCTCATGCCTGTAATCCCAGCACTTTGGGAGGCTGAGGCAGGTGGATCACCTGAGGTCAGGAGTTCGAGACCAGCCTGGCCAACATGGTGAAACCCCGTCTCTACTAAAAATACAAAAATTTAGCCAGGCATTGTGGTGGATGCCTGTAATCCCAGCTACTTGGGAGGCTGAGGCAGGAGAATCACTTGAACCCAGGAGGCGGAGGTTGCAGTGAGCCAAGATTGCACCACTGCACTCCAGCCTGGGCGACAAGAGCATAACTCCATCTCAAAAAAATTATGTGTGAATATTTAATTAAATATGTATTAATTTCAATGTTGTTATTTCTTATTTTAGAGCTAATAGATTTTTTTTTTCCTTCAGCGTTTAATCATGTCCAAAGGCTTGCAGGACCAGGCACTGGCTTTTTAGTGCCTACAGGTTAAAATATTCCTGCCACAGGTAGGGATGCTCTTCCGCAAATGCCTCAGCCTGGGCACTCTCCTGTGGAAGTCTGTGAAGCTCATTCCCTCCTTTCTACCAATTGTGAGCACAAGCGTCACCTTCACCATGAGGCCAGCCCTGGCCACACTCTCCCTTCCTTGGCCTCCCCAATCCACTTTACTCTGCTTGCCTTTGCCACCTTCAACAGATCATGACATGTACTCACTTATCATGTGTACTGTTTATTGTATGTCCCTCCCAGCCCAGCCCCACCTACTCCATTCAGATAGAACAGAAGCTGCAAGAGGACTCAGGGCTTTGTTTTTATCCCAGGTACCCAGAAACATGCCTGGCACTTAATAAATATTTGTTGGGTAGAAGTGCACATCTAATTGCAGCTAGGGGTCAAGATACTAAGTGGGGGCTTTTCCTTATGTGACCTGAAGCCAAGGAAGGAGACAGAAGCTTCTCTTGCATAATAATATCTAGGAGAGCTGTTGGCCAAGCTTTACCTGGGGGGTGAGGAAGGTCTGGGTGTTGTTTCAGTGCCCTAACTGCCAGAGCTTGAACTCAAAACTGGGGTTGTGCAGGCAGGATGGCTTTAGTTGTGTGCAGGGAAGTCCAATTCAGGTAAATGTCATCTGGTGCCTCCTTGAGCTAGACGGCCTAGTTGCCTCTGATGGCCAGATGGCAAGGAGGTAACAAAGGGAGTCATACTTCTGGAACATACTTCTGCAGTCTTCATGAAGTGCCCCTTCCCAGACTTGTTCTGTCCCTCATGTGCATAGAGTGTTGTTGAAATCGTCTATGTCGTATCTTCAAAAGTCACCATCAATTTTCCCTCTGGGCCATTATATGTGCATTTGTTTTAATATCAATAATTATTTGTCCCCCACCTTTACTGTGTGTTCTTAATGTACCCCAGGCATACCACCTGGAATCCTAGGTGGGCAGTGATGTTCTCAGCAGCTGGAAAAGCTCTGGACCCAAGGATTCTCCTAGAGAATCTCTGAGCTGGGTGCTCATGGCCTCACTGAGAGCCTGTGGGGCTGAGGGAGACCCTGCCACTGAGCTCCAGGCACACCCACCAGGAATCCACAGAGCCCATGGTTCAATTTCCAGCTGCATCTTGTACCGCATATGACAGGGAACATTTTCTGGTTTCCTCTGACCCCAAAATCAACCCATCCACAACTGGGAGGCATGGGAAAAGGGAGTAGTGGTGGCATTAAGAACAAAAGAGAGACCCTAGTAACAACAACAATAATGTCACATTTGTATTAGTAATGATAGCTAAGATTCATTGACTTTACTACGTGACAGGCGCTGTGTTGAATACCTTATATACAACATTTTGTTTCATCTTTAAATAAACTTGTGATGTTCCAGGTTCTATTTTTAACTTCATTTTACAAATGAGGAAAAGGGGGCACAGAGAGATTAAGGAGCAGGCCCTAAGTCACACAGCTAAGCAGCAGCAGAGCCAGGATTTGATCCTGGGACTATCAGGCTGCAGAGCTGCCAGTCACTGCCTTGCTGGAGACAAAGGCCCACCCTCGTCATCCAGCTGCAACTGTGCTTGCAGCTGGCTTTGAGCAAGGTAAGAGATACTGTGAGAAAGTCAGGAGCTTTGGAATGTTGATGGCTTCCTTGGGACTGTTGATATTAATAAAAAGCTACAGCCCATGACAGGATTTAAATTCATTCTGGCTGTCATTCACTCTGTCATTATAAGGGCAAAGAATCACTATCTTCCTGACAGGCCTAAGTTGGTCAATGTATTTAAAAGGCATTCTTGGTTAACTAAAGGACATTTTTGCCCTCTCTTCCTGAATGAAAGGCCAATGAAGATGGTGTAGAAGAGTTATTTTATCCTAAGGAAAATAGAAAGTGATCCACTGGCAGTACAGGTGATGCCCACTAATGACATTTCAGAAAAGAGCCTTTGGCCTAATTGCTCCCCTCCACCCCCAAGCCTGTCCCACTGCCTGGAATCCTGCCATTAGAAATCTATTTAAAACAACATCAGAAGACTGTGTGGTGGAGAAAAGAAGACAAATTGGCTAGACACTTTAGGACCCGAGGAATGACATGGTAGTGAGTTCCTTGGTCTTCTTTTTGTCTCCCATGTTCCAGAATGCACACTGGAGAAGCTGGCAACATGGAAATACCAATGGATGCAAACAAAGAAACTCCCAAGAAAAGCGGACTCTCTATAGCCAGAGGACCAGGGAAGGGGCAGCCAAGCAACACCGAAAACTCTTAGACAGCAGCCACTCTACTGCAGCCAGACTATAGGAAAAGCTGTGGCCCCACTACCACTCAAGCCAGCAAAGCTGAGTGGAAAGCTTAGATTTCCCCCATCAGCAGGCTGCAATGAGTTGCTCCAATTCCACCCGCCTCCACACACACACACACTGGGCTGCCTACAGAGCAGGCCAGGTGGGAGGATAGGACTTGCAGCAACAAACCCCTGACCCCTCGCCCCACCCACAATGTTGGTTGAGAACACCCAGGGAACCTGGACTTCCACTGCCATCCAGAGATGATGGGGTGCCGCTCCCCTTCCTTACTGGTGTGGTGTCAGAGGAAGGCTAATGGAGAGCTGGAACTTCCACTCCTGCTCAGCAGTAACAAAAAGCTCCTCCCCTCTGGGTGTCAATGAAGGTCAAGTCGAGAACCTGGGATTCCACCCTTATCTAGCAGTAACAAAGTGACACACCTTGCCACGTGCCGCAGTGGTGTCACAGAAGACCTGCTAAAATACAAGGGTTAAATAAGTTCCAGAGTCTCATATCAAAATGTCCAGGTTTCGGTAAAAAATTACTAATCATACTAAGAACCAAGAAAATCTCGAGTTAAAAAAGACAATCAACAGACACCGACACTAAGATGACACAGATTTAGAATTATCTGACAAAGATTTTAAAACAGCCAGCATAAAAATGCTTCAACAAGCAATTGCAAACGTGCTTGGAATAAATTTTTAAAAACAGAAATTCTCAGCCCAGAAATAGAAGTTTCAACAAATAAATAAAAGATTCAAAGAAGACCCAAATGGAAATTTTAGAGCTGAAAAATACAATAAGCAAAATTTAAAACTCTGTGAATGGATTCAAGAACAGAATGGAAAAGACAGAGAAAAGAATCATGATCTTGTAGTCCCAGCTACTCTGGAGGCTGAAGTGGGAGAATCAACTGAGCCTGAGAAGTCTAGATTGCAGTTAGCCATGATCATGTAACTGCACTCCAGCCTAGGTGACGGAGTGAGAACCTATCTCAAAAAAAAAAATCATGATTTTGATAATAGAAACATAGAAATTACCCAAAAGAGAGAAAATAGACTGAAAAATAAACAGAGCCTAAGGGACCTACGGCACTATAACAAAAATATCGTTATATGTCATCAGAACCCCAGGAGGAGAGGGGAAAGAGAGTGGGGCAGAAAGGGACCAAAGAAATAATGACTGAAAATGTCCCTGATTTAGCAAAAGACATAAACCTAGATTCAAAAAGCTAGCTGAATGGACCCCAAATGGGATAAACTCAGAGTAATCCATGGCAAGAATCATCATAGCCAACTTCTGGAAACTAAAGACAAGTAAAATATCTTGAAAGCAGCTAGAGAGAAATGATGCTTTACCTATGGAGGTGGGGGCGGAACAAAAAGCAAACAACAAACAAACAAACAAAAGCTGTATTTGAATGACAGCAGATTTTTCCATCAGAAACCATGGAGGCCAGAAGGATGTGGCAAACATTTTTTCAAGTGCTGAAAGAAAAAAACCATCAACCTACAATTCTATATCCAGTGAAATACCTTTTAAGAATGAAGAGAAGGCCAGACACAGTGGCCCATGCCTGTAATCCCAGCACTTTGGGAGGCCAAGGCAGCAGGATCACTTGAGATCAGCAGTTCGAGACCAGCCTGGCCAACATGGTGAAAATCCATTTCTACTAAAAATACAAAAATTAGCCGCGTGTGGTGATGCGTGCCTGTGCCTGTGGTCCCAGCTACTCAGGAGGATGAGGCCGGAGAATCGCTTGAACCTGGGAGGCAGAGGTTGCAGTGAGCCAAGACTGCACCATTGCACTCCAGCCTGGAAAACAGAGCAAGACTCTGTCTCAAAAAAAAAAAAAAAAAAGAAGGGAAAATCAAGATGTTCTCAGATAAAGAAACCCAAGAGAATTTGTCACTTGCAGACATACTCTAAAAGAATAGCTAAAGGAAGTTCTCTAAACACAAAGAAATGATGAAGAAGAAATCTTGCATATTACACACCTATTAGAATAGCTAATATTTTAAAAACTGACAAGAACAAATACTGGTGAGGATGTGGAGAAACTGGATCTCTCCTATATTGCTGATGCAAGTGCAAAACGGTACAGCCACTCTGGAAAATGATTTTGCAGTTCCTTAAAAACTAAGCATATGCTTACCATGTGACCCAGCAATTTCATTCTTGGGTGTTTATCACAGAAAAATGAAGGCTATGTTCCCATAAAAATCTGTACATTATTGTTCATAACAGCTTTATTTATTTATTTATTTATTTATTTTTGATACAGAGTTTCACTCTTGTTGCCCAGGCTGGAGTGCAATGGCACGACTCAGCTTACTGCAACCTCCACCTCCCGGGTTCAAGCAATTCTCCTGCCTCAGCCTCCCGAGTAGCTGGGATTACAGGTGTGCAACACCACACCTAGCTAATTTTGTATCTTTAGTAGATATGGGGTTTCACCATGTTGGCCTGGCTAATCTCAAACTCCTGACCTCAGATGATCCACCTGCCTTGGCTTTCCAAAGTGCTGGGATTACAGGCGTGAGCCACCGTGCCAGGCCCATAATAGCTTTATTTGTAAAAGCCCTAAGCTGGAAACAACCAAAATGTCCCTCAACAAGTGAATGATTAAGCACACTGCAGTACATCTGTACCATGGGATACTACTCAGCAATAAAAAGGAATGGACTATTAATACACACAACAACTTGGATAGCTCTGAAGATCAATCTCGAAAGGTTACATGCTATATGATTCCATGTACGTATCATTCTCAAAATGCCAAAACTATAGGGATACAGGATAGACATGTAGGACGTTAGTGGTTTCCAGGCGCTAAGGATGTTGGGGGATGGGGTGGGGAGGAGTGTTTGAGACTACAAAGTGTAGCACAAGGGAGATTGTTGTGGTGATGGACTAGTTCCACATCGTGATTGCATTGGTAGTTACACAAATGTAACAAAATGGCATAGAGCTATACACCCACATTGTACCAATGTCAATTTTCTGGTTTTGCTATCGTAATATAATTGTGTAAGATGTAACCATTGGGGGAAACTCGGTGAAGTGTACAGGGGGTCTCTTTGTACTATCTTTGCAACTTCCTATGAATCTTTATTTCAAAATAAAAAGCTTTTTGACAAATAAGTATTCAGAACATGATGTCCTTTTGTAAAATCTCTTAGCTTTATCTACAGGTGAATGTATCTGTGTGGAGAGGTATCTAGAAGGATGTTTACCTAGTTTTTGAGTGATTATTACGGAAAGGTGACATTGAGGAGTGATTTTCACTTTCTTCATATTCTATTCATTATTTGAGTTATTTTAATTTAACATCTAAAGTAGATAAAAGGGCCCTGACAGGCACTGGGAAGAGGGAGGGAAAATGGAAAGGACACATTCCATTTTGCCTTGGCCTGTGGTGGGCATGGACTATGGGTGATTGGATGGATTTGAGGCCCAGAGCCCCAGGAGGGATTCTTGCCACTTTCATTATGAGATAGCCTCTCTGAAGAGCCCAGTACAGCACCAATTGCTTTCCTGATCATTGATCAGGACAACTAATTTCCCAGGCAATTAACCTGCGTCATCCCCTCACCCCTCTTCACTATGCCCTTGAGAATGTCTCAGTTAATTAACTCAGATAATTTCTAACTCTCACTTGAGCCAGCAATTCTTAAATTTAGTTTAAAACCCAAATTTAAAACAGACAATAGAGATCCTGCTGTCTTTTTAGACTGGTGGATATTAACACTTCCAACTAGTAACAACACTAATAATGTAATCATAATTTTTTGATCCCCAGTGTGCTAAGTAATGTTACCAGCAACTCAATACATTATAAAAGGATCCTTTCATGCAGGTTAATTAGATAAACACATGGAAATCTGATGGCATTTTTCTTCATTTTGAAGAGCAAGGATTTGTTTTGATTTTCCCAGTGGGGAATTTGTGTGTGCAGGATTATGATGTTAAGTTGAACTGTGGTGTGTGTGTGTGTGTGTGTGTGTGTGTGTGTGTGTGTGTGTGTGTTTGTGTGTGTGTTTCTGTTAAGCCCAGCACTCTTTTGTGTCTTTTAAGATTGTCATGGTAGACATGGCAGGAAATGCTAGACCTTGAGTCCCAGTTCTTCCATTTCCTAGGTGCATAATATGCTCCTCTTTCCTCCTCTGTAAAATGGGACACACACCTGGCAGGGTTGTACCAAGCTCTAAATGAAACTACATGTGCAAAACTGAATCTAAAACAGTGTGGCCCACACAGTACTTTGGTTTTGCTCCACTTGTCTGAGGGTCCATCATCAAAGAAGACATAACAAGTCCATTGCCTTAAAGAAGTAAAAGTCTAGGTGCAAAGATGCAAAGGGCTCTAGTTGAGAGACTCAGGCAGCAGGTGCAGGTGCGTGGCTTGCAGAACTGACTGACTGTTCAATGAGTTGATAGGAAGCTTTAATTGAATTGGAACTGGGTCTCAGCTTTATCCTGTGAGCCTGTAGAGAAGATGGGGGCATCAAGAGACTCAAGGGGATTGCTCAGGCTCCGCTGTCACTCCCTAACCTTGAGCACGTCTTTTCCCATGGAGGGGGCTCCTTATCTGTATAAGGGTGGAAAGAGAAGCTGGCACTCCCTTGCTGCCTCCCTCCTAGCATGGCTATGAGAGGCAGCACTTGTGAATGGCTCCTCAGTTGGGGTGCCTTGCAGACATGCCAAATGAGGGTGATGCGGTGACTGACAGAGCCATCTCCAACCCACAGGTTCACAGATGGTAGGATGAGGGCTGTGCCCCACCTCCAGACTCCCTCTTCCTGGGATTCTAACCTGCTTCCCTGGCTTGCTGATGTCAGTTTCATCTTCACTAATGAAGCAAATGATGTTCTTTCTTTCCCAGAAGGAGGTTGGTGGCTGCAAAAGGACAGCCCCACCTCAGGATGGGAGGGCACCTGGGCTGATGTTCTTCTCCAGTGGCAGCTTGGAGTGGGCACTTCCTCTGGTCCACATAGCCCCAGAATGTTTGCCTTTGTTACCAAGATAGGCCCGGATGCACTTTCAAAGAAACCAGAAGCTGCTTCTCTTCAGGAACTTTGTTACCCTGGTTACCTGGCAGGGACATCTGTCTGCCACAGGGGGAGGCCCTTGATGGTAACTAGTGCTTTAAACACACCACAGAGGCCAGACCAGCGGGGTTGGCCTCAGGGCCACAGGAGAACAGTCATTTACCACTATGTCTATCCTGTCCTGCATTCAGTGACTCATTCTCTCCATTCATTGTTCATTCATTCAGGCACTCATTTGCTCCTTGGTTTTATTCAACTATCAGTTTGGTCATCCATCCATTGATTCATTCATTCAGTTATTCAGTTAGACATTCATTTGTCCACCAATCTTCTCATTCATCCATCCCTCCATCCACCCATCTCCCCATTCCTCCATCCACCCATCCATCCATCCTTTCATTTGGTCAGTCAAGAATTAAACTAGCCAGGCAATCAATAGATGCATATGTACTCCAATATCCAAAGCACTGTCTTTTGGGAGCAAGGAGGGAAGGGCACTAACATCCATTGCCAGATTACTATGTGCCAGGTACAGTGCCAACCTCTTAACGTATTTGATTTTCACATTAATCCCAGAGGCAAGTATTATGCTTCCCACCTACAGAGGAGGAAAGTAAGGCCAGAGAAACTGGATGACCTGTCTAGAGACAGTCAACCAGTAGGAGACAGAGCCAAGGTTCCAACCCAGGTCTTCCTAGCTCTTTAGCCCATGTCTTTTCCAGTTTCTGTTTATCATCACTATCTACAAAGTGCTTTGGTATTCCTGTGATACTTACCACAATCCTGGGAGATGCATCATATTGCCCTACTGTGCAAATGAGGAGAGCGTGGCTCAGGGAGGTTGTGAGATGCTGGAGGCCACACGGTGGCTAAGGACAAAATTAGAACTTGAACTCAGGTCTTCTGAATGCAAAGGTTTTGTTCTTTCCACAGCATTGTGTGCTCCAAGAATTAGCCACATGGAGTAGCAAGTTCTGAGTGGCTCTGTTTACTGGGTATATGGGAAAGAACCCTGGGTTCTCGGGAGGGGGTGATGATCATGTGCTGGGGGCAGGGGAGGATTTATAAAGGAGAGAGAGCCAAGCCAGGCTTGAAGGACTAGGGAATGTTGCCAGGTGGAGAGCACTCCAAATGAGGCAGAGGTGTAGAGTCTGTTTAGGGGTTTGGCTACAGCAGGACACCTGTGTTGGGCAAAGGAAGATGGAATGTAGGTGGGGCCTCACCTTCCAGAAAGACTGCTCAAAGAGTCCAGGGGACTTAAGTAATCCACAAATCTGACTGTGTCTCTCTCTTATCTAAAACTCTTCAATATCCCCTCTCCATTTCTTCAGGATAAAACCCACACCCTTTGCCTGGTTTACAGGGCCCTCTGTCCCTGTCCCTCTGTCTGTGCACCTGGCCGACCCCCAGCAGCCCTGCCCACAGGGCATCCTACCTCTAACATGTCTGTGTAGGTGCCTGGATGCAGTGGCTTCTCCCAGCAGTGACTCAGGGAGCAACTTTTGTTTCAAGGAACCGTATGGGCAGGCCCGCCACTCCCTGGCTGGCCTCTTCCATCCAAAACAAACAGTCTGGCAGGCAGCATGTGGGCCCCAGAATTAAGAGAAGGGCATTTCAGGATAACCAGGAGAGCTTCCAGAGAAAAGCTCACTTGTCGTTAGGAAGTAAAGATGCTGAACCCAGAAACAGGCCTGGGCAGGCGTGGGTGTGTAACTCCTCTAATGGCCCAATAGACACCATAATAAAAGCCACTTACTGAGCACTTATTGTGTTCTAAGTCCCATCTTCACAACTTCTATGCAGCAGAGGGATCATTTGCCCAAGGAGGAAACCGAAGCTCAGAACCCTTTAGCCGGTGGCTCAAAGTTCCACAAGCCAGCAAGCAGTCGATTTGAACTCGGGTTTGTCCGGCACCAACAGCACCCTTTGCAACAGCATCATGGGCCAAAGAGCTTAGATCGCAGAGATGTGATCATTTAGGTCTTTGCAAAAGATCAATCATTTTCATATTTTTAGAGCAGTTTTCCTAAACAATGTGCCAATCATATCTTCAGGACAAAAAGCCTAAATGGATGGAGAACTATTGAACCAGGACATTAGGCTTTCTGAGTGGTGCTGCTGGGTTGCCATACTGGATTGAGAACTATACTGATGGGCTTATTTAATTGACAAGAGAAAGGACAAGAGAAATCAGAGAAGGAATCCCACAATGAATCCCAGAATGGTCCCCTTTGACCAGCTTTCTGGGCAGCTCCACATTCCCCAGTGGAAGGGGGGCAGTAATGGAGAGATCAGGGCCATGTAGCAGTGCCCACGATGGAGCTCAGGGCCATGCCAGGACTCCAGCCGCCAGTCCCTTGTAGGTGGGCTCACTTATGCCCCACCTAGGGGCTCCATTCTCCCAGGCTCTTAAGCCCATCTCCACAGGGGCCATATGGGGCTCAGCATCTGATGTGAAGCCTAGGGGCTTAGAATTAAGTCACCTGGAGCTGCTACCAGGAGTGAGCCCTGGGCAACTGCACATCACATTCAAGCTGAGTTTGTTGCACTGGATTTCCTGTCAGACTGTCCATAGGGGTCTCCAGTCCCTTTCCAGGCCTGGGGCTCAGCATCTGATGTGAAGCCTAGGGGCTTAGAATTAAGTCACCTGGAGCTGCTACCAGGAGTGAGCCCTGGGCAACTGCACATCACATTCAAGCTGAGTTTGTTCCACTGGATTTCCTGTCAGACTGTCCATAGGGGTCTCCAGTCCCTTTCCAGGCCTGGGGCTTGCCTTGTTTCTGCCAACCTCCCTTCTGAAAGCCAGATTTGCCCCCAGGCTCATCCACCATGCCACTATCCCTTGATGACCCCCGCCCCCATCGCCCCATCTCTCATCCTGGACACTGTACTAGTGGCTGACACTATTGAGGTAATTAAGACATGGTGCCTGCTCTTGAGGAAATCATGATCCCCAGGGGAAAACACCACTATAATCTAAAAATGGGGAGCAGTGGGGTTGCAGAGGAGAGAGGGCCACTTCTGTAAGCTCAGAAAGATGTCTCAGAGTCAATGAGTTTTGATTGGAGTTAATGTTTGTGTTCTGGTGTAGGCAGATTTTATTTGTGGGAGGTTAGGGGGTGGGGTGGGGCTGAAGGAAAAACCCACTCTGGGCAGAGGAAGCAACGTGAAAAAAGACACAGGAGAGGAAACAACCCAATATCCTCCAACAGGTGAATGGAGAAACAAACTGTGGTGTATCCACACAAGGGAGCACTATCCAGCAACAGAGAAGAATGAACTGATACATGGAACACAGAGGAATCTCAAAATACTCAGGCTGAGCCAAGGAAGCCACACATAAAAGAGTACATACTGTATGAGTCCATTTACAGAAAGTTGTAGAACATGCAAACTGTAGTAACAGAAAGCAGACCAGTGGTTGTGGTTGGGGTGGAGAAGGTAGTCAGGGGGAATGATAAAGGGGCAGAGGGCAGTTCTGGGGGTGACAGATGTGTTCATCGCCTTTTTTTTTTTTTTTGAGGCAGAGTCTTGCTCTGTCTGTCACCCAGGCTGGAGAGCAGTGCCATAATCTTGGCTCACTGCAACTTCCACCTCCTGGGTTTAAGCGATCCTCCTGCTTCAGCTTCCCAAGTAGCTGGGATTACAAGCGTGCACCACCACGTCTGGCTAATTTTTGTATTTTTAGTAGAGATGGGGTTTCATCATGTTGGCCAGGCTGGTCTTGAACTCCTGACCTCAAGTGATCCACATGCCTCAGCCTCCAAAGTGCTGGGATTACAGGCGTGAGCCACCGCACCTGGACTTGTTCATGGTCTTGATTGTGGCAATGTTTTCACAGGTGTATTTATAGGTCAAATCTTACCAAATTGTACTCTTTCTATATGTCCACCAGTTTATTGCATATCAAGTATATCTCAATAAAGCTGTTTTCTTTTTTAAGGCAGGGAACCTGGAATAGCTGGGGTGTGGGGAACTCCAGGCAGTTGGGTTAGACTGAAACAAAGGGTCTGAAAGCTTAGAGGCCCAGGGAGAGTTGCGGCAAGGAGCTTGGATTTTATTCTGAGGCAATTGGGAGCCATTGAAGGCTTTTAAGCAGGATAATGGCTTTATCAGGTTTGTATGGGAAAATGATTTTTCTGGAGAGAGGCTGGTGAGGAGTCCAGGCACAGATGGGAGGACCTAGGAAAAGTGAGACAGAGAGGATTGATGGATTCAAAAGATGTTTAGGAGTCAGAATTGGCAGGACTTGGTCTCTCACTGGATATGGGGAAGGAAGACGGGAAGGAGTCAAAGGTGGTGATCAGGCTTCTGTATGGGTGACTAGGAACTGGCAGAACTGAGATGAGAACTCCTAAGGGGCTTGGCTTTGCCAGGTGCTACCCTCAGGATGCTGACTGCTGTCTCCAGGGCTTCTCCAGGTACTGACAGCAGCTTGGAGTTTCTCTGCTTTTGGGCTGTGGTGCTTCAGACCACCTACATGCTCTCCCTGGAGCCAGCCTGAGGGGCTTTGCCAATTCCTTCTGCTCCCTCTCAGTGGTGCTAAGATGCTAAAGTCATGCCCAGTTTCTGGCCCAGATCTGTCCTTGTTCTGACAGGAAGGCAGACAAATACTAAGCATCCAGGGAGAGGTATCATGGGAAGATTCCTGGACCAGGAGTGGGGAGCTCCGAGTTTGACTTTGACTCTTTCTCCTCTTATCTTCAGTTTCCTGTCTGTAAACAGAGGCAGATAATATCCTTGGGTCCCAGCCCTGGCTTTGCATTAGCATCATCTGAAGGTCTTTTAAAACTACTGATGCCACAGTGAGATTCCATTACACATCTACTAGAAAGGCTAAAATAAAAAGGTTGGCAGTATCAAATGCTGGTGAGAATTTGGAGCAACTGGAACTCTCATACACTGCTGGTGGGAGTAAAACTGGTGTACCAATCTGGAAAACAGTTTCACTGCTTCTTATAAAGCTAAATGTACTCTTACTATATAACCCAGCAACTCCACCCAATATCCAAGAGAAAAGAGTACAATTGTCCACCAAAGACTTGCATAAAAATGTTCATAGCAGCTTTATTCATAATAGCTCAAAACTGGAAATTCAAATGTCCGTCAACTGGAATATAGACAAATTGTGCTTTGTGTGCAAAAGAGAATATTACACAGCAATACAACACACATTGACGAGGATAAATTTTATAGACACAATGTTGAGCAAAAGAAGTTAGATCCAAAAGAGTATAATCCATACTGTGTAATGACAATTATATGAAGTTCAAGAACAGACAGAACTAATCTATGTAGCTAGAAATCAGAATAGTGGTTACCTCTGGCTTCCAGAGCTAGAGGAAGCCTTCTGGGGTGTTGAAATGTATCTTGCCCTGGATGATGGACACATAGTTTATTGAGCTTTATACTTAAGAGTTGTAGGCTTTACTATATTTAAGTTATACCTCAAAACAAAGCAAAAAGAAAAGAAGGAAAAAATAATAGTAATCCCAGTTTCTTGTGACCAGAGATTCAGATTGGGCTGGGGTAGGGTCTTAAGAATTTTTTTAAAGCACTCCCAGTAGTTCTAATGTGAAGCATATTCTAATGTGCGTGACACCCATGAGAGCAGTCCCTCTTAAAGACCTTCTTTCCCCAAGGATCCAGGACTTGGTGCAGGAGAAGTCTGCTGCTAGGCTTATCCTGGAATGTGCAGACTGCAGTTTCAGATAAGGAAATAGGTAGAAAGCTTTCTTTTATGTGAAGGAAGTTTTGCATGAAGTGCTGGTGCAGAGATGGCTGCTGGAGTCTCCAGCGTGGGAGCAGTCTGGCTCTGTCACCGTGCTGCCGCACTGGCTTCTCAGAGTCAGCCCCATGTGCACACCTGCACTGGCTGCCCTTGGCTGGGGACCAGGCTTGGCATCCCTTCTCAGCCCCTCGAAAGCCACGCCAAGGGGTCAGGAAAGCCGTGATTCGCATAACTTGCAATGGGACTGGGCAAATAATTGTGAATGGAATTCGTGCTTGTGACTTCTGGTTCTCACAGCTGCGGATGGGGGGGATCACCATGGGAATTCTGAGTATTGTTCAGCGCTGACTGCAGCTTCCATTGTTGGGCTCTGATTACAGCTTTTGTTTCACCATAAAGTACTGTTATTAAATGCCATTCAGGAACAAAGATGTACTTACATGCCAGGGGGTCAGGGAAGGCACGCTATTTCTAAAGCTGCCCCTGCTGTTAGTCTAAGGGCAGGTAGGTTGTAGGGGAAGGAGGGCAAGCTGGAGGTTTTAGATGAAAGTGAAATGTTTCTGAAGGAGCCAGACAAGATGGGAAATGATGATGTCATCACAGCCCTGCTCTAGTCTTCCCACGTCAGTTCATTTATACTTATTTATTTTTGGGCCAGGAGAGGGTGGGGGTCAGGTGCACAACCAAACATCTACTGCACATTAGAATCATTGGGAGTGCTTTTCAAAAGTCTTAGATTTGTGGGGAAACAAATTCAAGTGCCCCCTTAGCTTGGCGGCCTGAGCCCTTCCAAGTCAGGTCTCTGCTACGTCCCCAGCACCATATCCACACGGCCCTGTTCCCCCATTGCACCAAATTCCACGAGATCCTACACCACAATCCCATCCCAGTCACCCTCATATGAACAAGGACCACAGCAGTCAAAGTACTTTTAGAACCTACCCACTGCCCATGTAAGAGACTCTGAATGTATTATCGCCTTGGTCAGGTGGGCTCAGGGAATCAGGCCGAACTAAATCATAGAAATGCTGACACTGATGGAGCCACTAATACCTGCCAGACCTTTGTTGCATTATTTTATTTAGGACTAATGATGGGGCTGTGAAGTGGGAACTATTGCCAGAGAAATGAGGTAACATGTTTGAGGTCACCCAGCTAGTCAGGGCAGATGGACTCCAGGGCCCCAGCTTCTTACTTTCCTTTCCTGGGCTGGGGCCCATGACATCCAGACTCTCCTGGTGGAAGCAGTGACTTCTGTGCTTCTCTTCCTTTTTTTTTTTTTTTTTTTTTTTTTTTTTTGAGACGAAGTCTCACTCTGTTGCCCAGGCTGGAGTGCTGCAGTGAGGCGATCTCGGCTCACTGCAACCTCCGCCTCCCAGGTTCAAACGATTCTCTTGCTTCAGCCTCCTGAGTAGCTGGGATTACAGGTGCCCGCCACCACACCCAGCTAATTTTTATATTTTTAGTAGAGATGGGGTTTCATCATATTGGCCAGGCTGGTCTTGAACTCCTGACCTTGTGATCCGCCTGCATCTCGCTCTCAAAGTGCTGGAATTACAGGCGTGAGCCACTGTGCCCTGTCTGGTAAGGGGAAGGGGTCTGAGGGTACAATTCCCCCAGGCCAAGGAGCTTGTGAAGCCCAAGATGGACTTGTTCCCAGATCCTCTCTCCCAGCTTTGTTTGCAAGGAGTCTTCACCTTCTAGAATGCTCCCTACTTCAGTGCTGCAATTAGCAACCCAAGTGTGGCCCTGGATGATCATCTTGATTCAGAAAATCTTGTTTTTCAAGTTTTCACACCACATTGGAGCAAGAGTCCGTATGTTTGGATGACAGCAAGCATCCTGTGCTCTGCAATTTTAGGGTTTACCACCATCCCAGGCCTGCCACATGTGGTCAGGGTAATTAATGTATGACCTAACTAGGGTGTAGATGCAGCTGGAACCCACCAGACCCCCAGAGATCATAGGGTTGCTGGGGACCTTTAGAACTCCAGTGGCTTTCAGCAACTTTAGATCCTGTCCAACCCAGATGTTCAGTGTTGGGCTCCCTTCCTTGTCTGATAATCCTAAGGCAGGAAAGACCTAGTTCTGCTCTCTACAAGTCTTGGAGGCAAGCATCTCCCCGGATGCCCAGTTTTTTGTTTTTTGTTTTTTGTTTTTTTTCCTGTGTGGGCCTGGAATTTGGGCTGGTTGCTGACTTTTTCAGAAATCCTATTCTTCCACCTTGGTAAGCATAAAATGTGGACAATCTTTCGTGGCACCTTCCTGAAGGAGGATTGTTCTGCCCCAGCCCTGGGATGCAAGAATTAGCTCCAGAAGGAGACTCCAGTCACCTGATTGGTAATCTGGGAAGGTCACTTAATCTGTGCCTGCTTGGGGTGATTACTGAGAATCATGCTTCCCCTCACTTGGTCATTGCCAGTTGTGAGGCAGGGTCAGAAAGCCAGCTCCGACTCTTCACCCACAGAAGCAACTCCACTGACTCGCTGCCTGGAGTTCTTGTGCCATTTTTACACTAAAAAATAGGGAAAAGCCGTTTTTAACTCTCTGCTACCCAGTTTCTGGAGGGGACACAAAAAGAACAAAGCCGGGTTCAGAGAGTGTTCAGTTCATGTTTAATTCTTGTTCTATCTTGGTTCTGATTTCTGGTTAGAACAGAGGTTTGCTTCTGGAGGTACTCCTTCTGCTTGGCTTCTGATGCTGGCTCTGTCCATAAAGGGGACTGTGGCATTCATCATTCAACACATACTTCTGTTGTAGGCACTAAGGATACAAGCAGGAACAAAACATAAAATCCCTGGCCACGTGGAGGTTACAGTTTAGAGGGATATGCAGAAAAAAAAATATATATGCACATATATAATATGTACAAAAGTGACCATTGCTAAGGGGAAAAAGATAATGCAGGAAATGCTGCAGACATCAAATATTAGAGAGGTGACTAGCATTCAGGAGCTTTCTGCGTGCCTCTGTACGCTGCTTTTTGTGTTGTCAGAGGGGCTGACGTCTGTCTGGAAGCCCCAGAGCCCAGCACTAAGCATATGGAAGGGGCCCAAGAGCTATTTTTGAATGAAACATCAACGTACTTCACACGTGCAAAGCATGATGATAATGATGACAGTGATACTTTAAAGGTAAACTGCAGGCTGGGGCAGTGGCTCACACCTGTAATCCCAGAACTTTGGGAGGCTGAGGAGGGGGGTAGATCACTTGAGGTCAGGAGTTCGAGATCAGCCTGACCAACATGGAGAAACCCTGACTCTACTAAAAATACAAAAATTAGCCTGTCATGGTGGCAGGCACCTGTAATCCCAGCTACTTGGGAGGCTGAGGCAGGAGAATCACTTGAATTCAGAGGCAGCGGTTGCAGTGAGCTGGGATTGTGCCACCACACTCCAGCCTGGGCGACAGAGCGAGACTCTGTCCCTTCCGGCAGAAAAAAAAAAAAAAGTAAACAGCTAAACTATAGATCCTTGAATTCAGACTCCTCCTTTTTCTTCAGATGAAAAGTAGCCATGGAATATTCCAGCATTCCTCAGTGCCTTCAGTGAGTCCTGAGTGTTCTTGGTTTGCTCCCAGACTGTAATTTCCCTGTACTATTTTTTTTTTAAATAGCACTGAAAGCACTGTTATGTAATAAACCTCTGCATCCAAAAAAAAAGAGGCTGGAAGAAAAGCAGAGAGCTTTTTTTTTTTGTCTCTGTATTTATTGGCTGATCGGGAGCTATGAAGTTCTGGTTATACTGCAACCTCAAAGCAGTCCTGGGATTATCTTGTTGTGTGTCCTTGGGCAAACTGAGTTACTTTTCTGGCTTTCTTTACTGTATGTAAATATGGCTCTCAATGATAAACAGTTTTGGGGACTTGTTATGCAAAAAGAACAAAGGAGCAATTTTTTTTTCTTGAGTCCCGTTCTGTCCCCCAGGCTGGAGTAGAGTGGCACGATCTCAGCTCACTGCAACCTCCATCACGTGGGTTCAGTTGATTCTCCTGCCTCAGCCTCCCGAGTAGCTGGGACTACAGGTGCCCACCACCATGCCTGGCTAAGTAGAGGGGGTTTCACCATGTTGGCCAGGCTGGTCTCAAACTCCTGACCTCAAGTGATCCGCCCACCTTGGCCTCCCAAAGTGCTGGGATTACAAGCAGGAGCCATCACATTGGCCAAAGGAACAATTTCAAACCACTCATCAATGATGTCAAACAACATTTAGGAGAGAGATCCGGCGGGTCCAGCCTGGAGAGGGTGAGAGGCTCTTGGCCTAAGTGTTCTATTCTCAGGACCAGTATTTTCAGATCAAATAAAAGATGTGAATTTGACTTTGAATTTCAAATAAACAAATTTCCCATCTGGAATCTTCTAGGATTCTAGCACTGACAAGCTAGAGACTCCTTCCAGACCTTCTAGCCAGGGAAGGCAAACTCAAATGCCTACAGGGATAAGACAGGTGACACCTAGATTTTTATTTTTAAATGTTAACCACACATTCAGTTAAATCAACAAAAACCCACTGTGTGGACCAAAGGAAACAATCTGCTCTGGCTACTTTATAAACTATAGTGAGGCCAAACCCTTTCAACCATTATACAGATGAGGACCCCAAAAGGGACAGATGTCAGCAAGGCTGCATAGCTAAGGTTTCTCAAAAGATAACCAAAATATCACGTTGGATGAAAGGCAATTGAAAATGCTAAGTCTCAAAGAGGCAGTCAGAGAGCCGTTCTATGCAGTTTGCAAGATGTTTTCACCTCCATCAATTTATCAGACTCTGAGAACATTCTGCAAGGCAGGCAGGGTGGATGACACTCATTTACAGTCGAGGTCACTGAGGGTCAGAAGGGCAAAGTGTCACTCTCTGCATAAAGTCACATAGGTAAGTCTACACAGGAAAATCTAGGGCTGTTCTTCACTACACCTCTGATTCAGATAACAGGTAGGCTTCCTCTAAGATTTTAATAAAGACAAACTCAAAATCCTGTATGATGCCCCATGAAGAGAAACAAGTCAGGAGGCCAGGCTGAGCCCCCAGACTTCTAACCCAGTTCGCAAATAAAGAAAGTGGCAAAGTAGATAGATTCCAGCCTGTCACCAGGGTTGTGTCTTCTGTCCTAGCAGCTGTACAGCTTGTCTTACCACTGGACATTTGTTTCATGTACATTTTCACATAGGAAGGATATTCTAAAAGATGTTGATAAAGATTTTTTAAAGGGTTTGAAGGGGATAGGATGTGATCTAAGGTTGTGCAAGGAGAGGAAAGGAAGAAGCACACAAAAAGAACAAATATTTATTAAGAGCCTAGAGTGGCATGCGCTGTGAAAGGCGTGGCATGTAATTCTTTCCCAGTTCTTTGCCTGTCTGAATATTTCTCATTCTTCAGGTTTCAGCTCAGATATCACATCCTCAGAGAACTTGCCTTGCCACTCTCTCTGAAGAGCCTCCCCCCGTCCCCGCCACCGCTACTGTCTCTTGAACTTTCTCAGTCTGGCCATTCTATTAAAATCTGGAACGATTTTGCTAGTTTGCGGACGAGTTTCCCCCAAGCTGCAGGCTCCATAAGGGCAGTGACAGTGTCTCTTTCTCAGATGAATGCCGGGTTGCCTATCGCGTACTTGGCACACAGTTAAGTGCTCGAGAAATTGCTAAACACTCAACGAATATTTACCAGAATACATATTTATGCTCCACCGTTGCTGAAAGAATTTCGACTAACCCTTCTTTAAGTCTCTCTTACCCTCCTGTACTATTAACACCATTGTAAGTAGGCAGTGGAGCTACATTTGCAGGGAGAGAGAAGAGCGAAAAATTGGCGCGCAGAGCTGTAAAGCGTTTTTCTCCAGGTCACACCGCAGCCTGTAAATTTGTGACACTTGGACCGATTATGGGACAGCTTGCAAACAAATTATCTGCAAACTAACGAAGCCTATTTTTAAAGATCCCTGTTCCTCGCAGCTCTAGGCGATGACATCAGAGAACCCGGAGTTCTACCTCCGAGCCAAGCCCAGTGGTGGTCAAAAACTACGAATACCAGGAAGCACCGCGGCGCGGCGGCCCAGAGCTCCGCGCGCAGGCCTCCCCGGCGCGCCGAGGCCGCCGCCGCTGGAACCAGGAAGACGCCAGAAACTCGGCCCGCCACGCCGCAGGGACCCGCGCGGGGCCTGCCGGGACTCGTAGTCTCTGCGGGCTGGGAGCGCCCGCTCCGGAATCTCAGCCGCCGTCTGAGGGCTGAGGCAGCGTGGGGACGCGTGCGCAGTGCGCGGGCTGGCCGTCGCGGACGCCGCTCCGGGCAGCCGAGCCTCTGTGGGAGCCGGGGCCGCGGCGGCGCGGGTGCTCCGGGCCGAGGCCGCGGTAAAGTTTAGCTTGAAGAACGCGGCCGCGCTGGAGCAGGGGTGGTGGACGGGGCCAGGCGCGAGGTGGCGGCGGCTGCGGGGCTGCCGGGCTGCTGGAGCGCGGTTCCCGCTGTGGCGAGCGGGGAGGCGTCCGCAGAGGGGCGGTGGGTGCTGGTGAGTGCGGAGCCGGCGCCCCCTCTGCGCACGTCCGCGCCACGCGCCACAGCACCTGGAGGCCGCCGGGCCGGCTCACCTGCCCTGGCTTGGGGCAGCGGGAGGGGGCGGCGTCTTCTTCCCGTGGGTCCCCGATTGTTTTCCCGACGTCAGCCCTCAGCGGCGCCCGGCGGGGGAGGGCGGGAGGCCCGCGGCGGTCGCGGGGCCGACGAGCTCCTCGGCGTCTCCGCCCCCCGAGAAATCCCGCTCGGGGCGCGGTGCGCGCAGCTGCCCGGGGATTCCCGGTGGCGCCGGTCGGAGCGCCTCCCTCCAGGGCTGTGCCCGCGGGGCGCGCGTCCCCGGGCATCCTTTCCTGGTGTTTAATGCATTTTGGCTTCAGGACTTGCCGAGGCCGAAGCCGGCTCCGCCCTGGGCCCTGAAGTCGGGCGGTGTCCGCGATTTACCTCCGCACCTTCGGGGCAGGTGGCCAGAGGCAGCGTTGAAAGCGACTTGCCCAAGGTCACGCAGGTGGCACCGGGGAGGCGACCAGACCCAGGTCTTTCGACGCCGAGGCCAGCTGCCAACCGCAGAGCTTTGGGGCCGTCTTGAGTGGTTTGTGGTTTGTTTCAGATGCTTTCTATTGACCTCCTGGAAAGAGGGGAAAGTGTGTCATAATGAAAGCGGTCCTGTTGCTTATAGTGTTTACCGCCTTTGGTAGAATTCTGGTGAGGCTGTGCCCCCGCGCAGAGCATCTACCGTGGTCTGGGCGTATAAATAATGAAACTCCTTTGCTCTCTGGGGGCAGTACAAGAAGAGGTTCAAGGAACAAATAAATATCCAGGCAGTTTCTGCGTTTTCCTCGTCTGTTTGTTTCACCTTCCAATTCTGCAGTACTGGTTTTCTTATTTTACAATTGATCGTTGTTTTAATAAGATTTTCTTTGTTTTAATGAAGTCATTGCCCCTTGTGAGTTAGTTTTCTAAATAGAAAATCTTATTTCCTGTGTGTTTAATGACTGGAACAAATAGTGCACTATGAGGTTTACACCATTGTCTTTCATCTTAGAACTCCTGATCAATCTGCTTTATTTTCCCAAGTACTCAGCTTGCATACTTTCTATGTTAATTTGATGCCACTGAAACCATTTACAGCAAAGTTTGGGTAAGAGTTATGTGATTGTTTTGTGAAACTGTGTTTTTCTTCACAATCTGAAGAACTTGAAGACCCGTTATATTAAAATAATAAGATTTATTCTGATCAAAATACCTGTTTACTTTTCATGCTCTTAATTTTTCCTGTTGACACACTTGTGGCAAAAGAAATATTTCCCCTAGTGGAGTTAAAGTATTTTTTATCTTGGCCAATTTTCCCAAGGAAAATTGCATTTTAGAGTACTGATACATTTAAAAAAGAGTATTTAAGTTTGACAGAATTTGAATTAATAAAGTAGTTAATTTATTTTATACTGCCGTAAACCTTACACTGTATCTACTGACAGTTTTCTCTTGTAGCGTATACCTGTATCAAGATATATGGCTGTGAATTTAGTGACATTAAGAAGATATATATATATATATATATATATATATATATAATATAAATATATGTGTATACACACCGCGCGGGCGCGCGCAGAGCTTCCAATCTTTATCTTGTTAATTAGTATTTTCATTGTCGCTTTGGGAGGGGGGAAAGTAGCAGGTTTGTATCTTTTTTTCTCCCCAGTTTTAGCAGTGTAACAAAATAGGAAAGATGGTGTGTAAAATTGAGTTTGTCATAGACTAGGAGAGACAGTGAAACAGGATAAGTATACAATTGTGAGGAAACTGCCATGAGTTCATAAGCCGGAAGGACCTTTTTAGAAGTGTTTAAGGATGTTAAGAATAGCATTGGATTCTTTTCTTTAAAAGTCATTCAAGTATCGTTTGCTAACATATAGGATATGACAATATTGACCACTCCTAGGAAGATACTTGGGAAAGGTGGAAACATTTTACATTTTTATGGGGACTTCCCCCCACAAAAAACATTTAATGGAGATTTAAACAAAGTGGCTTTTTGACTTAAGCCTGGAAGTTCTTTATTATTATTAGTCATGCTGCAAATCCCGAAGTTATTTTAATTGTGTGATAATTTGTAACCCAGAATGAAATCTAATAAATAGTTTATTAATATAATTTAAGTCATACTTTGACATTGACATATTGCTTGATGTCAAGTCATTATTGTTTAAATAACTTATTTGAGAATGGGGAAGATAGTTTTCTGAATATAGTGTAGTAATTATTTGTGACAATAGTAACATTGCTTTTATTAGAAAATTTTGGGTTGATATAACTAACTGCCTTAAAGTATTTCCTATTTGATTCCAACTGTGAGCTGAGGTAATATGCAAATAATTACTTTTCTCATGCTGGAGCAGTTTACTTTTGTTAATATTAAAATTTAAATTTCAAGATTAAAAAATCTTGTTTTAGATCTGCAATGATACAATAAAATGACTTCAATAGGAGTTAAATATTAAGATTTGGTTTTAGGTTTTTTGACCATTTGTGAGTACACATCCAGCATTTAAGAATTTATTGACATGGTGTCTGAAAGGAATGCTTTCAGAAAGGGCAGAAAACTTGGTAGCTTTAGATGATTGTTTATAATGCTTAATTATTTTTAGAAACATAAAAATATGGGATGTTTTTATGTAAACATAAAGCATCCTGTTATTTGTTATAGCACTAGAACTCTCTTACACTTACTGAGCAATATTAAACCATTTGACCCTAAGTAACTTTTTTTCTTGTGGGTACTGTCTAATAAGGGATATGTGAGTTTGTGATTCCTAGAAGATGCTTAAGCAAACATATGTTTGCTATTTATTTTAGTAAGCCTTTTAATTAGTTGAATTGATAATATTCAGGAAGATAGGGTTTTTGGGATTTTATAAGCTTTCTTTGAACTGGAATTTCTGTTGGATATAAAAGAAAATTAGTCATTTAAGATTTTTTTAAGTTAAATAAGTTTTAGAGCAAAATATTGTTTCCTACATGGAACTCTTACCAGGCTTGTCAGTCTGATAGCTTTATTCTCCAGAAAGTTGTGGTTTTTAGCCCTTTAGGCAGCCTAGCCTTTTATGGTTTAACCATTGAACTCTAGATTCTGGATTGAATTTAACCTCTTGAAGGAAAAGACGATCACAGGCACTAGAATTGGAAGTGATGTCAGAGGGCTTCTAATGTAGCATCTTACCCGGTACAGTAAATCCCTCCTGAGAATTTCCATGTCAGGTGTTCCCTCCCATTATTAAGGATGAGAATGCTATTGCATATGTCATCAGGTTATTCAGCAGTCCAAGCTTACTGAGAACAAACACAAGAGTTTTAATGAGTTTTAATTTTCACTATTCACTGCCTTTAACTGTATTTTGTAGGCTCTTTCCCACCCCCCTGTCCCCCACCCCCCATAACATCATGGGTAAATGATAGCTTTTCTGTCATTTACAGTTATCAAAAAGCTCTAGGCTGGGCTCAGTGGCTCATGCCTGTAATCCCAGCACTTCAGAAAGCCGAGGTGGGAGGATAGCTTGAGCCCAGGAGTTTGAGACCAGCCTGGGCAACATGACGAAACCTTGTCTCTACAGAAAATAGAAAAATCAGCCGGGCGTGGTGGCATGTGCCTGTAGTCCCAGCTAGTTGGGAGGCTGTTGTAGGAGGATCCCTTGAGCCTGGGAGGCAGAGGTTCCAGTGAACAGAGACTGTGCTGTGGCACTCCAGCCTGGGTGACAGGAGAGTGAGACCCTGTCTCCAAAAAAAAAAAAAAAACAGAAAAACAAAAACAAAAAATTGCAGTCTATTCCAGTTTGAACATTCAATCTCATATATATTCAATTTAAAGGTTTTTTTTCCCTTCCTTACCCTGTGGTCAGGCCACTTACTTACTGAAGCACTTGGGGTATGGACGGCTTGTGGTAAGCTCCTGGGATACTTCTTTCCTTTCCCTCTTAAGGGATCTATTTGGATACAAATGTGTCAAGAAGAGAAGTAGAAAAAGACAAGTGTTTGTTATCTGGTGCTATTAGAGTCCTCTCTTGATTAACAGTGGCAGGCCATTGCAGTCTACTAATAGGCAACCAAACTGGCATTTTTGGTGAGATCTTGCAGGGAGACTCCTGCTGCACAGTTTCTGGGTATGAAATTTTCTGTAGCTAAACCTTTTCCAACCTACACACCCATCTGCTTGCTCCCATCCTGTCAGTTTACCCACTGGTTACGTGAATGTGTGTGAGTCGGGGTGGAGATCTTTTCTCTCTGCAGCGAGATATTTTGATAATGGCAAAACAACTTCAATCCAGGTACGCTGTGGTTTCTATTCAACCCACTGGAAACTCACTTCCTTGTGATGTCGAATAGTGGCATACAGACTACTTAAGTCTGCCTTCTTTCTGTGCCCTGCCATTTCTCATCAATTCTCTTTGTCCCCCTTTTCAAGTAGACACATGGGGTCAGTCACTCAGTCTGCTGCATAAGCAGATGTGGAACTGGAGAATGGGATGCAAGTCTGTTCTAGGCTCCTCTGATCTTCATGAGTGATTTCTGTTAGAGGCCCCTGCCACTGTTTTGGTGAAGACCTCCTTCTTTTCCCTGCGTTCTCCCTGAAGACTTACAGTTCTTTCCCTCTCTTCTGTCAACTGCTCTTGCAGAGTGGAAGGATGGTGCTGATTAGGGTGCCAGAGCCATGCCTGACTCTACAGATATTTGATCCTCTATGTCTATATATCCTCAGCTTTGTGTTTGTCAGTGATTGTGGGGCAACAGGACTAGTCCCACTCGACATGTTTTAACAAATAATAGTGAAGTCTTGTGGGCCTGTTGAGGTCTCACTGTA
Source organism: Homo sapiens (assembly GCF_000001405.40). Taxonomy (NCBI): domain Eukaryota; kingdom Metazoa; phylum Chordata; class Mammalia; order Primates; family Hominidae; genus Homo; species Homo sapiens. The sequence continues at coordinate 122,379,819 of NC_000010.11, forward strand.
CAGAATTTAATTTTTCTTTGCTTTTTCTTATATCACTCAGGCTGTTTCTGTGTTTTGCCTTATTTTTTGGCTTCCTGGTTCCTGACTGATGAGGTGTTAACTGTAATTATGTTAATTTATGACTGATTTGTAAGATCTAACTATACCTTAGAGTATGAGTAAAGCTGAAGGAGAAATTTGGGTTGGGAGGCATGTTAATAATATAATTGTGTCTGGTTTTGCCTCATGTAAGTTTCACTAAAAATATAAATTTAAGTGGAAATACAGTATTTGAAACTTTTTCCTTCCATTATTTAAATAAATCAGTTAAATCTGGTAAATGATTCTTGTCTGATGAGGAAGAAACAACTTTCTATCTGGAAACTTAACGTTAATCTTTGATGCAGTAATTATGGGTTACTTCATCCGTCGTTCAACAAATAGTTACTGAGGGTCTTGCATGTGACAGCCACTGTGTTAGGCATTGGAGAAACAACAGTAAATAACAAATCCCTGCTGTCATGGAGCCTACATTACAGTGTGGGGAAACAGACAAGAATCAGGTAAATAAGTAAACTGTATCATTCATTAGATAATCAATAAATGCTAAGGAGAAGAATAACATGGGGAACCAAGGTGGAAGTAGCAAAACGGTTTGGAGGATTTGCAATTTTAGATAAGATCTAAAAGGCAGTGTTCACTGAGAACGTGACTTTGAGTTACAAGTCCCCGAGTGGGAATCTTGTCTGGTGAGTCCAGCGGCCAAATGAATGAGTAAGGTGGGTATTGGGATGGGGTAACAGGGCAGACGAGGCTTAGTGGTCTTTATGAGGGCTTTGGTTTTTAGGTTTTTACTTTGAGTGAGATGGGATCCCATTGAAACAGGTTGTCAACCTTGGCCGAACATTAGAATGATTGGGGAAGCTTTAAAAAAGTACTGATGCCTGGATCCCATCCCAGAATTTCTGATTTAATTGGTCGGCGGTGGTGGGGGAGGTGGTGTTTTAACGTAGGCATCAGGAATTTTTAAAATTCCCAGGTAATTCTGATAAGTGGCCAAGGTTGACATCTATTGCACTGAAGAGTTTTGAGCAGAGTGAGGTATTACATAGTATTGAGGAGTGTGACTCTAGAGCCAGACTCCTCCAGTTTGACTCCTGGCACTGCCACTCCCAAGCATGTGACCTTGAGCAAGTGCCTTATTAGTTTTCTCATCTGTAAAATTGTTATAAGGATTAAATAAACTAATATTTAGGTATTTAGAAAAGTGCTTTGTGAGTAGTAATATGTGTACGTGTTTATTGAGTGAACACTTGAATAAATGTTTTAATGGGATCACTTTGACTGCCATGTTGAGAATAGATTGAAGTGGGGTAAGGGCCAGATCCAGGAGAGGCCCTTGGCAATAATCCAGGTGGGAGGTCATGGTCACTTGGACCAGAGAGGTAGCAAGTGGTGAGAAGTAGGATTCTGGTTATAATTTGAAGATGGAGATAACAGGATTTGCTGATGGATTGGACATGGGGTAGGATATGGTTTGGATTTGTGTCCCCACCCAAATCTCATGTCGAATTGTAATCCCCAGTGTTGGAGGAGGCGCCTGTTGGGAGGCGGTTGGTTCATGGGACAGACATCCCTACTTTCTGTTCTCATGATAGTGAGTGAGTTCTCCTGAGATCTGGTTGTTTAAAAGTGTGTACCTCTCTCTTCTCTCTTTCTTCCTCCTGCTCCTGCGATGTAAGAGGTAACTCCTCCCTCTTTGCCTTCCACCATGATTGTAAGTTTCTTGAGGCGTCCCCAGTCATGCCTCCTGTACAGACTGTGGAACTGTGAGCTAATTAAACCTCTTTTCTTTGTAAATTACCCAGCCTCAGGTAGTTCTTTATAGCAATGCAAGAACGGACTACCACAGGGTGAGAAAAACTTAAGTATGACTTCAAGATACTTTTCCTGAACAACTGGAAGAAGGGAGTGGCCCTTTACTGAGCTAGGGAAGGCTGGATCAGGATTCTGAGGGGAATATCTGGAGCTCAGTTTGTTAAGTTTGAGATAGCTTGTTAGATAAGTGGAACCGTAGAATAGGCAGTTGTATACATGGGTCTGGAGGTCAACAGTGTTCAAGGCTGGAGATAACAGTCTGGAAGTCATCAATATTTAGGCCTGTGAGAATGAGTAACCTCACCAAGACACTGAGTATATATAGGAAAGAGATCCACAGACCACCCTCTGGGATACTCCAACAATAGAGGTCTGGGAGATGAAATATTCCTTAGGGTTTCTTATGTACTCTAGAATGAAAGACAATTGTAATCGTTTCTTTTTTTAGAAAAAGCTTTATTGAGATAATTCACACTATATAAATCACTTATTTAAAATGTATGATTTAGTGCATTCACAGTTACGTGGACAACACCACAATCAATTTTAGAATATTAGTATCATCCCCAAAGAAACCCTGTACCCTCCTATCCTTAGACAACAACTCATTTCCCCTGTACCTAGGCAACTAGTAATCTACCTTCTAGCTTTATAGATTTGCCCATTCTGCATATTTCATGTCAGTGGAATCATACTATACTTGGTTTGTTTAGAGAGAAGTGGTATCCATTAGTACCTAGCTTCTAGATTCAATAGATACCAAGTTACTTGGTAAAGGTGGGGGCTATAAGATCTCTCCAATGTAAAGATACATTTCCTGTTTGCAATTAGTAACAAAACTGTGGGGTGATATTTTGAGACTATGAATATTCTGTTTCCTAACAGCATTTCATCTAGTGGTTTTAGTGTTCATTGAAGATGCTTGTGTAAATCAGTGAGACATTGGGATTACAAAGTGGTGATTTTCTATTACTGTCATATCTTCAGAAATGATGTAGTTCATATTATTTCTAATTCAGATGTATTGTACACAGTTTGTTCTTTTGTTTTTTGTTTGTACCTCTTTTCTCTCACTGTGAAAGTCTTGGTTCCTAATAACAAATAAATGTTTTCTTTTATTTTAAATATAATCATATCAACATATTTACATTATCCAATAATGTACATTATAATGGTCTGGAAGTCTTGTTATACCTAAAATGTTTCACATTACAGTACCAAGTAGGAATGCTGGATCATAGGATAAAAGCATATATGATTTTGTTAAATAGTACCAGATTCACCCAGTAGGGTTTTACCATTTTGCCTTCTTGCCAGCAATGTAAGAGTTTCTGTTTTCTTACAGCCTCATCAGTATAGTGTGTTGTCAAACTTTTGAATTTTTGCCAGTCTAATAGATGAGAAATGGTATATCTGTATAGTATAGATTTAAAAAACTTTTCTATTATGGAGATTTGTGAACATCCACAAAAATAGAATAGTGTAACCAATCCCATGAACACCATCATTTAGCCCCAGCAACTACCAACCCTGCCACCAGTGCCTCCGTTTATTCCCTTCTCTAAAAATTATTTTGAAACAAATCCCAGATAACATTTTTTTCTTTTCTTTCTTGCTTTTTTCTTTTCTTTCTTTCTGTTTTTTTTTTTTCTTTTTTTTTTTTAGAATGGGTCTTGCTCTATTGCCCAGGCTGGAGTACAGTGGCACAATCATAGCTTACTGCAGACTCAATCTCCTGGGCTGAAGCGATTATCCCACCTCAGCTTCCCAAGTAGCTGGGACTACAGGCACACACCACCATGCCTGGCTAATTTTTTTTTTTTTTTTTGGCAGAGATAATGTCTTGTCATTTTGTAGGCTTGAATTGCTGAGCTCACACAATCCTCCTGCCTCAGCCTCCCAAAGTGCTGGGATTACAATTGTGAGCCATCATGCCTGGCCCCAGATAAATAACATTTATTTTATATCAGTAAATATCTCTAAATGAAAAGGACTCCTCCTTTTTTTGGTAACAATCACAATGCCGTTATCACACCAAAAATAATGTGTCTGTTTTCTTAATATCATCAGACAATATTCAAATTTCCGATTTTAAGTATGTCAGTGTTTTTTTGTTTGTTTTTGTTTTTATTTTTAAAGAAACAGGATTTAAATAAAATCCACATGTCGTGATTGGTCCAGATATCTAAAGTCTTTTTTAATTCATAGGTTTCTCCTCTAGTTCCTTTTCTTCTCCTGCTTTTGAATTTAATTTTAAAGAAACCAGTTATCTTTCCTGAGCCATTTCTTACTGTATAGATTTTGATATTTGAATCCCTGTGGTAGTCTCTCGTGTTGTTCTGTTCTTGGGATGTCATTGGCAATGGCTACATCTCGGTATGGTTTTTTTGTATTTGTCCTGTTATGAGTGATACTGAATATCTCATCATATATTTAAAGGCCATTTTTATATCTCTCTTGGTACAATGTTCATGTCTTTTACTCATTTTTCTATTGAACGTTTGATATATTTCCCTTAACATTTTTTGCAAGCTCTTTAAATGCTAGGGAGATTAGCCCTTTGTTTATGATATAAGTTGCAAATATTTTCTACTGGCTTTGACTTTGCTTATCAGGTTTTTGCCATGGAAAGCTTTTAAAAAACTTTATTTGGCTGGGCGCGGTGGCTCACGCCTGTAATCCCAGCACTTTGGGAGGCCGAGATGGGCGGATCACGTGGTCAGGAGATTGAGACCATCCTGGCTAACACGGTGAAACCCCGTCTCTACTAAAAATACAAAAAATTAGCCGGGTGAGGTGGTGGGCGCCTGTAGTCCCAGCTGCTCGGGAGGCTGAGGCAGGAGAATGGTGTGAACCCCAGGGGGCAGAGCCTGCAGTGCGCCGAGATCGTGCCACTGCACTCCAGCCTGGGTGACAGAGCGAGACTCTGTCTCAAAAAAAAAAAAAAAAAAATGACTTGTAGTCATTTATAAATGAGTTTTTAAAATTGTTACTGCTCCAGGTGTGGTGGCTCACACCTGTAATCCCAGCACTTTGGGAGGCCAATGCAGGTGGATCATTTGTGGTCAGGACTTTGAGACCAGCCTGGCCAAACATGGTGAAACCCTGTCTCTACTGAAAATACAGAAATTAGCCGGGTGGTAGTGGCTCAGTGCCTGTAATCTTAGCTACTCAGGAGGCTGAGGCATGAGAATTGCTTGAGCCTGTGAGGTGGAGGTTGCAGTGAGCCGAGTATCACGCGACTGCACTGCAGTCTGGGCAACAGAGTGAGACTCTACCTCAAAAAAAGAATTTTTTTTTAAATTGGTACTGGATTTTTAACCTTTTGAAGTTACATTCAATAAACTCTATCTGTTTAAAATGTATAATTTGATGAGTTTTGACCATGTCTGCAGCACATTAAGATACAGAACATTTCCATAACTCTGAGAAGTATCCTCATGCCACTTACAGTCCTTCCCTTCACCCTCAGCTCCAAGCAACTACTGATCTGCATTCCATCCCTATAGATTGGTTTGCAGTTTTCAGAATTTTATAGAAATATAATTATTTCTATAAATAAATAACACTAAAACCACTAGTTGAAATGTTAGGAAGCAGAATTATTATCAAAGGCTGTATCCTTTTGTGTCTGGCTTTTTTTTTTTTTTTTTTTTTTTGAGGCGGAGTTTCGCTCTTGCTGCTCAGGCTGGAGTGCAGTGGCGTGATCTAGGCCCACTGCAACCTCCGCCTCCCGGGTTCAAGCAATTCTCCTGCCTCAGCCTCCTGAGTAGCTGGGATTAGAGCATGCACCACCATGCCCGGCTAATTTTGAATTTTTAGTAGAGACGGGGCTTCTCCGTGTTGGTCAGGCTGGTCTTGAACTCCCAACCTCAGGTGATCTGCCTGCTTTGGCCTCCCAAAGTGTTGGGATTATAGGCGTGAGCCACTGTGCCCAGCCTATTTCTGGCCTTTTTTGTACTTAATATTACGATTTTGAGATTTATTCATGTTGTTGCATCTGTCAGTAGTTCCTTTTTACGGTAGAGCAGTATTCCATCTCTACTGATTTGTTCTATGTCCCATATCCTTTTTGGTCTGGCTTCTTTCACATACCAAAATACATTTGACATTTATTAGTTGCGCATGTATCAATAGTTTGTTCCTTTATTTTGCCAAGTAATATTTTATTGTATTGGATGCACCACATTTTGTTTATTCGTACACCAGTTGAAGGACATTTGGGTTGTTCGTGTTTTTTTGCCAGTTATGACTAATACTGCTATAAACATTTGTATCCAATATTTGGTGTGAACATAAGCCTTCAATTCATTTGGATAAATACCTAGGAGTGGGATTGCCGGGTTGTTCGCTAAGGATCTGTTTAACTGTAAAAACTGCCAAACTGTTTTCCAAAGTTGCTATGTCATTTTGCATTTCCACCAGCAATATATGATAGTTCGTTTATTTCACATCTTTGACAGCATTTAGTGTTGTCAGGGTTTTTTTTGTTTGTTTTAGACATTTTAGTAGGTATGTTATAGTATCTTGTGGTTTTTATTTGCATTCACTTTCCTGACTAATTATAGTAGGCATCTATTCGTGTGCTTATTTACTATTTTTATATGTTCTTAGTCAGCTTGTGTGTTCCAAGTTTTTTTTTTTTACCATTTTCGTATTTGGTTGTCTTATTATTGAATTGTAATAATTACCTGCCTGTTCTAGGGTATCATTTGCTGTCTGGATACATATATATTGAATATTTTCTTCATTTTTATGGCTTGTCTTTTCATTTCTTTATGGTGTCTTTTGAAGAGCAATTTTAAAGTTTGATTACGTTTCAGATATATCAACTATTATATGGTTCAGGCTTTTTGTGTCTTATCTAAGAAATATTTGTCTACCCCTAAGGTCCTGAAGACTTTGTCCTATATTTTGTTCTGGAAGCTTTGACATTTTACATTGAGTCAGTGATCCATTTGAGTTAGTTTTTTTCCTCATAGACAGTCGATTATTCCAGTCTTGTTTGTTGAAAAGACTGTCCTTTCTCTACAAAATTGCCTTGGCACCTTGGTTGAAAATTAACTGTTCTCTCTTCCTGTTTACTAGAAGAATTTTTAAAAGACCGGTGTTATTTTTTTCCTTAAGGGATTGGTAGAATTCACATATGAACTATTTCTAGGCTTTGACTTTTCTTTTTGGGGTTTTAGTAGTGAATTCATTTGCTTTAGTAGAAATAGGTACTTCAGATTTTCTTTTTTGTCTTGTGTCAGTTTTTTCAAAGTTGTGTTTTTTCAAAGAATTTGTTTACTTCTAAATTGTCAAATTTGTTTGCATGAATTCTTATTACCCACTTAATGTCTATAGGGTGTGTAGTGTGTACTTCCTAATATTGGTGATTTGCTTTCTCTCTTTCACTTGGTTCACATAGCTATAGATTTATCAATTTGATCTTTTCAAGAAACAGCTTTTGGTTTTAATTTGTATTGTTTGTTTTCAATTTTATTAGTTTCTTTTCTGATATTTATTATTCCCTTTCTATTTTGGGTTTACTTTACCTTTTTCTAGCTTTTTAGGGTGGAGTTTATGCCATTCATATTAGACCTTTTCTAATAAAAATATCTTAAGACTATAAATTTTCTTTCAAAATCACCTTTAGCTGCATACTACAAATTTTGACTTTTAAAATTTTTCATTTAGTTAAGAATGTTTTCTGATTTCCCTTTTGATTTCTTCTTTTACCCATATTTTATTTAAAAGTGTATTTTAATTTTCAAATAGCTATTCAGGTGATAATTTCATCTATAGCACTAAAAACCAATGAAAATTCTGACATATATTTGTTTATAAAATTCCTTGAATGCTCTGTATATTGTATTTATATGGTATATACCTGAGGGCTTTTCTGTAGCATAAAAGAACAGTTCATTATTTTTCACTGTTCTCTGGGTTGAAGGAGCTCATTTGGGCAGCTCCATCTTGGGGGTCTCTCTCTTGTAGTTGCAGTCAGATGGCAGCTGGAATGAGAGTCATCTGAAGGCTTGACTGGGCTGGATGGTCAAGATAGCCTCTTCACTCACTCTGCTAGAATGACTGGGACAGCTGGGTGTGGGCTGGTCACCTCTCTCCGCACAGCTTCTTCATGGGACTAGTTGGCTTTCACACAACGGGGCAGTCTGAAGGCAGTCAGATTTCCTACATGACAGCTGACTTCTAGAGTGAGCATTCTAAGACATTGAGTTTTTTCAAGTAGATAATTTATTTGCTCTACTCTTTCAAACTAAGAAGTAAGATAAATGTATGGGGCCAGTCATTGTAGAAACTGCCTGGTAAGTAACGTTACAGCATCCTTTTATTTTTTTAGTCGAGGTGAAATTAGCATGAGATTACCCATTTTAGTGCGTACAACCCAATGACATTTCATACTTTCACAGTGTCAGTGTTGTGCAACTATCACCTATATCTACTGTCAAAACATTTTCATCACCTGTTAAGCAGCTCTTCTGCATTTCCCACTCTCTTCAGCCTCTGGCAACCACCAATCTATTCCTTGTTGCTCTGGATTTATCTATTTAGGATCTTTCATATAAATAGAATCATACAACATGTACCTTTTTGTTGGTGGCTTTTTTCATTTAGCATGTTTCTGAGGTTTATCTAGGTAGTAGCATGTATCAGTACTTCATTCCTTTTTATGTCTGAAAAATATTCCATTGTATGCATATACCACATTTCATTCATTTGTTGGGGTTGTTTCCACCTTTTGGCTATTTGTGAGTAGTGCTGCTATGAACATTTCATATACAAGGGTTTATTTGACTACCTGTGTTCAATTCTGAATATCTGAATCTCAGAGATACGTGGGTTCAGTTTCAGTCCATGGCAATAAGATAAATGTTGCAATAGAATGAATCACACTAATTTTTTGGTTTCCCAGTACATATAAAAACTATGTTTACACTATACTGTAACCTATTAAGTATGCTATAGCATTATATGTAAAAAATGTATATACTATAATTTAAAAATATTTTATTGCTTAAAAATGCTAACAGTCATCTCAGCCTCTTCAAATGAGTTGTAATTTTTTGCTAGTGGAGAGTTTTAACTCAATGTTGGTGGCTGCTGACTGATTAGGATAGTGGTTGCTGAAGGTAGGGGTGGCTGTGGCATTTCAAGAAACCACTTTTGTTTGCTCATCCATAGAAGCAACTTCTCATCTGTTCAAGTTTTAGCATGAGATTATAGTAATTTAGTCACATTTTCAGGCCCTTCTAATTCTAGTCCTTTTGCTGTTTCTGCCATATTTGTAGTTACTTCCTCCACTGAAGTCTTGAACCCTCCCAAGTCATCCACGAGAGTTGGAATCAACTTCTTTCAAAACCTTGTTAATGTTGATATTTGGACCTCCTCTTGTGAATCATGAATGTTCTGAACAGCATCTAGAATGATGAATCCTCTCCAGAAAATTTTCAATTTACTTTGCCCAGATCTATCAGAGGAATCACTGTCTATGGCAGCTATATTTCAAATCACAAATATATATTTCAATATCACAAAATGTGTTTCTTGAAAGTTGAAATTACTCTTTGATGCATGAGCTGCAGAATGGATGTTGTGTTAACAGGTGTGGAAACAACATAATCACCTTGCACATTTTCATCAGAGCTCTTGGGTGACCACGTGCATTGTCAGTGAGCAGTGATATTTGGAAAGGAATCTTCTGAGGAGTAAGTCTCAATAGTGGGCTTAAAATATTCAGTGGCTGGGCGTGGTGGCTAACACCTGTAATTCCAACACTTTGGGAGGCCAAGGCAAGCGGATCACCTGAGGTCAGGAGTTTGAGAGCAGCCCGGCCAATGTGGTGAAACCCTGTTTCTACTAAAAATACAAAAATTAGTCAGGCATGATGGCATGTGCCTGTAATCCCAGTTACTTGGGAGGCTGAGGCAGGCTGAGGCAGGAGAATTGCTTGAACCTGGGAGGTGGAGGTTGCAGTGAGCCAAGATTGCGCCACCACTCTAGCCTGGGTGACAGCAAGACTCCATCTCAAAAAAAAAATTTTTTTTTCAGTAAAACATGCTGTAAACAGGTGTGCTGTCATCCAGATTTTGTTATTCCATTTTTAGAGTACAGGCAGAGTAGACTTTGCATAATTCTTGAGGGCTCTAGGATTTTTTTCGGAATGGTAAGTGAGCAGTGACTTCAACTTAAAGTCAGCAGCTACATTAGCCCCTAACAAGAGTCAGCTTGTCCTTTGAAGCTTTGAATCAGGCATTGACTTCTCTAGAACTGTGAAAGTCCTAGATGGCATCTTCCAATAGAAGACTTTCACATACATTCAAAATCTCTTTACTGTACCCACCTCCTTGATGTCAGCTAGATCTTCCTGGATAACTTGTGGAAGCTTCTATATCAGCACTTGCTGCTTCACCTTGCACTTTTATGTTATAGAGATGGCTTCTTTCTTTAAAAGTCATGAACCAACAACCTCTGCTGGCTTCCAGCTTTCTTCCTGTAGCTTCTCACCTCTCTCAGCCTTCAAATAACTGAAGAAAGCCTTTCTTTAGGTTAGGCTTTGACTTAAGGGGAATACTGTAGCTAATTTGATGTTCTGTCGAGACCAGTAAAGCTTTCTTCATATCAGCAATAAAGCTGTTTCACTTACCATTCTTGTGTTCACTGAAGTAGCACTTTTAATTTCCTTCAGGAACTTTACCTTTGCATTCATAACTTGGCTGTTTGGTGCAAGAAACCTCATTTTTGGTCTGTCTCAGCTTTTGACATGCTTCACTTACTAAGCTTAGACATTTCTGGCTTTTGGTTTAAAGCGAGACACTTGGCTGGGCATGGTGGCTCATGCCTGTAATCCCAGCACTTTGAGAGGCCGAGGCAAGAGGATTGCTTGAGGCCAGGAGCTCAAGACTAGCCTGGGCAGCATAGTGAGATCCTGTCTTTACAAAAAATAAAAAAGTTAGCTGGGCATGGTGGTACATGCATGTAGTTCTCCCACCTATTTGGGAGGCTGAGACAGGAGGATTTCTTGAGCCCAGTAGTTTGAGGCTGCAGGGTTGCCACAAACCTTCAATTTGTAAAAACTCCAATATCTGTGAAGTGCAATAAAATGAAGCACAGTAAAACGAGGTGTGTGTGTACCTAGGAGTAGAATGGCTGGATCATATGGTAATTCTATGTTTAACTCTTGAAGAGCTGCCAAATTGTTTTACACAGCTGTTGTACCATTTTACATTCCCACCAGCAACGTAGGAGGGTTCCAGTTTCTCCATGTCCTTGCCAACACTTGTTATTTTCCTCTCTTTTAATTATAGCCATCCTAGTGGGGGTGAAGTTTTATCTCATTGTGGTTTTTATTTGGATTTCCCTAATGACTGATGATATTGAGTATCAAAGTTCTCGTTGACCATTTGTTTATCTTCTTTGGATAAATGTCTCTTCAAGTCATTTGCCCATTTTAAACTTGGACTAAAGTTTTTGAGTTCTGAAAGTTACTTATGTATTCTGGATACTAGATCCTTGTCAGATATATAGTTTGCAAATATTTTCTTTCCTTCTATAGATTTTCTTTTGACTTTCTTGAAGTTGTTTGATGCAAAAAAAGTTTTAAAATTTGATGAAGTCCAATATAATTTTTGTTGTTGCTCATGCTTTTGGTATTATATCTAAGAATTCATTGCCAATTCCAAAGTAAGATTTACCCTATATTTTCTTCTGAAAGTTTTCTGGTTTTAGCTCTTAAATTGTTAATCCATTTTGAGTTAATTTTTATAAATGGTGTGAGGTAGGGGGTCCAGCTTCATTCTATGTGGATATCCAGTTGTACCAGCACCAGTTGTTGAAGAGGCTTTTTTCCCCCACATTGAATGGTATTAGCACCCTTGTTGAAATCAGTTGACTATAGATGTATAGGTTGAAATCAGTTGACTATAGATGTATAGGTTTATTTCTGTGCTCTTAATTCTTTTCCACTGATCTATGTCTATTCTCATGGCAAGTTGATAGCTTTTACCTGTGGTATATGGTAGTATAGAGTATTGATTTTTCAAGCTTTGATTACATTGTAAACTTTTTTTTTTTTACAAACATGGTAAATTTATTAAAGAAATTATTTCCTTTAAAGTATCAGATTTATAAGAACAATAACAGCAACAACACACAAACTTATTGGATGGTTTTATTTAAAACTTTTTGGTGTATTTTATCATTTCTCTGACTGCATATGGAATAGTGATGCAGATACATAGTATATCAGTGTGCATTGTAATTGAATTTTCACTGTAAGTTAAATTTACCTTGAGCCTCTAAATAAATAGTTATGTAAATTCATCCTGCCAAAAGATGTGATGGTGCCAGCTATAGAAGTACCAGAATAGTAACAGCTGTCTGGTGCAGATTTGGGCTAAGCATCACATCAAGAAGGAATCACATGTCTGTAGTCTCTAGAGAAACAGTTCTTGGCACCTAATGGTTTTTTAACTTTAATCAGTACAATAAAAGTTGCAGTACTTTAGGACCAGAATATGATACACCTTTTAAGTCTATTTTAATCTATAATGTCTCTCTTTTTCTTTTTTTTCTTGTAATAATTTACTTGCTAAAGAAACTTTTTTTTTTCCTTTGTTTCTTATAGTCTGGCTCTTGCTGATTGAATTCCTTTGGTGCAGTTTAGCATGTTCCTCTGTGTTCTGCATCTCCTGTAGGTTGGTATTTGGATATAGAGGGGATCTAAAAAACATTTTTTCTTGTTGCTTTATGTTCACATGATAGGTGATGTTTGTGTCTTCCATCAGGAGGCACATCATACCTGCTTATCTCTCTTTCCAGTACATTAACTAGTTTATTTTGATTCACTTTAGTTTTAACAATTCAAGGGTTTTTTAGAGAGGATGGTGTAGAGCATAAGATAGGAGATCTAGAGTGCGGTAATCTGGATTCAGGCTTTGACTCTTGGCCTACTAGTTTTGGAATTTTGGAAAATCACTTCCCCTGTGTATTAAGTTCCTTATCTGCTGGGGATGATTATGCCTACTCCTAGGATTGTTTAGAAGATTAAAAGAGTTAACATATGGAAAAGAACCTTGTACAGAGCCTAGCATGTAGCAAGTGGTCACTAAATTTTAACTTTTGTTGTTTTGTGAATTTAAAAATATTCTAAAATAATCTAAAGGATAGATTATCTTGATTTGTGAGGAAATTAAAATTTGGATAACTATTTTTTTTGGCTCACCTGGGGTTTTTTTAGGGAAAAAGTAAGTAAATTATTCAGCTGAGGTGAGTAGCTCTCTGTTGTCCCCATCACAGTGAATAAATAGTTACATTTAGTAACCACTCTTCACAAACTGAATTTCAAAAGTGATTTTTGTCAATGCCTCAGATGTTGGTGTGTGTTCATTTTAATTGACCTTACCTAATGTTGGCAAGTTGCCCCCTCATTGAACAGATTTGCAGTCCATGAGAAATACTTTCCTGTTTCATAGGGAGCTTACTGTTAATATTTTTATTTTACAGTGTAATGTTCAAGCTCAGAAATGCCTTATGTGGATCGTCAGAATCGCATTTGTGGTTTTCTAGACATTGAAGAAAATGAAAACAGTGGGAAATTTCTTCGAAGGTACTTCATACTGGATACCAGAGAAGATAGTTTCGTGTGGTACATGGATAATCCACAGGTTTGTAAAATCCCAAGGATTATCTTTTAAAAGCACAGAAAGTTGTATTTAAGTATTTAACATACTATACAGGCTTTAGATTTGTCTTCTTAAGCAGTATATTTTTAGATTTATTTCTACTGGCTGTCCTCTCTGCCCTGCACCCCTGACCTCTACTGTTTTGTTTGAATTTCAGAAGGTGAAACTAAGTTTATTTGATAAAAATTAATGCTTCTGTATATATTTTTCCCTCGAGAGAGAAATACTCTCTCTGGTGGCAAATTAGGTTTTAGAAAATTAGAACTTGAGTCACAGAAAAAAATAACAATTGAAGCTGTCCCAAAAATAAGAAATACTTTTTTTGTAACATGTATTTCAAACAACAGCTAAAATAAAGACCAGGGATAGATGATTTTCTTGCATTAAGGAGGCTTAATACCAGGGTCCCTTTAGTGAGATTAAATTTAGGTTTAAGATGCTGCATCTAGGATAGAGACTATTATTTTTAAATAAATAAATGACTTAACCACATGATACTCTTGCACATATGTAGTCCTTTTATTTTGTAGTGTCAGATTTGAGTCAGTCATTGTAATGCCATCCATGAACTGAAATGCAGTTTGATTTTATTGTTGCCTTGCAAAACACAGGGGTAAATGCTACAATTTAAAAAATTGGAATCCCAGCCTTAAGAGGCCTGAGATTAGATATCATCTGTGAAGTAGTTTTAAACTTTCAACTTTCTCTACTTTTTTTTTTTTTTTTTTTTTTTTTTGAGATGGAGTCTCTTATCACCCAGGCTGGAATGCAGCGGTATGATTTTGACTCACTGCAGCCTCTGCCTCCTGGGTTCAAGTGATTCTCATGCCTCAGCCTCCCGAGTAGCTGGGACTACAGGGGTGTGCCACCACACCTGGCTAATTTTTTGTATTTTTAGTAGAGACAGGGTTTTTCCGTCTTGGCCAGGCTGGTGTTGAACTCCTGATGTCAGGTGATCCTCCAGCCTCAGCCTCCCAAAGTGCTGAGATTACAGGCATGAGCCACCGCGCCCGGCCTTTTGGAACTTTTTATCTTCAAATAAAAATTGGTGTAGAAGTTAAAAATGGGGTTGTATGTTGCAAGGAAGTATGTGCAAAGCAAGGGATGAATCTCTAGCAGACTTCTAAGCTGATTTTTGTCCAGTAGGCTTCTCGTGTGGGTGAGGAATGGAAGGTCTAGGGAAGAGCAGAGACTTATACAAGGTTCTGTTCTGTTTCACAGAGCAGGAACTAGGTCTGCTGATAAGTAGTCTAGTATTCTTCACTATATACTGATTTTAGATTAGACAAGATATATATGTGTCTATAGTAGATACTAATGTGTGTATGTTTATTTATGTAGAATTTGAGTTGTAAGGGACCTCTCCTCACCCATATGAGCCATTGCACAGTTCTGCCTATTTTCTCTCCCTGATTTTTCTCTCTCTTCACAAGGTCTGGTTGACATATGTATGGTTTCTCCTGAATTTTACTTGAAGCTCCTTGATTATTTTTCTGTGTTCCTACATAATAGATTCTTCTTGTCATTCTTCCTTTATCAGTACTACCCATTTAGCAGAGCTAAAAGGAGTTAAGTACAAAATAGAATATATTTATTACCCTGAATAAAACTTGAACTTGGAATTCAGAGGAAAGTTACACAGCTAGTAGAAGGAGTTGAAGTCTTCATGGAAGTGGTAACATTTGAAATTGACTTAGAAGTTTGGATATAATATTGGCTAAGAGATGGAAAAGTTGAGTATTCCAGTGCTCAAAGAACAGTGTGGGCAGAGATCAAAGCAAGAGAGCCTATGGCGTGTTTGGAGACTAGATCACTTTGGCTATAGCACTCAGCTAGGTCTTGTCCACATAAACTTTTAAAATCCAGATCTCTATGTTAGAATTAATGCATTGGCTTTTCTGGACACAGTGCCAGTTTTTTTTTTAAGTACAGAATTTAAATATTTTTTAGTTTGTTCTTATTAATTTTATATCTTCTTTCCAACTTAGGAAATCTTGATTCTGCCAGCCAGTGTATTAGCCATTAGTACCAACTTGGTGTCACTTTTAAATGTAATAATCAAGACATACCTACTCTTGAAAACTTTAGTAAAATGTCTTGCTAAGATTATTATATTATTTTCTTTCTTTATCAAGGTTATTATGTTCAGTATAACCGTGTTATTGCATCTTGACATAAGCAATTAGATTGAACCATATGAAATTGCTAATATACAGCCATTTTGAATTACTAAAAAAATGGCAATGTCATATGGTTCAATCTAGTTGCTTATGTCAAAGTATAATAACATGGTTATACTGATCATAATAACCTTGGTAAAGAAAGAAAATTAGTTTGATTCCTCTATTATTAGGAAGCCACTTCTTCCCCTGACCACTGCTTCCTTTACCACTAACCATGGGTTTAAAAATTCTTTCTAGTGTTTATTAGGGATCACTTTGGGGCTTCCTGTGTTTTGTCCAGGAGGTTGGTAATCATGGAGAATGAAATAATTAAGTTGCTGTACGAGGGAGTGCATTTGAAGATATTCGAAAAAGTATTTGGCAAAATGAGTTTAGGAACTCATAATCAACAAATGGCCTATTTCCCTTTTTTTCTTAAATGTTCTATTAGTTTGTTATTTCTTGTTCATTGTCAAGTAACAAATTTTGAATCTCATTTTTTTCCAGTCGAACCTGATGGTAATCATACTAGTCCACAGAAACTGCGTATTTTGAATATTGTTTTTCTCTCAGCTACTTAAATTTCCCCATAGTGTACTACTATTACTGTGACACTTTATGTCATGCTTTGGTTTCTCATTTGTCTTCCTTCCACAAAGGCTTAGAGCTCTATTCAGCAGTTAAAATAATAGGCTCATGAAAAACTGAAAAGAAATAAATTATTACCCTTAAATGGAAGGGTAACAGTTTTTGAAAAAATCACTTTGGTGGTAGTTAGAGATTCTTGAAGACATATTTACATTTCTTTTCCTTCTTTAAAGTTAAAAACCAAAAACCCATAAATCTAAAACGTTATACATAAGAATACAAATAGCTTTTTAATGTTATACATTAATGAATTATAATTTTATTTTATATGCATATTTACTATTGATGATTTATATTTGGAAGCTTGTACGTAGTATATAGTTTAAAGCAGAACATAATTAATGGAGTTTTACAATATATAGGTGTGAAAGTTTTTAAAAGATCTGTCCCTGTCAACAATAAGCAGTTCATGTTTGGGACTCTTAAGTCTTTGAAATGTCTAGGCTTCCAGTTACCTCCTAATCATTCATTAGAACAAGCCAATAGATTTTTATATTTTTAAGTACGTTATTATAAAGTCAGTTGAAAAGTTGATCCTGTCTTATCTCCAGCAGAAATAATTTTCAAAATCAACTAAAACTAATGTTTTCATTTTTACTTCTGAAATCTTCTATCAGTCTTTTATCAGTCTTCTATCATAGAAATGAAATTTATATTCTTGATTTGTTTTCCCCAGATTCTTTTGTCTGGTTTTCCTACCTCTATCTTCCTCTTCTATAATCCCTTCAGTTTATTATAAGATATATTATAAAAAGAGCATAATTTTGATTCCAGATCTGCTCATAAGCCTTCTTCGTTGGCCTCAAATTCTCTACGATATAAATTCTTTGCTACTTTTTTATTTAGGTCCTCTATGATTAGGTTCTCAGTTCAAGTTTTCAGACCACCATTTTGTACTACAATCTTACAGGACACTGCATTACAGCCCCACATAGCCCCCCTCTCTCTTTCTAGTACAGAGCTGTGCATCTTCCATTGTTTGCTATAGTTTGTCCATTTTCTCTGCTTGGAATATTCTCCCCTGCTTTTTGTGTTTCAAAATTTTCCTTAACCTCCAGCCTAAATGTTGTTCATCACTTCAGTCTTTCTGGATAGCTTCAACCAGAGATGATTCTCCCTCTATGTTTACCTTTAGCTCTTTTGATGCAAACCACATCTGAAACTTACGGGAAGAATGAAAATACTGTGTGTGAAAGTGCCTACATTCCCTGCATATGATAAAGAGAAGCAAACATTTTTTTGTGGAAAAAAAAGTATCAATGTAGATTAATATGGCATAAAAAACAGTAAACCATTTAAATGGGGGGAAATGCAGTCCATTTTTGTCAAGAGATACTTGATAAAGAAATTTTAATAGAACAAAGTAATATGTATAGTCTTTTTAAGTATCTTACAATTATATTTGTTTTCTGCCTGTAAATATTTCCCCCTTGCTTTCAGGAACAAAATCTGATCTTGTTCATGGCTTTTTAAGCTCATGAGAAAGTATTAGTTTAGCTCCAGTGATAAAAATAGCCTTTTAGTCATAGAATGCATGATAATGGAACAGAGTAGGATTCAGTTTTGTTATCCAAGCTATGGACTTGATTTCAGACCTAGTAAAAATTTGAACAGAAGAAAAGTTCATTTGTAAAATGTGATATTAAAAAATTGAGTTTTTAACTTTTCAGAAGTATATGTGGAACATTATATTATAAAATGAATTCATAATATTGGATATTAAGTATATATTAATACTTTGTTTCTAGAACCTACCTTCTGGATCATCACGTGTTGGAGCCATTAAGCTTACCTACATTTCAAAGGTAGTCTTTATACATTGTCTTATACTCGTGTGAATTAAAATCCCTGTGAATGAGAGTATGAATAGAAGCAGCAGTTTCCTTTCCATGTCCTTTAACAGTGATGTTCAGATTCCTATCATACTGAAATGGTACCTGATTACTACGTTTAGGAAATTCTTTAAATCGATACAGTTATGAAGAATATGATTTTAACTTACAGGATGTGGCAAATTGCAAAAGTTAACATTAACTTTTATGATCAGGTATATGAACATCAGAAAGGGAGAAATCAGTGAAACAAATTCTATCTTGAGAAAGTCTGGAGATTTTTCTAAGTCTGTATTATGTTTATTTAGACTGTTTTCAACTTTTAAATCCCATTGTCTTTGATACTTTGTTTCTTAATGTTTTATTTTGAGGAAAATATGGACCATTTTCATGTTGAAAGGATGATTTTCCCCCTCTTTTCACTTTGTCTCTTTTCATTTCTGTTTTCTTATTTGTTTTTCTGGTAATTTTGCAATACTATTTTTTATTTTTTAAAATTTTGATTTTATGTTTGTCAGGTACATTTTTTTCTTATTTTCTTCTATTAATGTTTAGGGAACTAAGTGATGCTGAGGTGCTAACCCTATGGGTTTGTGTGTGTGTGTGTGTGTGTGTGTGTGCATGTGTGTTACATAAAAGTAATAAAAGTTTGTTGATTACTTATATATGAGATGCAAAAGGTAGCAACAGTATTATTAAATAATATGGGTACTGTTATGCATATACTGAGATCTGTTGGCAAAGGTAGATCACTTCAACAGAAGACCAATTTACAAATGTGCCTCTGTTTAGAAGATAGATGTTATATAAATAAAATACTTTATATTAGTATTACAGTAGAGGTATTCATTCTCATTGACCAAAAAGAAAAGAAAAGAGCCCTTGGACAATAAAGATTACACATTTAAAAGGAAACATTTTTCTGTTAAGATCATACTATGTAAATTTACATACGACAAATATTGTATGGAAGCTCTTTCTTGAAATCAGTAAAGTAGGTGGGGTAACTGGCCAGCTGCTTTCCTCTCCTCCATTGCTCTTCTTTTAAAATAGAACCTTTTTTCTGTGCAGTTCTGTAACTTTCATCTTGTCCTCCTGCTTCCTGAAGTTTAAATTGTGCAGTTTGTACTCTACTTTGGACGTACCACTTTTTTTCCAAAAAAAAATTTATTGTTCCAAAAATTTATTTCTGGAACAAACTTTTGTGTGACTCAGAACTGTGAGTTTGTAGTTGGGATCAATGAGGAACCCCAGGCTTAGAATTCCTTTTGAAGGTGCAAAACGGATGCTACAATTATAAGTTCTATCACTGGACAACAGCATGGCAATAGTTGTGAATGAGCTTCTGGGAGGTACTTGATTTAAAGGGATAGCAGCAACCAAATGCAGCTAGTTGCCTCATCTTCTAAAATGAACCATGAGCTGCATTTAATAAAGTGATCCCATTATCCTAGGGCATTCTCCTGTACAAGAGAGGATCCAGTCCCATTTTGATCTCCTCATAGCAGATTAATGTCTTAATCTTAATTATTAAGATTAAGATTAATTCAATTAAATGCCTGGATTTGTGGACTTTATTTTTATTTTTATTTTTATTTTTTGAGATGAAGTCTCACTGTCTCCCAGGCTGGAGTGCAGTGGCGCGATCTCGGCTCACTGCAAGCTCCGTCCCCTGGGTTCACGCCATTCTCCTGCCTCAGCCTCCTGAGTAGCTGGGACTACAGGCGCCCGCCACCATGCCCAGCTAATTTTTTTTTGTATTTTTAGTAGAGACGGGGTTTCACCGTGTTGGCCAGGATGGTCTTGATCTCCTGACCTCGTGATCCGCCCGCCTTGGCCTCTCAAAGTGCTGGGATTACAGGCGTGAGCCACTGTGCCCAGCCTAGATTTGTGGACTTTAAATACACAGTCTCCTCTTTACCCAGCCCCATTTTTGCTTAAAAATCATAGCTAATTTAGAAATATGTTATTTGGGAAGAATGCATAGTTCTTGTAGAATATTCATTGAGGATATTTTGAAAATTATTTTAAACTAAAAATACTTGTGTGTATGACATAAAGCCTAATGGTTTACTTTCAGCTTCTCTCTGACATTTCTTTGAAGAGAAAACAAGTTGTTCAAAGAAAATATGGAAGTATTATTTGTTACCTCTTACAGTTGGGAACTGCATCCTATGTATTTAAATTTGCCATCCTCTTTTAGTTGTCTTTAATTTTAAGTCTGTTTACTAAATGTGTATGATTATTGGGGAATCATACATGTGGAAGTTTACATAGTATATAAGGTTGGTTTTAGGATTATATGGAGAAGTGAGGAACCCGTCTCTATTTTTCTTTTTAGGTTAGCGATGCTACTAAGCTAAGGCCAAAGGCGGAGTTCTGTTTTGGTAAGTAGCCATGTTATATATATTTTAAATAGACTGATATAATTGTATCATATTGTAAAAGAAAACTGTTGCAGAAAACCACACAAAACCTAGGGCTTAATGAATTATTCTAAAGTGAATTCCCTTGTAACTGCTATACAGATAAGGAAATAACATTTTGCACCCCCTCTCCCCTAACCCTGAAGCCTCTTTCCTGTGTGCGGTCCTAGTTACAAACATCTCCTTCTACCCATATGTAACTGTTATTTTGGCATTTATAATGATCACCTCCAGTGAGATTTCAGGGAATTTTAAACTTTCTACGTCATGTTATTCTATATTAAACATATAAATAATTAAAAGGATTTGGTCTTTAGCTTTTGGGTAGTGAGAAATGCTCAGTTTGGGGTAGGAGTAGTTGAGGGTATTGGATTAACTTACCCAGCAAATGTTTAGTATATGCCAGGCACTGTGCTTGGCACTGGAGCTGTAAGATGAATAAGAAACAGTTGCTGCCCTTAAGGCTGGTTGGCTCATAAATAAAAAATACCAGGCAATTAATATTGCAGTTGTCACAACCTGTAGATAAAGGGATATGCAGTCTATTAAAGCACAAAGAATGACCTTCAAATCTTTATTGGGGAGCTCAGGAGTCGGGGAGCCTCACTGGAGGAGGAGATGCTTACGTTGGTGGCCAGCTAGCCTCCTGCTTATATCCTTTACCACTGCAGAGAAAAGGCAGGAGGACTACATGCAGAGGCTTGTGGGGAGAAGAGCGTGGTGTCTCTGGAGCTGAACACTCTGAAGCTAGAGGGTATGATAAATGGCTAGAGAGTAAAAAGGCAGGCAGAAGCCAGGGTGCTGTGTTTTGACGAGCAATAGGTTTTATTACTTTGAACAAAGGAGAAGAAAAAGAGAGCATCTGGAAAGCAGACATAAGGTGAAGGAGGGTTTTGTTTGTTTGTTTGTTTTTTTGTATGCATAGGAAAGTTTTGATATAGGTAGACTGGGTAAGTGTCTTTTGAACTACTGTACTTATGTAAGGTCCTGAGTTAGGGTGGTGGCAATAGGAGAAGGAGGAAGGGTGAAAAGAAGGAAAAGTGCAGGGGCTTGGTGGATATGGGGGAATTGGAGGGAAGAGAGAGGTAGCAGGGAAGTTTGCTTCAAGTAAAGAAATGAGAAATCAGGGAGAGCTGGTTACATAGGGTAAAATGTTTGCTATGGAGTTGAAATGGTGGGGAACTTCCAAATGGAAATGTTCTGTTGACAGTAATCGAGGACTGGATGGAGCTTTAGGGTCAAGAATGGAGAAATTCGGAGTCTGTTGAAAAGTGGGTGGTAGTCGAAGCTAGGAGAATTGATACCCTCTCAGAGAGTATGTTAGTGGACATGAGTGACTGAAGGAACGAATATTTGGAGTGGTCAACTAACATCAAAAGAGACTTTCACATTAAAGTGAGAGATACTTTTGGGAGTAGAATTGAAGTTCTTTGCTCTCTTTTGCTTGAAAAGGGCAGATTTCTTTAGGCAGTAGTTAGGAATAGCATCTTGATATGAGCAAGATGAAACGTGGCTGTCAAGGGAATCCTCTAAAATGCTTTTATCTCACTATGAAGCTATTTTTAAAAGTTACATGTTTATTACTAATTATAATTTTGGTTACGAAACAGGAAAATGCCTCAGAGCCTTGTAATTGAATGGGTATTGCAAGTCAAATAACTGAGAACTTTGTATTTTAGAATGTATAATGCACATACTTTTGACAACCCTTTTTTTTCTAAAATCTCAAACTTACAGGAATAGTAACATACAGTAATAGACTTGACATTCATAGTTATTGGAGTATTTAGAATGGGTGATTTTAGTTGGAATCAAAAACTAAGATTAGTCGTTCATTGGTCAGGCAATAGTTTATTAGTCCTCTACTGTTAGTGGGAGTAAAGATTCATGAAATGCTTACCTTCAGAGAGAGAAGCACTGACTTCTAAAATAGAACCACAACTTTCATTCAAAGTGGCAACATATCTTCTCTCAGATTGTCCCAAACCAGTGAGAACAAGAAACGTGCAAGCCATTTTTGATGGAGGGAGCAGAGTATCTGTAACCCTCAGTGTATAAAGTTGGAAAGTAGATAGAGGAATGGTAGATAATTTAGCAGAGTGGAGGAAGAGGCCAATGAAAAGCTAACCATTTAAGTGTTCTGCCCCCACCCCAACTCTAGATAGGCTTAGGTATAGGAGATACATTTTCTGGGGAAGCAACAGTGAGGAAGGACCAAAAACAGGGACTTTGTTTGCATATCTGTATCAGAAACAACCTCTGTTCCCTACCTCCAATCGGGCAGACACCCTTCTTCTGTCCCAGCAGGTAATGGGATGTGTGGTGTCTCCAGAAATAGAATCAGTGAGGCTGTATATTTAGGGGCACTAGTCCCAGAGAACGAAAGGAATGAGGCACGAAACTGAAAATAGGAAGATATCTTAAATGAAAGTCTGCACAATCAGTGCAACCCCAGCCCCAGAGCACTGGGCAGCCAGGTTTAGGTGAGTAAGATCTGACTACCCTAGAGAAAAGATCCATAGATACTGACTGACATCTGGGCATTTCTACTAGAAGAGCTTGCCATAGTTGACTAGTAAGGTCCACAATCAACAGCCCTACGACAATGCAAGAGAGCTTTTCATCAGTCTTTTTAGCACTTTCTTTTAAAATATGAATAGACAGCCCAGGATTACTGAACATTTGATGAGAGCGGATTATCAAACAGGAGAAGGAACATGAGACAATGCAAAACTCATTTTGCATTTCTTTGAAAAAGTCAAAGAAATCTGAAAGTACAACAAAGGTAAAGATAGATAATGGAAAAGAGATAAAAACCATCAAGGAAGTCCAACATCTGATAGAGACTGAGAGGACAGAGGAAAGTACAGAATAGAGAAAACAGAGTGGGGAAAATTGACAAAGAATATGATAAAATACCTTAGAACCTCTTGATCCAAAACCGTATATTCATAACCAGTTGATCTCAGGTTGTGAGATGATTTTTGTTTGCAGTTAAGCTAATGTTTATGCTTCAAGTTTTATCCATTTTATGTATTCATTCTAATCATAAAGATTTGAAGTTAAATACTCAAGTGGAAAAGATAGGAAGGATACAAGCTTCTAGGGATGCATGTATTATTCACAATGAAACCCTTGCTTTAGGGTTTTTATGGCAACTTAGCAGTGTCAGAGTTTTTTTTTTTTTATTGTTCAAAGATTTTATTTCTTTCCCTTTCTCCCCTCACCACCAATATTGCTAATACACCACATTTCAGTAACTTGCTTTCCCCTTTTTTTTTCTTTTGAGATGGAGCCTCACTCCCCCAGGCCGGAATGCAATGGTGTAATCTTGGCTCACTGCAACCTCCACCTCCTGGGTTCAAGCGATTCTCCTGCCTTAGCCGCCCAAGTAGCTGGGATTACAGGTGCCCACCACCACGCCTGGCTAATTTTTGTATTTTGAGTAGAGACAGGGTTTCACCATGTTGGCCAGGCTTGTCTCGAACCCCTGACCTCAAGTGACTGGCCTGCCTTGGCCTCCCAAAATGCTGGGATTACAGGCGTGAGCCACTGTGCCCTGCTTTACATTTTTTATAGTGCTTCCTTACTCCTTAGAAATCTCCAGATGATGGCAGTGAAGAATATTCTATACCAAGCACTGTGTTAGTTTCTTTACATATATGATCGTCACCTCTTAAGGAGGTGGAATGAGTGACATTCCCATTTCACAGATGAGGAGTATCGGGCTCAGAGAAATTAAATAATGTTTAAAAGATGATATTGCTTGTAAGTGCATAAGCTAGTCAGGTTGGATTGATTCCAGACTGATTTTTTTTTTCTAGATCATACCTATATATCTACGTCTTGCCATGAAGTAATTCTTAAAGTACATGAGATTTTATTCAGATTGCAAGGTATACTAGGGGTCTTTTTTAGATATATATTTGCATCTCTTCCTTCCCTTAGAAAAGATCCTTATATATTTATTCAAAAGTATATGTATTAAGCATTTACTGTGTACCAAGTGTAGTATATTAGTAAGTGCATAGATTTTTAAATTCTTCAGATATTCTGGGCAGATGCCCAAAATAACATTGAGGGGAAGAAGCCATTATGAATGAGGAGAGCTCTGCTTCAGCCTAAGCTGAAAAAAGATTATAAAAGGAAGCCTTACCGATGGCTAGAAATTAAAAACAAGTTATTTATTGATAGATATAGCATCCTAGTGAATTATGGATTTATCTTAATACATATTTATGGCAGTTATAACTTTTCCAGTCTCTAGAAAGATGTACAAGAACAGATTTCCAGTGTGTTAAATTTCTTTTAAGGTTATAGACTGGTTGTTTTGTAGCACTTTACAAGATAGGCTTTGACTTCCTTTCTGAGACCTTCATCTCAATTCAAGGAAGCTGTAGTTTAGAGTGTTTTGGTCTCAGTCCCAATTTCAAAATCTTGTGTGTTTTCCTTGAGAGTTTGCATTTCCCCTTCTCAGTCACATTGAACTGTGTGCTAGTATATCTTTTAAAATTTTGGTGGAGACGTTTGGAAGTTATTTTTATATTTGAACAATTGCAACAGTATAACTATTCAGATACTTAGCTCCTAGAATAATATTTATGCTTTTAAAAATAAATGCAGATGGTGTATAATAAATAGCTTTAATTCAAGAGTGGACTATGATAGTTTATAGACAACTGTATGTGCACATGTGCTTTGCTTGATAAAAGTACCTAGTCCCTAAAGGGGAATATAGAAACTAAATTGCATAAAAGTTCCAAATGTATTAAGATTCAAAATATAAAGGAAATTCATAAGGTCTAGAAAAATAGATCTTAAGTTAGGGAGATTTTCTAGATGATATGAAATCTGGATGCATTTATAGAAAAGATTCATAGTATATTTCTGTCTGATCAAAAATACTGTTAAAGTAAAACAGACTGGGTAAAGTATTGGTAATAAAGCAGAAAAGATTAATAAAGAAGTTGCTATAAATTAATAATGAATTCAGGAGAAACGTGGGTAAAGAAAGTAAACAAAACTTACAAAATAAATGCAGATGGCCAATAAACTTACAAAACTAATTTATCTCAATAACCAAAGAAATTAAAATTTGAACAAGGTACAATTATTTACCAATTAGGTTGTTAAAGAGTATTAGCCAGGAAAACAGCACACTAGATATTTCAAACCTAAGGGATTTGTTATGGGGAATTGGTTACCCAAATATTGGAAGGCTGAAAGAACATGAAGGGAATGCTGAAGTAACCCAGGAATTAGACGCATGAAGCAACTACTACTCAAGGGCTAGAGAGACAAAAGAGAAGGGGTAGTAGTATTACTATAACCTAGGGCAGTGGAGTAGAAGCCACCATGGAGCTATTAGTATCCAAGGGGACTCTGCAAGGCTGGCATAGGGGGCAGGAAAAGGCTCCTAACAGTAGCTAGTTGTGTGCTGCTGTTGGAGAGAGGTCAACAACAGCAGGAGTCAAGGAGAGTCTCCTCTTTCCTTCTCCCCTCTCCCACCTTACAGTCTCTCATCAGTACCTCCCAGTGGCAGAGAATGGCCTCAGATGGGGTCTAGGAAATATTGTTTGCAGACTACCAGCCCCAGTGCCACAGAGCCTTTGAAAACTAGAAACTAGAGGTATCCACAGGTGCTAACAACCAGTTCTGGTGAGGGGTATTCGATGAAATAAAATGTGTATGTGGTTGGTAGGAATGTGAATGGATTCAACTTTGTGGGAAGATGATTTGGAAATACCTATAAAAAGTTTAAATGTCAATTGTCTTTGACCCAACAAATCTATGTCAAGAAATTTATCACCCAGAAATGCTAGCCAAGTGTGGAGAAATATATGTATATGATGTTTCATTGTGATATTTTATATAATTTCAAAAACCGGAAATAGCCTAAGTGTCTATCATTAGGGGATTGACTAAATGTATTGTGGTGTATCCATTTAATAAACAAAATGGCCATAACAAAATAAGAGTTTTACCTGTGTTATTGTGTGATAAAAGCTGTATTACATGTGGTCTGATATATTTTGTCAAATCCACGAGAGTCACGGTGTTGAACTTAGCAAGGTTTTTCAGCTACTGCAAACATAAATTTAGAGGTAATAAGTACAATATTTGGTGTGTTATTTTTTTCTGTCAACAGTTATGAATGCAGGAATGAGGAAGTACTTCCTACAAGCCAATGATCAGCAGGACCTAGTGGAATGGGTAAATGTGTTAAACAAAGCTATAAAAATTACAGTAAGTATATGTATTTTTTTGAAAAACGTTCGATGTCTGGAATTAATCTTTTCATTTTGAAAATACACCTACCAAATGTTCCCAGCTTACCAACAGGTTTCATACTCAAGCTTTGTTTAAAAGACAGGTGTTCAGAATGTGAATATGTTTTCTTGTACTTGGTGACTGTTGGCACTTTAATCAGCCCATGATTGTCTTTTTAACTTATGCACCTAATAAGGAGATATATTACTGCAGATCTTAATCACTTCTTGCAACGTTTCTAGGAGAAAATGCGCTTAGCACGTAGAGTTCTACCGGGAGGATATATATTTTTCTTCCAATATAGTGTAAGAGATTTCCTGTCACCTACCTGGGGAATAGGCACTTCTCTCTTCTAAGCCATGACTGGGATTGGGGTCAGATAGGGAAAGAGTTGAAAACAGGAGCAGGACAAGGGGAGATGAAGGCTGAAAAATGAGGGTTAGGGATAGGAATAGTGTCTGAAGGGTTGCGGCAGCCAGAGGGTCCTGTCCATGTGACCCTTGAGAAGTTTGTCTCAGGCTCTAAACTTCTTCCCATGTCTGATTTTTTTCCTTGCATTCCAGGGCTTGGTACCCTTGCCCTCCTTTCCCATGCTACAATTTCTTGCTTCTAATGTGTGCTTCTTTTCTTTTTTGGTTTCCTGATGAATATTTATTGATTATTAACACTGTGCCAGATCTTAGACCGAAGGTTTTACTTAAATGAACTGGAAAAGTGAGGCTTAGAAAGATTAATCTACCAGTGTTATAGCTGGTAGATTATGGAGCTGGAAGCCCAGTCCAGTTTTTTGGCCTCTGGAGCCCGAACTCTGAAGTGCAGTGCCTTACTGCTTCCTGAACAAGAACAGCCCTCTCCTTACTCTTTTGTTCCTAAAGCCAACAACAACCTTTACTGAGAGAGTTTGCTAGTGATGATGAGCAGCACGTAGATAGGCTCTATTTTGATTATACCTTGCCTCACCTTTCCCTTTACACTTTTGTAGAGAAATACATAGCAGGCCTGCCTGGAAAATGTTGGGAAGGAGTTCTTGTGTTGTGAGATTTGTGTCAATTGCGTTTTTGTTTTTGTTTTTTTTAAAGAAAGTGCAGTTATATACTGACCCTAAGTGACTTATTCTCAAAGAACATGTGCCCTGAAAGTCAGCATATGTTAGTCACTCATTAGTTTCCATCTAAAATGAATAATTTCCTATTTATATCACAACACAATAAAGAGTCAATATAGTTAAAGCTGTTCTCAGAGTTTAGTCGAATCTTTTTGTTTTGCTCTAGAACAGCTTGTTACCACATGACAGAAAACGCCTACGCACCGCATCTGATCTGTACATGAAGCAGAAGTTATTTTAGGTTTGTGCAGTGTCAGGAAAGCAATTTTTTAACCTGATTCAGACATACATATTCTTAAAAGCTTTTAGCTAATCATTTTAACTCTTCTAATAAATATTCCCTGCTTGAAAAATTTCTTTAGAAAGATAATATCTCGTAACTGTACTAAATTCATGTTTTACCATTTGCAATAACAAGCAGCACTGGTTTCTTAGTGCTTTAAGAGAAAAAGTAGTGAATGGTCTCAGGCTTTTTACCATTTTGGGGGGTCTTGAATTGCTATGTCTGATTTATCAATGGTATGAAACAGTCTTATACAAATGACACTGGTAAGCTTTTCAGCATGAAGGAAAAACAGGTTAGAGATTCTAAATAGAATTCTAAAAAGACTTCTAAGTAGCTTTTGTGGTCTTGCAATTTTATTTTACCTGTTGAAATTTTTATAGTTTTTAAGATAAATTTGTTGGTAAATGATTTTAATGTTTTTATAATTCACATTTGGAAAATATAAATACATAGAAGTTATAGAAATCCTTATTACTTAATAAAGTGGTTATAACTGCATTAAAGTGAGTATAGATTTGATAGTACTTATTAAAAATAAACTTTTGATAGACACACATTTAACTCATAGGATAGCAATGAAATAATTTCCTATGCTTTAATAAGATGCTTTATGTTAATTTTATTCCTTAAAAATATCTTACCAGTTTCATGTGCATTTTATACATTTAAGTGTATTAAAGTGTGGAATCTCCAATTTGTTATATTTTCCTGTGAACATTGCTGATGATTTACATGTAGATTATTTGAAAACTTAAAATGTACATTTTGATGTATGTACTTAATACATAAATCTTTCTATGGGATCACTCTCATTTTGGTCAACTCTAATTTAGTGGTCTGCTAAGTACTGTGTGATATATAAATTTTAAAATTTTGGAAATCCAAAATTAGAGTTTGGAAGTGTGTGGTTTCAAAATAGAGGTGGTTAGAGGGCAATGGGTAAGGGAATGATGATTTTTAAACTATTTCCTAGTTATAATATCTTGCCATTTTAATCCATTATCCTCTAACGCTATAGTCTGTGACTTTCCTTACTTGAGTCTAGGTGGGTGCCACTTGAAATTCTTTTCCCTTTACAGTTGCTTTTCAACTTATGATGGGGTTACATCCTTATAAACCTATTGTAAGTCAAAAACACAAGTTGAAAATCCATTTAATACCCCAACAAACCCACTTGTAAAGTTGAAAAATTGAACCATTGTAAGTCCTGGACCATCTGTATTAAACATACGCACAAAAAGGAAAAGAGCAACAGTGGGAGAATCAGCCCCGAAGGGGGAGTATCAATGACTGGAGTGAGGAAAATCAAATTTTAAAGTATGCTTTCCACTGTTCATTTATAGTGGAAATATATATAGTGGAAATATAGTGGAAACAACATAAATATGGTGGTTTCTGTTCCCTTATTGATTATTAAGGAATGTCTAAGATATATATGGTTTATTCCTGAACAGAGATCCATTATTTTTAAACATGTCTTTTTTAAAATTTAAAAATAAATGTTCGATTTGAATCTAAAAATTAGTACTTTGAATTTGTGGCAGAAACTCCACAAGTTTGATATATTTTTAATAGAAACTGGAAACAAGTAGATGTAGAATTCTCAGAAAGATTGTAAGACCCAGGAGTTTGTGTCTGCACGTTTTTATCCTCAGTGAATTGAACATTATGACAATTTCATTCTTTCTTTTTATCCTTTTTTTTTTTTTTGAGACAGAGTCTCGCTGTGTTGCCCAGGCTGGAGTACAGTGGTGCTATCCCAGCTCACTGCAGCCTCCGCCACCGGGGTTCAAGTGATTCTTGAGCCCTCAGCCTCCTAAGTAGCTGGGATTACAGGTGTGTGCCACCACAGCCAGCTAATTTTTGTACTTTTAGTAGAGACTGGGTTTCGCCATGTTGTCCAGGTTGGTTTTAAAACTCCTGGCCTCAAGTGATCCGCCCAGCTTGGCCTCCCAAAGTGCTGGGATTACAGGCGTGAGCCACCGCGCCTAGCCCAACATTATATTTTCATTCTTGGTGAATTGAATATCAACTTTCCCTTTAACTTTTGAGAAACCTGCAGCGTTTTTATGTATTTCACTCATAAATACTTAAATCTGTCTTGTTCATCTTTTTATTCTCTAGTTATTTTTACCTTTTCTTTTCCTACTATTAGAATTTCCTACTACTAGGATCACATGCAAATGCCTGCCAAGATTACATTCAGATCTCCTACAAAAAATGCTGGGACATAAAAAAGGATAGAAAGCCAAGGAAAGGGAGAGAGGCAGTAGACAAAGAAACCAAGTGGATTCAGTGTCTGACATGTGCCAACTGCCCAGTGAGATCACTTTTCTGATTTTCATTGGACAGTTGGATGGTTTGGGGCAGGGGTGTGTCCTGAAAATGTCTATCTTAATGGCTGAATTTAGACCAAGTTTTACAGAGGTACATATTGTTTTTAGAGGAGTTATCCATGTTCATGGGTATTTTGCTTGAACTTTTCTTGTTCTTAGGGAATAAGATGATTACAAGTTAGATAATTTTTATAGTAAAATGCAGTTCTAAGTTAACTACTAGCATTTGATTTTATTATAAAGACAAATTAGAAGCAGTGAGCTTAACAGCATAAGCAAGGACTTTTAATATACTGTAATTTAAGAAAAATGGAAAAACCAATATAAATTTCGGTATTTTTTAGAATGATTTTAAAGGTTTTTCCTAATAATTCCCAGGTCTGACTAAACTTCTTGAGAGAATAACTGCTAGTTTTCTTATGGGTCACCTCTTAGCAGCACCTCTCATTTTATCTAGTTGAATAGATTGTTTTCTCTCTGGTTTCAGGTTCTCTTAATGCTAGTTGCTGTTCTTCTCAATGAGATAACTGGGCCATATTTTCTCTGTCAGAATAATTGAAATATATGGTGCTATTCATTAGAAAATATAATGGGCTTCCCTAGCAAATCATTCCAGGGTATACTATCCTAATTTTATTTGACAAGGAAAATTCTCTTCATTATTTTATTGTCTTTAAAAAGCACTCCAAAGTGTGCAAGTTCTTAGAAGAATTCAAGAGGTATTCAGGATTCTCTTCTCTTTCCTGTTTTCTCTCTCTTTTGTTTCTGCGGATGAGGGCATTGTAGTATGAATACGAACCAGAGGCTGGAGGATTGGGCCTGGGGCCTGAGAGAAACCTCTTCAAGGGAGGCAGGTGGAGAAGGAAGGGAGAGGGAGTTTTAGAAGTCACTTAAGAGACAAGTCATTTATTATATCCATAAATTACATTTGTGTGGATTGGGACTTACTGTAGCTCAGCATCCTTTCATATACACATGGACCATGTTTGCTCAATATTTTGCAGAAAGCTGCTTTGCAAATCCTTATCTGCATTGTATACCCTCTTTTCTACAAATCTGGTGGGAGTAGCATCGTATGGAAGAAGAGCACAGGTTTTAGAGCAGTGTTTCTCAAAGTGTGGTTTATGAAACTCCTGCCTCAAAAATGTCTGGTGTTCTTGCTTAAAGTGCAGGTTTTTGGGCTGCACTATAGATATGTTGAGTCAGAATTTCTGGGTTCGAAGCAGGGGAATCTGAAGTTTTAAATAATGTTCCTGGGTGATACTTTATGCACTCTAAAGTTTGAGAAATCACACTGCTTTGGAATCACACTAATAAACGGTTTGAGCCTTTGAATACAATGTGAGTGGTGTCCTGTAGTTCTACCAGTACTCTATTAACAGGAATTAGCTATATGACAAGCAAACTATTTAAGTTAAATGTTTCTACACCACTACTTCAGTGATTGTCAGTAGTATTTGTCATAGTGTTTCTGAAAGACTGCAAGGTTCCACGTGCCCTTTAAATCATTGGAGAAGACTAAATCATGTTCAACATTATAATTGATGCTGAGCAGATTTTATTACATTTTATTCACAGCCTTAAAAATGTATAATTTAAATACAGACTATGTGCTAAACAGTCTACAGATAGAAATAATGATTAACTGAGTACCTTATTTACTGAATAGATCACATAAGAAAAGCAAAAATATATGTTAAAAATTTATGATACCTCTGATTCTTTCATCCACTTTAGTGAGGTGTTAATGTGAGATTCTGCTGTTACCACAGTCATTGTTTTCCTGTACTTGTGAACGATTTATCATTGATCCAAGTATTGGAATTCCTTCTTTAAATTTCTAATGAAAAGTTTTGTTTTGAAACTTCTGATTTGTTTTAAGAATTTTGCTATTCTTTTTTCTGCTGACTTTGGATTCATCCATTGAGTCTTTCAACATTTATTGAATACACTATGGTTTTGGTAATAGTCTCTGTCTTGAAGCCAGGAAAGACTGAATATGCCACAATCCCAGAATCATGGGTAGGAATGGAGAAAGGGAAGAAAACAGCAAAGAGCTGTAAGCCAATAGTAAGTGTGCCAATAAACAGGGTCTAGAGCACAGCAGTTGGGCTTGGAAGAGTTACACACACTTGGCTAGAATGTATTATAGTCAGGATCTGAATCTATATTCCCTAATGCCCCTGAGCCTATTTCCTTACCTCTTAGGTGGGGGTAGAGCCCCTATGCATAGGGTAGACAGGAGTAGTAAAGGAGAAAAATGTGTGAACTAGTACCTGCCCGAGTAAGCACTCATTACGTGATAGCTATATTATAAAATATTATTCTAACAGAAAAATTAGTGTGATAACTTAAGGAGTACATACATGGACTATAATTTTTATATGTATCTGTCAACCGTATGCAAACGGATGAATAATTAGAAATTCTGCGAGAAAACAGGTTCACATGTATAATGCTGGTTGCAAAATGATTCATTTTATTTACTATTTCAGGTACCAAAGCAGTCAGACTCACAGCCTAATTCTGATAACCTAAGTCGCCATGGTGAATGTGGGAAAAAGCAAGTGTCTTACAGAACTGATATTGTTGGTGGCGTACCCATCATTACTCCCACTCAGGTAATTAAGTAACTCTTCTATTGTGTGAGGGTCTAATTATTGTATATTGATTTTTATATTATTAAAACTAAAACAGTGCATCTTTGCTTAATTGGTATAATATACAATTACTATAAAATATTTTTGTTTATTTCAAAAGTATTTATTATAAAAAATTTGGAAATTACATAACATTTAAAACTTCTCATGATTTCTCTGAGCCTTTCTTCATGTACTTTTCACCTCAGAAATGGAGATATGAGTTGTATATTACATTTTGTAAACAGATTTTTTCACTTGTATCATGAACATTTTCCAAGTCATCAGAAATCCTTTTATATCATTTTTAATGAGTGCATAGTAGTTCTTCCATGGATTTACCATAAATTACAAATCCTCTATTGGACAAATAGAGTTCCTTTTCCTTTTTGTTTCTTTTACTTTATAAACAATGCTATGATGAATATTCTTAAAGGAGAAATTCCTAGAAATAAAATTGCTGAGTCAAGAGTTTGCAAGTAGTAATTTTTAAAATCTATTTTTTCTACAACCTGGCCTAAGTGAGCTAAACAGAAGACTGGAATTTTAACTAAGTTATATCTCAGAAGTACTAATATGCTAAATTAAGTCTTTATTTGAGTTTTAGGAAAAATATAAATTTACATACAATTTTTGATGAAATTAAAACTCTTGTCTGAGCTTGAATTTCTTGTTTTGCTATTGAAAAGGATGAATTTGTAATGGATATTAAGTTACTAGTAGTTGAGAAACCAAGAATTTTAAAGTAATCAATTGGTATTGCCAAGCTTGGGTATTTTCATTACCAGTGTGCCTTTTGAACTCAAAAGACTTTGACACTTTATAAATCTTTTAAATCAAATTGTATCATTCCCCACATTTTTCAGGTCTTTTGCTACGGGAGGGTGATTAGTGGGATTAGAAATCTTACAACATTAATTAATTAATTAACTATTGAGTGCTTTCTTTATGCTTGGCAAAGGGTATGTTAATGAACAGAAATTCCCTGCTGTCATAGAGCATACATTTTCCACCAAAGTTGGATAAAAAAATAAGCTAGGATTGTGTGTTTACTTTTTCCAAAAGTAATGATTTTAAACTGTTAACCTTCTGGTTACTATGTACCTAGATTAAGCTTCTTTCACTGGTATTATGACCTATGTTGACATAAGGGGTAAGACTATTTTCCTGTAGTTGTGTTAAGACACTGTATTAGTTTGTATCTGTGGCTGTTTTAATTTTGTCTAGAGTTAAGATTTTGTTGCATTGTAATTTTGGTATAGATATTTCAGTAGTTTCTAGGATTTTATGGAGGGTATAATTTTATTGCATCATTTATTTTGTAGTATAGTTTTAAAAATTATAAAATAATATATGTCTATCATAAAAGGCAAAAATTGGTAAATTGGACCTCATCAAAATAAAAAATACTTGCT
Organism: Homo sapiens; assembly: GCF_000001405.40. Taxonomy (NCBI): domain Eukaryota; kingdom Metazoa; phylum Chordata; class Mammalia; order Primates; family Hominidae; genus Homo; species Homo sapiens. Next base: position 122,414,479 of record NC_000010.11, read on the forward strand.
CTATGAAAGACCTTCTTAAGAGGATGAAAAGAAAAGCTACAAACTGGGAGAAAATATTTGCAAACCACATGTCCAACAAAGGACTTTTATCTAGAACATAGAAAGAACTCAGAACCCAACAGTAAAAAGCCCAAGAAATCCAATTAGAAAATTCATGAACAGATATTTCATCAAAAGATAAAAGATAAACAGATGGTAAGTAAGCACATGAAAAGATGTTCACCATCATTAGCTAGCAGGGAAAAAATACAAATTAAGAGCACAATAAAAGATCACTGCACACCTCTCAGAATGGCTGAAATAAAAGTGACGACACAAATGCTGCCAAGGTTGAGGAGAAACATAATCTCTCAGGTGTTGCTGGTGGGAATGAAAATTAGCCACTCTGAAAAACAGTTTAGTGTTTATGTTTTGTTTTTTTTTTAATAATAAAAGTAAGCTTGTGATTACTGTACAACCCAGCATTTGCAGGACTAGGTGTTTATCGTAGAGAAAGGGAAAATTACATTCACATAAAAACTTGTGCATGAATGTTGATAGCAGCTTTTTTCCTAATAGCTAAAAGTGGGAAACAACTCAAATGTCCTTTAATGGGTGAACAGTTAAACAACTGGTCATCCATCCATACCATGGAAATATAGCAATAAAAAGGAATGAACTCTAGATACAAGGAACAGTCTGGACGAATCTCTAGAGAATTATGCTGAGTGAAAAAAGATAATCTCAAAAGATAACCTTCTGTATGCTTCCATTTACATTACATTTTCAAAATGTCAAAATTATAGTCTTGGAGAACAGATTAGTGGCTGCCAGGGGATTTAGGGGTAGGAACTCTAAAGTTCACAAAGGAGCCTTGGGGTGATGACCAATTCTGGGTCTTAAATGTGGTAGTAGTTACACAGATCTACACATGTGATAAAACTGCATAGAACTGTATAGACACACATAGATGAATGTATGTAAAACTGGTGGAATCCGAATAAAGTTTGTGGGTTGTGCCAATGTCCATTTCTTGTTTTTTGATAATGTTACGCCGTTTCCCTTTGAGGGGAAACTAGTGAAAGGGTACATAGGACCTGTTGTACTTTTTTTGGGCAGCTTCTGGTGAATCCTTATAATTATTTCAAAATAAAAAGTTAACTCCTTCCCCAAAAAAGAGCACTGGTGGCAGGACTTGTGCAAAACAAGAGGAATGGAAATTTGTGCTTTAATCAGTGACAGGAAAATTAAGAGTAAGTATCTCAGATTAATTAGAAAACTCTTCAAAAATCTGTTTCTGACTAATCTAAGGTGGATTTTAAGATTTTCTACTGGGATAATATGAAATAAAAGTATGCTAAACAAGCAAGAAAATAATTTATTTATTTTGCTTCATTTTAGAAAGAAGAAGTAAATGAATGTGGTGAAAGTATTGACAGAAATAATCTGAAACGGTCACAAAGCCATCTTCCTTACTTTACTCCTAAACCACCTCAAGATAGTGCGGTTATCAAAGCTGGATATTGTGTAAAACAAGGAGCAGTGGTGAGTAGCTTAACAAAATACATGAAATAATGAAAAAGGATTACGTTCTAGCAAACTCAAATTAACATGGAAATTGTTTGCTTTATTTTATGAAAGACCCAAAGTGAGAGACCGGCATGCTGAGGAGAGTCAGGAGATAAAATAGGGGATATTCTCTGTTTATAATTCAATGCTGTTATTTGCTTGGTTTGCAGGGGGCCAGGAAAGTTAATGCCCATTACCACTGACTTTCAGTTTAAATGAGCTTTCCTAACAGTTTAATGTTTTAGAAAGTGTTTCTATTCATCTTTACTCATACTCAGGAGTGGGTCAGGGAAAGAGAGCTGTTGTGGGGAGATGGCAGGCCAGCGGCAGGAGAAGGAGTGGTGCCTAGGAGGTCTCTTCCTTGTTTAGGCATTGGCCTGACCTCCGTGGTAAGCTCTCTGACCTTGGGCTACTTACTTAACCTCTCAGGCCCTCAGTTTCTGTCTTAAGGAATATCATATAAAACCTACCATCTAGGGTTTTGTTTTGTTTTGTTTTTGTTTTTTAAGAGATGTAAATAAGAAAGGTGTGTTTCCCTTTGCACAGCACCTGGTACTTAGTAAAAGCTGTTATGGGTTAGCCCAGGTATTCCCATATAATCAGTTCCATGATGAATTTTTTGCAAGAGCAAGTAAATTTACCAATATTTCTAAGGTTGCAACATACCTTAGTATCTAAGCCATTCTTTCTATGTGAACTAAATCTTTAGAATTTCATGAGAAAATTAACTTTAAAGTTTGAAAATGTTTTTTAAGTCTGTGAGTAAAGAAATACTTAAAATTATTTTGGTGGTTCTGTTTGACTTCTCATCACTTTTTGGCAACTCTTAATTTTTTTAGGGCAGCCAGGGGAATGTCCTTTCACCTGTTTGACCTGCTTTAGGCTGAGGAAAATGATGGTGAGGGCAGGGGTTTCTTACTGTACAATGTCTGCAGGTAGAGTCAGAATTCTCATCAGGCTGTGATGCTCAGTTGTGTGTAGATTGAAAGCCCTAATTTTACACACAACTGAGGATCATAGCCTGATGGTTCCTTTTTGTTTTACTCTTAAGTCCAAAATACCAGTCAGAGATATTTAAGTGCTTCTGCAAAAACTGTTATTTTATTGACAAAAAATATTTGTACAAAATAGGTTTACTTTATTAAATATTTAGTGCTTTACTACTATGTATAAAGTACTTGTGGAAGAATTCATATGTTTTTACAGATGGAGAAACTTGATGTGGTTTAATAACATTTCCTGTGTTTGCTCTTTACATGGGGTTGGCGGGGGCGAGGAGTAGGAGGAAGGGGAAGTGCTTTTAAAAAAAAAAAAAGTTTCAACATTAAAAATATGAAATAGGCCAGGCATGGTGGCTCACGCCTGTAATCCCAGCATTTTGGGAGGCCAAGGTGGGCGGATCACCTGAGGTCAGGAGTTTGAGACCAGCCTGACTAACATGGTGAAACCCTGTCTCTACTAAAAATACAAAAATTAGCTGGGCATAGTGATGGGAGCCTGTAATCCCAGCTACTCGAGAGGCTGATGCAGGAGAATTGCTTGAACCCAGAAGGCAGAGGCAGTGAGCCGAGATCGCGCCATTGCACTCCAGCCTGGGTGACAGAGCAAGACTCTGTCTCAAAAAAAAAAAAAAAAAACACATAAAATCATACAATAAAAGATGAAAGCCAGGCACCAGAAATTGAATTAGGAATTCAAAGCCTGGGTAGCTAGAGAGGGATGAGGTTTAATTTATCGCATCTCTAAGGGAAGTAATGAGATTTTTCACTGCTTGGCATGTCTGATTGTGGGTTCATATCAGGGTAATTAAGTGGTGACTAACATTTGACATTCTTAGAAACACAAGTCTTATGTCTGTGTTCATCTCTGGTAGATGAAAAACTGGAAGAGAAGATATTTTCAATTGGATGAAAACACAATAGGCTACTTCAAATCTGAACTGGTATGTTGTTACGTCATAAATGTTGCTATAAGAATGTTTGAAAAGTGTTGCAATGTAGTGATTATATATAATTTCTTGTACTGTTCTGTAGTTTCAGAATAAGTCTAGTTTTTAGAGGTAAATATAGTTTATTTGGTTGTGATGCTTTTGGTTAATGATATTTTTCTTAAATACATTTTTAAGTAAAAAGATCCTATCTTCAAAGCAGCATTCCACCTTGAAAGATCTGAAGATCTCAGAATCCTCTAGTCTATAAATTTCCTCTAAAGGGGCTGTCCTCTTGGGGGGTTAGCCCCACGTGGAGTAGGGAGAGAAGGGCATCCACATGGGGAAGGGGTGGTGGCAGAGATGGGAGAATGGTCACATACACAGTGATTTATAAAATCAGGAACTATATTAAGTATAATAGAAGCCAAGTCTTTTCAGAGAAACAATACTTTTTGGTGAATGAATGTATATCTGTATATATGATGAGGAATGAGATATTTACATAGTTTCAAAGTACCTATCTACTAAAATAGGTATTAAGTATTGTACAAGGGGAAAAAGAGTAACATTACAGTGAGGAAAGTGGTGTAAAGAATTCTGTCTGTAAAAGTCAATATTTAACCCTCTGTATTTCTTTCTCTTGAGATTTTCTTTACCTATTTCACATTGACTCATAAATCACTTCACATAAGATGTTTTTATCTTCCCTGAAGGTAGAATCAGAAATTGAAATTCCCTCTTCGCCTTGTTTGAGTTGCATCCTTATTTAAAATATTGTAGGGTGATCTGAGTCCTGAAATAGCTTATTGGAGACATTGAATGCAATTCTGTAGTATAAATGTCTATCCTACGTCTTCTTTTTGTATGGGATCTTTGAGAAGGGAACTTATACTTTGTTTGAATGAAGTCACCAGAACAGCATTGTCCATTAGAACTTTCTGCACAAATGGAAATGTGCCGTATCTGTATTGTCCAAGGGCACTAGCTACATGTAGCTGTTGAGTGCTGGAAATGTGGCTAGTGTGACTGAGGAACTGACTTAATTTCATTTTAATTAATTTATATTTACATCATTACACACAATGGCCACTGTATTGGCCAGCAGAGCACTAGTGTATAGGAAGGGGATATTTTAAGATTCACCTCAGGAGTCAGCTCTTCTGGGAAGCTTTTAGACTCTGGGTTAAGTGTCTTCTCTTTATATGCCCTGTGGTACCCTATGCATACTTGTATCATAATGCTCTTCCCAGAGTTTTGCAATCACGTGCATTCTTGTCTTTGCAACTAAATTAAATGAGCTTCTTAAGGGTAAAGACTCTTGTAGTCTTTTATGATCACAGGGCCTGGCACTTGATAGACAATAAGTGTCTTTGAATGAATGAAAAATGGCATAGCATAGCAAGAAATGCCATTTTAGTATGGGGCTTTCTCAAAGCTTAAGAGCCTCAACTGGAAGTAGTAGTTACTTGGTTCAGAAAGTACCTGCCTTGTTGTCTCAGGAGGCTATCCTTGTGCTTGGTTAGCAGGTTGTCTCATAGATTTTATTTAAAGCCAATACTCCCGGGAAGAGTCATTCATGCAGCAGACATTCATTGAGCTCTCCATGAACCTGGTGCACTGTTCTGGGAACTGAAAATAAAAGAGAATAATTAGCAAAGTTCTCTGGCCTTCAGGAGTTCAGTTTTGGTGGGGAAATTGACGTGTGCCCCCATCATCAACAGTAGTTTTAATAATTAGGAATATTTTTAGTATTTAGAAATTGCAGATAAAGCTGAAAACCTTTAAAGGTCAGTAATTATAACTATACTTAAGTTTTCCTAATTTTACGGAGTATAGTTTATCTCCTATGGTAGTTCTTTGTTCTTCCTCTCAAATTTCACAGAATAATGCCCAGCATACAGGTTTTCAAAACTTAGTATTTCTGTAATAGTTCTTGTTTCAGCTCCCCCTCCCCCAGTTTTAACATTTCTGAAATCTTAGCAGTATGTCTTAGAGTTGCTAAGGACGAGGGGCAGCCAGGCTGCAGCTGTGCTGTAGTTGACTGCTTGCCATATGCACAGTACCTTTGGGTAAAATCCAGAAGACACCGGCATCAGCATGTGCAGAAAAGGGTGCTGGCAGCTTGGGAGGAAATCTCAGGGACACCATGAAACATTCTTAAATACTGCATCACCAACACTCTTTTTGGCACAAAGAATGGCTTGGAGTGAAAAATATGGACATTGGTGGCTCCAAGTCAAAAAGTGATTCAGAAGATCTGGAATCTGAATGTGAAATCTTAAAAACTATAACCAGTTTATCTTGTCTATATTTTTCTTTTTTATATATGCTCAAGAATAATATATGATAAAAATGTTTAAAGTGTAAATGGGCTCTTTTATAAAACCTTTTCATCATGGAAAAGTGTAAACATACCCTTTTAGTAGATAGAAATAATACATGGAACCTGCATATACCCATCACCTAGATGTCATAATTGTTAACACATGGCTCAGCTTGTCTTGTTTCTTCTGTTTCACCACCCACTTCCTGCTTCATATTTTGAGGCAAATCCTAGATGTCTCCCATTTCATCTGTAAATATCTCAGTGTGTATCTCTAAAAGATCATTTAAAAATTTTAAAAATAAGTATAAAAGACTTAAGTGCACAGCCGAAAAATTGGTGAAAATATTTGCAACATGTATTAGAGATAAAACTTACAAGGAATCTTAAAAACTGAGGGGATTTTTCCTCACCTACTTTGCTCTCTTTTCCTTCCATCAATCTGAAATGACTCAGACTCTAATTTATTAGGTGAGGCAAAGCAACATAGGCATCCAAGAGGAACCAGTGTAGCTTTGTGTGGGTGTCAGAGCCCACGCAGGACAAGGAGGCTGTCCTCTTGGGGGGTTAGCCCCACGCGGAGTAGGGAGAGAAGGGCATCCACATGGGGAGGGGTGGTGGCAGAGATGGGAGAATGGTCACATACACACTGATTGATAAAATCAAGAACTATATTAAGGATAATAGAAGCCAAATCTTGTCAGAGAAACAATACTTTTTGGTGAATGGATGTATATCTGTATGTATGATGAGGAATGAAATATTTACATAGTTTCAAAGTACCTGTCTACTAAAATAGGTATTAAGTGTTGTACAAGGGGGAAAAGAATAACATTACAGTGAGGAAACCTGGCAGATACCACTTTACTCAGGTGGTCAGATGATTAAAGTGAATGTCATTGGTAATGAGGTAAATTGAAATCACCTGACAGGATAGTGGAAGACGAAGACAGCATCACTTCTGTGAAATCCCTGCCCAAGGTATGTAATCAGAATCCCATCATGAGGCACACCCAAATGAGGGACATTCTACAAAATAACTACCTTGCAATCTTCATAGAGTGAAGATTATGAAAGTCAAGGAATAATGAGGAACTGTTCCAGACTGAGGGAAAGAAAATATTTGACAAGCAGATGGTATTCGTGCTTCTGAACTGAATTCTTTTGCTCTAATAAAAGACATTTTGGGCACAGTTTTCTGATTCTGATGATTGTATTGTGATTATGTAAGAGAATGTAGGAAAAGTATTCAGGGGTAGTGTGGGACAGGTCAGCAACTCACTCTGAAATGGTTCAGGAAAATCAGTTCTTTATGCTGTATTTTCAATCCTTGTATAAATTCGTGTTTGTTTCAAAGATTAAAAAAAGAGAGAAAATGGAGGGGAAAATACCTGGTAGGCAAATGAACAAAAGACATGAATAGGCAATTCATTTAAAAATTAAAATAGGTCTTAAAATATTTAAAAAAATTCAGCATCACTGATAATTAGAGAAATGCAAATTAAAACTGCAATGAAATATTCTCATCTGTCATGAGAAGGTTGTGGCTGAGTTAAGAGATTGGCAAATCCCCACCCACCCTGCCCAAAAGCAACTGTAAATGCCATTCTGTAAACAAAAGGAATCAGGAACCCTTGGTGATGTGACTGATTTCAGAGCTGGGGCAGATAAAGTACAAGCTGAGCTCAGAAAGTGAAGTTGTGCCAGAGGATAAGGAAGTGGCTCAGAGAATGAATGGAACATGTCAAAAGGACACAGAAATTACCTTGAAGGAGCTGACCAAAATGCAGACAATTTAAACAACAAAATAAGTAATGATAGTAATGGAATATAACCCATAGAATAAAAATGAGTCATAAATAAATAAATGGAGAAGGAAAAATATTTCCTTAGAGTAAAATTCTATTTAATATATGTAGATGGATTGATGGGGTTAGAAAAATCACCATTTGGCAGCCACTAGTAATGGTTTCAGGCAGGAGTTTTCAGGGTTTGATAAAACTAGTTGCAAAATTATGATGGGAAACCTGGTATTACTATAGGTTCCAGGTATCTCCCCACAAGATACTTAACAGTGACAAAGGGAAAAAGTAATTTTACAGCTACTGGCAAACATGACCTTAAGCAACAGATCAGGGTTAACACACCAGTGACAGGACAAGCCACCATCGGGTGTGTACCTCCTAATAGTGGTCCACTGAGAAGAACAGTGTCATGTCTGTGGCTTCCTGTCAAAAGTGTATAAACTGAATCTCAGCACGAATAACAGGCAAACCCAGACTGGGAGGTGTTCTACAAAAATAACTGGCCTGCACTTCTTTAAACTCTGAAAAACGAATGAAGAACTATTCCACAGTTAAAGGCGACATGACAGCTACATACATGGTATGATCCTGGATTTAACTCTGGATCAGAAAATGGTTTTTGTGCTGTAAAGAATACAGGTAGGGCAATTAATGAAATCTGAAGATGGTCTGTAGATTATAGTATTGCATCAGTGTTGAGTTTCCAGTTTTCATAATTGCACTGTGGTTATGCAAGAGCACATCCATGTTTTAGGAAATACACACTGAAGCGTTTAGTAAAGGTACATCATATTTACAACTTAACCTTCAAGCATTTCAGGAATCTATATATATACATATACTCTGTCACACACATATATAAACATAAACAGATAATGATAAAGCAAATGTAAAATATCAACAGTTTAGAAAACAAGGTGTAGGTTATGCAGAAATTCTTTGTACTGTTTTTCTCAGTCTCTTATTAAGTGTGAAATTATTTCAAAATTAAACTATTTTGTAAAACTTTTTAAAAAAGATCTATGATTTTTTTTTTTTTTTTTAAAAAAGCACTCCCAGCTGGGCGTGGTGGCTCACGCCTGTAATCCTAGCATTTTGGGAGGCCAAGGTGGGCAGATCACCAGAGGTCAGGAGTTTGAGACCAGCCTAGCCAACATGGTAAAACCCCATCTCTACTAAAAGTACAAAAATTAGCTGGGCGTGGTGGCAGGCGCCTGTAATTTCAGCTACTTGGGAGGCTGAGGCAGGAGAATTGCCTTGAACCCAGGAGGCGGAGGTTGCAGTGAGCCAAGATCGTACCATTGCACTCTAGCCTGGGCAACAAGAGCGAAACTCCATCTCAAAAAAAAAAAAAACAAAAAAAACAACAACACTCTGTCATGGTTTAGTTTTATTTTTGGTGCTACATAAAGTAATGGTATGTCTTAATCTCACGCTGTCATATTCAATGAAATATGTATATTGTATTTTATGGAATGTATACTAGAAATATGCTATTAGGAACCAGTTTTATATTTGTATCTTATATCTACTTTGTAACCTTGGGTGAGATACTTAACATGTCTAATCTGCAGTTTCAGCACATGAATAGTAGTACATGTGTTGTAGGGTTGGGGAAAGTGTGAGATAAAACATTTAAAAGCTAGCAGATGTCTCAGCACTTAGTAAACATTCAATTTTGTATTTATATAAAAGTGATATTTGTAAAATCACAAATTTAAGTCAAAGAAGCAGGATGTGCACTTGCTCTGCTGCCTTGTATATCAAAGTGACATTCCAGAAAAGGAGATGCTGTGCATACTGGTACGTGGGTCCGTCGGGGAAAGTCTGATGGCTAATAGCTTTTAATTAGTTACACTGCCCTTAAGGCCAGAAATAATGTGAATAAGGGCCGTATGCAGTTTTTCTTGTTTCAAACAACAGTGTATATAAGGTTATAGTGTTTGAGCTATTCAGATGCTGGATGGTTTAAGAAGGTAGATTTATTTCTGAGATGTGCTTCAGAAAAGAAGTGTGATTTTCACATGGGTCTTCAAATAAGACAGCTAACCTTTGAAAGGATTTTAAGAATAAACATCATGTAACTGTTTTTTTTTTTTTTTTTTTTTTGCCAGGAAAAGGAACCTCTTCGTGTAATACCACTTAAAGAGGTTCATAAAGTCCAGGAATGTAAGCAAAGGTAAGGAACCGCTCTGACTTGATGCCTGGCACAAGTTATAAACACAGAATAGTGCCTTAGTTTGAGTAATGTACTTACAGATTACATTTTTCCATATTAATTGTAGTTATTTTTAACTCTTTATAGTTGAGATACACTAGAATTTTCAAAACCCTCAGAGTAAAGTATTGAACTACTTTGTTCATTTGAAAACTAAAAATTAGGAAAGAATCGTTTATTTGTTTCTTTGAAAACTAAAAATACAGAAACAGCTTACTAATGGAAAGGAATAAATTTAATGTGAACAACTTATGGTTAGGCCATCAGATTTGACAAATTGATGTATTAAGTGTTTAAAAGATGCAGTAGAATAGAGCTTCACAAGAAAATGTGTTAGCTGTGACAGTGTTTCACCAAACTGATTACTAAAAACTCTGAACTTTAAAGTTGCTTTGTGAACTTTTTCTAAAAGTGAAACTACATGAAATATGTAAAATCTTACATTAAAATAAATGGGAAAAGATAATTTGGGTTTGCTAAATCAGTGCTTTACCTCATTTATTTATTGACGCATACTGGGTACTGGGTAAACAAATGAAAGAGAAACTCAAACAACTGCTATTTAAGTATAATTGGATTTTTTTTTCATACAGCGACATAATGATGAGGGACAACCTCTTTGAAATTGTAACAACGTCTCGAACTTTCTATGTGCAGGTAAGATGCTTATTTGGCAATTAATAGATCCTCCTAAAAAGAAATTAATAATATTAGAGGTGAAATAAACATAAACAAGCTTGTTGCACTTGAGGTTAAAAAAATATGACAACTGTAATTCACCAGCTTAATAAAAGGGTACTGTATATAGAGTTATTGGTGGGGTTATATGTTCAGGAAGTGGGAGTATTTGTTATGAATTAGTGAACTAGAACTAAGTATTTAGAGAAAGGGAAATGCTTTTAATTTAGATGTTAAGTGTGTACTTTCAAGTTGGATTATTTTTGCACATGTTTTAGAATTTTGATTTTTCTATTATATCATTTTTTGGTAACCTTATTAAAAAAACCCATAGTAAAAGTAGACAGTAGATTTATATAGTTTCACTAATAGTAGGCATCCTGTATTTAAGTTTAAATTGTACTTTTTGCATACTTCATTGAATTATTTAAATGGAAAATTTTAAAAAAAGATTTGGGCCGGCTGTGTTGGCTCACACCTGTAATCCCAGCACTTTGGGAGGCCAAGGCAGGCACATCGCTTGAGTCCAGGAGTTCGAGACCAGCCTGGGCAACATGGCAAAACCCCATCTCTACTAAAAATACAAACATTAGCCAGCCGTGGTGGTGTGCAGGCTTGTAATCCTAGCAACTTGGGAGGCTGAGGCACGAGAATCGCTTGAACCCAGGAGGTGGTTACAGTGAGCTGAGATCGTGTTACTGCACTCCAGCCTGGGTGACAGAGACCCTGTCTCAAAAAAAAAAAAAAAAAAAAAATCAAAAAGGGATGATTTGTTTTTGTTTTATTGAAGTTAAATATGCTTATTCCAGAAAACTTGGAAAATATAGAAAGATTTCAGAAAAATGTGGCTTATAAAACATTCAGTCCCACATTGAGGCAACCATTCTTATGATTTTGCTCCCTTTCTTAAGGTATATATTTTTATAATAGGTGGGGTCATACTAAATATAGTGTTATATCCTATTTGTTTCATATATTGTTATTTTTTTCCCATGTCATTAAAAATTATCTGAAAACCTTTTAGAACTGCACCATACTCCATTGATGTTCCACCAGTAAATTGTGTCTGTATTACTCTGTTGCTGTATTGTGTCTGTGTTACTCTGTTCATGTGCATAGTTTTTGTACATTTACTGTAATAAAATGATGAAAAACATCTTTGTGCATTACTTTGCCTGATTTCTTTAGGGTAAGTTTCTAGATCGAGATTAACTATCAGAGCATGACCCTTTCTATTTTGTCAAATTGATTTCTAGAATTGTATTTCCATTAGTAATGAATGAAGTATACTCTACCTTTGGCTACTTGTATTTTTTTTTTTTTTTAGTCTTTGTTAATATTACTTATTCAAAAATATTCTGCATTTTAAACTTTTTCATATTTCTAGATTCTAGAAGTGTAAGGGATTCTAGAATCTAGAAACAAGAGGCAGTATCTCTGCACCCCGATTGGGGCCTTATTTAATTGGATTAATTTCATAGTAAGGTTTAAAATTCACATTGAAAGCCAGACGTATCTGTCAATACTTATTGTAGGATTTAGGGTACTACTAGAAATTATTTCCAGAAAAATATGTAAAAGAATGTCAGAATTTTTAAAAATTACACAACTACATAAATATTCTTGTAGCAGATTCAGACAGTGTAGCAGTAGGTAGAGTGAAATAAGAAGGGTTTTTCTTGGACTTCCTCCTCTCCTTGTTTTCTGTCTGGAGGTATTCATTATTGACGCCTGTTGATGGGTCTGATCTTGACATTGAAGTGCTCAATTTATGTCTCTGTGTAGTTAAGACCTAGCAAAACCTGGCTTTAAAAAAATGATTTCTAAATTTTTTGGAAACAGTTGCCTTAGAGTGATTTTGTTGATGACAGTATTTTAAGTTATCAAAATAAATACATTGGCTGTATAGAAGTAGGTGATTTTGAGAAAAAATTGTTTGAATGAGTTCTTTTTTCCTTTAGGCTGATAGCCCTGAAGAGATGCACAGTTGGATTAAAGCAGTCTCTGGCGCCATTGTAGCACAGCGGGGTCCCGGCAGATCTGCGTCTTCTGTAGGTTTCCTGCTCTCTGGGGTGATACTCCCTTGCGTCTCCCCCATCCTATCAAATTTCCTCTCTCCCAATCCATCCGGTTTCTTTCTTTCTTGAGATTTATTTGCATGTTGACTTTTATACCAATTGGACTTGCAAAAAATAATGCATTTCTAATTTAATGCTTCCTTGTAGTATTATGTATACATAACTTTCTGTGCATTGTATTGTGTTAAATGCACAAGTAGGGCAACTAAAGAATAAACATTTCCTTGCTTTGTTTTAGGAGTTCTTACTTGTCAGTAGCTCTAGATTTGGCATAATCTGACAGATTCTTAGTATGGTGTGTGATCAGGATCATGTAAGACTTTTAGTTGTAGCGTTACACAGTTTTGTGAACGTCTCAATTTCCTCTTTACTTCCTCTGATTTCAGTTCAGGTTTTTTGGTTTTGTTTTGTTTTTTACCTTTGGCTTAACCATGCCATCAGATCACTGAGCAGCTGGGGCCTTAAATACAGTTCAGTGCTCCCAGTGTTTCCATTTCATGTTTTAATTCTCATTTTAAAACCTGCTTTAACAGCCTGCTTCTGAAAACTACCATAATTATCTTTGTGGTAGTATGATAATAAAATTGAAATACAACTAAACATTCTGCTCAGAAATATTTTTTTAAAAGATTTTTCTTGTGTTCAAGTACATAAGAATTAGATTTGCATTTGGAATACTTTGGCCACTGATCTCAGGTCTGAAAATTTAAAGTATCTTAAAATGTAACACTGCCATCTGCGGAAAGTAGTCTCATATGTAGCATGATAGCCTTTATTATCTAGATTTACTATGACATATATGCTAGTTACTTACACTTTTAATATTTTTTTCTGATAGTATTATAATACCGCCTTTTATTAGTTTTCTGGTAGTGATAACTACAGATAAATAAATAGAAATCAATGTTTCTGATTTCTTAGTTGTTAAGTCATTCTCTCTTTATATCCTTTTTGAAATATCTAAGAAGTCACTTTCATAGATGTTCATTTTGTAACTGCCTGTATTTTATGTGACTTTTTCAGCAGTCAAGTATGAGACTCTCTGCAAAAACAGTGTCTGTTGGGAAGAGGAAAAGTTGGAGAAGGATGTTTGTGTTTTGTGCTTTGTGGTGGGGGCAGATTGGACTATCTAGCTATGACTGTCAGCACAACTTTCTCTTTTCCTCCCTCTACCCAGTATAGGTTAACTCTAATCTTAGCTTTGCACTGTGTTCCAGATGCGGCAGGCCAGAAGGCTGTCGAACCCTTGTATACAGAGGTATACATCAAGAGCTGGTGAATGCAGCACGTATGTGGGCTCTCACGCAAACGTGCCTTCTTAGTGGAGGGCCCAGACTTACTACTTACAACTGATCATAGAAAGTTGAGTTAACCAAACTGCCTTTTGCAGTTATCATAACTGATTTTGTCAATACTAACGCAAACTGTTTCACTGTAGTCATCAGGTTGGATATGTGTATTTAAAAATAAAAAATAAAACATACAACTTTACTAACAGAAAGAGACATTAACATATAAAAATTAATATACTCAACTGCTGCAAGAGTTTCAATTTTATATTATGTATTTAAAAATTTTTAAGATACAATACTTACGAAATGCACCATTGTTCTAATAATATATGCAAACTAATGCATGCATATGCATTGGATAAACTGTACATTACTATAGTTTGCATGGCATTTAAAAATCTCTGAAATTTAGCCATCTAATAGGACTCTGTAGTGTTTTGGTAATTTGTAGCACTTTGATTTCAAAGCCACTGGTATCATAAATGAATATAATATACTAGTATATAGCAATGTATTTAGAATGGTCATATTTAAGGATATTTTCAGATTTGATCTAGTTAGAAGCATATTGAAATTAACATTCTCAACTACTAATTATTTCACCACAGTTTAAAATGTGATAAATGTGTACCCTTTGTTACCTTTAAAATATTAAGCCATATGAATATATGACCTATTCAGAACTAAAATTAAGTAAAAAATGAAAAGACTGTGCTATTATTGGTTGCAGTGAAATTCAGGGAAGTAAAAACTAAGTCTTATCAGCAGAATAATGTTTGAAAGATGATTCGTGCTTATTAAAGAAATATGGCCTTTCATTGTTATAGTCTATATTTTAATTTTTTTCATTCTAAAATATGTGGGATAATTCCTAGTGTTGACTGAGAATATACTCTTAAATAAAATGATACAGCTGGGAGGTTCTCTTTTAAACACAGTTCAGTTGCAGCTGGAACACTGTATTTCAGTTTAGGTTGGCTGAATCTTCAAAGTGTCATAGGCTGCCAAATTCAGCTTTGGTGACGGAACTGGTTTCCTAGTGGAAATGGTTTTTGGCTATCATTGCTTTAAACTCACCTCTAAAAACGCGTTGCTTTGGGAAAGAACTTGCACATTTATGCTGCATGGCTTCTGCTGCTGCCTTTGTGTGTGTGTGTGTGTGTGTGTGTGTGTGTGTGTGTTTTATTTGTTTTTCAGAGAATCAAGTCTCACACTGAGTTACTAACCTGGTCATGAGTGACTGACCGTGTCTGACTGCCACTCCTTTTTGCAGGAGCATCCCCCCGGTCCTTCAGAATCCAAACACGCTTTCCGTCCTACCAACGCAGCCACCGCCACCTCACATTCCACAGCCTCTCGCAGCAACTCTTTGGTCTCAACCTTTACCATGGAGAAGCGAGGATTTTACGAGTCTCTTGCCAAGGTCAAGCCAGGGAACTTCAAGGTCCAGACTGTCTCTCCAAGAGAACCAGCTTCCAAAGTGACTGAACAAGCTCTGTTAAGACCTCAAAGTAAAAATGGCCCTCAGGAAAAAGATTGTGACCTAGTAGACTTGGACGATGCGAGCCTTCCGGTCAGTGACGTGTGAGGCAGAAGCGCACGGAGCCTGCCTGCCTCTGCCGTCCTCAGTTTCCTTTCATGAGGCTTCTAGCCAAAGATGATAAAGGGGGAAATGGTTTTTAGTGCGTATATTATACTGCCTCTTAGGTGTACTCTTTATAAGCTGGTAAACCAAGAATCTAGGGAGTGGCCAAACTAAATATAATTTCTTTAAAAAAGAAAGAAAAAGGAAAAATCCAAAATATCTCAGTATCATCTGTCTGAAGCATTGTGTGTTCTCATTCGGGTGGTAACAATGTATGTGTAATATTTTTTTCTTAGTGATTTTGACAGTTTAAATGTTTAACAACTTAAAGCATTAAAAATGCTTATTAATAACTTTGGTCATTTAAAAAATGCTACAATGACTTCCTATTAAAGGTTCAATATTTACACATTCTTATTGGTTGATATTACCACATGAAATATTGCCAGACCAAGATACCTAAACTCATGATGTCTGTGGTGCTGTAAAATTTATACTAAAATGTGGACTATTTTGAAATTATAACCATTTTTGATGCCCTGAATCTTGAGGTGACTTATTTTGCATAGAGGATATGGATAGACCAACAGTAAGGGTTGTGGGTTATACCGGCATAGAGAAAAGAAGAAAACTAGAATTGAAACAACTGTGTCTTAGACATTTGTTTGAAAAAGCTTCATCAGGCCTTGGAGCAGTCACTGCTTTATTCCGCAAAAATTATTTGGTAGGAAATTTTTGGGAGATCTGATTTTCTTATCCAAGTTTTGTAAATAGTTGTTATTTCTATATTTGGATTGGTGAAAGACCTCAAGTTTATATGTAAAGACATAACTGCCCTTAGTCATGAAATTGTTGTGACCTCTACTTTTTGTCACTAATAGCCTACATTCAAGTGCCTGTGTTTTTTCATCTTGTTTAGGAATGTTTTGAGATTAATGTGCTTAAAAGTCCTACGTGACTGATTTTAAACATTGTGATAAAATTAATTTTCAGTAGAATAGTTGAATGTGTTAAGATAGGATTTTATGTTAGAGATACCAGAATGCTGGTATTCTACTACTTGTGCAATATATATGTTTTAAAAAACAAATTTGAGAATACATTTAATCATAGGGATATAGATATAAGCACCTCTCTAAAGAATCTTTAGTTTCCGACGTTGAATTATAGACCAGTTTGAGTAAGTACTGCTTTTTTTTTTTGGAGACGGGCTCTCGCTCTGTTGCTCAGGCTGGAGTGCAGTGGCGTGATCTCAGCTCACTACAGCCTCCACCTCGTGGGTTCAAACAGTTGTGCTGCCTCAGCTTCCCGAGTAGCTAGGATTACAGGTGCATGCCACCACACCTGGCTAATTTTTGTATTTTAGTAGAGATGGGGTTTCACCATGTTGGCCAGGCTCGTCTCGAACTCCTGACTTCAGGTGATCCACCCATCTCAGCCTCCCAAAGTGCTGGGATTACAGGCGTGAGCCACCATGCCCGGCCCATAAGTACCGTTTTTGAGGTTCAGTCTTAAACATTTGCTTTAAGAAAACAGTCTTGAATTTCACATGCTGCTATTTTTATATTTTGCCATTTTACAGTACTGTTTTGTTTTGAATTCATGCATATCATTGAAAATTTCTCGTTTTCATTTTCTTAGATGACTTCTTGTCTGAGACAGAAAAATTTCCTACTACAGCAGTGCAGTCCAGAGGTTAAGATGTATTAGAATTATACAATATCAGTTTAAAAATCTGTATGCATAAAGAATGCACCACTCAACTTTTTTATTCATAAGCTAATATTTTTTTAAAGTTACATTAAGATTTTTTCTCTTTTGCAGCTACATTTGAAAGTGATAGAATAAAGAGATTTTAATGAGTTATCACTTTTTCAGCTGATATATTCATTTTAATGGCTTTTTTGAAAGTTCCTTTTTCATGAACACACCCGAGAAATCTTAAATAGACACTTTGCAATATTTAAGAACCTAATGCTGTTTAATTTTGGTACAGCTTCCACATTGCATGTTCACTTTAGTATTTGCAATTTGATATATTTCATGGTGGCAAAATATTAGCTCTGTTTTGGGACATTTTAAAATAGAACTATCCTTGTTCGATAGCATAGGAAAATGTTCTGGTGATTGTCAGGGTCTCCTAATATTTATCTCAATTCTTTTATAAGTCTATGGAAATTATTTAATTATTTTAAAACGTACACACTTTTCTTGTAAATATGTCACATCTGAGTTCAAAAAAATTACTTTGAATACCTTAATATTTGCTGCATTTTTTTCCGTATATATAACATGTCTTCTTTCAGAATGGGAATATATGTGTGCCTCCCAACATTTACTGTTAAAGTGTGTTATCTTTATATGTCAAACTGGTTGAACACTGTAATGAGAATAAACTGCACAGAGTTTATTCTGACTTATTTCTCATTTTGTTTGGTTCAGCCCTTGTGTGATGAAGTAAATACAATGATTAGGGGTGTGTTTGGTTAATTGACTTCAGTTTACATATTTAAGGACAGAGTAATTATTTGGTCATCTTTGCAAGAATAAGAAACTTCAGATCTGTGAATTCTTAATGCATCCCTGCATGTGAAATTATAGAAGGAAAAATGATTTTTTTTTGATAGGGGAAAGAACTTGCTTATTTTTCTTAATTAAAAAACATGTTCTCAAAAGCAGAATTATCATATGTTAGCCTCAGAGCATCGTGTGGATCATCTGGGCTGCTCACAGTGCTCCATGATTATTTAGACGGCATGATGTAAGGCGGAAAGCAGAGGGCATCTTAATCTCCGGGTGGGCAGTTGAGATGCACTCAAAAAACTATGTCGGGTGTTAGAGGCTGCTCCTTGCAAACGTTCCCTATTGGTGATAAATATTCCACGTCTGTTGCGGTGAACACCATATACAGGGCCTAGTGCAGTGCTTGGTGCACTTGGTAAAGCTTAAATACTTCTCCAGTGAGGACAAGGCATTACTGTAGAATGTGTGAACTTCCCACATTAGAGAAAAGTGTATACCTATTTGTTAGATAAATTGTACTTTTGAATTTCTGGAATATTCTTTCCTTAAAGCAACTTGCCTTCAATGATTCGAGATACCTTCTTTTGCTTGTTGTGTCTAATCCATTGTCAGATCCTGCTGCTTTTCCCTGGCATGTTCATACCTTGTTCTCTGAAATTCAGCCGGGAATGACTTTGAACCAGTATGTCTGCTCACCTATTCATGTCCTGTTGGGGCTCTCCTGGACTACCCTATTCCTGTCATTGTGCAGAGTAGGTATCAAAGTAGACATCTTCATCTGTTGCCTTTTCCTGAAAAGCTGAATGACGACTTAAAGATCAGCTAGGCCAAGCCCCCACCATCAATGCTAACTGAGATAAATTGAGACCCCAGAAAGGAGGAGGATTTGCCTGGCCCATGGGGCACGTTAGCAACGAAGCTGTAACTGTTGGCTTCTCACTGTACTTGGGAGCATCATTAGGATCTGTGCCCAGGGTGTAGCTAGAGTAATCCAGCCAAATATACCAGGTTGCTTCCTAATAACCTATGGCATTCCGCACCTCCTCTCCAAAACACATAGGCTTAGTGTTCTTTTTTTTTTTCTCAGTCTTTTTCTGAAGGCCATTTGTTGTGTGAAATGGCTTTCTTCATCTTAGACCTTCAGATCTCTGTTGAATCAAGTGACTTGTGAATGTCTAGCCATGCAACAGCAGCTCACGTACTTCCTGTGTGTGTTCTAATATGCTGCTGCTACAAATGGATGGAATACATTGTCCTAGAATGCAAGGACCTTGAGGTTTGTGTCTGCGTTTCACCTGTTAGGTTTTCTGTAGTTCTGTTAGACGATGGATATGTTTATGTTTGATACCCCTTTATTGCAGCATGTTCAGCACTTTCAAAAAGGAGAGCATTTAGTATTTGGTTCTATTTAGGAAGGGCTTTTAATTATTTCCAAGAACTTATCTAGGTTTAGCAAATGAAGCTTTAATTTTTTTAGTATGTCCTACCTATTTTTCTGAAATATTATTTTCTTACCAAAAGTGCCATTGCGTGTGTAAGCCATGTTTTCTTGTTCACGCCAGCCATGGGAGGTGATAATAGCCTGGGTAACAATTTCAGTCATACTTGTCCAGGAGCCTGCTTCCTTGAAAGTGACTGATGTTCCGGTGTTCCTTTCTTTCCCATTGGGTCTTGGACACCTGATTGTTACCATGGTGTTTGTCCACTGCTGCTATGGTCTTGTTGATGCTGCTCCAAATATGTAGCTGTGTTTTCTGGATACATAATTTTTATTTAAAGCTTATTCCTGGACACATTTTGTCCATTTTTGAAAAGATCTAAACTAATTTGACTAGTAGAATTAGGCTAACAATACATGGTTCAAGGAAAAATACTGCCTTTTGTAATAAAAGTTTCTTCTTGCCTAGTGTCTCATTGGTCTGAATATAATGGCTGTCTTAGACCCGGCATCCTGGCGCCTGTCTTCAACTCTAGTTCTGCCGTATGTGACTTTAGGCAAGTGTGTGTGTTTCGGAACTTCATTTTCTACATTATATAAAATGGAATTGGATAAAAGCTACATCTGTCTTGGTAATTATTATTATTAACTGATGCAACTTTTTTTCCTTTGAAAAGTATTTTTTTTATTATTTAAGTTTTAGGGTACATGTGCACAATGTGCAGGTTAGTTACATATGTATACATGTGCCATGCTGGTGTGCTGCACCCATTAACTCGTCATTTAGCATTAGGTATATCTCCTAATGCTATCCCTCCCCCCTCCCCCCACCCCCCAACAGTCCCCAGAGTGTGATGTTCCCCTTCCTGTGTCCATGTGTTCTCATTGTTCAATTCCCATCTATGAGTGAGAACATGCGGTGTTTGGTTTTTTGTCCTTGCGATAGTTTACTGAGAATGATGATTTCCAATTTCATCCATGTCCCTACAAAGGACATGAACTCATCATTTTTTATGGCTGCATAGTATTCCATGGTGTATATGTGCCACATTTTCTTAATCCAGTCGATCATTGTTGGACATTTGGGAAAAGTATTTTTAATGTTTTTATCCTAAACCCAAAATAAGAAGGGAAAGCTGTAAACATTTTTGCTTTAACAAAAAGGAAATCCCTTTCTTAGCTTTTCTTTCACTTCTAGTTGCAGTTCAGGAATTTTCTGTAAGTGGTGCTTGTACCTTTATCAAAAGTTCTGTTAACAGTTGGTGAGGCAAGAAATATTTGTATCAAAAATGCAAAGATATGACAGCTTAATACCAGATCTCAGTGTTCAGAAGTTTAGTCCATATAGGATTTGTGTATGTTATCTATTTTTTAAATGATTAAATTGTATGTTTTAAACCTCAAGTAAGACACATGTTGAAAATATGGCTGAATTGAGGCTAGCATTTACAGTTTTGATTGATGAAATCTGTATTTTTTGATACATTTAATAGTGCCTTACTGTGGTATATTCATGTGGTAATAGCGCCACCTTCTGGTTATATCATTGCTAAATTTAAAATTTGGAAATTTGGAGTCTGTTTATTGCCTCCATCGTAGAAAATTAGATAAGATATGTGATTGCCTAGGATAGTTTTGAAATTAATATAAAATTCAAACTAACATTTACAAATTATAAATTTTTTATTTAGAGATGATTGTAGGTTCACATATAGTTGTAAGAAATAAAACTTTCCAAACTTTCAAAATGGGGAATATTTAGTATTTGGTCCTATTTGGAAAGAGCTTTAATTATTTCCAAGAACTTACCTGGGTTTAGAAAATGAAGTTTTGGTTTTTTAATTATGTCCTACCTGTCAATTTCTGTTTCTGTAAGAAATAATGTAGACCCACACGCCTGTAGTCCCAGCTATTCAGGAAGCTGAGGCAATTGGAACACTTGAGCTTAGGGGTTTGAGATCAGCCTGGGCAGAATAATGAGACACCATCTCAAAAAAAAAAAAAGAAAAGAAAAAGATATTGTGTACCCTTTACTCAGTTTCCCCCCAACAGCATCTTGAAAAACTAATACAATATTATAACCAAGATACTGACACTGATACAGTCAAGATGCAGAACAGTTCCATCATCACAAAGGCCCCTCTTTGTTGTTCTTTTTATAGTCACATCCATCTCCTATTCTGCAGGTTTGGAAGCAGACTTAGCCACTTGTCCAGAGTCAGATTAGGCTTGAAATGTATCTTTCTGATACCAAAGTTTGGGCTCTTAACACACTACTTCTACTGTCTCAGTAGAAGTCTTGAAAACTTCTCTTTTAAAATAGTACTTCCAGATTACTAAATGAGTTGAATTCAGTCTGTTTTCAACATTTCTAGAACCATACTATTTCAAATGACATATTATTTATACATACCTTTAAATTTAACATTTGAGAATCAATCATAGGTACGTATCAAATTACAACTTCCCTGAAAGATTTCAAGCCCTGACATTTGATAAATAAGGTTACCAGAATAAATAGTAAGTAACAGATTGAAATAGCTTTAAGATGCTGGATTCTTGCTTTGGAAACAGCTATAGGGCCTGGTTATAAAGATAATCACTTGGTATAGGCTAACAGGTTTTTTCCATGTGGAGAAGCTTTGACCTGATGGAGTTGGGTCAATTGGTGTCTTCAGTGTACGACATGCAGCACACAGGAGACCTAAGAAGACGACAAAGATGTCCACGAGGAATCTGCCGAAAGAAAATATAAAGTAATATGTGATAAAATCTAGCATGGAAAACTACGCATCAGAGACTGAGATGGCCCATGGGTGATGGTGTGGGTAAGATAAGTGTTGTGATGGAGAGGGCCTTTGGGGGGTCCCATGAGAGAAAAAGGTACTTCTAAGTAAAAGCCATGTGACTTTATAAATTTCTAAATGTTGATTCAGGGGTCCTAAGTGATGGAGAAAGTTTACATTGTTCTCTTAAGGCTCCATTGCCTCTTTCCCTCCCGAACTGTGGTATGTATACCTCTAATGCACGTTTTCTTTAGTGGGGAGGAAAGGAGGGGCTGTGGAGAACTTTCCATGGTCAGGAACTTACATCAGCCTTTTTTTTTTTTTTTTTTTTGCCTGTCTTTGGTACCTTATCTTCATGTTATGAATGTAACCTATTCCCTGTGGAAACATTTATTATTATTTCCAAATAGGGCCTTTGGTCCCAATGGCGTCTGTTTCTTTTTGACTTCTACATACGTCATGCTCACGGTCTTGGTTCGTATTGTCACTCATGCCATTTTTTCTTCCCATTTGCTTTTTGCCTGTCTAGTTTGAAGGTGGAAGATTTTCCGATGAATCAGATATGGCAAGTGAAAGGAAGTGAAGAATTAAGGGTAATGACAAGGTTTTCAGCCCGAACAACTAGAAGCCATGAACTGAGGTAGCAAAGATTGCAGGTAGAGCAGGTTTGATGGAAAAGATCATGATTGCAGTATTGGTTGCAGTATTGAGTGTTAGGGTTGACATGTCAGACATCCAAGTAGAAATGGCAGGCAGGCAGTTGGATATGCAAATTTGGAATTGAGAGAAATCATTATTGGAAATAAAAATGTGGGAGTCTTCAAAGTATTCGGTGCTATTGAAGGCTTTGAAACTGGATGAGATCATCTTTAGAGAGAATGAAGATGAAAGAAGAAAAGAGAACCATGGAATGAGCCCTGGGGCGCTCCAATATTAAGAGCTTTGGAAGAAGAGGAGGAAGTAGCCATGATGAATGAGAAGGTGTGACCACCACATCAACAGGATATCAAGAGTACGTTGTGTCTTAGAAGCCAAGTGAAGAAAATGAAGTGAGGAGGAGATCGGATGTTTCAAATTCTGCTCGCAGGTCAAGTTAAGAGGCAGCCTGAGAAATGCCCTTTGTGTTTGGCAACGTGGACAGTACAGATGTCATTGGTGATCTTGCCAGGGCCTGTTCTGATGGAGTGGTGGGGACAAATAGAACTCTTTTTGAGGCATTTTGCTGCAAGAGGACTGGAGAAAGGTGACGGTTGCTAGTAGCAAAAGTAGTCTTTTCTTCTTAAGACAGTGGCTTGGCCAGACACGGTGGTTCACGCCTGTAATCCCAGTTTTGGAGGTCTAGGTGGGAGAATAGCTTGAATCTAGGAGTTCAAGACCATCCTGGGCAACATGGCAAAATCCCATTTCTACAAAAAATACAAAAATTAGCAGGGTGTGGTGGCGTGCATCTGTAGTCCCAGCTACTTGGGAGGCTGAGGCGGGAGGATCACCTGAGCCTGGGGAGGTTGAGGCCACAGTGAGCTGTGATTGTGCCACTGCACTCTAGCCTGGGTGATAGAGTGAGTCACTGTCTCAAAAAACAAACAGAAAACAATAACAAAAGATGGTGGCTTATTTGTTGATGAAATGACCCAGTAGGAAAAGAAAGATTGATGATGTAGAAGAGTACAGAATTGTTGGAACAAGTCCTTGAGGAGGTGAGATGAGATGGAAGCTAGGGCACAAGTTGGCTTGACTTCTTCAAATGCACAGGTGTTTATCTGGGGTAGGAAGGCACAGTATGTGGTGCAGCCACTGGTTAAGTGGGTAGACGTGGAGGGGTAAGTCTCTGAAAGTCTCTGCCTTAGTCTCAGTAAACTAGGAAACAAAATTCGCAACTGCAAGTAAGGTGGGGAAAGGTGTGAAAGGCATGAGAGAATAGATGTCTAGGATTGGGGAGAAGGAATGGACTAGGGACATTTAGGATATTCTGAGCAGCACTGAAAACCCACTGAGCTCTGTGTGCATGAATGACAGTGTTCAATAACTGATAACTGTAGTCATTTTTGTCACGCTCCTGACTTCAGTGGAAAAGCCTCTAGTGCAGGCATGTCCAATCTTTTGGCTTCCCTGGGCCCCAGTGGAAGAAGAAGAATTGTCTTGGGTCATACATGAAATACACTAACATTAATGATAGCTGATGAGCTAAAAAAAAAAAAATCGCAAAAAAATCTCATAATGTTTTTAAGAAAGTTTACAAATCTGTGTTGGGCCGCATTCAAAGCCGTCCTGGGCCACATGCGGCCCGTGGGCTGTGGGTTGGACAAGCTTGCTCTAGTGGTTCCCCATGCTGCTGGCTTTTGGGCTGAGAAATATTTTATCAGGTTAAAGAAGTATCCAACTATTCATATTTTGTTGAGTTTTTTTCTTAAGAATGGTGATTGAATTTTGTTAAATATCTTCAATATGTCTGGAAATAATATTTTTATCCCTCTTTAATTTGGTGAAAGCTGTTAATCCAGTTCTCAATATTTAACCATCATTACATTTCTGGAATAAATCCCATTTGGTCAAGATATGTTATTTTAAAAATCTGCTAGATTTTGTTTGCTATTAGGGATTTTTGCATAAATATAAATGATACTGGTCTGCATTTTTCTTTTGTGTAGCTCTAGTCTTTGTAGGTTTTGTGGTGTTTTACTAGCTTCATAGAAAATACTTGAAAGGTTTTTTTTTTTTTTTAAATTTTAAGCTGTTACAGAACAGCTTCAAAAGAATTGGTATTCTAGGCTGGGCACAGTGGCTCACGCCTGTAATCCTAGCATTTTGGGAGGCCAAGGCATTTCTCAGGCTGGATCACCTGAGGTCAGGAGTTCGAGACTAGCCTGCTCAACATGGCGAAACCCTGTCTCTACTAAAAATACAAAAAATTAGCCAGGCATGGTGGCAGGTGCCTGTAATCCCAGCTACGTGGGAGGCTGAGGCAGGAGAATTGCTTGAACCCGGGAGGCAGAGGTTGCAGTAAGCTGAGATGGTGCCACTACACTCCAGCCTGGGTGACAAGAGTGAAACTCCATCTCAAAAAAAAAAAGTTGGTATTCTATACTCCTTAAAGAGTTAGTGGACTTCCGCTAGGAAATCCTCTCAACCTGGTGCTCTTTTGAGGGTGTGCCATTGACAACCTCCTCATTTCCTCTATGAGAATTGATATGCTTAGGCTTTCTATCTTTTCTGGGGTCAGTTTTGATCAATTATATCCATAGAAAATTATACATTTTATCTAAGTTTTTAAATGTATTTGCATGGAGCTGAGCACAATATACAGAACTTATTTAAGGAGAAATGCATTACTGCAGATCCCACTTTGTTCTTCAACTCAAAATATCCAATGCTGTGAAGATTGCTTATATGACAAGTTGTGCTATCTTCTGATTTTTACCTGGAAGCAATGTGATCACAAACATACCACCAGATTAAAGTGGTAGTACTCAGGTAACAGGAGGCCATCCAAATTAAATTTAGGAGTCTTTAAAAAATTATCAAAATTCAATGTAAAAAGTATAATTTCTTGTAAAGAACATGTGGTTCCTGGAGAACATGTCTAGGTTCCCCATTTGAGAAACACTGTCCTAGTGAATAGCATTTGAACTTATCCTACGTTCATTGCCCTTCCATGTCCACCTTCTCACACAGTGCTTCTGTGTATATCTGGCACTCCAGTTCAACTGAACCTTTCCATCTCCCTGTTTCCCACCTTCCTGCTATTATTTGTGCTGTTTCTTCTGCCTGGAACGCCACTTTCCTAATAATTGTTGCCTGTTAATTCCACACCTTCAATTCTCACCAAAATGCCACTTTCTCCTTGAAGTGTTGGAATTGCTTTCTCATCTTTCCCATCACACAAGCCTTGGTGACCCCAAAACACTGGATTCCCTTCTCCCTTCCCATGCCAACGTTCAGTACAGTTCATTGGAACAGAATTCACTTTAAGCTTTGCTCTTAAACTTTGGCCTAGTAAATAGCTTTTCTCCTTTCACTGTAGTCCCTTTTAAAAGCCAAAGACTTCAAAATTTGGAAGAGATTAGAAAATGAAAACAGTCCAAATCCAGCTCTTTGTTGATTAGATTGGCCCAAAGGGGACATAAATAAGACAAGCAAAATGCAAACGAATTCTAGTAGTAATGGCCACTGTATAAGCACTGCACCAGTGCAGTGGTTTCAGCAGCTGGTCCTGGGCCCCTTTCATACTTAATGTATGTTTGGTTTTACGTTTAATTTTAGGTGCTAACAATTACCTCATGGGCCCCTCTTAAGTCTGCTGTGAGAGAAATCCTAATCCCCTAAGGCAGTGGTTCTCAAAGTGTGGTCCCTGAGACCAACAATGTCAACATTACTGAGAACTTGCTAGAAGTGCAAATTATTGCTCCCATCCCAGTCCTACTGAATCAGATTTTCTGGGATTAGGGCAGGCAATCTGTTTTAACAAGGCCTACAGGTGATTCTGACATCCATTAAAGTTTGAGATCGGCTGGGCATGGTTGCTCACACCTATAATCGCAGCACTTTGGGAAGCCGAGGCGAGAAGATTGCTTGAGTTCAGGAGTTCGAGATGAGCCTAGGTAACATAGTGAGACATCGTCTCTACTAAAATTCAAAAAGAATTAGGCATGGTGGTGTGTGTCTGTAGTCCCAGCGACTTGCATTGCGTGCTGAGGTGAGAGGATCGCTTGAGCCTGGGAGATCAAGGCTGCAGTGAGCCCTGAGTGTCACTGCACTCCAGCCTGGGCAACAGAGTGAGACCCTGTCTCAAAAAAAAAAAAAGTTTGAGATCCTCTGCCCTAAGATATCCATTATCCATTACATGTAAGGAATTAACTTCTCTCCTATGCGACCAGGATGGCCTTTGTTACATAGTATCCTTAGAGCTGAGAAAACAGTTACCTAAATCACTGCCTGTGTTCTGTGGTTCAGATAAAGAACCCACTGAAAGAGGCTGCGTGCATGAACCGGCTCTGACCAACTGAACATGAAACACAGGTTGGAATAAAAATATTTTTTTATTTGATGGTCTTCCATATAGACAGAATTTCATCAGGAATCAAAGAAAGGTGGTTACCACATATAAACACCAACTAAACTCTGAGCTTTCTGGCAACTGAAAAGGAAAACGTTGAGTTCTAGAATAGCCTTTGTTGTTTGATGCAACTAACCATATCACCTTTTAGAGCTAGAGAACCGTCCAGGTATTAAATGTTTGGAATCTTTTATGATGTGGATTGTGCTACAGGGGACACTGAGTAACGTGGGGACCAATGTCCTTCACAGTTTTTGTAGAAAAATTTTTAGGTGGTCTTCCATATTCACCCTTAGAAGCAAGGACAACCCTTCGAGTGTAATTCCGTGGAGATGATTTCCTTCTGACTCAAACACCCATAGCTTCCCTGTCTGTCCATTTCGTGAGCTCCTCATTACCTTCCATGACTCACTTTTCCATGTGACACGGAGCCTCCCTGGCTTCCACTGCTGATACTGACCATTCCTTTCTTTGTTCTCTATGCTGCCGTGGACACAGAGCCACCATCGCTGTTAACTGTACTAGAGTCTTTACTTTTTTTTTCTTTTGTGAGCCTAAGCCTTCCTCAAGACAAGAATCTTTGTTTTGTTTAAAAAAAGAATAGCCTTAATGTTTTTTTTTCTGATTTTAAAGTGAACACCCTATTGTAGAACATCCATGTAAGCAAAAAGAAAAAAAATAAAAATGATTTGTAATTTCTCCAAGAAATGACCTGTGTTGACATTTCAGTGATTATACTTCCAAGTCTTTTACTAAATGTGTACGTAAATAGCTTTATTTTTGTGTGTGTAAAAATCTGTAGCCTCTGTAAACAAGCCAAATGTCATATACACCCCACACAAAACAATAAAAGCAAAAATCACCAGACTTCTCATGACTCGACTTTGTTCTGGATGGCTCTTTGTGCTTATTTACACATAGACATTGGCAAGTTGACATATTTGGGACCATGCCATACATGTTGTTTTGTAGCCTGTTTTCCATGTAGCAGTATGTTACAGACACCCTCACTTATCAATAAATATATGGACACCACTATTTATAAAGGCTTAAACTTTGGTCTTCCCTTGTGTATTTATACAGAAAAAAACTTTAACCATTCCTTTACTGGACATTTTGATTGTTTCTACTTCTTCACTTTTTTTTTTTTTTTTTTTTTGAGACGGAGTCTTGCTCCGTCGCCCAGGCTGGAGTGCAGTGGTGCCATCTTGGCTCACTGCCAGCTCCACCTCCCGGGTTCATGCCATTCTCCTGCTTCAGCCTCCCGAGTACCTGGGACTACGGTGCCTGCCACCACGCTCAGCTAAGTTTTTGTATTTTTTTTTCAGTAGAGACGGGGTTTCACCGTGTTAGCCAGGTTGGTCTGGATCTCCTGACTTCATGATCTGCCCGCCTTGGCCTCCCAAAGTGCTGGGATTACAGGCGTGAGCCACCACGCCCGGCCATTCACTATTTTAACAATACTGCAGGCCATGTCTTTTCTCCACTAGTAATACACTCCCAGGCATGGGTTTGTTGCTCTCAAAGGTATATGCACTTCCTACCATGGTCAAATGACATAGGAAGGATGTACAAATTTATGCTCCCATCAGTAGTGCATAACAGTGCAGGCCGGGCATGGTGGCTTACGCCTGTAATCCCAGCACTTTGGGAGGCTGAGGTGGAGAGATCACCTGAGGTTGGGAGTTCGAGATCAGTCTCACCAACATGGAGAAACCCCATCTCTACTAAAAATACAAAATTGGCCGGATGTGGTGGCACATTCCTGTAATCCTAGCTACTTGGGAGGCTGAGGCAGGAGAATCGCTTGAACCCGGGAGGCGGAGGTTGCAGTGAGCCGAGATCATACCATTGCACTCCAGCCTGGGCAACAAGAGCGAAACTGCGTCTCAAAAAAAAAAAAAAGTGCCCATTTCCGCACATCCTTGACAGTACTGGGTTTTGTCCATACTTTTAATTTTTGGCAATCTGATTAAAGAAAAATGATATATTATGATTTTTATATTTATTTGAAAACTATAAGGTTTTTTTAAATGTTAACATTTCTATTTATCCTTTTTGTGAATTGCCTGTTTTTATCACAAGCTTTTCATTGCTGTTTGAAGTTTTCTTATTTATTTCTAAGAATCCTTTATATATAAACTATTAATCTTTTTTCTGTATTTACTTATCTTTGTCCTGTATTGAAATATTCTCGTTCATCATTTGTCTCTTATTTTAAATATGGTTATTTTAAATTTCTTTTTGGATTTAGCCTTTGTTGTCACACTTAATAATTTACCACACAAAGGTTTTATATATATACTTATAATACCTTTCAATACATGTATTTTAATTTTTTACTTCTAAAAGTTAAATACATGTGGAATAATTTTGGCAAATAGCATAGAGATCTAATATACTTTTCTACCTCATACCTGAAATTCAGCCAGTTTTCTCTATGCTATTTGTTTTTAAAATCTATTTCTCCCATTGATTTGGAATATTACTTATATCAGGCACTGATTACTTACACAGGAGTCCATTTCTCAACTTTTTATAGCACTAATGTGAATATTTCTCTATAGTATTATATATTAGTAATTATTATTTATAACATATTTTAATATCTGATAGAAATGTTTTTCTATTCTCAGTATTCTTGAACTTCCAACTGCTTATTTTGAAGTTCCAAAAAATTCTACTTTTAAAAACTTGGAATTACATTAAGTTTTTAATATTGTCAGGATGCTTGTTCCTGTAAACCTGAGATGAAACTCAGAGTCTAGCTGTCTTAGTCCATTTGGGGTGCTGTACAAAAATACCATAGACTGGGTGATTTATAAACAACAGAAATCTATTTCTTACATTTCTGGAGGCTGAGAAGTCCAAGATCAAGGTGTCAGCAGACTTGGTGTCTGGTGAGGGTTGCTCTCTGCTTCATAGACGGCTCATTGTTGCTGTGTCCTCACATGGCAGAAGGGGTGAAGGAGCTCGCTTGAGCCTCTTTTATATGGGCAGTAATCGCATTTATGAAGGTAGAGCCCTCACGACAATAACTCCCCAAAAGGTACCCCCCTTCCCAAACGCTATCACATTGGGCATCAGGTTCCATATGCATTTTGGGAGGACACCAACAGTCAGACTGTGGCACTAGCTGTGTTTGGTGACTGTGGACAGATGATTCTCCCACCTACGGATTTTCCAGGTAACTGTTTGTCTTTGGAGGAAGGAGATTTGCCTTGAGGAGGCTGTGTACAAGGAAGGAGAGGAAGATTGGATTGGTGCTCTGAAGATAGAGAAGGCTGTGAATAAAATCTGCATTTTGAAGATAGGGAAGACAAGAAGTCCTGTTCTTCAGGACAATGGTGGCAGAATGGGGCACAGAGAAGAGCACTGTCCCCATTTCTGTGGCACCTGGTACAGACAAGAGCCACAAGGGCTGCCACCCCTGACATGCCATTGGTCACTCCAAATCAGTGCTGTGCAGGGGCTGGCTCCTGAGACCCAACTGTTAAATTTCCAAGAATTTTCCAAGCTGGTTGTTAAACAGAACCATTATTAAAAATTAAACGTATAAACTTACAATTAAATGAGTTATGTGAGGAACAAAGGTAATGAATATTCAAAATTCATCATTTGTTAGTCATTTCACTACACCTTACTACAATCTATGCTTATTTACATCTGTTGTTGTCTATATGGTGGAAATACTAGGTAATGATATGCTACTGTACATCCTTCCTAATTCCACATTCAGTGATGGCAGACTTGACACTGGCACAGTGGGAGTATTTACACCATGAAAGTTGGCAAATGCTACAAATTAGGACTTGATTGATTGTTTTCCTGATTGTCTAGAGGAGGGGATGGCAAATTTTTATGTAAAGGGCCAGACAGCGTTTCAGGCTTTGTAGGCCACACAGTCTCTGTCACAATGACTAATTCTGCTCTTACAGAGCAAAAGCATAGAAAATACCTAAATGCATGAGTGAGCCTGGGTTTTTGTACTAACTTTATTTGTGGATACTGAAGTTTAAACTTCATATAATTTTCATGTGTCATGCAATACTATTCTTTTGATTTTTTTCAGTCATTCAAAAATATAAAAACCATTTTTCTATGGCAGGCTGTAGAAAATCATGGCACACACTGGCTTTAGAGACTATTTATTATGATTTGTGAATCATATGCTACATATCCCTTATGTCAGTAAAATTTATAATAAACTTTTTTTTTTTTCCTAGAGAACTGCCAGCACACCACCACTTCAAGTGTTTTCTGAATTGGGGACATGGGAGGAGGGAGTCCAGCAGTACCCTGGGGAGGAGGCCCTCCCCTCTCCCATGAACCACTGGCACTGGAGGCACTGTGAGCTTGCCCCTAGAGGGTATGCCAACAGCTGACTTGAATCACTGCAAAGGAAGGGCAGAGGATTCCTGCACTTGTGTGATGTGGAATACTCTGGGGACTGTCAGAAATAACCCAGGAAACTGTAAGGTAGGGCCAAGGTCCTGCTGTCATGTAGGAGGGGCCTGTGAGCTGGTGAGATTTCTGTATCTACAGATGAAGGAGTTGGAAAATTCCAGTTACATAATGTTTTTCCCATCTAGGAATATTACGGTATGTCATTCCATTTAGCCAAGTCTTTATTTAAATCCTTCAGTAATTGTATTCATATAACTCCTGTATTTTTCTTGTTTAGTAAATTCCTAGGTAGTTCTGTTTAATTTTTTAAAATGTTAATATTTATTTATATTTTCATTATAATTAATTTTTCTAGTTATATTTTTGGTTCTATATAATTTTTTTCTATTACTTTTTAGCTATTTATTGCTGGTCTATAGGGAAACTAATGCTTGTATAAATTAACTTTTTATACTGGTCACCATATTATTCATTTTTTTTTAGTTGATTCTCTTGTGTTTTCAGTAATACAATGGTATCATCTGCAATAAATGATCCTTTTACCTTCTTCCCAATTTTTGACAAGTTTTAGTATTGCGATGTGCTTGCTTTACAAATGAATTGGGAAGTTTTTCATTTTTTCCCCATGGTCAATATCAGTTGAAAGAATGTAAAATCTGTTTATGTGAAGTTTCAAAGAATTCAACCATGAAACTATTTAGCCTCAAGAATTTTTCCAGAGGTGATTTTTGTTTGTTTGTTTTTACAAATATTTCTTTTTCACCATAGATACTGGTTTACTTAAGACTTTTTCTTTTGTCAAAATTGGTAATTCATGATTTCTGAGAAAATTTCTATTCCATCCCTGTTTCTACTCCTGTCTCTCTCTAATCTATTCTCTAGCCAGTAAGCTGTCACAACATTTAAAATATCAGGTGGTCACTCCCCTGCATGAAAACCTCTGACAGTTTCCACTGATAGGTTATCACTGCTTTATATCTCCTGGTCTGTGAAGGCCTAACATGATCTGGTCCTAACTCACCTCCCACTTCCTACTGCCTTGCTCAGAGTGACAGGAGGGCCCCCAGAGGAGGAGCTAGCAGAGGCATGCTGAGTACTGGATTTCATGCTGATTCTGGAAACAGCTCCCTGCCAGCTTTAAAGGAGGCTTAATTGTTCTGGGAGTTTTGCTGACATAATACAGCTTGGCTCACGGGTGGTTCTTGTCCTTAGGCTTAAAAGTAGAACAGGCATTAATAAATGCCACAAAATGTCTTTGGTTGTGTTCAGCCAGTTCTTTTCCAAGCAGAAAAAAAGCACTTAATTAAATTCAATCAATATTTTTCAAGGGCTTCTTATGGACAAGAAATTTTGCTGGACTCTGGGATATAAGTGAGGCAGACACACACAATGTACCTCTATTGCAAGGCAAAGTAAAAGAGAATGTATTGATACAACATGCTGGGTTATGCCACAGTAATGAAAATCTCAGAGGCTTATAACCACGCAGGTGTATTGCTCAGTTGTGCTGTATGTCCAGATGGATTGGCTATGGCTCTGCTCTTTGTCATTTCACTCTGAGACCCAAGCAAGTTGAAAAACCTCTATCTGGAAAATTTCTGGTGGTCATGGCAGAGAGAAAAGGCATGCTGGCCAACATGCAATCACTAAGACTTTGTTAAGAAGTGACACGTGCCACTAAAGATCACATTTTATTGGCCAGAGAAAATAGCATGATCAAGTTGGACATCAAAGGGGCAGGGAAGAATTAGGTTGAACCATATGAGATTGGCATTTTATGAAGTCAAAAGTGATTGAATATCTCAACTGTATTTGGCTTAACCTAATATAATTCTTCTATAGGGAAGGCAATGATGATTTGAATAATGTAAGTTACTCCATAGTGGTACCAACAAAATTGCAATAACAAAATCTTATTAAGATTTTCTTTAAATTCAGATGAAAATTTTATTCACTAATTCTGCATTTCACTTGAGATAGCCACAAACAACCAACCCTTCCATCTGCAGAAATGGGTAATAAAAGCACAGGTGTCACATTAACCTTTTTGGCTGAGATTAGGTGCCATTGGTTTTAGATTCCAGCTTTGAGGAGTCTGTCTCAATAAAAATGTGCCGTGTTCTTGATATGTGCCAGGCTCTGTGCAAGGTGCTGGGACAGACAGTGAAATGCACTGACAGACAAGGTCTGTCCTCAGGGGGCTGAGAGTCTAGTTCCTGCCCTGCTATCATGTACAGATAATCAGTAAATAGGTGCTGTGGGGGATGGGAGAGGTTGAGAGAGCTTAGGGTGCATTTCTAATGGAGCTCACATGATTGTCGGCCAAATTCATTTCTGTGAAGCTGCAGAACTCACAGCTGTTTGTTTCTTCAAGGCTAGCAGGAAAATCTCTCCAAGCTCAGGGCAGGCTTGAGCTCTCTTTTAAAGGCCTCACCTGAGTAAGCCAGGCCAACCTAGGCCACTCTCGCTTTTGATGAACTTGAAGGTAAACTGATTAGAGACTTAATCACAAAATCCCTCCATCTTTGGCATATGATGTAACCTGATCACAGAAGAGACATCCATCATATCCACAGGTCTGGCCCCTACTCAAGTGGACTGTGCAGGGCTCGGACACCAAGAGGGGGAATCTGGGACATGACCTTAGAATTCTGCCTGCCTCAGGGTTTCATTTTCAAAATTGTCACGGATCTTGTGGGTGTGTCTTCTTGTTGTTTCAATCCATGTTTACCTGATGTCATTGGTCATTTGCAGATCTTTTGTGAAGTCTTCTGCCCAGAATTTGTTCTTAGTGGATTGCTTGCCTTTTTGTTTTTGAGTCTTCTAACCTGAATATAAATTCTCAGTTGGATACAAGTGTTGTAACTATGTTCTCCCAGTCGATGGTTCCCCTTTTTGTTTTTGATAAACATAAATTCTTCATTTTAATTGTCATGTTTATCAGTCCTTTTTTTTGGTGGTTAGTGGTTTTGTGTCCTGTTTATGAATCTCTTGCTTAGTCCAAGGTCATAAAAATATTCTCCTGCCTGGACCCTTTCTCCTGGATCCTGCATTGCTTTTGTTTTCAAATGTAGGTCTATCATTCACTTTGAGTGAACTTTTATGACTTGTGTGTGTATGGGACCAAAGTTCATTTTGTTCTGTATATGACGAGTCAATTGATACGGTATCATTTACTGAAAAGACCATCCTCTCCCTATTGATTTGTGACTTTGACTTTGTTAAATCAGGTGACTGGAGGTAGGCTGGAATCTGGTTTGGCTTCTTCTATTGCACAAATCTATTTGTTCATCTGTACGCCAATGCCAGACTGTCCTCACTATTGTCCGACTATGCTGTGATATCTAAACAACATCTTCAGATTGAATCCTGGGCATTGCCATCTCTGTAGAGAGGCCTCACCCCACTCTCCCAGCCCTAAGCAACTAGGAATTTATTTTCTGTCTCTGTAAATTTTTCTGTTACACACATTTCTTGTGAATGAAATCATATAGTATGTTGTCTTTTGTACCTGGCTTCTTTCATTTCCAGCATGCTTTCAGGGTTCACCATGTTTGCAAGGCTGTTTCCTTGTGCAGGAAACAGAAGCACTGACCAGGAGGACTGGGGCAGGTGAAATTGGGAAAAAAGAAAGGGAGGGAATAACCTGTGTCCAGACACTAAAAGGACTTGCAGGATCTTTTAAAAGAGATGTATAGATGTAATAGGGAATTAGAAAGCATGGGAAAGCATCTGCTCTCTAAAATGTCAAAAAACCCACATAGATTTGGAACAAGCTTCTTGTATCATTTGGTGTGAAGCATGTGGTCCTCACTCAGCTATGTGGCTGACCCCCAGAAGGCAGTCACGGATGGAGCTTTTAAAGGAAGGGGAGAGGCCCATATGCTCAGCTCAGAGGCAGGAGAGGATGAGTTTGAAGTGCTTGAGGAACACGGAGTGACCCCAGGAAGGAGGTGGGCCATGTTAGGTGGGGCTGAGAGAGGAGCCCCAGCTTCAAGGAGAGCGTGTCCAGGCAGTAGCTTGAATGGCTACAGATGGAAAAGGATTTGGCTTTCTTTATGTTTTCTTCCTTTGATTTTTAACTGCCCATCCCCCCAGTATTAATGGTTAGTACAGAAAAGAAAAAGGAGAAATTATCACCCATCACCCCTCCACCCAGAATTAACCACAGTTAACACTGGGGCCCGGTTCCTTCCAGGCTGGAATCTCAGAATCGCTTTCTTAATCAGAGGCAATGGTCTGCACAGCTTTATATCCTGCAATTTCTTGCTTAGTGTAAAAGCATTACCCTGCGATCTGATTTCCTTTTGCATCTCAAACCCGGGAAGTTTGGCCATTAGCAAGGATTTCCTGAATTTCCTCGGAATCATCACAGAGGCTGGGCTTGGTCTTCCTGGAGCTTAGGGCTATTTCTCCCTCCCCTCCTTTCAAGCTGCAGGTCTTCGTGAGAAGAAGGCGGATGCAATAGCAAAGACTTAGCTTTCAGGCCTCCTTCCTCAAGGTGGTAATTGTTCCCTTTAAAGGAAGAGAGAATTAACTGAGTGCCAGCGCTGGATTAGGCCTGGGCATCCAGAAAGTGCCCACAAGAAGTGGAGGCCAGTGGGAGAGACACAAGTGCTACAAGGCGAGGTGACAGAGCTCTCCGAAGGATGGAGAAGGGGCTGTGGCGGCTGGCCCAGTGGAAAAGTACCTCGACCATGATTCATCAGGGTAATGCTCCGTTGGTGCCAGGCCATCACCCCGTCTGGGAGTGCAGACAGCTGACAGCTGAAAGTCACATCAAGAATGGAATCAATTCTACGGGAAGAAAGTAAATGAAAGTTAAGATAAAAATGCATTACTTCAGTGCTATACCTTCTGCTGCAAGCATCTGTTTAATACAAGCAACATGAGACTAGCGCCTGCTACGTGGCGGGCGCTGTCTGGGCATAGTGGGCAAGGCAGGCTCCTGTGCCAGGCAACTCCCAACCTGACTGAGGAAGACAATGTGGTGGCCCACCCGACACAGACTGGCTGATTAAATAAGGGTTATGAGTTAGACAAATAAAATACCTGGTGCTGCTGAATTTCACATCTCTAAGGACATTACTCTGGCTCTAGACCAACTGGGTGGCTTAAACGTGGATCCAGATAGTGTCAGTACACAGAAATTACCTGTGTGTGGTTCTCAGCCCTGCTGCTCATTGGAGTCCCTGGGAGCTCTTCAAATTAGAGACGCTAGGGATGCTCAGTCCCTGCCCCCTCCCCCTGAGTTTTTAAAAATAGCTTTATTGCGATACAATTCAAATAAAATACAATCTACCCATTTAAAGTATACATTTCAGTGGTTTTTAGTATATTCATGGATATGGACAACCATCAACAGCACAGTCAATTTTTTTTTTTTCTTTGAGATGGAGTCGCCCAGGCTGGAGTGCAATGGTGTGATTTTGGCTCACTGCAACCTCTGCCTCCCTGGTTCAAGTGATTCTCCTGCCTCAGCCTCTCGAGTAGCTTGGATTACAGGTGTGTGCCACCACGCCCGGCTAATTTTTGTATTTTTGGTAGAGATGGGGTGTCACCATGTTGGCCAGGCTGGTCTCGAACTCCTGACCTCAAGTGATCTGCCTGGTTTGGCCTCCCAAAGTGCTGGGATTACAGGCTTGAGCTACCGAGTCCAGCCAACACAGTCAATTTTAAAACATTTTCCTTATCTCAAAAAGAAACCCCATACTCTTCAGCTATTCTTTTTATTTTCTATTAAATTTTTTTTTTTTCTTTTTTTTTGTTGAGATGGAATCTGGCTCTGTCACCCAGGCTGGAGTTCAGTGGCGCAATCTCGGCTCACTGCAACCTCTGCCTCGTGGGTTTAAGCAATTCTTTTGCCTCAGCCTCTGGAATTACAGGCACGCGCCACCATGCCCTGCTAATTTTTGTATTTTTAGTAGAGACAGGGTTCCACCATGTTGGCCAGGCTGATCTGGAACTCCTGACCTCAAGTGATCTGCCCGCCTCGGCCTCCCAAAGTGCTGGGATTACAGGTGTGAGCCACCGCACCTGGCCAACTATTTTAAAAAATTTTAAGAGACTGAGTCTCACTCTGTCACCCAGTCTGGTGCAGTGGCACGATCATGGCTTCAGCCTTAAAGTCCTGGGCTCAAGCAATCCTCCCACCTCAGCCCCCCGAGTAGCTGGGAATACAAGTGTGCACAGTCACACTAAACTAAAAAAAAAAAAAAAAACTAATTTTATTTTATTTTATTTTATTTTTTATTTATTTATTTTTTGTAGGGATGGGTTTTTGCTATGTTGCCTAGGCTGGTCTCAAAGTCCTGGCCTCAAGCAATCCTCCTGCTTCATCCTCCCAAAGTGCTGTGATTACAGGCATGAGCCACTGTTCCCAGCCTCTCCCCACTCTTCTAGCCCTAAGCAAGCACAAATCTATTTTCTGTATCTGTAGATTTTCCTGTTATACACATTTCTTATGAATGAAATCATATAATATGTTGTCTTTTGTATCTGGCTTCTTTCATTTAGCCCCATGCTTTCAGGGTTCACCATGTTGTAGTGGGTATTTTATTCTTTTTTATGGCTGAATAGTATTTCATTTTATGGATATGCCATAATTTATCTGTTATCAGTTGATGGACATTTGGGTTGTTTCTACCTTTGGGCTGTTATGAATAGTGCTGCTATGAACATGTGTGTTCCAGTTTCTGTATGGACACATGTTTTCCTTTCTCTTGGGTAGCTACCTAGGAATGGAAATGCTGGATCATATATTCACTCTGTTTGAAGAACTGCCAGACTGTTTTCCAAAGCAGCTATACCATTTTACAATCCCACTAGCAGTGCATGAGGATTCTGATTTCTCCACATCCTTGCTGATACTTGTTATCATCTGACTTTTTGATTCTGGCTACCTTAGTGCCTATGAAGTAGTATCTCAATGTGGTTTTGATTTGTTGATTTGCTGATGACTAGAGATGCCAAGCATCTTCTCATGTGTTTATTTGTGCTCTTAGAGTTTTTAATTCAGTTGGTCTGGAATAGTTTTTTTTTTCCTTTTATTTTTTATTTTTTTGAGACAGAGTCTTGCTCTGTCACCAAGCTGGAGTGCAGTGGCGTGATCTTGGCTCACTGCAACCTCTGACTCCCTGGTTCGGGCTATTCTCCTGCCTCAGCCTCCCGAGTAACTGGGATTACAGGCACGCACCACCATGCCCAGCTAATTTTTGTATTTTTAGTAGAGCCAGGATTCCACCATGTTAGCCATGATGGTCTCGATCTCCTGAGCTCGTGATCTGTCCACCTTGGCTTCCCAAAGTGGTGGGATGACAGGCGTGAGCCATGGCGCCCGGCTTTTTTTTTCCTTTTAAAAAAGTGTTTGGCTGGGAGAAGTGGTTCACACCTGTAATCCCAACACTTTGGGAGGCCGAGGCAGGAGGATCACTTGAGCCCAGGACTTCAAGACCTGCCTGGGCAACATAGTAAGACCCCATCTCCAAAAAAAAAAAAAAAAAGTAAATTAGCCAGGCGTGGTGCTGCACACCTGTGGTCCCAGCTACTTGGGAGGCTGAGGTGGGAGGATCACCTGAGCCGAGGAGTATGAGGCTGCAGTGAGCCATGATCATGCCACTGGATTCCAGCCTGGGTGACAAAGTGAGACCCTGTCTCAGAAAAAAAAAAAAAGGCTGGGGGGCCTGGGCTAGGATTATGCCTGTAATCCTAGCACTTTTGCAGGTAGATTGCTTGAGCTCGGAGTTCGATACCAGCCTGGCAACATGGCAAAACCTGGTCTCTACAAAAAACATAAAAAATAGCTGGGCGTGGTCTGTAGCTGTAGTCCCAGCTACTCAGGTGGCTGAGGTAGGAGGATCACCTTAGCCCGAGGATGTTGAGGCCACAATAAGCTGTGGTCATACCACTGCACACCAGCCTGGACAACAGAATGAGACCCCATCTCAAAAAAAAAAGTTTTTTATTTTGAA
This sequence comes from Homo sapiens, assembly GCF_000001405.40. Taxonomy (NCBI): domain Eukaryota; kingdom Metazoa; phylum Chordata; class Mammalia; order Primates; family Hominidae; genus Homo; species Homo sapiens. The sequence continues at coordinate 122,454,113 of NC_000010.11, forward strand.
ATAATTTTAGGTTTAGAGAAAAGTTGAAAAATAGTAAAACAACAACAACAACAAAAAAACAACAAAAAATCCCAAAACCCCCAAAACTCTCATTGACCCTTATCTCAGATTTCCCGAATGCTTACCACCCTCGCTACATCATTCAAGTTCTTGGAAACATTTAAAGCATGTGAAACATTTAAAACATTTAAGTTGGAGGCTTTAAGTTGCACGTCCTTTATTTCTAAATATTTCAGTGTGTTTTTCTTAAAAAAAATTTTCTCATACCACAGTAACATGATCAAAATTGGAAAATCAACATTGATTCAATACTATGATCTACAATCAAGGTTTTTTTTTTTTTTCAAATCCCTGGGTCTCTGCATTTTTTAAAAGCTTCACAGATGATTTCAATGGATACTAGGGACCTCTGTTGCCTCCTCTGGCAGAGCAGGACTGAGGGGTGGACCCTCCCTGAGACCACCCAACAATTCAGGGTGGAGTTATCAGGGCGCCCTGACTCCTGGGGGCATTTTTGTGTGACGGGAAAAGACAATGCTCCTGGCTGAGTGAGATGGCAGCTGGCTTGGCAAGGGGACAGCACCTTTGTCACCACATTATGTCCCTGTACCCTACATGCTGCGCCTATACCCAGGACCGATGGTAACTGAGGCGGAGGGGAAAGGAGGGCCTGAGATGGCAAGTCTGTCCTCCTCGGTGGTTCCTGTGTCCTTCATTTCCACTCTGCGAGAGTCTGTGCTGGACCCTGGAGTTGGTGGAGAAGGAGCCAGTGACAAGCAGAGGAGCAAACTGTCTTTATCACACTCCATGATCCCAGCTGCTAAAATCCACACTGAGCTCTGCTTACCAGCCTTCTTCTCTCCTGCTGGAACCCAGAGGAGGTTCCAGCAGCCTCAGCACCACCTGACACTGGTAAGAAATGCAGATGATCAGGCCTTACCCCAGACCTATTGAATCAGAAATTCTGGAGTGGTGCCCTGCAGCTTGCATTTTAACCAGCCTTCAGGTGCTTCTGATGCATGCTCAGGTTTGAGCACCACTGGCCACAGGGAGGCCTAGGCAATTCAGCCTTCCTCTGGTTGAATAGCTGGAGAATTGGGAATATCAGTAAATACTTCCAATGCACCTGCTACATGCCAGAAAAAGGAAACAAGAAGACGCAGTAGGTCTGAGAAAGTGATGGGGTGAGCAGAAACCCAAAGCTTATAGAAGGCCATCTGAGTGGCCCCTCAAGCCGGTGAATTGGCTTTAGGGTTTACTGAAGGAGGTGGAAACCTCAGCCTGCTTCTCGTCCGGGTTGTTAGAGGAGTCATTTAGAAAGCTGTACCATTCTTTCAATATTCTCACGGCTTTCCAGTGCTCATTTTTCCTGCTCATTTATGGATTAAAAAAAATGCCTTGGCTGTATGTGTAAGAAAACAACAATGCAAGTTTGTAGAGAAAGAATCTGGGCCTTACAGGTCACGTTGGTTTAAAATTTAGACATCAAGCAGCTTAGAGACCATGTTGCCAAATAAGCTTAGTAAATGCTTTCTAATGCTTACGGAACTGTGGCGCTTTGTGCTTGCCATAGTATATATAATTAGACAAATGAGAGAACACAAAGGTTGAACCCCTTCCCTCTCTTAATTTTTGTTTTTTACAAGCAGATTTAAAATTCTGGCTCATAATGTCCTTGATTCAATGTTAAACCATTTTGCCTAAATGGCAGCATGTTCTAAATGTGAGCGCGCTCAGCTTTTCAAGCTGCTCCCGAGTGACAGAAATTGACAAGCTGTCATTCAAGACCTTTCGGTGGCTGCCTGGGGCTCTGTTTGAATTGTATCTGTCTGATACTTTACCATGGAGAGTGAAAAATTTGATCACATGCCATGCTTTTAATTTTCTAAAGCAAATATGTTGGAAGGAGCCAATTAATGCAAAGATGGACTGCTGGTCTCATGCAACTGATTTAGGGGAAGGGTTCGCCTAAATTAATAAAAGATCTGAATTATAGATCTTAACAAATACATAGAATGTAAAGGCTTAAAAGGAAACTGAGCAGCAGCAGGCCTGGGGTTGGCTTTTAAGTATCTATATTTAACTAATAGACATGAATGTTTTGATTTGATATTAGAAATGCTAGTGCTGGAGTCTCTGAGCCTACTCTGGCTCGAGAGGATGCCCTATCTAAAAAACAAAAAACAAAAAAAAAAAAGAAAAAAGAAAAAAAGAAATGCTGGTATTGTAATTCTAAAGTGCTTCAGAAATTCTCAAAAATAGGCCAGGCATGGTGGCTCATGGCTGTATACCAGCACTTTGGGAGGCCAAGGTGGGCAAATCACTTGCAGTCAGGAGTTTGAGACCAGCCTGGTCAACATGGTGAAACCCCATCTCTACTAAAAATACAGAAATTAGCCAGGCATGGTGGCAGCACCTGTAATCCCAGCTACTTGGGAGGCTGAGGCAGGAGAATCGCTAGAACCTGGGAGGTGGAGGTTGCAGTGAGCCAAGACCGCACCACTGCACTCCAGCCTGGGCAACAGAGTGAGACTCTATCTCAAAAAAAAAAAAAAAAAGTTCTCAAAAGTATTTTGAACTTCCTCACCTTTGTCCTATTTTGGAAGGAGGGGGTCTACATTGAAGAGATCATACAGAAATAAATTAATTGTTACAAAAGGAATGGAATGTCTATACTTCTTACCCTATTGAGTTACATTAACTGCATCTTCAACTTAATTTAAAGTGCTCCTCAACCTAAAATATCGTCATGTGTCTTTAAAAATGCATATTACTAAATCTATTTTTTTTTCAGTCTATCATCCACACTGCAGCAAGGTGATTCTGCCAAAACATATCTCCTTAAAAGCCAACTGGAGCTTCTCATCAGCATCAATGTGAAGCCAAAAATCCTTAGGAGGACAGAGGGAGTCCCTCACAACCTAGACTGGTCCCCTTCCCTCCAGCTGCCTCAACTGTCCACAGGACTCTCTTCCCACCTGCGGCCACACTGTGCAACCTGGAATTTCCCCACCTGGGCGGACTCATCACGTCATCACCAATTGGATGCATCTTCTGCTCTGTGCAGCTGGTGAAATCTTTCTCAACCCTTGAGATGCAGCCCAATCTTCTCCTAACATCTGGATTCCTCTCTGTCACTGCATTCCCTCCTGTCATCCTGCCTTTGTTTTCTTGCCCTCCTTTCTCTCCCGGGTGATAGGCATTAACTAAAATTAAATAAAAATTCAGATCATCCTTGCACTTGCTGCATTTCAAATGCTTGGCAGTCACATGTAGTTAGTGGCTACCCTCTTGGACAGCACAGATAGAGATTATTTCCATCACTGCAGAAAATTCTAGACTTTGAGCTTCTTGAGGACAGGGGCTTGATCATTCGACACTGCTTTACAGTGTCTAGCAGTGTCTACCCTGTGGCAGGGGCTCAGGAAATTTTTCCTGAACCGAACCTAACTGAACTGATGTGGGTTTGTCATCAGGGTGTACCTGCTGTTAAAGGAGGTTACGACCTCTGATGCTGGGGTGGCCAGAGGGGATGGGAGTGGGTCTGGCACTCTGAGGAAAGGGGGTGAAACCAGCTGAGAAGTCATCTTTTACCTGCTGGCATGGCCCCAGCCAGGGTTCTGTTGCTATGGGAGAATGGGTGAGTAGGGATGGATTACACCACCCTGGATCTAGAGGACAACCTGGCTTGAGGGGCATGGGGGACGCTGGAAGTCAGGGTAAGAAGCTTGGACTTCATTCTACTGGCATGGAGAGCCCCTGGAAACTACTGAGCAGTAGAGGGATAGGCTAAGCTTATAGGAGGAGCCAAAATTATTACTGTAGCTCCTTAGATCTTAGATCCTGTGACTTAGGAAAGGCAATAGGAGCCCCTGAGCATTCTGGGTCCTTTGTACATTTGGGAGAACAGAGGCCCGGAGTGGGAAATCGTCCTCCTGGGCAGCACAAACATGGCTGCTCCATTCCTATTCAGAAGCCTCGTTTCCTGATTAAGGCTCTGGCATCTGTGGTGTTTCATTGTTCATTATTCATGAATAGACTTGGCCCTGTTCAAAACTAAAGCTTCAATGCTGCAAATGAGGGCTGCAGAGAGGATGTTGGGGAACTCGTCTGTTTGGCTTCAAAACTGCCCCCTTTCCTCTGGAAAAATCCTCTCTAGAATACCGTGCCAAGGCCTGGTGAGTGAGAAATGAGTTTTCATGATGTATCAAAAGAAAAATGCTTCTTTTAAGAAAACGTCTTTATAAATGGCAGCAGATGGGGAAGAATCTAAAAGAAAGAGCAACGCTTGCAGGTTGAAAGCATTACCTCCAGATATGGAGACGTTAGGACTAAGGGAAGGTCAGAGATGGGCCCACGAGGCCAGGTTTCAATGGACTTACCATTTCCTTCTTCGTGCATCCACTGATGGACACACGTAGGCACACGCACCAACAGCCTCCCATGTGGACAGTCCAGGGTGCCCAGAACCCTTCCAGCAAGACTTTGATTTCTGTTTCGAAGGATTTCTTGAGGCCCCTCTGTAGAGCTGCTTGTCTTCTTCATAACCGGTGCCTGGGTCAGAGCAGGTGGGGTGAGCTGCACTCACAGCTGGGAGGTGAGTCTGTGATCTCATTGTGCAGTGGCCCTGCCAGGTTGCTCTTTCTAAAACCTTGGGTATTGCAAATTCTGCTTCTTAGGGACCGCTTGGTCCCCCAGTCCTCCCCCTGCTGACTCCCTTCCTGATGAAGCCACCAGCATGGCTCTCAGGGTAGTGCTGTCTTCCTTCTCTAGAACAGCCACGTGGCCCCAGGGCTGGCACTTACTGGTCACCGTGGTTACAGACGCCTCTTCTAGGCTGTGAACTGTCACAGGAGTGGGTCCACTTCGGCCGACACTTCCTCAGGGGTATTAAGTAGCTGGGGGTCCCCCTGAGTCTCCATCACCCTCTTACCCATTCTCCACCCCCTCCCCCACCACACATACACTCTACTCCCCCAGTGCTGAATAACTTGCCAAAGCACTGTGCTGGCACTGGGGCATGGTAAAGAAGACGGGGCCTCTGCCCTAGGGAGGAGGTGATGAGGGCAGGAATAGCAGCACAGAGGGTGAGAGGCAGAGACAATGGCACTGAGTGGGGGCACGAGGATGGAAGAGGAGCATGCTAGATGGGACGATGGGACCCAGCACTGACCAAATAGAAGCTTGTGGGTGGCACATCAGTCACTCCAGGGACATATGTGGTCACTGCCATTTTCCTAATGAAACTCCTCCAGTTATTAAACAAAGGCCCAGAGTCACAGACTTAAGGACCAGAAGTGGGATTTGAACCCAAGTCCCCCAGATGACAGGGCTCCCACGTGCTTCTCTAGGTCACATGAGCCCACGCTGGAGGGGAGGAGGGGTGTTTCAAGAAGAGGGGAGATGTGGGCAAAGAAAGGCACAGAGACCGTAAGCAGACAGGTGTGTTCCAGAAAATGCAAGTTATTTGGCACTGGGGGAGCAGAATGTATATGTGGTGGGGGAGGGGTGGAAAATGGGTGAGAGGGTGGTGGAGACTCAGTGGGATCCCCAGCTACTTAATTCCCCAACAGGGAAAGAGCCTAGAAACTCCCTCCACCTCCCGCAAAGCAGTGGGGAAGTTGCGGCCACACTGTTTTCGGTCCGCTCATTCCCTCTGCAGTCTGGCTGCTCAGGGGGATGGAGGAGGATGGGGCTTGCAGGCAGGCACAGCCGGTTTGGAAGGTGTCCTGGCTCCAGCACTCAACTTGTGGCATGACACTCAGGGGAGTCACCCTTTCTGGCCCTCAGTTTTCTCCTCTGTAAAATAAGGAAATTCGACAAAAATAAGTTATCACCAATTTATTCACCACCACGTGTCCTTTTAATTCCATCTGCCCCAGGACTGCAGTGGGGAGTCTTTCTTTGCCGATGGACTTCGAAAATCATCACCCCCCGCATTTTTTGTGGTTAACCACAGCTAGCCAGGAACTCAGGGCTTCTCATCAGCAGAGGCCTCTGCCTCTCCAGTATCCAGGGCCGAATGGATTTTGGGTCAAGGCCTCCCTCCCGCAGCCAGGAGGCCCTGGCTTTATGGAATATCGCTTGGAGTCCAGGGAGTCAGCATGGGGACCCCGACAGCTTTCCCATGCCCCAGGCTCCTGGGCCTTTCTGGGGGACCCCTCTGGACCTTGGGCATTAACAAGGTTCATATTTGGAAGGTGCTTTGAGGGGGCTTATAGGTATTTGGAGTTTACTTTTTAAACTATTTGTATTGGAAAAATAACGTGTGCACAAGGGAACAACCCAAATACAGAAGAATATTAAAATCCCCAAGCCCCCAGCCCCCTCCCATGCTACTCTATCCCAAAGTCAGCTCTGCCGGCTCACCCAACCCTGGGTGCCTCTGCCCAGGGTGGGGGTGGAGGTTTGAGGGTTCGGGATGAGGGCTGGACGAAGGGCCTCCTCTCAGGTCCTTGGACACGAGCTGTGCCCATCTGCTCAGTGTGGACCCAGGACTACTGCCCACAGGCCTGGTGCTGCCTGGGCACCCAGACCCACCTCCAGGGTCGCCCTCAGCCCTCCTGATGACTCTCGGACTCGCATCTGTCCCAACGGATGCACCAAAGATTCTCCAGTGGGAAATCAAATTTTTGATAACAAGTGTTTTGAAATAATCACGCACTTGGTGAAAAATCAAAAGAGGGGAAAACCCCTTTCCCATCTGAGACCGCTCCACCCTCGCCAGTTACGAGCTGCCGAGCCGCTTCCTAGGCTCTCTGCGAATACGGACACGCATGCCACCCACAACAACTTTTTAAAAGAATCAGACGTGTGAAGGATTCTATTCGAATTACTTCTGCTCTCTGCTTTTATCACTTCACTGTGGGTCTGGGCGCGGGCTTTCTGCCAGCTCCGCGGACGCTGCCTTCGTCCGGCCGCAGAGGCCCCGCGGTCAGGGTCCCGCGTGCGGGGTACCGGGGGCAGAACCAGCGCGTGACCGGGGTCCGCGGTGCCGCAACGCCCCGGGTCTGCGCAGAGGCCCCTGCAGTCCCTGCCCGGCCCAGTCCGAGCTTCCCGGGCGGGCCCCCAGTCCGGCGATTTGCAGGAACTTTCCCCGGCGCTCCCACGCGAAGCCGCCGCAGGGCCCCCTTGCAAAGTTCCATTAGTTTGAAGGACGCGAATCTCAGCGAGAGAACCTGCGGAAAGCGAATATGTGGGGCGCGCAGACGGGGAAACTGAGTCCCGCGAGAGGGCCGGCCTGTGCGCTGCCCCGCCCGCGCCCCGCCAGCACCGCCGTGCCCGGGCGCGCCCGCCCTGCCCCCTCCGCGGGCGGTCCCGGTCCAGCCGCCCGCCCTCCCTCCCGCCATCCGGCCAGCCCCCATCCCGGGCGCCGTGCCCGTCCCCAAGGCGGCTCGTCACCGCTGCGAGGCCAATGGGCTGGGCCGCGCGGCCGCGCGCACTCGCACCCGCTGCCCCCGAGGCCCTCCTGCACTCTCCCCGGCGCCGCTCTCCGGCCCTCGCCCTGTCCGCCGCCACCGCCGCCGCCGCCAGAGTCGCCATGCAGATCCCGCGCGCCGCTCTTCTCCCGCTGCTGCTGCTGCTGCTGGCGGCGCCCGCCTCGGCGCAGCTGTCCCGGGCCGGCCGCTCGGCGCCTTTGGCCGCCGGGTGCCCAGACCGCTGCGAGCCGGCGCGCTGCCCGCCGCAGCCGGAGCACTGCGAGGGCGGCCGGGCCCGGGACGCGTGCGGCTGCTGCGAGGTGTGCGGCGCGCCCGAGGGCGCCGCGTGCGGCCTGCAGGAGGGCCCGTGCGGCGAGGGGCTGCAGTGCGTGGTGCCCTTCGGGGTGCCAGCCTCGGCCACGGTGCGGCGGCGCGCGCAGGCCGGCCTCTGTGTGTGCGCCAGCAGCGAGCCGGTGTGCGGCAGCGACGCCAACACCTACGCCAACCTGTGCCAGCTGCGCGCCGCCAGCCGCCGCTCCGAGAGGCTGCACCGGCCGCCGGTCATCGTCCTGCAGCGCGGAGCCTGCGGCCAAGGTACTCCGCCGCGCTCCTGGGCAGCTCCCCACTCTCTCCATCCCAGCTCGGACCTGCTTCTGCGGGACTGGTGGGCAGGTTGAGGGGCAGCGAAGCGTTGTGGGGTGGCCAGGGCAACTCTCGGGGACAGGCAGGTGGGCCCCGGGGTGGCGGATTTCCGCGGGCTGCCTCGGAACCGAGCTTCGCGCCCAGCCCGGGGCCGGTTCTGCGCCCAGACGATGCCAGTACGCCCGGCCTGCACTCTGGGGCTCGAGACGCCGGGCGACCGGCCATGGAGTGCCCTGAGGGCAACCACACAGCGCGGGGACCCCAGGACAAATAAGAGGAATGGGGGCATAAAGGAAGGAGAGAAGTTCAGGACTGGGAATTGGCGCCTCGCAGAGCGGCTTCAGGACCACAAGAAGTCATTTCGGTTGCTTTTTCTTCTATTTACGTCCTCCGTCCCCTTTAAAATTCACTGCTTTGATCACGGGACCGCTCAGTGAAAACTGTATGTAACTCTTTTGGAAAGGAACAGTGTTTGCCGGCCCGCCCCGGAGTTTCTCCAAAAAGTCTACCCCGAGCAGGGAACGGTTTGGCACCGCTCTCGTTTCGGCGGCGTTGCTGCCTGTCTTGCTTTCCTCGTTTTGAGCCAGCCCTACAAAAATGAAAGTGGCTCCTTTTGAATAAGCTGAATCGGGCTTTGGATCACGAAATCTGCAGAGGCGGAGAAGGGACCGGGTTAGTGATGAGGAAGAAGTCTACCCCTCTGTTCCTACAGCCGCACACAGGACCTGTTCTGGCAGGGGAGACGGTGGTGATGGGGGAAGGAGTGGAATGGAGCAATGTCTAACTCTCTCGCGGGACCTTCCGGAGAGATGCTCCTCATCTTCAGGCAGAGGCCATGTGGAAAAATAATATCGAGTTCAGCAGCGGCCAGCCCCGCGTTGTAGGAACCAGACAGCGGGGCTTGGCAGTGCGCTTGGGCGCAGCCGTGCCGCTGCTGCCGGACCCCAGTGCTGCCTCCTCAACACGGGCAGTGCCAGGAGAGGGGCATAGGGGAGCACAGTGCAGAGGGACTGGTCTAGAGTTTACTTTATAGGAATATGGTTCGGTGTGACCAACTAGGGCTTAGCATAGTTTGGCTTACGTGGACGGGAAGATGCCAGAGCCGAACTGGGTGAAATTCGAGATTGCGTATTTCACCAACACAGGAGCACAGCCCTCGGGAAACTCAGCCTAGTCAGGCAGTAGAGAGTTGTCCCGGAGAGAAGTGATCCTGCAGACTCGAGAAGGGGCATGATGATAGCACACGTCTGTTGAGCACCCAGTCTGTGTGCCGGGTGTGTTACCTCTGTGACCTCATTTGGTCAAACGAGGAGGCAGTTGCTCCTCTCTCTCTCTTTTTTTTTCTTAAGAGACAGGGTCTCCCTCTGTCGCCCATGCTGGAGTGTAGTGGTGTGATCATGGCTCACTGCAGCCTCCGACCCCTGGGCTCAATGATTCTCCTGCTTCAGCCTCCCAAGTGGCTGGGACTACAGGCGGATGCCACCACACCCAGCTTCTCATTCCCGTTTTACAGATAGCGGAGCTAAGGTTGAAAAACTTGCCCAAGGTCATTCAGCTGGAATTTAAACCCAGACAGCCTCATTCAGAGGAGTCAGCCCAGCACTTAACTCCAAGGGTGTGGGAGAGGGGTCAGGTGCTGTAAATTTCCTGGTGGGCTGGACGTGCATCCCCCTCAGAGCTGGGAACAGCATACACAAAGCCTAAGACTTGTTTGGAGGTGAATAGATCAGTGTGGCTGGGGAACGTTTTGGGAGGGCAGCAGGAGTGAGCCAGGCTGGTGGCCCAGAGTCCCAGGGCTGAAGAGGCTGGCTGTGCCCCGTGCCCTGTGCGCAGATGTTCTTGAACTGGAGCAACTCAAAGCCTAGTGTAGTGTAGGGCTGACCTAGCAGTGGAGTGCGGAATGCATCCAGGGTGGAGAGTTTAGACTACTGCAATAATCTGGGTGTGAGGCGACAACATTGAAAAAGCATGTTTTTGTCCAAAACAAGCCAGCTGTTACTGGTCTCGCTGTTTGTGGTCTCATCGCACGGGGTCCTGAGTTGCTGGCACCATGCGAGCCGCCTAATTTATTGCTAGTGAGGCAAGTTGCTTAACAAGTTTTGGAGTTGGCTGAGTCCCTGTGTGGAGGAAAACAGGTCCCCCATTGGCCATCGGGCTCACAGCGGGCCCCCGGTGTACCAGTGAGGGGACAGCCACAGAGGGATAAGCATGGTGGCTTTGAAAGGAGGGAGAGACAGAGTGGGTACAATGCTTTTCTTATCCCTCCCTCCTTCTTTTGCAAATATTTATTGAGCTCTGTAGGGTGTCTGACACCGTTTGCATGTTTGTCTGTCTGGCACATCGGAGGTACTTGGTACGAGTGGATTAGTGAATGAATAAATGAATGAATGAAGACAAACGGGAGGTGCTTGCGATACACAGCCATTCTGTTTTTCCTTAGTGGAAGGCACTGCTTTGCTGCGCCCCCTCTCTGGATCTCACACTCCACCCTTGACTTTTCGGAGGTGTTTCCGAGGACAGGCGCCTGGGAGCCAGCAGACTTCATTCAGTCCAAGCCAGGCTCCAGGACTCAACAGCTGGTGCCCACGGGCAGGTCACTTGACGTCACTGTTAAATGAGGTGAATTGGCTGCCTGCTCTGGCTGGAAGATTGGCGGGAGAGTCACTTTAGCTGCCATGGACATGAGCCTTTTCTAGGGGTGCCACTTGACTAGAGGCCTGGAGTTGGAGCAAGTCATACACGGATCTGGAGACAGAGCTCTCGAGGCAGGAGCGGGTGCTGCGATTTCAAATATTATAAGGTGGCTTTGTCTGGGGCAGAGCATGCCAGGGGATGAGAGGTAGAAATGTCATCAGATCAGGGGTCCCCAGGGAGGTGACTAGCACTTTGGGTCACAGTAGATCTTTGGATAGAGGAACATGTCACCATTCAAAGGAAAGCACTTTCATCTGTAAGCTGTTTATTGAATAGACCTCAGAGAACATCTCTGCTCACCGCTCTGGAAATGAAGGCAAATCATCTATTTCAGAAGTCAATGCACTGGCAGGGTTTGGATGGGAAAGTATACAATTCAGCTAGAGAACAAAGATCTGTCATCTCCAGCTGTACTGGTCAGATGATTACAAAAAAGAAAGGAATTGAAATACTAATAGGGTACTAATAATGAGGGCTAACATATATGTTGTGCTTATTCTATGCCGGGTGCATACTAATTCATTTGATCCTCCGGACAGTCCTATGAGTGAGTGCTGTAGTCTTCCCTGGGTTACAGCTGGGCAGCTAAGTCACAGAGAAGTACCTTGCTCAGGACTGGTGGTCCCACACAACTGGATGGAGAGCCTCGTTCATAACCACCATGCTGTGCTGTTGACAGAGCAACAGAGATTTTAAACCAACCCCAGCTAAGCCCCAGCTAATAGCTGAAATAAACAGGGCTCCAGATGGCTGTGGCTTAGAGATGGAACAGGACAGATCACAGCCTTCACTCTGCAGGCTCAGGAGCCTGAAGACAAGGTTGCCTCCAGTTGCCGTCAGTGCAGCCCTCACTAAAGAAAAGCAAAAAGAGCCGAGGGACTGTAGGAAGGCTGTTTCCAAGCCAGAGATCCAGACAAACTGCTCTTGAAGAGAGAAAGCCCTTCCAGATTCCCCCATGTCCCAAAAGACCAGCCGGGATTCCGGACCTCTGCTAAAACATGGACAAGAAGCCAGGAACGAGACCTGAAACAGACTTCCCAAACAGCAGAAGCCTCATCCATTTCTCCTGCTAGTACATCCTCCAGGAAAGCCCACCCTACTCCATGCAGCAGCCCAGACAAGCTTGGAGGTCTGCAAGCTGCAGGGGTGCCCAGAAACTCCACCCCTGGAGGTTTTTAGGATCGCCTGCTCCTGGTCTCACCCCAGAGCCTCTAAAGGCAGAGGCTGTATGTACATACCTGGTGAAGAACCAAGGGCTTAGATGGTTGCTTTACTTCTTGGAGCCCTGGAATGTTTGTAAAATTTACTTTTTTTTTTGAGACAGTGTCTCGTTCTGTCGCCTACGCTGGAGTGCAGTGGCGCGATCTCGGCTCACTGCAAGCTCCACCTCCCGGGTTCATGCCATTCTCCTGCCTTAGCCTCCAGAGTAGCTGGGACTACAGGCACCCGCCACCACGCCCAGCTAATTTTTTTGTATTTTTTGGTAGAGACGGGGTTTCACCGTGTTAGCCAGGATGGTCTCCATCTCCTGACCTTGTGATCCGCCCGCTTTGGCCTCCCAAAGTGCTGGGATTACAGGAGTGAGCCACTGCACCCGTGCCAAAATGTACTTTATTTAGGTGACTCTTTCGTGGGAACCTCAAACAAGCAATCATTGCTAGCTGAGTGCTGACCCTGTACTGAGCTCTGGGGAGACAGGGTTGAATAAAACAAAGTCACTGCCCACAGGTAACTTATATTCAATACAATGGGGGAAAATACAATCACTGCTTCCCTGGGGTTGTATTTTTCCATTGTTAAAGTGGGCAGTTTGCTCGAGAGTCATTTTCACTATTGGCAATTCAAATACACCTTTTGTCAGTTAAAAAACAAGTGTGCCAGGGACCTGAGCTTCATCTTAGGGCAGGGTGGGTGGAAACATTTGTGAGTCTCCAGCTTTTAGTCACCTGAAACTTGGAAACTTGGAGGTCTTTTGAGCAGTTTATGAGTCTCTGCCTGCTCTGGTCGGCTGCCTTCTTTTATTGCTCTGTTGGTTTTGCTAAAGAGTTAAAATATTAAGGCTTCATAAAATTAGGAAGTTAACAAGCTCAAAAACCAAGTGTTTGAGTTACTTCATTCCACTGAGAGAGCTGTAAATGGGTTGCATTGGAACTTAAAATAACTGCATTGAGTAAGTGATGGTGGCGGGCACCATGAGCTAACTGTGGTCAGAAGCCTGATGGCCTCCGCTTTGGGGCTGGATTCTCCGTTTGGAGCTGTGTGATCCTGGATGAGTTTCATGCCTTGGATTCAGAAATCAGACTTTCCATGAGCTTATATTTCAAGTGAATAAATAGCTCTGGTCAGGCTTAATTTGAAGAAGAAGTAAGCTTGGCAGTGGGTGAGGGTTCCTTGGAAGGCCAACTGGGGCGGAGGGGCTGAGGGCAAGCGGCTCTGGCCCTTCCTGGGGTGTTACCTGACCAGGTAACAGCTCCCTCGACCTCTCGGAGCCTCGGCAGTGAGGGGATTGGGCCAGTTGATCTCTGAGGCTCCTTTTAACTAGAATGGTCTGGGATTTTTCTAAGAAAACAAGTCTTTGAGGAGGTTGTGGTCACCTCATTCCTAATTTAAAGCCTGGGGAGGCTTCCTTATGAGCTACTTCTTTTTCCTAAATTATTGATGGTTAAAGCCAAGGCTGGCATCGAATAGATGTGATCCATCTTGAGCCTGGTTGCTTTGTGTTTCAGCTTTGTACTGGCTGCTGAAGTCCCCGGGAGACCACAGGGGTGACATGTTCATCTCCAAGAGATGAGCTTCCACGAGACTCATACCCCTTGCTCCTTCCCTGGGGCTCCAAGGCCTTTGGGTCATCTGAAGTGAGATACCCTTGTGTCATTTCATCTTTTCCTTCTCCACCTTCTCTGCCGTTAAAAAAAAAAGAAGAAAGAGAAAAATCCTATTAATAGAGAAACCGAGAAGTGTAGCCATTCTGAATGTGTTTCCAAAAGGCTCCTGGAAGTGGCATGGAAGTTACAGTGATTCAGCACTACTTGGTGACGTGTGCCTAGAACCACAGGGGGACATTAGCCAGGACAACACGCCTCAGGACAGAAGTAAGTGGCTGCGAAGAGGCATGTCCATCACTGCCGGAAAGATGCAGAGTTCAGTTTTTGGAGTCAGTGCTGAGAGTTCCATTTCTAAATTCATTCAGAGCATTTATTTAACACCTACTGTGTGCTCAGAAGTGTATCAGGTATGGGGACTCAGAGGTAAGGGCTGGTGGCCCCTGATCTCAAGGTACTCGTGGTAGATAGTATGATGCTCAGCTTAAGGGCTGGGCTTCTGAAGTCGGATTGCCATTTTCTGGATGTGTGGTGTTTCTTGGGTGACTTCATCTCTAAGTCTCAGTTTCCCCATCAGTAAGATAAGAGAAGTAATAGCAGATACATACGTAGCTCTTAGGGCATTGCAGAATGGAAGGACCTCCTTATATGAAACGCAAAGCACTGTGCCTGATGCATTGCTAGAACTCAGGCAATATTAGCGTGTTGTCATTGTCATCATCATCATCATCATCATCATCATCATCATCATCATCTTCAAGGCACTGACAAAGGAGTCAGCTGTGTGGGAGGAGTGCTGGGACACTCTTGTCTCCCTGGGGATGAGGTGGGTGGGTGGGTTAGGAAATCTTCACAGAGAAGGAGGGTGATGTGAGACTTCTGTCCGGGAGCTGACTCGGAATTTGCCATCTAATATGTTGGAAAAGGTTCTCTGGGCAGAGGTATCCAAAGTCACTTTGCCTGTCACCCTTTGAGGTCCCAGTTGTTGCCTATATCATGTGACCAGTGTGTGGCTTCTCTTGAATTAAGAGCTGCATGTCTGGACTGCCTGGGATTTTACAGATGTCATCTCGTTAACTCTCCCTGGAGCTTGTGACACCCAGGAGATGGCAGTTTATAGAAGCCCTGGCACCTTCTTGAATGATGCTTGGTTTGGTTTCTATGCACTGGGAATTCCTCACAAGGAAAGATTTGTCACATCTTAAGGAAGGAAAAAAAGGCAAATTTGGGAGTCCATGGATACCCTATTATTTTAGATTCCAGGACAAATTGTCGAATAAGCACGTTTCATAAAAACAATCCTCCGCAGCATCCCGTGACAGCAGCTGGTCCCTCGCCACAGGATAATTATGTCTCCTTGTGCACACAAAAGTCTCCGAGGGCATATTGTTGTGGCTGGAGTTTCTGATAATTTCCAAATTGAACAACCTCAGTCCTAATGAGTCAGAGGCTTGTGCAATATTTTCAAACCTCAGGAACATCTTTTTCATTAGTTGTGCAATAAAGATGGTAGGCCTATCTCTGTGATGAGCTGTTTTTTTTTCTCAAAGTTTGATGAGATTCGCCGTAGAATTCCTTCTCACATAGTCTTGGGCAAGATTTTACCCGATCTTCCAACACATGAGTCATCTCATATCCTGTGACTAAGAAGAGCTGTCTCTTTGGTGCCAGTTTTCTAAGTGCAGTCACCACTTGATGGAGACGGATGGACACAGTTGGGATTGCCCAGGCAGATGGGCAATCTTGCCAGCTAGACATAGGGGAGGGAAGCCTCAATGTTCAGCGGTCACATCTGCTTTTCTGTGGCACAGAGTGAGCTATACAGGAATATTGTATTCTCCAGGACAGTTAGGGCAGTGGGAAATGTCATCAAACAGAACAGTGACCCAAAGAGCCACTGCCACTGGGTGCTCTGTGGGAGCTGGGCACTGTGCTCATTGTGTTATGGGCCTTGCTTTGTTCTTACCTTGTAGCCACCCAGAGAGGCAGGGCATTATCCTTGCTTCCTAGCTGAGGCCACAGAAGAGGCTCCTAGAGGTTAGCTGTAACTTGTCCAAGGCCAGCCAGTGCAAGGAGGCAGAGCCAGGATTTGAGCCCATGTCTGTTTCACTCCCAAACTATTCTTCAGATTTCTTTAAGTCAAGTGTTATTTAGAAATGTTTTGTTTATTCATCAAATATTTGGTGGGTGTTTCCAGCTATCTTTCTGTTATTAATTTCTAGTTTAATTCTATTGTGGGCTGAGAATATATTTTGTATGATTTCTATTCTATTACGTTTGTTAGGGTGTATTTTCTGGTCTAGAATGTGGTCTGTCTTGGTGAGTGTTCCCTGTGTGCTTGAGAGGAATGTGTGTTCTGTCATTGTTGAATGGAGTGTTCTATAAATGTCACTTAGGTCTAGTGGATTGATAGTGCGGTTCAGGTCAACTGTATCCTTCCTGATTTTCTGCCTACTGATCTATCAATTCCTGAAAGAGAAGTGTTGACGTCTCCTGAGTCTATTCTGAAACACTGAATTGCGGTCTCCATGATGAACCACTAGAGTTAGAAAACCTGGGTCCTAGCCCCATTTGGGCCTTTGGGATGACTCCCTTCTGCCTCAGTTTCCTCATCTACAACAGGGGGACAATGATGCTGCCTAGGAGACATCAGCAGGATACTGTGAAAGTCCAGTGGCATAAGGGGTATGGAGGAGCTTCGTCAACTCCTAAAGCTTCAGTGCTAGGAATCCTAAAGCATTGAAATCCAAAGATATAAGGAATATGAAGGAGTTTTGTCAATTCCTAATGCTTCAGTGCTAGGAATCCTAAAGCATTAAAGTCCAATGATATAAGGAATATGAAGGAGCTTTGTCAACTCCTAAAGCTTCAATGCTAGGAATCCTAAAGCATTGAAGTCCAGTGATATAAGGAATATGAAGGAGTTTTATCAACTCCCAATGCTTCAGTGCTAGGAATCCTAAAGCACTGAAGTCCAATGATACAAGGAATATGAAGGAGCTTTGTCAACTCCTAAAGCTTCAGTGCTTTAGGAGTCCTAAAGCATTGAAGCTGTAAGAGATTAGGACCTCTAGTTGGCAATTCCAGACTCTTCCAGGACTCCTGATAGAGCCAACACCAAGAATAGTGAAGCCAGAAGGATGGAAATAGTAAAATGCCTCCTGGGTGTCAAAGCATGGGTCTCCTCTGGGCATGTTCTCTTGTCCTACTGAGACATGATAGCTCTTGGCCAAAGTGACTGAACTTGACCCTCTGTTTCAGGAAGGCCAAATGCAGGGTTCACTACCATCATGTCCAAGGGCAGATGCGTTGGTCCAGAACATCAGCATCCCAATCATTATACCAAGCAAACAGCCGTCTCTGCCTGCACCGTGGAGAGCACACGCTCCTCCTGGGGTGGCCTGCATCCTGTGTTCTTCTCAGGCCGACTTTCTGTTTAATGTTTGCTGGTCAGGAAATGGCCTGAGCTGAGGTTCTTCAGATCCCAGTCTGACCTTTCTCCACCAGCATTTGTGGCTCTGAAAAATATAGCCCAGTGTGGTTTAGCCCCACTGGATGAAACCCAGTAGGAAAAGTCTGATAATAGCAGAAGACGCACAGGAGGAAGAGTGAGGATTTGAGAGCATCTGGGAAGGACCATGTGCCTGGATATCGTTCTGTCTGTGGGATTCTGTGACACTTGTCATTTACAGTCTGTTCCCATGGAATTCTCATCATTGGCCAAACATATAGTCCTTCTGTCCTCTGAAAAATATCATTCTGCTCCGACCTTTCACACCCATCTCTGACCACATCAACTCCCTGTTTGCATGCATCTTGTGGATGAAGGACACCACTTTACCTGTAAAGACACTGGTGGCTTCCCAAAGCCACCAACTGACTTGTAGAGAAGACAGAATCCCAGAGTATGAAACCTGAGGGTGAAGGGTCCTGGCAGGTCCTAGAGCTCAACCCTTCACTTCACAGGTGGGGAAACTGAGGGAGCCAATGGGAACATGACTCTCACAAGCTGCACAGCTCATCTGTAGGGGCCAGTGTGGAGTCTGTTTGTCCTGAGACCCAGGGCTGAGCCTTTGAGCCCTCCGCATCTCAGCCGCATCCTCCTGTTGGAGCAGTTAGGTGTTTGGGAGAGGCCACGGTCCATGCTCATGGTTTTCCTGTAAGGCTGGAGAAACAGGCCTTGTTCCCTTAGTCTCTCTAATCAAAATGAGGTTGCAGAAAACCCTTCTCCCTACTTCTCCCTAAAATAATTTCCTTGGGTTAGAAGATGACTAAAAGACTATTCATCCGATGACTGATGTCTCCCTTCAAGAGTTATAAGCACATATAAATGCCTTTGAATGGTAATTATAATAATTTTGCTGAAGGGAAAATATCAGTATAAATATCATGGTGGACACATGGAATGAGGACTGAGATGCTTTCATGTCTTTTCAGCTGTGGTTAGATTTTCTTTAAGCAGAATATACAAGTTTTTCCTCTCCTAGCATAAGGACTCTTTTTTTTTGTATCTTTTCTCTCTACTTTTTAGACATGATGGAAAATGCATTTATACATTTGATGACATATTGTACTATCTCAGTTGTTTAAAATTATAAATGTAATTTAATCATATGAAAAATTAAGAAAAGAAGATTCATATTTCACCATCATCTCCCCAGAAATATCATTTCTTTATTACTATTATTATTATTATTATTATTATTATTATTATTATTATTATTTTGAGACAGGGTCTTGCTCCATCACCCAGGCTGGAGTAAGGGGCACGATCTTGACTCCCTGCAACCTCCACCTCCCAGGTTCAAGCAGTTCTCATGCCTCAGCCTCCTCAGTAGCTGGGATTACAGGCCTGCACCACCACACCCAGCTACCTTTTATATTTTTAAGTAGAGACAGTTTCGCCATGTTGGCCAGACTGGTCTCGAACTCCTGGCCTCAAGTGATTGGCCTGCTTCAGCCTCCCAAAGTGTGGGGATTACAGGCATGAGCTACCATGCCTGGCCTAATTCCATCATTTCTGTCCCAAGTGTTGCCACCGTTTGGTTAACTGTTCCCCTGTTCACATCCATTTGGGCCAAGGTTGCAATGTTAAACAATCCTGAGATGGACATTTTCATGTTTATGGCTATTTCTGTATCTAGGGTCATTCTCTTAGGAGAGGTACTAAGGAGTACAAAAACTGGGAAGAAGGATATGGAATTTTTATGGATCTGGTATAAATTGCCAAATTATTTTCCAGAAGGGTTGTAGCCATATTTGTTGCCATCAGCTCTAGAATTTCAACCTCGTAAGTCACTGAAAGAAATTCTCCCAAAATCAATCCTTCAGGAATAATGGAAGAAGATGGTGCCAAACCCCAGCCATTCTGCTCACTGTTAGATTCCTTTTTTGGTCTTACAGGTTACTTTTATTCTCAGGTTGATGGCTCTTAGAGTTGAGCAATGTTTGGGGTAGAATAACGAGCACTTTTAAAACTTGGTTCTACCTGGGGAGGGGGTGAGTTGTGATCACAGACAGTCTCACCTGGGAGGGGCTTGGGTGTTTGTCGGCTTGTCCTTCTAACACTCGTGTCTCAGGCGAGCAGCCTGGGACCAGTGAGGTGACCTGAAGGCTGGAGGTCACAAGCTAAGAGGCGACAGAGAACCCAGGTCTCAGGAAGCCCAGCCCAGAGCTCGCTGCACTGAGCCTCTCGGATGCCAGCTCTGTCCAGGATGCGGGAGGAGGCCAGACTGATTTGGTCTGTTTTGAAAAGTGATGAAAATATTTATTCAAATGTTTTGTACTCATAGGCAGAAGTATAACAGGAGCTGCATATACAAAATTATTTTCTAGTAGTCACATTAAAAAAGTAAAAAGAAAGAACACGATTATTTTTCTTTTTAAAACAGCTTTATTGAGAGATAATTTACATACTATAAAATTTACCCCTTTAAAGTGTACAATTTGCTGTTCTTATATATTCACAATCATGCACGTATCACTACCAGCTCCAGGACACTTTCATCACCGTAAAAAGAAACCCCGTATCCATTAGTAGCCACCCCATACTTCTCCTCTGCCCAGCCCTAGGAAACCACCGGTTCATTTTCTATTTCTATGAATTTGCTTATTCTGGACATTTCATATAAATGGAATCAAAGAATACGTAACGGGCTTCTGTCTCTTAGCATAATGTTTTCAAGGTTGTCCACATTGTAGCATGGATCATTATTTCATTCCATTTTATGATTAAAAATATGCCTTTTAAGGGATACAGGGAGACCAGACGTCTATTTTATCTCCCCTCCCTGATGGGGAATCCTAATTTCAGCCTGGAAAGTCACTGCGAAAGTCTAAACTGCAGAGGTGATACTGTTTCCACTGGAAGAAACTGTAGCACCTGACTCAGGAAGCCAGCATTAAAACCAAGAATATTCTATATGGATGGGGATTACGCACTGAAAGGAAAACATGAGGAAATGCACTTTTCAGATTTATTAGATCATAGAACTTTTTTGGAGCTGGAAAGGATGTCGGAAACCGTCTAGCCTACCCCCTCATCTTACCACTGAGGTAACTGAGGCCCAGGAAGGGGAAGTGGCTTGTTTTGGGTCCGGGACCACTCTTCATTTCTTATTTGAGCCAAAGCTTCCTTCTGGCGTCTGTCTCTGTTTCACAAGTTCCCCTCGCATGGGGGCTGGGTACTGCTTGGAAGAACTGGCTTCTTCCTTGATACAGGGGCTCGTTCACCATCACCTCCCTCCCTCACGTCTCTTCTGCCTCTCTGCAGCCTCAGGCCCTCCTCCTGCACCAGGGGGGCAGACTCAACCCGGGTGGGCACTGCCTCCCAGTCCGTGGCCAGAGGCTGGAGGGCTAGGGAGACTGAACAGCCCCGGCAGCTCCAGACATAACAACCTATGTTGAGGAGTCAGGGCAGGAAGCGAACCCAGCTGAGAAATCTGCGAAGGTCAGGACCAGAGCCAGACGCTTATCAAGAGCAAAGTTAATGGTTTTTGTGAACCGAGCAGTCAGCTGTTTCCCCGAAGATAATAATAGACACATCATGTTGGGCATTCAGGAGGCATCTGAAAAAAAAAATGTGCAGTGGAATTGATTGGAAGCTTTTCCCTAATGCATAAAATAGGCCAGAAAAGACTATCAAATGTAACAGCACCGATCAAACCCAATAGATCAAGCAAGGACTGAAAAACACAATTTTTTTTTTCTTTGCCAGTGAGTCTGAAAAGTGATTTTCAATGACAGGCGCCTTTAAACATAGACAACATAAACAACAACATAGTTGTTCTGGAAGAGGCATCTTTTCCCAGTAAAGCCAAAGATGCAGATCTAGGCTGTGCTTGTGACTGACAGCACAGTGAGGGGTTCACAGCCAGCTGGCCAGGTGCCCCCCGAAAGCACATTTCGAATCTACTCTATTTGAGAGAGACTGCCTTAGCCTTGTTTGGGTAAGTCTTCCTCCTTCACTTCACCTGCCACAGACTTTTCCAGGCACCATCTGCTGCAGTCTTGGCCCAGCCCCTGCAACAGTTACTGCTCAAGGCACCCGGGACATGCAGGACGGGGGAGCAGCCTGAGGTCTGGCGTCCGGCGAGCTTTTCCCACTTGGAGCCGTCTGGGAGACTGTCCCGGAAAGAGAGGGGCTGCCAACACTTGGAAGTGCCAATGTGTGCTGCAAGTCGAGGCCAGGCTCCCGGCTCCCCCGCCTCTTCCTCCTTGATTCATTAAAAGGAAAGAAAGAGGCCACACGAAACTCTCCTGAATTTCATTTCTTTGTTTCTATGCAAAAGACAGAGCGTGGTCATTCATCATTCAAATTTTAGCCTTTTTAAACAAATAATAATTCCTGCTTGTGAATTCAGTGTATTTTAACAAGAGTAGGTCTGAGGGCCGTTGGCCGTGTCTTTCCTTAGATTTGCAGACAGCGGCCCTGATGGTGCATAGGGTTTCAGGTTTCCTTTAGACCTCAGCTGGCTGCCTGGGCCACCACTTAGCAATGCCATTGTCCTTCCTGTGCATTTTCTTTGCAGAATTCGAGGAAATCCAGTCGCACAGGCCCCTCTGTGCCCATGTCCCCGGCGCCCTGGAATGTGCAGTACCAGCAGCAGCGATTAGAATGGGGGTCTGGTTTCCCGGAATGTGCAAGGTCTGGCTTCTGTTTCTGCTGCCTCCATGCCCCAGACCAGTGCTGGGCCGGGCTCTGGGCTGGAGCCGTGGCTGACAAGTTTCCTTGGAATTTAATGGAGCGGGCCAGACAGCATGCAGCCACTCAAACTGAAAACCTGGGAAAGAAATGAGTGTTGTGGGGCAGCTTTGCTGCATTCACTGGGTCATATATGCTTCTTTTTCTTTTCCTCAGGCAACCCCTCTTGCAGACAGGAGGCCCCCTCCCCTTTCGCTTCATGCCTCACTGGCCATTAGGAACCTTTTAAAACTGATTTCTCTCCTGACCCTCAGAGAGAACATAGTCCAAGTTCCCTGGAGGAGGAGGAAGCGCTCTGTGTTTCTCTGCAGTTCACGGCTCAGTTAAATGCAGCCTACGTGCTGTCTTTCCCCACTCCTCTGCCTGCTCCCGTTGTGCTTCTCATGATCATTCTCAAATTCAGCGAGAAACCTCACAAAGGGAGCTTTTCTTAGGGAAGAGTCATCCTTGGCCTCCCGAATGTGGACCAGCCCCTCTCCCCAGCTGCACAGCATCAGGTTAGTTAACCACCTGCCTCCATCTGGGTCCTGTCTGGACAGGCCTACTCACACCTGCTGCAGGCATCCAACTTGCCCTCAGGTGCCTGTGGCTCGTCCAGAGGGGTGGAGCCCACATTCCAGTCCTGACAGGTAAAGTTCAGTGGCGGGGACCCTGCATTTAGTGTAAAGATCAATATTCCAGGTCCTCTCTTCCTGCCACCCAGCGACTGGCCGTTTGCAGGCACTCGGTCCCAGTTGTCCTGGGCCTGCAGCCCTTGCATTCTCTCTGCTTTGTCTCTGCTATTGCACCCCTGCCCCATCAGAAATGCAGGTGGGGGGGCCTTCCGCTGGGACAGTGAGAGACTGGGTAGTAAGGGGAGCGCTAGAGGGATGGTTGCGCTTGCATCCAGCCCTGACTGCATTCGCTCTCCCCCGCCTCTCTGTGAAGGTGCTGAGCTGTGAGTGGAACCAAGTGGATGAGAGTGGCCTTGGGCACCTGCCGATAAATTTCCCGGTGTGTCTTCTCCTCCTGGGAGTCCCATCTGGATTTGGGTCTGGATTTATTTATTCAGCAAGTAGCCTCTTTATAGTTACTTTTTTTTTTTTTTTTTTTTTGAGATGGAGTTTCACTTTGTCACCCAGGCTGGAGTGCACTGGCGCAATCTTGGCTCACTGCAAGCTCCGCCTTCCAGGTTCACGCCATTCTCCTGCCTCAGCCTCCCGAGTAGCTGGGACCACAGGTGCCTGCCACCATGCCTGGCTAATTTTTTGTATTTTTAGTAGAGACTGGGTTTCACTGTGTTAGCCAGGACGGTCTCGATCTCCTGACCTCATGATCTGCCCACCTTGGCCTCCCAAAGCGCTGGGATTACAGGTGTGAGCCACCATGCCCGGCCTGTAGTTACTTTTAATTTAGCCATGCTCGGGGCTGAAGGGGATGCCAAAGAAATATAAGATGAGCCCCTCAGACGGCTAAAGATGAAGATGAGGCCTCCAGTATGTACCTCCCACATACACCCCAGGAAATTCTGGGTGTCACTGGATTCTGGACCTCCCAAAAGCTGCTGGCACCTGGAGGATGGGGCCCCGAGGCTGGACCTCACTCCTGCTGGGTTGCTGGACTGGGAAAGTACTGATGGCAGCTGAGGAGTGTGTCCCAGACTTCACTGAGCCATTCCCAAAGATTATTCCAAGTTCTCCTGACACTGCACTGGAGGCCTGCTGTGCTGGCCTTCTTTATTTACAGTTTCTGACTGGTGTCTAGCAGCCCTGCCAGAGAGAGCGGCAGTGTGTCTGCAGGCGACCAGGAGAAATGTCTCAGGCTTTAGAGCAGGACTTTGAGCACATAGCTGTGGGGGCCCAGCAGGCTGTCTCCTGCACGGTTACTTCTCCTTGTCCTTTCATGGTCGAGAGGTTGCTGCCTGGCCCTTCAAGTGAGGATGGGACATGCTATCCATTGGCCTTAATTTCCAACCTCTGCATGATGCATTTTATGCTCCTGCCTTTGAAAGAACTTTTATTTTCTTGTCATTTATGCCCAGACCCCACATGGCAGAAGGAAGGGAGGCTGGGACAGGGGAGGCGGATAAGCTGCCGCTGACAGACCTGCCCAGTTTCTTAGCTCATCCCGGCCTCCATCCTGGTGAGCAGACACTGGCCCAATCCAGCCATATTTTTGGCTGAGTTTCTGTCTTCACATCTCATCCTTAACCCTGAATCCTGGCCATAGTTGGTACTGGGTTGTATTCTTATTTGTAATCTTTAAAGTAGGAATACCTTTGCTGGTATTTAAAGTGGAAGAAATCAGGTGAAGAATCACAAGTGATTTGCAAACTGGAAGAGACATTAGAATGTAAATGTGAGGAAGCGTCAGCATGAGGGGCTTGCCTGGGCTGCACAGCTTGCCTTGGCTGGAGTATGCACTGTTCTGGCATTGCAGAGAGGATGGGTACCTTGCCTCCCTGCAGGTGGGGGACTGTATCAGCCCCCGCAGACTGCTCCTGGGCTCCTGAGTTTGACAGATTTTTTTTTTTTTTTTTTGAGACGGACTCTCACTCTGTTGCCCAGGCTGGAGTGCAGTGGTGCGATCTCGGCTCACTGCAAGCTCCACCTCCTGGGTTCACGCCATTCTCCTGCCTCAGCCTCCCGAGTAGCTGGGACTACAGGCGCCTGCCACCACGCCTGGCTAATTTTTTGTATTTTTAGTAGAGACAGGGTTTCACCGTGTTAGCCAGGATGGTCTCGATTTCCTGACCTCATGATCTGCCTGCCTTGGCCTCCCAAAGTGCTGGGATTACAGGCTTGAGCCACTCGCCCGGCTGAGTTTGACCAGATTAAGGCAGCATCTCCAGTGGCACCTGAGCAGCTCCTGAGATGCTTTTCTGTGCTAAATCTGGATTTGGGGTATTAAATCAAATGAATTTGAAATGCAGGCACAGCTGGCCCCATGGGCATGGACCTGTGCAGTCACACCTTGCCCCGTGTTCAGAAGGGTGCTGTGCCTGTTTTAATGCTCTGCTGTTGCTCTCTTGAGATTCTTAATAATTTTTGAACAAAGGGCCCCACATACTCATTTTGTACTGGGTACTGCATATTATGTAGCTAGTCTTGAATCTAGGACAGTGCATTAAAATGCCATTGATTGGATCAATCTGCTCTTGCAACTGATTTGAATTTTGGGAACATGCTGTTTCCTGTGAATAAAGGAGGATTCATTTCTTTTCCCTCGAATACACTGCGTTCTGTTTTCCAAATTAGCTCTACGTATCAACTCAGCTGAGAAATTGGAAGCGGGGATTGTTCTGGCTGGAAGGGAAGGTTAGATTGTTAATCCTGCATCCTGGCCCTGATCTCACCGAGTGTGAAGCATGTTCCCACAATGGTGTGGGCTGCGGGGGGCTGGAGGCTGGCTGAGAAGGTGGGGACCAAGGAGGGAGGCTAGCCTGGGAGCCAGACAGATGGGGTTAGGCTCTTGCTTTTGCCACTCGCCAGCTCTGAGGCTTAGGGCAACATGATTTAATTCTCTGATCCTTGTTTTTTTCATCTTTCTGTAGACTGGTGATGAGATGCACCCTGCAGGCTTGCAGGCTTGCAGGAGTAATTAAAGGTAATATTTGTGCCTATTATTGGGCTTGACATATAGTAGATGCTCTACAATAAATAGATCCTATTATTCTTATTGATAATATTATTTTATTGCTAACATTGAAGGTTGGGTGGGATTTGACTAGCTGGAGGCGAGGAGAATGAGATCATCCAGGCCGGAAGGAAAAGAGACATGAATGCAGGGGGATGGGGTGGAGCACTTTGGAGGTGTGGGGAGAGGTCTGCAGGGTGGGAGTTGTGCATTAAGGAGTCGTGGGGAGAGTGGAGGAATCAGTGCCACATGGTGAATGAGAGGGGATCGTGGGCCCGAGGAGATGGCGATGGCTGCGGGGATCCTGCAGGAAGTTTATGTGCCCCAAAGTGGCATTATCAGTTAGGGGGAGACACTGAAGACAGAGGTGAGGCCTGCCTGAATTAGCGTAGAGTGGGATTCTTGGAAGCTTCAGAAGCTTGAGAAGAGCCACTTGGAGGTGTTGAAATGCACCTGGGAGGGACGTGGGGACCCAGCTCTGGGCTGAGAGCTGGGAGACGGAAACGCAGGTGACCTTGGCCTTGAAGATGGGGCATGATATTTAGTGCTTTATGTGCAATCTCACCTAGGACTCCCAAGCCCTTTGGAGTAGGTGATATTAGCTCCGTGTTACAGAAAGGGAGACTGAGGCTGAAGCAGGGACATTCATGATCTGAAGTCACACAGCTGTACGGGGCAGAAGTGGGCATGGAGGCATTAACTTAGAGCCGAAAGGTGTGACCTTTCTTAGTGTGGCTGGCCCCACGGGGAACGTGTGTGGGTTGGAGTACAACTTGGTGTTCCTACCCATCCCAGATGCTCTGCGTTTGTGAACCCCAGTTGCCACATCAGGGCGGGCGAGGGCAGGAAGCTCTGCAGGGAGAAGGGACAAGGGACAGAGCCAAGAACAGGGGCAGTGCCCCAGGGTCCTGCAGGGGCAATGAAGGGGGTTGGCACACCTGGGTTAGTTGCTGGCCAGTGTGGGGAGAGAGCTGGCCTGGGAGTCTAATGGGAATGCCAGGGAAAGCTGCCTTGGTCCCCTAAAGTGAAGCCCCCATGCTGGCCATGGAGTGTTGGTGATTGAGGGTCCCTGCTAGTTGTCTGGCCGAGGCAGCATGTCCTATAGGCATAGCTCTGGTGTCCTGCTGGCGTGGCGTGAGTGCCCCTCATGCTGGGAGCCAGCCCTGTGCTCTGGAGGGAGGTGGTGGGAGGACAAGGGACAGTGGGACCTGCCACCTGAGCAGGAATTGGCACCTTCTCCCACTGGCAGGTCCAGGTTTTATGGAATCTGAAACTTGTACAATTCAGTATACCCTCTTCAAGAAAAACACCCCTCAAAATTATGAATATAACATTAGGTATGAAACTATTATTGATATAGATTGAAAAAAGAAAATGCCCAAAATGACAAACTTCAGAAAATAGACAAATACTGCAAACATCACAAAATCAGAAAAATAAGATTAAAAAAAGCTAACTGCTGAACACTCCGTCATCTTGAAAATGCCCCTCTCTCCTCCTCTATTTTTTGGCTGTGAACTCTTTGCTCACCTTTTCATGTGACAATGCTTTTGTAATATTTCCTACAGAGAAAATAGAATAATTTATTATTACTTTTATTGTTTTTGGATTATTATTATGATCAATTCAATATTTTTCTGCTACCCACACACTCACTGTCTTCTGTCCAACCTCTGGCCTGCACCAGGGGAACCAGCAGTTTCCCCTGCCATAGGGTGTCCCTGGAGACCACACATATAGCAGGATAGATATAGCAATTTAACTAGACACAGAAGGGACTTCAAAGCCACAAATATATCTCATTTAACCTGAACAAAATGATTATCCAGTTTTACTTTTCCCTTAGCCTCTTCCCCCAAATGCTGGCAGCCACCCTGATGGGATAGATGTGTGACAGAGGGCAAGAGACCGTGGCCCCAACCAGCTGCAGCTTCACTCTTTCATTTCTGTATACTCTCTACAAGCTGTGATGATAGCACTTTGCTAGGGCCCCTCACAGGGCAGATGGAGGGCTCCACGCTGAAGCTTTGTGGATGTTTGCTGTCTATCCACCTCTGCTCCTTGTGCCTATGCAGGGATTCAGGCCCAACCACTGCAGAGAGCCCAAGAGCATCAGGCAGAGGTTCCCAAACTGTCATGATTGGTGGCACCTTTAGTAGTTGATACGGTTTGGTTGTGTCCTCACCCAAATCTCATCTTGAATTCCCACATGTTGTGGGAGGGACCCGGTTGGTGGTAATTGAATCATGGGGGCAGATCTTTCCCGCACTGTTCTCATGATAGTGAATAAGTCTCCCAAGATCTGTTGGCTTTATAAAGGGGAGTTTCCCTGCACAAGCTCTCTCTCTGACTGCTGCCATCCATGTAAGACATGACATGCTCCTCCTTGCCTCCCACCATGATTGTGAGGCTTCCCCAGCCACGTGGAACTGGAAGTCCAATAAAACCTCCTTCTTTTGTAAATCACCCAGTCTCAGGTATGTCTTTATCAGCAGTGTGAAAATGGACTAATACAGTAGTGCAGTCATTTTTTCATGGTCCCCAGTAAGGCCAAAAAATACCCAACAGTTCCATTTATCAATTAGTGGAGGCCAAACAATTTGATAAGTATTTGTGTCCCTATAACACAGTGGTCATTAAAAAAAGACATTTTAATTTCATTATTCAATAAGCATGATTACTTATGAATGGGATATGTGCACCTGTTGGGTGTCACATGACCTTTCAAATCTTGGAGTCAGATTGGACACCACCATGCCCATTTCCAGTTCAACTCTGATTTTTGTGTGGTACATGCTTTTTATCACAGTGACTGCCAGAAATCCAACTTCATATGGAATCATGAAAAGGGATGTAGTGTGATCTGATTTCAAAACTATGATCAATCTAGAGCTAGTTTACAAGGTGTCTAACAGTGATCAAGTATCACTGTATTTCCCTAGAAAACCTGAAATATCGATGAATTTTCTGTGGCACTCTGGGGTCCCTTGGGGCACACTATGGGAACCATGGGATTAGGACCATAAGGATATGATTTTGGCTTCTTCCTGCCTCAGATCTAATCTTTACCTGGCATTTTTGCCTTAAAGATGAAAGAAGCATACATTTTGATGTATTTAAAGCACATATTCGGCCAGGTGCGGTGGCTCACACCTGTAGTCCCAGCACTTTGGGTGGCTGAGGCAGGCAGATCACAAGGTTGGAAGTTTGAGACCAGCCTGACCAACATGGTGAAACCCCATCTCTACTAAAAATACAAAAAATAGCTGGGTGTGGTGGCATGTGCCTGTAATCCCAGCTACTCAGGAGGCTGAGGCAGGAGAATCACTTGAACCCAGGAGGCAGAGGTTGCAGTGAACCAAGATTGCACCACTGCACTCCAGCCTGGGCTACAGAGCAAGACTCTGTCTCAAAAAAAAAAAAAAAAAAAAAAAAGCACATATTCATTTTGTGCTTATTCTTTTGAGAGAAACACAGATAAAAGCCTATCCTTTAATTCATACTCCCCATACTGTGATTTTCATTTTTACTGCAACAAATTTTGTTCAGTGTGATAATGAATGTCAAACACTTAATGCCTTGCTCTTTTCAGTAACATGACATATTGGAGAATAATGACTGAAGCTTATCTACACTGCCTACGTCTGTTTTCTTCCACCTTGAAAGAAGTTGTTGAAAGTAATTAAGAAGTATTATGTGTAAAACTCCAGGGATGATGTGCTTCAAGGAAGCAACATTTATGAAGTTGTGTGCTTGACTAGTAGTTTATAAAGAGGAAAGACGAATCATTTATTGTCTTGGGATTGAATCTTGGCAATTTTTAAACTATAAAGTTACAGGAAATGTTGGCTGCTCTTAATGGGCCATTTGTTGTGTTAAAAATCAGTAATGAGAAATATTTACTAGGTAAGTGGAAAGATCCATCTCTATAAATTGTTGTAACTTACCATTTTACAAATCTTAGTTACTCAGTTTTTCTGCTTAAAAATGAAATCATGTAGCACTGTATAAGTCATTCAGTTTTTTATTTTGGAGAATTACTCTGGATTGTCTAGGCTCTGTGCTCTCCACATATATTTTTGAAATAGTTTGTGAATTTCTACAAAAACTCCTGCTCAGAATTTTCACTGAGAGTATGCTTAATCTATGGGTTAATTTGTGAGAAATTGATAGCTTAACAATAGTGAATCTTCTGATCTACAAGTGTGGTATTTCTCTCCATTTATTTAGGTCTTCTTTATTTTGATAGCGTTTTGTAGCTTTCAATGTACAGATCTTGCAAATATCTTGTTAAATATTTCCCTAATTACTTGATATTTATTTTTGATGCTGTTATAGTTATATTTTAAAAATTTTGATTCCAATTGTTGCTAATACATAGAAATGAAATTATTTATTGACCTCTTATCCTGTGACATTGATAAACGCAGTCATATATTCGTAGATTTCTAGAATTTTTCTATATAGACTATCATATATATCATCTGCAAATAAAGACGGTTTTACATTTTCCTTTCCAATCTCTATGCCTTTTGTTTCTTTCTCATGCCTCATTGTGTGGTCCATTACTGAACGGCAGCCAGTTCCAGCTTTCTGTTCAATTAAGGAGCAGGTAAAATGGCCAGGCCTTGACCTTTCAGGGGGCTTCCCGTCCTCATTGCCTTCTGCTGCCTCAGTTCTGGCTTAACAGAACAGTGTGGGGAGGAGGCATGGTCCTTACCTACTAGGGCGTTACTTGGCCTTCTTCAGGTTGGTTGCTTCGTCAGGTTTAAGAGCTCACCTGGGCTGCAGTTCAGGCTAGGTTATCTGCTGACCTGGCCCTGTCTCCCTTCTGTAGTGTCTGTGGGGTACCCTTGTAAGCTAGGGAGAAGAGACACACGTGAAGGCCAGAAAAAACAGCCTGCCACACAGCTTCCCTGGATCATACCTTCGCAGTGACATGACGACGTCGTTAGGAGGCGCCGAGGTGGCTGAGTGGGTCTCCAGACACCTCCCTTTACCTCTCTGCTGTGCCACTGATGTGTGACTTGCTTACACCTATGCAGAGCTGCCACTGAGCAGCACTGTGGCCAGTCCTTTGGATTTTCTTCTTTCTAAATTGTATGCCGTGGCTTGATCAAGCATTTCATATACAGTAGATCATGAAATCAGCATAGAAAACACATTGAGGTAGGTGGTGTTACCACATTTTATGGATGAGAGGCTAACACTTGGAGGAGTCAGGTAACATGTCCAAGGCCACACAGCTAGTGAGTACCCTGCTGAGGGTCACACTCTGGTCCATCTGAGGCCAGAGCCTGTGCCAGCCTTCTCCTCATGCTGATAGACGAGGAAACAGAAAGAAGGAGCAGTGGACGCCCCCACCCTCTGTCCCCTGAACCCCTTGGAGAGTAGGCAGTGGCAGAGCCAGCCTGGGCCCATCTATGGGAATTCTCCATCGGGATTGACTCCTCTGGAAGGAAGACAGTTGACCCACAGTTGAGATCACAGCAGATGGGCCAGCCAGGGTGTCTGTAGACCATCAGGCAGTGGCCACTCCATGTAGTTTAATGGACAAGCCCTTTTAATGGAACAGGAATCTAACACTGAACCAAGCTGCTTTTAGACACACTTTTATTCCTCACTCTGAAATGGCGTTTGGACAAGCCAAATATTTCTTCTTCTTTCAGTTGACATTTTGTCCATCTTTGAACTGTTAGTTGATGCTTCTTCTGTTTAGTTATTCCTGTTCTATTTTCCTGTTGCCACTAGTCCACCCAGGGATGGTAAGAATGGAAGTCAATGGTTGCTTTTTCATCTGAGATGCACCACGAAGGCTTGTCAGTCAGCCTTGTCATATGGTCTGTGCTCCCACTGCTCCTTCTTTCTGTTTCCTCATCTGCAGAATTTGGAGAGTCCTGGACCTGATCTCAAATTTCACATGTTATTTATCTTCCTGCAGCACGCTGGGGAGAGGAAGAGACAGGGACATAGAAGGTTGGAGCTGGAACAGACTTCACATCTCATTCCAGAGGCATTTGGTCCATCTTACAGATGAGGAAATGGAGGCTGCTCAGTGGACTGAGGCTGGAACTGGGCCTTCCAGTGGCCAGGCCAGATCCTCCTTGATCTCCCTTGTTGCTTTCCTGGTGGGAAGACCCTGGAACCACTTTATGTGACTGTGTGAGAAGGGAACTGCCTCTCATTTTACCCAGCAAAATCCACCTTCAATCCATCTTCATTTTTGCCCCTGGTGTGGGCAAATTCTCCCATACCTAATTCAGGAAGCCAGAAAGAGGAAGTGAGTTAATGATCCTTAGTGGGAAGGCGCTGGTAATGGTCCTTCTTGTGAGAGTTTCTGAAACACCACGCTGTCTCTGTGTTCTGGCCTGGCTGGAGTTAAACCTCTTCTTGGCCTTTCCCCAGGAAGCTGGTCTGAGGAAGCCCAGATGCGTTTGTTTACAGCTGTCTGGTGACATTCGCCAGGCTCTGTTTTCAGAAGGAACATTTCCATTCCCTTATTTACACCTCCCATTGGAGTGCTCGGGGGGACACACCAATTATTTGCAACTACCTGGAAACCTAGGAGGGTAGCAGATCTGTAGGAGGCCAGTGTTGAAGTGAGAAGCTGTAGATCTGGTGACACTGTGGGCTTGGGAGGGCTTGCCCAGATCTGTTACTTATACTCTCTATTAAGAAACTTCAGTGTCCATGGAGAAGTTATTTAAAGTCTGCGAGCCTCAGTTTCCCCATATATAATATGGGAAGGATACCTGATTTTCCTATTCCACATGAAGGTAGAAAAAATTAAATTAAGGCAGCCAATGAAAGGGTTTTGAAAGCAAAAATAATAATATGATACTGTTCTGAATTTGTTAAATTATTCTTCCAAGTAGTTGCAGATCTTTTTCTGTACCTTAGAAAAAAACCATGCTATGTAAAAGGAGATGATTCCAATCTTTAAATAAAGCAACTCAGAGGTCAGGGGCTAGGACAGAAAACGGCCCTTTGTTCACAGAAGCGCTCTCACTTCCAAGAAAGCAAGCGTGGGAGAGGCAGGTGGTCCTCCCGATGTCCCTGTGCCCCATGGTGTCAAGCTGGGTTACTATGGCCCTTCGTGACCCAGTGCAGCAGGGATGTGGGAACCAGTGGGTGTGAAGCTGTGACGGGTCACAAGAGGGCTGGGACGTCTCACAGCTTTTACTTATAGCCTAGAGCCTGGGGAAGGGTTGCCACTCTAGTGATGAGAGAGGCGTGTGTGTGTGTGTGTGTATGCGTCTGTATGTATGTGTGCATTTGCATGTATATATGTGTGACTGTATGTATGTGCACATCTGTGAGTATATGAATGTGTGTGGAAGTGTGTATAGGTGTTTATGTGACAGTTTGTGTGTAAATGTGGGTGTATGTGTGGGTGTGTTTATGCATGTACATCTGTGGGTGTGTATGCATAGTGTGTATGTGTGAGTTTGTGTGTGTGTGTGCATTTGCATCTCTGTGTATATATGCATGTGTGTTAGGGGCAGGCACACAGGCCTGTTGGTAAATGAGACACAAAATACCTACAAAATACAAAATGTGAGACAGGAAATACAAGCCCCAGTTACTCATTTTTCAGTGCAACAGACATAAGATTACCATGTGAAATTGCTATGAAAGTTTCCGAAAGCTTCCTGTCAATTCGTAGTGAGCAGCTAGCAGAGGAGTGCGGGTCCCTGGAGCCTGCTTGTGCAACGCTGAGCTAGTCCAAGGGGGAAGAATGGGGTGCATGGCTCTCAGCTGCAGACCAGCCTGGAACCTCTCCAGCCTGCTTTAGCAGAGACTTGTTAAGAGGTAGCAGCAGGTGGCAAGATTAGGAGCCGGAGTAGTAGGCTAAGGCTGCACTTCCAGGGACACACTGCCTCTGCCACCACCCGTGCCACGAAAATGGGAGCCCAGGACCCTGAATCTCTAGCAGTCCGTTTCTGAATCAGTTACCTTGGGTATGTGCCTCTGGTTGATGGAAACTAACTTGTAGCCCTGCTGGGTGAGAGCCTCACATCGGGACATGTGACAGCTTTGTTGAAAGTAGCTTTGGAAACGCCCACCACGTGGGGCCACTCACTGTAATATAAACGGTCATGCATCACTGAGCAACAGGGATACGTTCTGAGAAATGCGTCGTTAGGCGATTTCATCACTGTGGGAATGTTACAGAGTGTGCCTACGCAAACCTAGATGGCAGAGCCCACTCCACACCTAGGCCAGATGGCAGAGCCTGTTGTTTCTAGGATGCACGCCCGTACAGTAGGTTACTGTACTGAATACTGTAGGCAGTTGTAACAATGGTGAGTATTTGTGTATTCAAACATAGAAAAGGTATAGTAAAAACAATGGTGTTATGGTCCGCGGCTGGCTGAAACGTTATGTGGTGCATGACTGTAGGTATAAAGCATTACAGTTGTTTGATTTTTCTCTTTTTCTCACCCACAGTCTTAAGGCACCTCTTATGCCTTTTGTCTGGGATGTCCCGGGCAGGGTTGGAACGTGTGGTTAAGGCATGGCGGAAACTGCTTTGGGGACAGACGATGGCCTCAGCTTGCCTTGGGGTGTCAGTGGGAAAGATAGGAGCTGCCCCTTTGCCTTCGTGTTTCTTCGTAATAATCTCAGATGTACCCGTCTGGTGGGCCTCTCCTAGAAAAAGCCCCGGTGCTCTTTGCTCCTGCGGTGTTTCTCAGGAGGGTTGTTGCTTCTTTGTAATGGTGGGGACTCAGGGAAGGGACGCAGGCAGAGGGTGATGCCACATCAAAAAGGGACCCTTGGCTGGGTGTGGTGGCTTACGCCTGTAATCCTAGCACTTTGGGAGGCCGAGGCAGGTGGATCACCTGAGGTCAGGAGTTCGAGACCAGCCTGGCCAACGTGGTGAAACCCGGTCCCTAGTAAAAATACAAAAATACAAAGGTGGTGGGTGCCTGTAATCCCAGTTACTCAGTAGGCTGAGGCAGAAGAATCGCTTGAACCGGAGAGGTGGAGGTTGTGATGAGCCAAGATTGCGCCATTGCACTCCAGCCTGGGTGACAGAGTGCGACTCCATCTAAAAATAAACTGAAAAAAAACAAAAAACAAACTTGGGCCATCAGCTTCTTGGAAAGGCTGGTGTGAGGTTGAAGCATTTGCTGGTGCCTCTGCTCAACGTTTTTGTGGTGAACCTGAGCAAAGAGGTTATCATTAGTGGATTTTACTGCCTTACCTGGGTGGGCACTCCCTTGGGAGGTGGATGGACATTTGCAGCTGAGCCCAGGTGGGGGAATTGCGCTCACTCCGCCTTCAGAATTCCAAAGGCTGGGCATGCATCTTGGCTTCCTCTAACCCATGTCTTTCTCTAGGTGGCCACAGCAGAGTGTCATTAAGTATCTATTCTTTGCTTTTGTTCTCAGGGCAGGAAGATCCCAACAGTTTGCGCCATAAATATAACTTTATCGCGGACGTGGTGGAGAAGATCGCCCCTGCCGTGGTTCATATCGAATTGTTTCGCAAGTAAAGAGAGCCTTCCTTTTTCCTATAACCTCCGAAGCTTTCACCGCCACTAGCAAAACATGAGAGCTATTTTTGAGATACATTAAAGTGTCAAAGTGTCACTGAATATCTTCCTACTTAAGATAAGTGTGTCTCCCTTAGAACATTTTCCCTATTCGACTATATAAATCTACATTCTTGACCCTTCTGAATGTTTAAAGAACCTCGGGCTCTGAAGAGATTCTCTAAGAATATTTTGTAAGTGGAAGTTTTTGATGCATGCAAAAAATTGGCAGGATGTTTAGTGTTTAAATGCTAAGCCCGATATATAAAGGAGCGATGGCTAGGTGTGTGTGGCTGTTGCACAACCCATTAATCAATGCGTTGAAGCGTTCATTTTAAGGTGCTACAGGCTTAAGTGTGTACTCCTTTGGATTTTAGGCTTCCGTTTTCTAAACGAGAGGTGCCGGTGGCTAGTGGGTCTGGGTTTATTGTGTCGGAAGATGGACTGATCGTGACAAATGCCCACGTGGTGACCAACAAGCACCGGGTCAAAGTTGAGCTGAAGAACGGTGCCACTTACGAAGCCAAAATCAAGGATGTGGATGAGAAAGCAGACATCGCACTCATCAAAATTGACCACCAGGTAAGGGTGTTCTCGCCTGCAGAGGTGAGTTCTCAGATGCCCCGGAACACCCTTGGCAAAGGCACCAGAGCTCTCTGATTGCAGCTGATTCTCGGGGGGCACTGAAGCCAGTCTGAGCCAGTCACAGGAGGGCCTTGAGGAGATGCTGAGTATGGCCTGGGGGTGTGGGAGAGGAAGGGGCTCAGGAAAACTTCTGTAAGGAGCCAGATAAAAGTTTTTAAAATAATGTTTTAAATGTTTGTCAAAGAAAGCAATAGATTTGTAAAGAAATTAGTAGGTAAGTAGTGAAAATTGATTCTCCTTCCCATTCCCAATCCTGTGGCAACTCTTGTTACAGATTTTATTTATCCTCCACAGATACATCATGCGTTCACAATGAACATAGAATTTACTGGGTTTTAGACTGAGCCATCCTTAACTTGTCAACAGTTACTTTGAAAACAAACCAGCTCTCCCAAATTGGGGTTTTGCGGGGTTATGAGATGTGTTTCAAAAGAATGTTTCGTACTTTAAACATCTTGGAAAACTTGAATTAAAACAGAGCTAATGGATTTCTTCTTTCCAGACCTTCTCAGAGCTTTTAGTATGCTAGTGTGCACGTGGCTTGCCTACAAAAGGGTGTTGACTGAACTATTTGCCCAAATTATAATCATTTGAGTATACAGCTTTTTGTGGGGGCAGGCAGAACTGAGACATACCAAAATCAGTTTGGGAAATGCTGTATTTGAAAATGCTTTCTATTTAAATATTCTCTTTGCAATCATTTTTGCTCTGTTGATTTGCTTAGCAAAGTCTTCATGTCTGGGACAATATCCATTTCTTACTGACTCATCAAAAACCCCCACTCGACACGTCGATGAGAGAGGTTTTGTTTGCTGTGTGGCATGTTCAGTGAAAGCGTGGTTTCCAGTTTCTTCACATCCTTATAATTTTCTAGACTTCAGATGGAGGGAACAATCAGAGGAGGCTGGAATCCTGCCTCTGACCAAGGAAAAGACCAGAGGCTGAGCCAGGTGGGGTCTCTTGTCCAGCCCTCTGCTTGCCTCGCTTTACCTGGGTGTGGGCTGAGTAATTCCAGACAAGCGTGGAATTAATCTGGCTGTTTGTGCTGTTCAGTGGCACGCTGGTTACACCTCCTTCTGGAAACAACTCTGCGTGTGCTGTTTGGGTGGTAGGATTCCGGGTCTCCTTCTCCGTCTTTTTATAACATCAAGTTGCTGCCCAGCTCAGGCTCCTTTACGGCCAGTCTTCAGAAAACCACCAGCTAACACATTTACTACCCTCCTTCCCCGATGTTCCTGTAGCTTCTCTATGGCTGGGTGGCCAGGCATGGCCGAAGAGGCTCTGGGTAGATATAGGCTCTGTGCCCGGTGTGTGTAACTGGCCTTGAGTGAGGCTGCAGTTGTGTGTTATTTCTATTAGGTCACTGTGGAATTTCTAGCGACAACTAATCTTTCAAAGTGTGTTTATTGGTCACAGGATTATTGGGCCAGCCTCTGCCTTCATTCTTTTTCACCTAATCTGCATAATAGCTGTGTTATCCCCATTTTAGAGAAGAAGAAACAGGGGCTCAGAGAAGTCTAGTAACCTGTGTGAGGCCACACAGCAAACACCTCATGACCCTGCCCTCCTAAGGCAGCCCATGGCTACTGCTGGAGGGATAGAGGCCGGCCCCGTGGTTTGATGGGACAGCTTGACCTTAAACAGCCCATGGGAAGGCGGGTGCATCTGGTTTAGGAACAGGCTGCTAGAAAGGTATCCAGGATGTGGTAGTCTCACCGGAAGGAGCCAGTCAGAATAGCACAGCCTGTGGCCACGCGTGGGACCTGTTCAGCCTCATGGAGCTTTGGGAGGCAGCCAGCAGCAGGGCATGGGCTGTGTGCAGGCGAGGCGCTGGCCTGGACGCCGCCCCCACTGCGTAACTTCGTGTTTGGAATGCGTGGGCACATACCGTGCGGCTGCTTCTGGCCGGGGGATATTCTTTTCCAATTTTGAGCCAAGGTGGAGACTGTCTCCTCGTGCCATCCCTGGCATGTCCTGGCAAGACGTGAACGATCTCAATAGACGAGCTTTGCAGAGTGTGTCTGACCTGACTCCTGCTGTCTTGGGAGTTTAGCTCTTCAGCCAGCAGCATGCTGTTTGACATGTGTTTCAAGCCCCCCAAGAAAGGGTGCTTGAAATTTAAAATTGAACTGATGTGGCTTTTCAAAATGGAATTGGAAATGAAAGGATATTAAATTGCAGACACCCACACAAAAGACTGGTTTCCACTGACTAAACTGCTTTTTTTTGCTGATAGTAGTTGAAAGTAGGGAGAGTAACAGCATCTCTTCCAGCTTTTTCTCTTTTGTTCCCTTGTTTTGATGATGGGTTATTTCGGGGGAAGCTCTGGCTGGCCTTGCTTTGTGTCATCTTAGGGATAACAAAGAGGATGAAAGAGATCAGGAAAACCGAGAAGGCAGAACAGAACCAGCAGAAACTGTGCTTGAGGAATGAAAATCACCTACACGGCTCCTTGTCATATGAGACTGTGGCCCAGCCTCCTGCAAAGCCATTTAAGAGTAACCCAGTGAAGCTGGTGAGACTGCCTGCCGCGTCCGTGGGCCCAGTGACTAACTCGGTGGCTTATCATCTGGGCCCAGCTCCTCCCCTGGCATCCTGATTTCACTTGGAGGGGCCCCCGTTGTCCTTCATAAACATGTTTATTTCATTTTATTTTTATGTTTTGAGACAGAGTTTTACTGTTGCCCAGGCTGGAGTGCAGTGGCGCCATCTCCGCTCACTGCAACCTCCACCTCCAGGACTCAAGTGATTCTCCTGCCTCAGCCTCCTGAGTGGCTGGGACTACAGGCGTGCACCACCATGCCTGGCTACTTTTTGTATTTTTAGTAGAGACCGGGTTTTGCCATGTTGGCCAGGCTGGTCTCAAACTCCTGACCTCAGGTGATCCACCTGCCTCAGCCTCCCAAAGTGCTGGGATTACAGGTGTGAGCCATTGCGCGTGGCTGTAAACGTGATATTCTTGAGACTTTCAGTGAAATAAGAATTGCCACGGACATCTGTGGTCATTGTCCACTTGCCACTCACCTACCCCCTTTTCTGGCAGCAACAGCCGGCATTTCACATGTCCATCATCGGACAGCGTAGGTGGGACCATCAGTCATGGTGTCCTACCCTCTGTGGCCAAGGAGTGGACACAGGACCCAGTTAGGGCAAGCAGAGGCTCCCCTTGGAATCGCAAAGTGAAGCTGGATGCCACCCACAGAGACTAACATGGTGAAGCTGCTGTAGCCCCTGCTGTTGAGCCCCCAGCACTGCCTGAGTTCTTGCACTTTGTGAGTCCAGTTTAATATCTGCTTTTCCTCCCATTCTTGGAGCTCCCCTCACATCTCCAGTGGCTTGAAGTTGCCAGAGATGTTTCTGGGCTTGTGACCAAATGACTCCTTTTCTGCTTCTCACTGCTGAGCAGACACATGTGCGCTCACTTTGCCTGCTGAGTCTTGGGACCCGGAAGAGCTTTTGGGAGACAATCACGGACCAGCCCCCTCTTGCCTGCCCTGCTGTCTCCCTCCAAGCAGGAGGTGAGAAGGTGTCCACCTGCAGCCCCGGCCAGGCATCCCTTTCTGTGCTTCTGCCCAAATCTGAAATTCCCCTCTCCTTGGGACCCACGACTGGGGCCAGCCTGCCTGGGGAGGGAATCCCAGCTGCAGAAAGTCGGGACAGTGTGCGTGTAAACATGTTAATAGAAAGCAGCTTTGAGGGCAGACTAGTTCAGCTTCAGTTACAAACTCTTTCCAAATGCGTTTAACATGAGCCACTGGCTGTGCGCAGCATATGTCAAGCTTTCATCCAATGGTGGCATTTTGTCCCTGCGGGGTTTTTTTTTCCTGAGCAGTTTGGGGCAGGGGTGGGGACAGGGAGAGAGAAAAGTAAAAAGAGAGCAGTTTGGTTTCTTCAGGCTGGAGTACAAGGCAGAGGTAATGGGATGTATTGAAGAAGGTAGGAGGGAAAGTTACTTTAGCTACAGCTATTTGTCCAGCTGTGCTGATTAAGAAACTTGGAGAAAAGCATCTTTGGAATCATGTCCTTCCCATCTTATATACAGCCTTTGCAGATTTCCTGCTGTTCTGAGAGAGATCTGAACTCCTTACCAGGACCTTGAGGGCCCCACCTGATTGGGCACCCCTCACTCTCTCTGCCCCTCCTCCCCTTCCCCTCCTCCCCTCCT
Source organism: Homo sapiens (assembly GCF_000001405.40). Taxonomy (NCBI): domain Eukaryota; kingdom Metazoa; phylum Chordata; class Mammalia; order Primates; family Hominidae; genus Homo; species Homo sapiens. Next base: position 122,493,855 of record NC_000010.11, read on the forward strand.
TTCTCCACCCCCACCTGCTCTGCTCAGACACCCCTTCCTTGGTTGCTTCCCACAGGCCAGGGCTGTCCCCTGGGGCCTTGGCTGTTCCCCTCCCAGGAGCGCCCCTCTCCAGCTCCTCATGCAGCCAACCTTCCTGTCCTTCAGGCCTCTGATTAAATTCTGCCTTAGACATCTCTCCCCACCCCGCTGTGTGAGGTAGCGCCCCATGCCCCAGTCCCCTCAACTCCACTGCCTCACTTTGGGGACACATCACCCCAGGGACAACTGCATTCCACTCTTGGTTTTTCCCTCCTCGTCTATTTATCACAATTTAGAGTCGCCTCACTCATTTGTCAAATGAAGTTCATCTCTGCAGCTGGACTGCGGGGTTGGGGGCACATCCGGCTGTCGGTCCTCAGGTAGGAGGTGCTTGGCAACCTTGTTCAGAGTAGGACGTTCACAGCTGTCTGCCCCGGAGGAAGCAAGGGCACCCGCCACATGGATGGAATTGAGGGGAAGGCACCCGGGGCTCCTGCATCGAGCTTCCCTCCTATATTCAATGAGGAAATGACCCTGCAGAAGGCTGGCTGCAGATGCCCCTGCCTCCCGGCTTTGCCTGCTTGGAGTTTGATGGACACGTGGTCCTGTCAGGGCTACAGCAGGTCTATGGTCTTTGGTAACGGAAAGCGCTGGTGAAACAGTGAGCTTTCCCGTGGGTGCTTTTCCCTGACGCCAACAACCAGGTAAATATTTGGAAACGGCCTTGTTGAGGCTTGTGAGGTGGTTTTCCTCCCTCCCCTGTAGGCCTGCGCCACCCCCCCAACCCCACGGCCACCTTTGGGCCAGATGGCACCCACAGACCTGTTTGAAGTGGCCACAGAGGGAGCCCTCTGGGCGCTGGGGCCGCTGTGTTTGCAGAGGGTCCTCTTACTGCTGAGCTGGCTGGTGCAGTGAGAAGGAAGGCCGACACCCCTGATCCTCATCAAGTTCAGACGGGGGTCACTGCGGGTGAGGGGCCTGGGGCCTTTTACATGTCCCGGGAGCTGCTGAGCAGGCCACTCTTCTCCAGGCCACCAGAACTTGGCCCTGCGCATGGTGAATCTTCCCTGAGTCAGCTGAGTGAGGGGGTTCAGGCAGCCCCCCGGGACATGGCAGTGGCGGGGAGTGGACTGGGGTGGTGCTTGCCATGACTCACGCCGGTTCTCCTCAGGCAACCGGATGGTCAGATGCGCTGACTCAGTGGCCTGAGCTCGTCCAAAAGCGAATCAGAGAACACAGGGCCTGGGCTCACCCGCTGCCCTCTTCTGGAGTCATCTGTCACTCATCCTCATGAAGGAAGCGCCTGGGAGCCTGGAATGCACATCGCACTGCCCCAGCTCCCCTCTTGTTTCTGTGTTTTTCCATTTTGGATTCTTTCCCCCAACGCCTTCTGTACTGGGCATTTTGTGGTCTCTTCTTTTTCTCCGAGAACTCTGAGGGCTACCATTGCATTTGCTAATGATGCCACAGACGGTGTTGACGTTATGAGGCTTCTATTACTGTATTGATTTTTACCATTTTTAGGGGGACGGGAATCAATATTTCATGAGGGAATGTGAAGCCAGACAGTGAAGTAGAAGCTGGCTTTTATTTTGTGCCAGGCTTTGTCCAGAGGCGGGTGGGGACGTGGCTCCTAAGCTCTTGATTGCAGCTCCTTCTGGCTTGGGAAACGTTTCAGTTCCCCAAACTCTCAGAACTGGATCCCCTGTGTGTTCTCTGGCCCGGATTCAAGAACTTAGTTGATTGTCAAGGAAATTCTTTGGCTATATTTTTCTCTTAATATGGTAATGCCTTTTTTCACTCTGGCACTCTCTTTTCAGGGAATTGGATTAAGACTATTATTTATGGGTCTGACAAAGCAGTTCCCAAGTTGTTGGGACTGGATTTGTTTAGGAATGTCTCCTGTCCTCTTCATTGAGGGGGGAATACAAATTGCTTCCATTTGACAGTTTATCAAGTGTGTGACAGAGTATCAGAGTCCAGGGTTGGCCAACTACAGCCAGTAGTCCAAAGCTGGCCCTCTGTTGTTGTAAATAAAGTTTTATTGGGACATGGTCATGCTCACTTATTTAGGTAGAGTGTATGGCTGCATTCAGTCTACACCAGCAGAGTTAAATAGTTGTGATGAAGACCACGTGGCCCGTGAAGCCAAAAATATTTGCTTCCTGGCCCTTTACAGGAAAAAAATTCCCAGCCCCAGTGGCAGGCAATTAACACCTTGTCCTCGAGGAGCTGAAAGTGGCTGGAGGCAGGAATGCTTATAAGAACCAAGCGAGGTGAAGCACTAGGTGGCCGCGGCGAGCAGGAAGAGAAGCTGATTTTGTTTGCCCTTTCGTTTGCCAGAGATTGTGGGTTCTTTTTTTTTTTTTTTTTTTTTTTTTTTTTTTGCAGAGATGAAGCTTTGATCTTGTCACAATAGCAGAGGGAGGCCTTATTTTTGTCTATTTCTCTGTGACATTGGTAGAAAGGACTTTGTCAGAATTCCAAGCTATTTGGCAATTATCCAATTTTGAGATCCTAATGGATCTTTCGAGGTCTAGTTTGTTCATTCTTTTAGTGATTCCTTGTTAATTCCCTGATTTTATAAATGTGTGTTGAACATCTGTCTTGGCCAAATACTTCTTAGGTGCTGAGGATGCAGCAATAGTGGGCAAAGCCATGGGGCTTAAGATCTAGTGTGGGAAATGGGTGATGTAAAGTAAATATGGCGATAAGTACAGTGCACGAAGCAAACAAGTGAAGGGGTAGAAGGTATCAGGCTGCAAAGACAGCAGATAGTGTAGGCAGGGAATCTTATCTGAGGGGGTGACATCTAAGCTGAGATGGAAAGGACAGTGAGAGCCAGCCAAGGAAACAAGTTGGGTGACAAGAGTTGCAGGTGGAGTTGCTTAATTTCCCACTTCTGCTCAGCCTGCAGATCCTGGATCTTGGACTAATTGCAAACTGTCATTTCCTCGTGAGTTTATTAGAACCCTCCAGAACAAGTTTCTGGTTAGCTAGTTTCTCTGTGTGTTGTCTCATTTCTTGTTGGTTCTGGTTCTTTGGGGTTCCTACTCATACTCTGGAAAGCTCCAGTGTCTTAAGTAGTCAGTCTCCCAAGAGTCTGAAAGCACAAAGATTCACAATGATACGATCACCTCTCAATCATAGCAGCATTGATGCAGTTCCGTAGCTGGTTTCCTAAAGCCATCCAGATCTCTTTCTGTGGCAAGAGAGAAATAAGACCTTCTGGTGAATTGAGGACTAATTATCCTAATAAACATGCGAATTAACAGTTCCTTTGGTTAAACAAAGCACCAGAATCTGATAATGGGAACATGTGACTCATGGTATTTCCTTCTTTGCTTTATCTACCAGGCAGCTCACAGAAACCACTGGCCTTCCCTGTGTTCCCATTTTATGTCATAAATATATATTTAATTAACTTATTATAAAAGGCCCTTTGTTCATTGACCATATCAAATTATTCTTATATAGAAGAGGTTATACATGTTTTAAACATTTTAAAATAAATCTGAAAAGAATGCTACATCCTGGGCAACTTCCCTGCATTTGGGGCTCAAAGAAGCTCTATGTGGTTATGGGTAATGAGGAGCCAGAGTGCCTTCAGGGCAGTTCAGCAGATGCTGAAAGGCTGCTGTGTGCTGTTCGCTGGGCCCACCAAATAGAGTAGGACTGAGCCCCTGTCCACCATGACAGCCGGGAGATACAAGCTGTTCCCTTTGCCTCCCTGAGCCCTGAGCTTTATAGCCTATAGACAGCTGAAAAGCAGGCTGCATCCGTTACCCAGTCAGTTACCCAGACCCAAATGCCAGGCCTTGGCTAACCCCAGTTATTACCTAATTTTAATATCCCAATGGATGTTTTAAGACCTGGCTGGTTCATTCTTTCATTTATTTACTTATTCATTGATTTTGTAAATATTTCTGGAGCATCTGCCATGGCCACATGCTGTTGTAGCAGCATCAGCCACTCTGAAGTTGGTGGATGAAAGGGGATGCATCAAAGGCGCTGATGTATGGAGGAGACGCAAGTTAGACTTGACCAAGACAATATTATTCCTCCTCTGGATGCCCCGAATATATACAGTCATTAGCTGTCGGGCCCCCATGTGGCACTGTTGACATTTTGTGGTTTAAACACTGAAGAGTAAGGGAATATTGGAAATGGCAAACATCTGATATAGTGTAAAGGAGACTAAATATTTTGATGGTGTTCATAAACACCGAGGAGGAAAGTCTTTTCATTTTTTTCATTTGTGTGCTCTCTCTTTCTCTGTTTTTGCACACTGTCCTCTGTTCTCCTTCTCCTTCTCTTTTTCCTTTTTTCTCCCTTCATCTCCCCATTTATCTGATCTCTCCCACCTGAACCCCTTCTACCCTGCTGCCCTCCTGTCCATTCTACCTTCTCTACTCCCCTCCCTAGACAGTAGTAATCACATGTCAGTTGGAGAAACATGATGGCAACTTGGTCACACCGTTCTTCTCAGTCTGTATATGTCGGTGATCTCAGTGCCCATCTGGCAGATCCTTCCTGCCCTGGCTCTTCTGCTCACTGCGACCACCCTTGACTTTGTGATCACTGATAACCTTCACCTTCTCTAATCTAAATCCCAAGCTTCTCACTCTTGGTCCACCACCTCCCAGCCTTGTCCGTTCTGAACCCTGAACGGAAGCTGAATGGAACCCTGAACGGAAGGGTTCTGAAGCTGTTCAGAACCCTGAATGGAAGCTGAAATATCAATGGGCCATTGCTTTTCACAGTCCTCTGTGAAAGATTACTGGCCAAGCCAGCATCTGGAGAATTCCTGGTCCACCACCTCCCTGTCTGGAGAAGCTGGAACAGCCAGCTGCATGAGCATGTGACCCGTGTACTCACAGGCCCTGTGCCCTGAGCTCGCTGTTTTAATTTTATCTTTGAATTTGTATTTTTGTGAATAAAGCCCTATGAGCTAATGGAGCATGCTCAGGGAACTTGGGGCTTTAGCTCAGGCTGGATTCCTCCTGCTGCCTCCCCAGTCCCTGGTCCCCTGAGAACTCCAGCCCCATCTGACCTTCCCTTCCCTGTCTCTATGCAGGGGTCATTGCTACCCTCTATCCCTGGAAAGGATGTAGGCACAGGGCAGTTCTAGGTTCCAGCTTGGGCACCGCTTAACATCTTGGTGGTGCAGGGATCAGGCTGATGATACCGTGGTTGTTCTGTGGGCTACTGGGCAGGGTCAAGCCACTCCCACCCTGATCCAGGTACCTAATGCACCCGACACAGAAGCGGCAGTGTCCTTGGGGTCATCCATTATCCATGTGTTGGAGGAGTGGGACCCTAGGGAAGATGCTTGGCTCGACTTCCCCACCCCTAGCCAGGGCACAATCAGAGGTCCAGGGGCTGGTGGGCACAATGCCAAGTCGTGAGGCCTCCAGTGTCTGCGCTCACTGTCCCATAAATAACCACAGTAATAACTAGCAAATCAAAAACATTGTGATAGGTCGAGAGAGACAGCATGTGGAAGAAAGGAAAAAGCTTTCTATTTTAGTACCTTTAACAGTGCTTTCTGTATGCTTTATGAACAAGGAGCCTGCATTTTTATTTTGCACTGGGCTCTGCTAATTTTGTAGCTGGTCCTGCCCCCTAGTAGCTCAAGTCAGCAAATCTTTGGTTCATCTGAGTCCACAGTCCGCTGACCCGCCCTTTTTCACAGTTCCTCCCCTGCCCATGTGCTCACTTCCCTCCTTACCCAGCTTGGCGCACTCCCTCAAGCAAGTCTTTGGATGCTGACATCCCCCGTAAACAACCCTTCTGCGGCCTGGTTTGATTTTCCTTAGGAGACATGCAAGTTCTATAGCACTGTTTCTTGCTGGGTATGGAGGATGTGCTATTTTGTCCATTGCATATTTTTTAAAGAAAATGAAAGGTTAGCATAACTGTTTCCAGAAGGCACATTGAATCACTCAGTTGAGTCCCAGCCAGTTGCTGCAATGTTAGCCTTTGAAGCAAACTTGAACCAACACAGGACCAGCCTAGAAGTCCCAGCCTCCAGAAATGATGCAGTGGATTCTGCAGATTCAGCAACAACAATATTTTTGTAACTCAAGAGCACTTAGTAATTTTCAAAGGAGAGAAAGAAGTAATTGACTTGGCTTATTAGGTTGAAAAAGAGTTGCCAACTTTTTCTTTGGTTTTGATGTTATTGGTTTTTTTTTATTTTTCTTTTCTCCAAGCTTCAGGGAATGAGATTGAATGAGCACTCAAGTGCTACTAGGCAGAACCCTGAATGGAAGGAAGCTGAAATACCGATGGGTCATTGCTTTTCACAGTCCTCTATGAAAGATTACTGGCCAAGCCAGCATCTGGAGAATTCTAGGAACGCCCCCTCCTCTTGCAGCAGTATAAGTTTGCGGGGATCATCTGACCCCATTGGGGAGTTGTATGAAAAAGGGGATTTATTGGGGACCCTGTTGCCTGTTTGGATCTTACTTACATTTAACTATTGTCTGCTAATGGATTTTTTGGAAAGCAACCAGGTTTTCCGTAAAGAATAGCTAATTGTCAGAGCTGAGATGACCATTGGAGATCACTGGGCTCAACTCCCTAATTTTAGAGGTGCTAAAACCGCAATCCAGAGAAGCTAATCAAGTGGTTCAAGGTTGTAGACTGAGTTCATATAGGACCAAGACCCAGCCCAGATGTCCTACTGTCTGGGACAGTGTTCTCTCAGCATACGTGGAGCCTGAGGGGGTAATGTGTGTGCGTGTGTGTGCATGTATGCATATACACATAGGTGTTTTGCCTAAGTTTTCACTTCTGCCCCACCTTGGTTGATCTTGGAGAATGAGCCTGAGGCGCGCTGTCAACCTGGGGGCCTCATTCAGCACAGGCCCAACTTTTCTGCCCTGGGGGAGTTCCAGCAGTTATGGTTCATCTGTGGTTCAGTTATGGAACTCACACCACACATAGTGCCCCCAAAACCGAGGCTGCGTGCACAGACCTCCCCTCCCTTCCCGTGGTGGGCCCCTGCTTGGGTTCTTCCTAAACTTCCCCTTTGCCCTGCTCTGTGTTATACCCTCTCTGGTCCCCTGTCCCTGTGGAGTGATCCGGGGCACAAGGGCAGCTGTTTCCCCGCTGACCTCTGTGTGCCCTGAGCATCTGGGAGGTGGGGAGCAGGCTGGTGAGAAGAACACCTGGAGTGGAGGTTGGGGTCAGGGAGGGTCCCAGTCCCGGTACCACCCCCACCTGCTGTGGGACCTGCAGTCCCCTCATCAGCAGAACGGCTATGAAGCCATCCTGCCCATCCACAGGGTGGTGGGTCGTGAAGGCTGCATACCTGGCAGAGCGGGAGAAGCTCTGGGAAGATGCCGGACACGCGCCGTGGGAGTGATTTCCCTGCCTTGCCCAGATTCTGCTCCCATCACCTGAACCTGCCTGTCACCACCATGGAACTGCTGTGACCATTGCTTTCCTTTTAAGCAGATTAGCAGACATCTCCTGCTCCACCCTGCCAAACAAACAAACAAACAAGCAAACAAACAAACAAAAATGTGCATGAGGGAGTATGGACTTGTAGAGTCTTTTCTAAACATTGTTAGGTGCTTGTATTGGGATCCTCTCTTAAAATGAACCATATTCCCCAGGCTTTGGATGACACTCATGGTTGCCCACCCTCCAACTTCCTTCCCTGCTGGCAGAGCCCTGGGTTTGTTTTAGTTCCAACCCTGACCCCACCGCATTCCTGACTCAGGCAAATTCGCAGGGTCCAATGCAGTCAGGGGAGCCACGTTCCCTCCTCCAACGAGTGCTGAGGTCGCTGCTTGATTGGATACTGCCGATGACCTACGAGGAGGAGGGTGCCAGGGCGCTTTTGGGACTTTGCTTTTCTGGAGAGATGCTTCCACAGCATGGTCATGGACACAGTCACGTCTTGATGTGATGTCTGGAATGGTGGTGGCCGTCTTGTGGCTGTGAGAACAGGCTGAGGTTGATTGGATGGAGGGAAGGAAGGAGCCTTGTTCTTGATGCTGTCTGTGAGCCTTTGAGTTATCAGCCTGGTACCACCCAGCCCTTGGACAGATATCTACTCTACATACTCCATTTGGAGTTTTTTTTTTTTTTTTTTTTTTTTTTTTTTTTTGTCACTTGCAGTTGAAAACACCCTAATTGATACACACAAACTATTTTTAGTGCTGGTCTGTGTTTGGCCCTTATGGAAGACTCTGGGCTGAGCTGCCCATGGTGAGGGAGGTGGACTTTGTGTTTTCTTACTGCTCTGTGTCCTGGTGGCTTGTTTGTGTCTCTGCCCATGAGACAAAAGCCGAGAGGGCAAGGGCAGATTTTCTTAATCATATGTTCCCTGCACCAAGCTCATAGGAGACACTCACTGAATGGTTGTTGAGAGAGTTCTCTTTCACGGAGGCAATGTTTTGTGAAACGATGCTGCTTGTTGTTGTCTGTTGGTTGTAATATGCATGAACACTAAGAGCCATCTTTAATCATGCTGTGGGCCGCCTCTTCCAAGGTGTTAGCATTACTCCCACTACCTGGTCAGCATCCTGCCTATGGCTAGGACTTTGCAATTTACATAGATATGGTGGGGAGACCTGGAGCCCATGGCCAGGACTCTGACACCCTCACTGGATCTGTTTCTACATCTACCTGGATGGCCGTCTAGGACATTAGAGGATTTGTGTCTTCCTAAAGTCCCTCTGTTGAGAGACTTCTGGCTCTGTTAAGAGGACACTATTTAGCATTGTGAGTCCCTGCAGGCTGGGGGCCAGTGGGCGTTTTTCTTCTAGATGCCCCCTCTCTTCTTCTGGCCTCCCAGGCTTCCTGCTCCTGAGATTGTGAGAACTGGCCTGTGCTGGGCTCACTGCAGAAAGACTGTCGTCCCCAAAGGTTTTGCACCAAACTTGAGCTACAAGATCTTTTAGGGGGACCTGAGATCTCCGCCTGGGCTCTATGAGAGCAGGCATGGGTTGTTTTTGCCCCGTCACTGCAGTCATGCCCACACTTGCATTTTCTTTTCCCCCCAGCAGTGTGAGGATCTGGCATGAGGAGTGGGACTCGCGTGCCCTCTTTCTTCTCCTCTTCCCTCTGGCCTTTTCATCCGTCAGTGGGGGACAGATGTTTGCCCTGTTTACTTCTAGGCTTACTGTGGGGCTCCAGGGAGATGGTGAAGTGGCCAAGGAGAGGAGCTGCCACCTTCAAGACGGCCTGTGGCCGGTGCCGCTTTAAAGGGAGACTCAGAGGTGCTTTGCTGTGGGTGGCGCGGGAACCAGCCTGGGGACAGCAGTGCAGAGGCCTTGGACTCAGAGTGCGTGGGCCCCGCGGGGCTTCACGGCGCCTGTGGCTGTGCACTTCCAGCCATATCTGTGCTGCATCTCTTCCACATTCCCCCATGGAGCTGATGTCTAGACAGCTATGGAATTAAATGCTCAATTACCGAGTAGGAATTTGGCCAGCAGAGGTATAGCTGCTGAGTAGACAGACTCGAGGTGAGGCTCACGGCTGAGAACAGGCCCCATCTGGCTTTGGAATGAGCTGAGGTGCCCGATGCTCCTGCAGCCAGTGGCTCCTGTGGGGAGCTGGGGCCGTGACCCCCAAAAGGCAGCTTGACCTCATGGACCACCATAAATCTGGCCTGGTCAACATCTCTGCCAGACATCATTCCCTTGCAAAGATTTCTGCCTGTGATTGGAATTCTGGATGAACATGTACTGGGCGTGTGGGTCTGACAGCTGGGAAGCTTGTTCTCTTGTTTAGCCAGGCTGCCCATCATCTGTAAGCCTCAGTATCCACATCTTTAAAATGGGGGGAAAATATAGCTCAACTCCTAATGGTGCCATGAGAATACTTTGTCACCTGCCAGGCAAAAGCTTATTCCTTTCACAGAAATCCAGGGTTTACAATGTGAGACCCCTCCCCACTCCGCCGCATGTGTCTGCTTGCTTTTTTCTGTCTTAGGGTTGCCCTTCATGAGCTAGGAAATGTCTGAGTGGATGAAAACCTAAACGAGATGATCACTGGTGGTGCCCATTGGTGCAGCCTTTGCCTAAATGGCTACTTACGTAGCCACATTTCCTCGTCTGTGTTCAGGTGAGGACTGGTTCCTGGGCAGACTGCCTGGGTTTGCATCACGGGTGTCCATCTTGTCGAAGCCCATGTGGTCACCCAAGTGTGACTGAGCCAGGCTTGCCCACGGGGTGCTCTGGGCCCCATTTTCGGCAGCAGGCAGCGTCCCCTGGAGGCCTGGCCCTCCCCGGGAGCATGGGGAGTAGCGCCTATGGGCAAGCAGCCTGCAGCCTCCATCCCTGCCTGGGGGCTCCCCCGCCCCAGCCTCACAGCTTCTCCAAAAGTGTTTGTCTCCTTGCCGCATCCTCTAGGCCTGAGCTCAGACGGTGGAAAAGAAGAGCTGGAAGGAGAGTTGCCTTTCAGTCTCTCTGCCTTCTGAGGTCTCCTGAGACATAGAGCCTGGGCCTGCCTCCCTTTCTAGGAGGCGCCAAGGGGTGGTAAGAATAGGGGATGAGTGAGATGTGAATTAGGATCCCCACAGCAAGCCCTGCCTCGTAACTTTCTGATGGGTTTTCAATGTGTGGTGAAGCAGACGCCTGCTGGGCCCCCTTCCTGAGTTGAGTTTGACCTCCTGCCTCCTGTCTATCTCCTTGGGCAGCCAGGCCACCCCGCTCCATTAACCTGTGCCACCCCATCCCTTTACCTGTCGCAAGCCCAGCCCTGAAGGCCTCAAAGGCCTGGTCTTCCAGCCAGTCCAGGGCCTGAAGGGATGGCAGTGTCCCTGGTGGACCTCCCCTGGTGTGGCCTAGTGCACATCCCAGCCCTGCCTCCTGCCCCGCCTGCACGCCATGAGTGCTGAAGTCATGCCTGGCAGGGGCTGCTGGCCCAGGCCCAGAGTAAACACACTGCGCTGAGCTCGCTGGTGTGCTGCTGGATGCTGATGAGCTTGAGGAGTGTGGGAAGTGAGCATGGGGCTGAGTAGAGATGCGGCAGGCCTGCACCTCCCCGCAGCTGCCCTGCATGCTCCAGCCTCAGGCAGCCACACAGGGAAAGGGTCACCCACTGTCAGGGCAGACCTTTACCATGGCTGGGTGACACGGGCTGGCTGTGGAAAGGTGTTTGGTGGTTCCCGCTGTTGGATTTGCACAGGCCCAGATGCTCACAGCAAAACCAACACCTAGATGGTGCTTACAGGAGCCAGCGGGTATTCAAAGAGCTGTTCAGATCTTAAGTTGCTTCATTCTCACAGTGGACCATTGAGGTAGCTGTACGTTAGTCCCATTTTCCAGATGAGAAAACTGAGGACCTGAGTGGTCATAAGCTCAGGCCCTCATCTAAATCACGCAGCCTGGCCCCAGGTGTGTGCTCTTGACCATGGACAGTGCTCTCCTGGTCCTCTTGGTATCTGTGATCTGAGGGACCTTCCTCCTCCTCAGTCTCGTATAGTCAGTTTTAGGTCTTGGACTCTGTCTTCATATCCCTTTCTCCCTTCGTGAGCTTTCTCACCCAGCACCTTCCTTATTTGGTGTGTGTTGGGGGATATTTGTGGTGTGGCGTGGCACTGTGTAGTGGATGAGAGAGTCTGTTTTTCCGATCCCAGTCCCAGGTTTCAAACCCTGCTCTGTCTCGAGTCACCCAGAATCTTGGACCCTCAGTTTCCTCATCTGTTAAATGGGCATGGTGGTCACCCCACCTCATCAGCTAGTGTCTGCTCCATCCCTGGTGGAGGAGATGACTCAAGTAACCCCTGGGTTCCACCTGCCCCACCCCACTGGTCCCCTGGCTCTTTCTTTGTTGAGATAGACGAATGTGAGGCTCTGGAGTTGCAGTTCCCACGAGGGCTGGGGTGGCTGTCTGATTTCTGGGCCTGGTCCATGTTGTTCAGGGCAGCTGCTCGTTCTAAGTGAATAAAGGCTGAAGGAACTCGGGAGGTCTGCTCGGCTCCGAGGAAGGCAGAGAGGGAAAGGGCCCCGATGCCTTCCCTGATAGAGCTAGGGAGGCCCTTCTGTGGTTCCCCCCAGCTCCTTGGCCTGGGTGACCCTGGAGCTGGCTTCTGTTCCATTTTGTTGTGCAGAGTTGTTTGAGACTCCTGGCTTTGCCTGGCCTTTGTGGGACGCTGGAGATCAGGGCTTCTGGAGTTGGCCAATTAGCCTGCCCAGACCAGGAAGCACAGGTGGCTGACAGAGGGCCGTTTCAGGAGAGGAGAGACAGCCTACCTATTCGGTCTTGCTGTCCCCATGCTCCATCCCTGCCCCTGACCAGTGTGGCCCTGTACTCAGCATAGGCGTGCACCTGAGTCAGTACAGTTCCCTGCCCGCAGAGCACCCCAAATATTCCAGGCCTCAGGACGGATGTGCACATGATGAGTCGGGGCAGGTTTCACTGCCTGTAGCTTGGGATCCTTCCCTGGGGCTTGGTTCTCTAGGGCCATCCCCAGCAGTCTCACCCCAAACCCTAAATTCATGTTGTCTTCCTCTGTCTCTTGGCCTCAAGGTTTCAGAGTGAGTCTGTGCTGATAGCTTCAAGATGTGATGAGACCCCGACTTGGCCTCCAGTTACCTCCCCACGGTTTCCTTGGTGTGTGTGTGGCTTCAGTGTTCACTGGCTCCCGCACGGCTTGCAATGTGTGGATTACGGGTGGGAGGGAAATCCAGTCCTGCCCGCAGCAAAGGGATGTTAGTTGTGAGCTCAGTTCCCCACCGGGCCTGGTGTTTCCAAATAGCCCGTCACTGTCCCTGCTTGGTTTTCCATGATATCTGTGCCTTTACCTATTTGGTTAAATTAAACCAACTCAGCAACGCCAGCCATTGTGGTTTCAGGGCAAGCTGCCTGTCCTGCTGCTTGGCCGCTCCTCAGAGCTGCGGCCGGGAGAGTTCGTGGTCGCCATCGGAAGCCCGTTTTCCCTTCAAAACACAGTCACCACCGGGATCGTGAGCACCACCCAGCGAGGCGGCAAAGAGCTGGGGCTCCGCAACTCAGACATGGACTACATCCAGACCGACGCCATCATCAACGTGAGCCTCTGTCCCTCTGCGGGTGGGGATTGGGGCAGAGTTTTGCCAGGGGGAGAGGAGTCAGCATAGGTCTTAGCCCCTGACTTTGTTGTAGTCTGCGTGAAGGGATGGAACTAGACCAAGCCATGTGGATTCTAGTGCCAGCAGCATGGCAGGGGTCACATGGCGGGGACGGTGACACCGGAGCAGGTGGACAGCCAGCCTCCTCCCAGGAGGAAGAAGTTGTATTGGGTGCTTTAGGGTGATTGCAGTTGGCTTCTGGGCTTCAGAGAGAAAATCTCCCTGTTTACGGCACCTCTAAAACTTTCTGAAAATTGTTAAGGTCATTTTTTTCCGGCAAAATATTAGGTTAATGGGAATGAATCTCAGAGAAGAATCGTGCCCCCCACTCTAGGCACCGTGCTCAGGAAACGACCAGGCAGGGACATAGATTGAACCATGTTATGACACGATTTGTAACCTTTTCATTTCTGTTTAATTGCAGTATGGAAACTCGGGAGGCCCGTTAGTAAACCTGGTAAGGTCTTTTAAACCTATGTTAGGTCATTTGTTTTTATCTATGTATACGCTGTTTTTTGTTTGTTTGTTTGTTGTTTGTTTGTTTTTGAGGCAGGGGGTCTTTTCAAACATAAGGTTGCCAAAGTGTATTATAAATTCCTTTAAAATGGCTCTGTAAATGTACTGCGTGCTTGCAAATGACCCTACGGATCTTTTCTGGAAAGAGTAAGGCAGGCCGGAGGTGAGGGTTGGAAATGTTATGCCAGAGAACACACTTGTGTCTCAGAGTTACAGGTAAACACCGTGAAATTCAGGGCCAATGCAGGAGTAAGGTGAAGGTCACTAAAAATGCTGGCCAGTCACCGAAAGCACCTCCTCCAAATTAAATCTCCTGGGCTGCTGAAGGAGCTGGCTGGGCTCATACACATTTTCTCTTGGCCAGGAATCCTCCCTTAAGGCCTGGCTGGAATGAGGAGGAGTTACCCACCCACAAAGATATCACTTAAGTCTTCCCTTAAATACTTGAGCAGAAAAAGTGAAGCCTTAGAACACAGACCAGCAGAGCTAGAGGGCAGCTCTGGGGCCATTTATAGAGGGCAGCTCTGGGGCCATTTATAGAGGGCAGCTCTGGGGCCATTTATAGGGGCTGTCTTTAGCAAGGCCCAGTGTGATGGCACCTCCTAGATGGTGCCTTGGCATCAGGTACTGACATCTCAGCACTCCTGGGAAGTGTGCACTTGGCAGCTTTCTCTTCCCAGCAGAGGGGCAGCTGTGCTCCCAGCTCTGTCCTCTGCCTCCCCGCGCAGCACTTGGGGATGGAGTGGAGATGGCTTTGCTGGTAATGAAGCATGACAGCCCTAAGCTCTAGGGTTGTTTCCCCCTGAAGTCAGCAGAGTCATCTTAAGATCATTAGACATGGGAGAAGCAGGAAGGTGTGGGCAGCCACCTAAAGGAGTTTGAGCCTTTGGAAACGTATTCCTTGTGAAACAGGAGCAAATCATATCGTGCATTTTGAAACTATCTGTGCTTACCGTGAGGTGAGCACCCAGTGCCGACCTGGAGTATGTGCGATTCTTCCACAGCTGCGCGTGGCTCGCGCTGCCTGGGTGTCCTGATGCCTCTCTCCCTGCTGCCACGGGGATCCCCTCCTTGCATCTCCCCACTTCGATCTCTGAAATAGCTCAGGGACTTCTTTCAGGCATATTCTCTCTGGGTGTGTACCTGCCGGTAAAGCTTCACGATTCAGTAAGCCGTGTCCTTCTTGCTTTTCAGGACGGTGAAGTGATTGGAATTAACACTTTGAAAGTGACAGCTGGAATCTCCTTTGCAATCCCATCTGATAAGATTAAAAAGTTCCTCACGGAGTCCCATGACCGACAGGCCAAAGGTAGGCAAGGCCCACACAGCCCTGGGGACTCCGGAGATGGGGCCTGAAGCTCAGCTGCCCTTTGGGACTTGGGGAAGGGAAAAGCGGCAGCCCCTAGGACTAGCCAAGCCGTCTCTGATCCAGAAGTGAACGGGAATGCACATTACTAAATCCCTCGCAGAAGGTCACAGACATTTCACCATTTTTGTCCTCTGATCATGGCAATGTCACTTGAGTCAGTCTAATATGTACCAGGCATGATCCTAGGTGACTTGTGTACATTATTTCACTTTCTTTATGTATGTCACTTAATTCTTTTGCCCTATCAGTTAGGAATTACTAGTCCCATTTTGCTGATGAGAAAACGGTTCAGGGAGATCATTCTGCAAACGTTTATTGCCCCATCTGCTCTAAGTCAAGCAGGGAGCTTGGCAGTGGACAGCTCAACTGGGGCCTGGGGCTCAACAGGGGCCTTTGCCGGTGTGACTTTTATGTTCTGTTGGGGGATGGGAAGGCTGACAGTAAATAATCAAACACATAAGATACTATTAGTGCTCCCAAGAAAACGGATCAGGGTGGCCGTCAAGGGAGCGACTGGAGGGGCAGCTGGTGGAGATGGTGTGGCCAGGAAATGCCTTCCAAGCTGAGGTCTGAGTGAGGAGGAACCAGCGGGCAGGGATGTGGGGGGAACACTCCAGAAGGAAAGACAGAGGACTCAGCATAGTTGAGTGAGCACAAGGCCCCTGAAGTGGCCTGAGGGCCGGAGCACAGTGACAGCATGGAGTTCCCCGGGGTGGAAAGAGGCCAAGGCCGGGCGAGCAGGCTCACAGCAGGCCGTGGTGAGGGACCTGGGTTGCATCCTAACGACATTTAAGAACAGGGAAGTTTATGATCTGATTGATGTCACTGAAAGGACACTCTGATGGCTGCGGGGAGTCTGCTGGAGGGGTTGCTGGAAGTTGGGGACCGGTTAAGGGGCTCTCCCAGCCATCTGGATGAGACATGCTGGGGTCTCAGACAAGGGTGGTGGCAGTGGAGGTGGGACAGAGGGGTCACATTCCAGATATATATGGGGGGTAGAGCAAGCTTGGGGAAGGGCCAGCTGTCAGGATGAGGCCATGAGGAATTAAGGGTCATGCCCAGGTACCTGACCATTAATTGAAACAATGGGACTTTCCCAAGGTCCCCCAGAGGGGAGGGGTCCAGACCAGGATTTGAGCCGCAACCTCAGTGTACCCTTCTGTGGCCCTTCCTGCAACCTGGGGGATTGGGCCCCCGGCCCCTGGTGTCCCCAGCACCCCCACCAACTGGGCTGACCTTCTGCTGTCCCTTTGTTGTCTCACCAGGAAAAGCCATCACCAAGAAGAAGTATATTGGTATCCGAATGATGTCACTCACGTCCAGGTGGGTAAACAGGATGCGTGTCTGTGTCTTAAATTTTAATAAACCTGAACTTCAGAAGGTGCTCACGGGCACCCCTGAAAGAGAAACCTTATGCTGCCTTAAGACGTCTCAGTTTCTGCTTATAATGAAGTAGCATCGGGAAAGAGGACAGGTCATTAGCCTTGGCCCCTTTGTTTGGTTTTAACCTGTGTTTTTGCATTCTGAGCTGGTTTTCTTCACTGGCAGCAGGCCCTCCGGTGTAGAAGGTTCTGCCCTCCTCTTTGAAGGCAGGCCTGAACAGTGTGTGCGTGGTGGGGCTGTTGATTCACTCTGGCTCACGTCTTCCTTACCCCACATTCTGTTGAAACCCACATTCCAGGAGGGCCCCAAGCCCCTCCCGCAGCTCTAGGCACTCTGCTTTCGTTGCTCTGCAGCTCGTGGGCCGCGGCTCCAGGAATGCCAGGGCAGGTCCAGCGCAGGGAAGTGAATGACTGATGTGCTTGTTTTCCCCGAGCTGGTGGAATTGCGGCCTGTGGTTGGCAGGCTCATGGCATCCTGGTGTTCTAAACTGGATGAAAAATTCTGGTGTAATCTCATGAGTCCTGGTAGTAGACTCACCTGGCATGGCTAAAACTGTCAGAGGTAAAGTAGGTAAAGACTAGAATATAGTAACAGATAGATTAATGTGTTCATTACTATGATGAATTAATGATTCACTCACTGTGAAAGTATTAATATATTTTGATACATGTTATGAATGGTGGTCCCTTTCTTAGCACTCCAGAAGATGGAGCCATTTGTCAAGGTTAAAGTGTCCCCTCAGTTGTTTGCCTTTGGAACTACGAGGTGTAGGGAAAGATGGTAAGCCCTTGGTGCCCAGCTTCCTGGGTTCCTGTCCCTGCTCTGATATGTCCTGCCTTGTGACCTTGGGAACGATATGACCCCTGAGTGCCTCAGTTTCCTCCTCTTCAGGATAGGGATGACAGCGCAGGTGCTTCTGATGTGTGGCCAGGCTCAGATCAGGGAGTGGTGGCAGGGGTCACCAGCCACAGTGATGCCAGCCACTATGTATCACACGTACTGGGCCAGGTGCCTTACTGGGATGATCTCATCTGATCCTCACAACTCATGTTGTAGGGTACTGTTATTATCCCCATTTTGCAGGTGAGGAAATGAAGGCACAGAGAAGTTAAGCAACTGTCCGAGGTCACACAGCTAGCAAATGGCCGAGCTAGGGCTGCAAACCAGGCCAACCACTGTACTTTACTGACTCCTTAGTAATAGCTACTATTAATTAAGAAATAATAACAATGATGATGGCTGGGTGCGGTGGCTCACATCTGTAATCCCAGCACTTTGGGAGGCCAAGGCGGGCAGATCACTTGAGGCCAGGAGTTCGAGACCAGCCTGGCCAATTTGTGAAACCCTGTTTCTACTAAAAATATAAAAAATTAGCCGGGCTTGGTGGCAGGCACCTGTAATCCCAGCTACTCGGGTGGCTGAGGCAGGAGAATTGCTTGAACCCGGGATATGTAGGTTGCAGTGAACTGAGATCGTACCACTGCACTCCAGCCTGGGCGACAGAGCAAGACTCTGTCTCAAAAAAAAAAAAATAAATAAAAAAAATAAATAAATAATAAAGCACTTTCCTTGCTGTTACCAAGTAAATCTTTGACTCTGGTAGACAGGCAATTTTAATTTTAAAATAGGATCAGAATTCCTGGAGGAATTTTACCTTAGACCTAAGGAGAAGACGGGAACTGGTGAGAGCTGAGTTTTGCGTGAGGAAGGCCTGGTGTTTCTTCACACTAACACGGGTGCTTTTTCTCTGGAGCAGCAAAGCCAAAGAGCTGAAGGACCGGCACCGGGACTTCCCAGACGTGATCTCAGGAGCGTATATAATTGAAGTAATTCCTGATACCCCAGCAGAAGCGTGAGTTGGAGTCGTTTTCTCTTTTCCCAATATTCTTGTTGTTCCTGTGGGGGTAGCAGGAAGAGGGAGCGCTGTTCCTTTTCTACTGGCTCAGATGATTATGTTGATCCTTGACAGACGTGGTCGGACGTTGCTTGTCATTCCTGCTGGCCAGGCCTTCCGACCTGGCTCGGCTCGGGACTCATCCATAGGAGGGTGCCTTCTGTCTTCAAAAGTCCTTGCTCCACGAGGACCCTCCAGATGGACAGAGCAATAGCAGACTCGTAATGAGTCTCTGAGATGGCCCGGCTGGCCAGAGAGAGGGTTTCAGGAACAGTGTCCCCAAGCCCTCACTTGGTGGTCCTTTTCTAGGCTTCAGGACCCTTCTCTTCCTGGAGTCTTCCAGAATGTCTCTGACAATTAGGCCCATACCTGTCAACACCTCCAGAAAAATAACCCAAGTGATATCAAAGTAACATGACAAGAAGTAGCTCAACCATCCATCAGGGTTTGTTACCTGTATTGGCGGAATATCCAGAGAAAAGTGCGAGACCAGGGACCAGCAAATGTGCCTTGGGGGCTGGATCTGGCCCACTGCCTGCTTTTATATGGAGCTGTGGGCTAAGAATAGTTTTTGCATTTTATTTTTATTTTTACTTATTTTTTATTTTCATAGGTTTTTGGGGGAACAGGTGGTATTTGGTTACATGAGTAAGTTCTTTGGTGGTGATTTGTGAGGTTTTGGTGCACCCATCACCCAAGCAGTGTACACTGAACCCAATTTGTAGTCTTTTATCCCTCATCCCTGTCCCAGCCTTTCCCCTTGAGTCCCCAGAGTCCATTGTATCATTCTTATGCCTTTGTGTCCTCGTAGCTTAGTTCCCACTTATGAGAACATTTAAATGGTTGAAAAAATCCTGAAATAAGAATAGTATTTTGTGACATGTTAAATTTGTATGAAATTCAAATTTCAGTGTCCACTGTAATTTGGTTTATGACATCTATGGTGGCTTTTGTGCTGGAACAGCAGAGTTGAGTAGCTTCAACAGAGACCATATGTACTGCAAAGCCTAAAATATTTCCTATGGAGCCCTTTACAGAAAAAGTTTGCAGACCCTTGTGCTAGCCCATGAAGGACCATGACAGCGTTTTGACGCTGAGCTATATAAGAGCTACAGTTATAGTGGCAACCACACAAAGGAAGTGCCTCTTAACAGAAACATTCCGCCCACCCCTATAGGAACTGCATTCTGAGTTGCAATACCCATTATAAGCAAGTTGGCCAGATAGTGGCCAACTATCTGGCAGATATCTGGCCAACTACGTGGCAGATAGTACCTGGTACATCCTTCCCCACTTTGGGGTCAATCTTGACCTTTGATCTCCTTGGGGTCATAAAGCCACACAAGTGTTAGTAGGCATTTCTACAGTGGACACAATGGATGATTTAGCCTAAAAATCTCAAAAGGAGCCCAGCATCCTGGCACATGCATGTAATCCCAGCTACTCAGGAGGCTGAAGCAGAAGGATCCCTTGAGCCCAGGAGTTCGAGACTAGCTTGGGCAACAATTGAGACCCCATCTCAAAAAAAAAAAAAAAAAAAAAAAAAGAGTGGGGAAAAAAGAACATTATTAAAAAAAAAAACCTTAAAAAGTAATCCAATCTACCGATGGTTTATTTTTTATTTTATTTTATTTTTTTTGAGATGGAATCCCACTCTGTCACCCAGGCTGGAGTGCAGTGGCACAATCTTGGCTCACTGCAACCTCCACCTCCTGGGTTCAAGTGAATCTCTTGCCTCAGCCTCTGAGTAGCTGGGATTACAGGTGCCCACCACCAAACCTGGCTCTTTTTTTTTTTTTTTTTGTAATTTTAGTAGAGACGGGGCTTCACCATGTTGGCCAGGCTGGTCTTGAACTCCTGACCTCAGGTGATCCACCTGCCTCAGCCTCCCAAAGTGCTGGGATTACAGGCATGAGCCACCGTGCCTGACCCACTGATGGTTTGAATTATTCTAAGTTCGCCACCGTCCAATCCTGTTTGCTCTGGGCTTTTAGGTTCTAAGCTGTGCCTCTGTCCATGTAAAGTCAGACCAGGAGGAATGGAAACACGAAACATTGCCATTGTGTTTCCCTTTGTGTTGCAGTGGTGGTCTCAAGGAAAACGACGTCATAATCAGCATCAATGGACAGTCCGTGGTCTCCGCCAATGATGTCAGCGACGTCATTAAAAGGGAAAGCACCCTGAACATGGTGGTCCGCAGGGGTAATGAAGATATCATGATCACAGTGATTCCCGAAGAAATTGACCCATAGGCAGAGGCATGAGCTGGACTTCATGTTTCCCTCAAAGACTCTCCCGTGGATGACGGATGAGGACTCTGGGCTGCTGGAATAGGACACTCAAGACTTTTGACTGCCATTTTGTTTGTTCAGTGGAGACTCCCTGGCCAACAGAATCCTTCTTGATAGTTTGCAGGCAAAACAAATGTAATGTTGCAGATCCGCAGGCAGAAGCTCTGCCCTTCTGTATCCTATGTATGCAGTGTGCTTTTTCTTGCCAGCTTGGGCCATTCTTGCTTAGACAGTCAGCATTTGTCTCCTCCTTTAACTGAGTCATCATCTTAGTCCAACTAATGCAGTCGATACAATGCGTAGATAGAAGAAGCCCCACGGGAGCCAGGATGGGACTGGTCGTGTTTGTGCTTTTCTCCAAGTCAGCACCCAAAGGTCAATGCACAGAGACCCCGGGTGGGTGAGCGCTGGCTTCTCAAACGGCCGAAGTTGCCTCTTTTAGGAATCTCTTTGGAATTGGGAGCACGATGACTCTGAGTTTGAGCTATTAAAGTACTTCTTACACATTGCTTTCTGTAGTGCTTATTTTCCTTTCCCAAGAGCAGCTTGTTGCAGTCTTTTTGGAATGATTCTAATGTCAGTGGGCCCCTCATTAGACTGCATTGTCCACGCAGGTTTGAGCTCTTAGTCTTATGAGTTATTTCAAAATCATCCCATGGGATTTACCAGGGTTATGAACAACTCTGCTTGGACACCCTGGCTTTATGAAGCAGGACTTGAGGACAGTTGCACTCGCATCCGGAGCTTGTCAAATGAAAGAGAGTCTGTTGACCTCATACAGCATGCAATTAGTCAACAAAGATTTTCTGGGTCTCTGCTCTGTGCCAGGCATTGTAAGTGCGTGGTCAGTGAGAGCAGGAAAGACGCAGGCTCTCCCTCTGTAGAGCTTCAGTTCAGAAGCCAAGTCTCTTTCTGAAAGGGAGACAGCTCAGGAGACCAGGATGCAACCCCAGAATGGGCCCAGAATGCACACGGCTGCAGCTGACCTCATTTGTCCTGGGTTGTGAAATAAGAACTAGGCCTTAAGCCTTGGTGAGTTTAGAGGAGGACTCCCCTTGAAGTGCCCTCAAACAGGTACAGCTAGAAGCAGCTGTAGGCACCTTTATCTCCATGAAAGCTTTCCGAAAGTTTGGGAAGCTGACCCAAGAGGACTTGCACAGCTTTAGCTTGGAAGTTTGCACAGACCTATGTCCCTGTGGGGAGCACACACCAGAGAGTATGCTGTTTATGCCAAGAGCAGCGGGTCAAAGCTTTCCAACTGTCAGCAGTTAAAAGGAGGGCCTTGGACCGGATGGAGGTTCTGTTCTCCCAATTGAGAGCTGAATCCTTCCTCCATCCACAGAGGCATAAGGTCCAACTCATAACTGGGGAGGCTGCGGAAGGCCGAAGGGCCAACTTAAATGCAGGGGCGGTCCAGTTGAGCACAGCCCTCATCAGTGTTGGTGCTCGGCGGCTGAGCAGCTTGTGGCCCGTTGCAACACTGGCACGTCTCTTCGCTCTCTGGTTGAATGACCTAGTAGAGTCAGGAAGGAACCAGCGAGTCCTTTGGCTGTGGGAGTGTGTTTTGCATTCCCTCCCTTCTCCATTAAAGGTGATGACTCAGAATGGCTTGTGGCTTCAGGGGTTCATTCTCAGATGTTTTGTATGTGGGCCTGCTTTCCTGTGTGGTCCCCGGAGCTGAGGTGCTGCCACAGGTGGGGAGGATGCCGTGGGTGGCATTGAGGTCAGACCCAGCCCCGGCCCGAGCCTGTCTGTCTTCAGCCTGTTAGGCATCCGGGAGATCACTGATGGTTCTTCTGGAAGAAACTAGCCTGGTGATGGACCAGCCTGAGGCCTCTGTAAACACTCTGCAACATCTCTGCAGGACACTGGATGGGGTTGGAGTTTTGCCTGCATATATGGTCACATACAGGACAGAAATGGCAGCTTGCCACATTGTTGCATATGACATGTTTGGTTACATGGTTGCACTTACCCATGAGACCCTGTGTCCCATGGGGGCTGCTTGTCCTGGAACCCCCACCTCACATTTGAAGACCTCCAGAATAGTTGTTTCTTCTGCTTGCTTTAGGCTGTGATGCAGGGTTTTGCAACATAAATTAGTCTTAAAGCCTGGAGGCAGAGCACTGAGTCGAAAGAGCATGGCTTTTGGAGTTATAGATGGATTTGGGTTTAAATCCAGTGTCTATATATCTTACTGGCTGTGTGACCTTGAGCAAGTCCCTTAACCTCTCTGTCTGTTTTTCATCTGTAGAATGCCCTCAGTTGGGTCCATCTCTGCTTCCATGGAGCTCAGTTTCTAATTCTTCTTGGCCACTTCTGGTCCCTCCAAGGTCACTTTAACAGCCCTCTGGCTGGTGGGCCCGCACCTGCCCCCTGTTCTGGCTCCTGGAGAACTTCCTGCTTACCAAATGTGGGCTCAGCAGTGCCTCTTCCAATCCCAGCACCCTCAGCTCTAGTCCTCTGCTTCCAGCTTCTGCAAAACTGTGAGCCAACCACATGGCTGGGCTTCCCCAGCACATCTGCATCACGTGACTATCCCCATCCCGCCCTGCCAGATGCTTCTCTTGATGCACTGGCCAGCAGAGAGGCCCTGGTGTGCAGGGGTCTCCTTGCTGTGTCTTTCAGGCTTGGCTGAGTGAATCTGAGATGGGCAGCTCTCTACAGGGAGGTCCTCTGTCTTTTTTTTTTTTTTTTTTTGACAGGGTCTCGTTCTGTTGCTCAGGCTAGAGTGCAGTGGTTTGATCATGGCTCACTGCAGTCACGACCTCCCGGACTCACGTGATCCTCCCACCTCAGCCTCCAGGGTAGCTAGGACTACAGCATGCACTGTCATGCCCTGCTGATTTTTGTAATTTTGGTAGAGGTAGGGTCTCGTCGTGTTGCCCATGCTGGTCTCAAACTCCAGAGCTCAAGCGATCTGCCCACCTCGGCCTCCCAAAGGCAGGAGCCACCATGCCTGGGGGGTCTTGTCTTTTCTGACTCCATTTCTCCATCTGAAAATTTGGAAGAATGCTCCTGTCTGGTGGGCGTGGTGAGGAGCAGCACATGTTGTTATCAGAACCTGCACAGTGATTGTCTCCACCTGGTTAATATTTTAGACAGGTCTGAACCTTGGATGATAGCATTTCCATGGGCTGGCAAGGATGCTTGGCCCATTTCAGCAAATACCACTGAAGTCAGCGCCAGGCCTCGCTGAGGTTGTGTGGACATATATCTGGGTGAATGGGCCAGTCCAGTTCAAGTTTGCACCCCTGAAGGTGGTTATAGGTAAGGTCAGAGGTATGACAGAGTCAGAGTGGCTCAGTGCCGGGAGGGCAGGTAGGTTTCTGCCATCCATCCTGCCAACGCTGATCCATTGGTGGGAACCATCTAGAGCACTGGGCTGAGGCAGATTGTGAGGCTCAGTGTGAAGGAGCTTAAAAGAGACCTGTGGCCGGGCGTGGTGGCTCATGCCTGTAATCCCAGCACTTTGAGAGGCTGAGGCAGGTGGATCAAGGAGTTCAAGACCAGCCTGGGCATCATGGTGAAACCCTGCCTCTACAAAAAATACAAAAATTAGCCAGGTGTGGTGGTGTGTGCCTGTGGTCCCAGCTACTTGGGAGGCTTAGGTGGGAGGATCACTTGAGCCTGGGAAGTCAAGGCTGCTATGAGCTGCGATCTCACCATTGCACTCTAGCCTGGGTGACAGAGAAAGACCCTGTCAAAAAAAAAAAAAAAATGGAGACCTGCTGTCTGGGTCTCCCTCTCAGTTCCCTGACCTTCTGATGAGGTCCCTGCTCTGGGTGTGTGTCCGGCGTCAGCTCCCTGGTTGAGTCCGGGGAGTAGCCGAGGCTGAGGAGTCTGGAGCAGGCTCGTGGGAATAGGCGGGCTGCCCTGGGGGCTGCTTTTTGCTGCACTGCGCCCACCTCCAGGGTAACTTCCTCAGGAGATGGGACTCTTTTCTATCCTTGAGGCAAGAGGACAATCAGATCTCTCTTGGAGAGCCATTCCCATTTAGAGACACGTGTTTTTGGTGACCTTTGTGAGCGTTCTAGCCTTGGAGCCCTGCTCACTGCTGCCCTGGACCAGCTGGGACAGGTGCGTGCATTGATTAGCATTCTGGAGCCCAACAGGTGGGCACTGGAGGCTTCCTTGCCGTGGTAAAGGGAAACCGGTGAGAGGGGGCGTCATGTCATCCAGGGGAGAGGAGTGATGTTAACAATAGAAATGGCAGTGTCACATAGTAAATGCTACCGTAGAATGAGTGTGGATGTGGCGTGCAGGGTGTGGAAGGTGGCAGCAGGCGCTGTCGCTAAGGCTTTCTGTGGCAAGCACAGTACAAGCATTTTACACACATATCTATCTCACTTAGTCCCCTCAGTAACACCAAGGAATAGAAACTATTATTATACCATTTTATAGACGAAGGAATGAAGGCTCAGAGAGATTAAGTAACTTGCCCAAGGCCACTCAGCTTGTCTCTGGCGGGGGTAGGACATGTCTTTGTGGGGAAGTAGGGAGGAGAGTGGGGAGAGTGGGGGCCCCAAGTCCCTGGCCTGGTGTATCTGACCAGAGGAGACAAGTGCTCCCATGTCTGGGACAGGTCAGGAGCACACAACTCCGGCTTGCCTCATCCCCAGCCTCCCTGGAACAAGACTAAACACCTTTCTGGGACATCTGAGCCCCTTCCTGACTTGGTCCCCACTTTCCTTCCACTCTCACCTCTCCATTCCTCTCCTGCTCTCAATGTTCTGTCATGTGGAATTCACTTCCATTCCTTGAACAGGCTGTTCTTTCTCCTGTCTCCACACCTAAATCCTAGTACCCTCCCTGCCCCGTGCATGGAAGCTCCTCCCCATCTCTTCACCATCTGCCCCACCGGACTCCCCTGCCAGGAGCTCGCACGCTGGCCATGTGCTGTCCTAACTGCCTGTTCCCTTGTCGGGACTCACTCTGGGGCTGCAGCTCCACAGGGCCAAGTCCATCATTGAGGCCATAGGGCTGAGCCCAGCCTGCAAAGCAGGTGTCAATCAATACGGATTAGCTGACAACTGAGGTGGGCCCACACCTCCCTGGACAGTCACATCTGCCACTGGAGGAAAGAATCCTCTTAGCACGCATTCTTTCATGGAATCCATCTTTTTGCATAACCACAGTGCACCCAGGACTGTGCTGGGCATATTGGGAGTGGGGGTGTGAGGAGGGGGTGAGGCTGGGGAGGGACAGAGTGGGGCCCAGAACAGAAGGAGGCCAGTGGGGTGCCCAGGGGCTAAAGCAAAGGGGCCTCACTCTCAGAGTAGTGCAAGTGGGTGGTTTGTGAGGAATACACAACAGGACCTGTGAGAGCCTCACATGTTGACCTCGGAAGGGAGGGGGACCTCAGGTGGAGGCAAGAAGGGATCTCTGAGTCTACCATTGATCCCCTCTTTCAACAGCTGCTCTCAAAACCACTGCGGGCAAGGCCCAGTGGCGGGAATGCTCCTGATCGTGGGTTCAGTCCCGGCTCTGGGCTTTACTGACCATGACACTTGGGGCAAGTCCCTTAATTTCGCTGAGATTCCTTGTCCTCATCCGTAAAAAGTGTCCAGTGGCCGGTGTCAGCCCCTCCTCGTGTCTGAGGCGCTGGGGAATTGTGTGTGGGCGCCGGCCATGTGCTCATGCTTGGTCATAAGTGGTGTCAGCCACTCCTCGTGTCTGAGGCGCCGGGCAATGGTGTGTGGGTGCCAGCCACGTGCTCACGATTGGTCATAACTGGTGTCAGCCTCTCCTCATGTCTGAGGCGCCAGGAATGGTGTGTGGGTACCTGCCATGTGCTCATGCTAGGTCATAAGTGGCACCACCACGGCTGTCTGACATCATTCCTTCTAGGCACCTTGTGAGCAGATCAGATGCTCTTTGACTCAAGATGGGGTTTTGTCCTGGTAAATTCATTGTAAATGGAAAATATTATAAGGTGAAAATGCATTTACTACACCTCACCTACCGAATATCATTGCTCAGCATAGCCCACCTTAAACATGCTCAGGACACTGACGTTAGCCTTCCATTGGGCAAAATCACCTCACACAAAGCCTGTTTATAATAAATCGTGGAATAGCTCATGTCATCAATTATTGAGTACTATTCTGAACATGTAAAATGGAATGGTTGTGTTGGGACTTCTGCTGAATGCGCATTGCTCCCACACCACAACCGTTGTAAGTTGGGGGCTGTCTGTGCTGTTAGATCAAGGATTCATTTTAGCACATGGGGAAACAGAAGTGCCTGGAGCTAGTAGGATGACATGCCAGGTTCCATCCCACACTCACCTCTGTCTATTTTACTGTCCCTATAATTATTATCTAGCTCCCATACTTCACAAGGCAATAAAAGTTATGGTCATTTGAGTTTAAAAACTGCTGATTTGCCAATGTCCCAAAGACTCTTCAAGGTTCTGACACTATGTTGCCTGCCTCTCTCTTCCTCTCACCTCCTCAGTCATTATCTGATCTGATTGGATGAGCTTCCTTCATGTCCCTGAAAAAGTTCTCAAGTCACCCCGTGGTGTGTCTGGGTGTGGACTGTTCTCCCTGGGCCACCCTCTCTCTCCACCATGCAAAAGGGTCCCAGGCTCCTCTGTTGTTTGGAGATCTTGGGAAATACCCAAGGGGTGACATCACTCAGCCACGGCCCCCAGAAAGGAGTCTGACTGCCAAGGGGGTGCCAGTTTTGGAATCAAATCATGTCTGCTGGTTGAAAACCCATCAGTAGGGCCCCAGTCTTTTCAGGGCACTGGGCCTGGTTCTGGGAGAGGCTACCTGGGCTGCCCACCCCCACAGCATCCTATGTAGGGGGTCCAGCTGGGCTGACTCACTGCTGCCAGTGCCAGCTCCCAACTCGGAGGCCAAGGCCTTGCTGCTTCCGTCAGAATGCAGATGGGGCACACACAGGGGAGAGGCCTTCCTGCCAGTGGGCAGTTGTTTCATTTAGAACTTTTAAAAGACATTGCCTCAGTGTAGGGCTCTGCCAAGAATCAGCAAAAATCAAATGAAATAAACACTAACAAATGCGTTTTTAGTTTATTAAAATAATAAAAAGTGGCACAGACTCTGTCTGTAAACAGCGTTCGGTTAATTGTGTCTCACCTGGTCAGGTAAGCGTTTATGCACGCCAGCTGGTCCTTCTTCAGCCCGTCTCCTCCCCTCACCCACCACCATTGTCAGCACCACCAACCACCATGACATGTGATGTACATACAGCATTTCACAGCTGCTCCATGAGATCTTGTTAGAATCTCCATTTTACAGATGAGGACATTGAGGAATAGAGCTGTTAAGTAACCAGCCTGAAGTCACACAGCAGGGAGGAGGGGTGGCCGACACATTGAAACCCAGGATGTCTGGCCCTGGAGCCCTCTCTCTTAACCCCCATGCCATTTTCCCCTTTGTCTGATGCTCAGTGTTTGTAACTGAAGACCCACTTTGCACCGTGGTGTAATTTTCTACTGGTCTAACTCTGAAGTGGTGAAGCTGGCCAGACACAAGCTCAGTGGTTGATTTGTGGGAATGATTTTGTAAAACTGAAAAGTTCACACCACGTTCCATGGGCATCACCTCCTGTGAAAGGTCATCAGTGCTGTAGGCAATAAGAGGGAGAGCCCGTAGGGACACCTGTCTCCCCATCTCAGATGCCTGGCTCCGTTGATTCTTGAGTATCAGGTCTGTCTTGTGCATTTTCCATTGTGTTCTCTTCTGATGAGTCACTGTATTCAGACACAAAGTCTGAGATGATACCCAGTGTAGAAAATGGGCACCATCACCAAAGGCCTTGCATGGATGCTGAGCATAAACAGGCTCTAGGAACCTCATCAAAGAGAAGCCCAAGGAAGTCATTTGTGTGGGATTCAAACTACATCAGAAATTCCAACAACCAAGACTCCTCAACTTTTAAGCTATTTTCCTGTTTATCACTCTTGTCCTTTCCTTCATAAATGAGTTGCCCTGACTTCAGTTTAAGGACAGCAATTGAGAAAGGTGGAGTCGAGATGGAAGAGTATAAGCAGCTTTCTTACATGCACGAAGGCACATCCAAGGGAAGGGAGGTTTCAGGAGAATGTTCTCTCGGGATACTGAGTTAGGGGCTTGTCACATCAGTGTCCACTTTTAACCTTGGCCATGCACCCATTTTTGCTGACTTTTATCAAGCACTGGTTTTGTGCCTGGTACTGTGCTAAGTCTATACAGTCCCCAACCCATTGAATTCCCACCACACCTTAGTCAACGTTGCTACTCATCTTTTTAGAGAAAGAAACAAGCTCAGAGAGGCAGCTTTCCTTGTCAAATGACACAGAGCTACTGAAGTCAGAGCAGAGGGTGGAAACCATGCTGTCTGCCTCTAGCGCTTGTACACCGGTTCTCACTGCAGGGGCCACTGGGCATTGGTCAGATTGCCTGAGCACAGTCTTGTCCTGGATGGGCTAAGGGGTAAATATTTGTCAGCCACAGTGTTCTCATCAGTAGAAATTACTTAAAGTATGTTAAGCTGAAAATCCACGAAGAATAAAAATGCTTAAAAGCATCTGGATAGAAAACTTATGTGCACACAAAAACCCAAGCATGGGTGTTTATAGCAGCTTTATTCATAATTACCGAAAAATGGGAAGCAGCTAAATATCCTTCAGCAGGTAATGGAGAAGGAAACTGCAATACACCCAGACAATAGAATATTATTCAGTGCTAGAAAGAAATGAGCTATCAAGCCATGAAAAGGCACGGAGGAAACTTGAATGGATATTGCTAAGTGAAAGAAGCCAATCTGACAAAGCTACATAGTATATGATTCCAATTATATAACATTCTGGAAAATTATAGAAACAGTAACATTCTAGAAAATTACAGAGACAGTAAAAAGATCAGCAGTTGCTAGGAGTTGTGTGGAGGGAGAGATAAAGAAGTGAAACACAGGATTTTTAGGGCAGTGCAACTATTTTGTATGATATTGTAATGATAGACACATACATTTGTCAATATCCATAGAATACACAACACCAAAAATAAACCCTAATGTAATCTATGGATTTTGTGATGATGACATGTCTGTGTAGGTTCATCATTAGGTAACTAATGTACCACTCTGGTGAGGGATGTTGATAATGGGGGCGGCTGGGGGTTGGGGCAGGCAGGGGGCATAGGGTACTATCTATACATCCTGCTCAATTCAGCTGTGAAACTAAAACTGCTCTAAAAAAGTCTATTAATTAAAATTTAAAAATGGAATAATCTGAGGCTCATTATCAAGCTCTAGAGCCAGAAGAAGCACCTGTCTGACCCAGAAAAAGACCCCATGATGGCCGCGCAGCAGCATCCTGCATTGGCCCAGGTTGCAGATCTAAGACAGGTGTCCTGGGCAAAGGTGAGCAGAGTGCTCTTAACCGCTCAATGCGTTTTTGTTGCCCACTGCTCAGATAGAGCTAATCTATCAAGACAGGGGAATTACAATAAAGAAAGAATTTTACACACATAGAGCTGGCTTAAATGGGAGACCAGAGTTTTATTATTACTCAAATCAGCCTCCCTGAACATTTGGAGGCTAGGGTTTTTCAAAGATAGTTTGGGGATAGGGGGATGGCTAGGGAATGGGTGCTGCTGATTGGTTGGGGGGGTGCAATCTTAGGCATGTGGGAAATGGTCCTCAAGTGTGCTGAGTTTGCTTCTGGGTGGGGCCGCAGGACAGGTTGGTGGGTCTGGGTGGAGCCACTGGTCATGAGAAACGCAGAAAACCTGAAAAGACATCTCAAAAGGCCAACCTTAGGTTCTGCAAGAGTGCTGTTGTCTGCAGGAGTAACTGGGGAAGTTGCAAATCTTGTGACCTCCAGAATAACGGCTGGTAATTATTTATCAATTTAATCATTACAGATTGGCTCTATCTGGGCAGTGGGCAAGAAAAACCCATTGGGCGGTTACAGTTCTTCTCTGAAGAGCACTCTCTGCTCACCTTTACTCAGGACACCTGTCTACACCTTAGCAGAATTCAGGCACCTGTCATCCTTCTAAACTGGGGGAATTTCATTAGCTTTACAAAGGCGGTTTAGTTTTGGGGAAGGGCTATTATCATTTAAAGTATAAACTAAATTTCTCCCAAAGTTAATTTGGCCCAAGTCCAGGCATGACTAAAGGCAGTTTGAGGTTAAAGGCAAGATGGGGGTTGGTTAGGTCAGATCTCTTTCACTGTCATACTTTTCTCACGGTTTGGGAACTTCCCAAAGGAAGAGACTCCCCCAGCAGATTCATGTTGTGGAATTTAAGCCTGAAATAAAAGTGAAAAATCTCATTGCAATAGCTAGAGTGTGGCAGGTGGCTCTCATTTGGCTCCCACGTGGCACTAAGGTGCATTCCTCCCGACCTGCCCTGCCAGTGCTTCGTAACCCCATTCTTTCCCCATGATGGAAACATACATTCCCATGAAAGAAAATCTGTTCTTGACTGATGAGGACTGGGAGGCTGTGACAAGATGGATACATGTGCCATGTCTTGGGTCAGTGTGACTCTGTGAGGTGCTCCAGGTAGGCCGCCTTCCCCATGCAGTCCTACACACTGGGCACACAAACCCTTCTCCTGTGGCGGGGTCGGGGGCAGTGACCTGTCCTTGTGACAAAGACCTGAGCTGCCTCTCTTCCATGCAGCCACCATCACCTCCCTCCTGGGCTCTTTGGGGGTGCCTCTTGCCCCTGTGCCCTGCCCACCACCCCAGGTGCACCTGCCTGGCTAATGTGCTCTCCCCACTTCCTTTGTTCATCTGCCAAGCCCTTTCTACAGTGCCCAGGGCTGCTATATCTGGTACAACCTGGTCCCTGCTCACACAGGGCCTCCTCCTCCCACTGGTTCATTTTATAACAGCGTTACCTCCTCTTTATTCATGGATGTGAGGGTTAATTTTATGTGTCAACTTGACTGGGCTAAGGGATGCCCAGAGGGCTGGTAAAACATTTCTGGACGTGTCTCTGAGGGTGTTTTTGGAAGAGATTAGCATTTGATTAAGCAGACCGAGTAAAGAAGATTCACCCTCTCCACTGCAGGTGGGCATCAATCAGTCAACCTGTGGAGAGCCCTGAGAGAGCAAAAACGCCGAGTAAGAGCAAAAGTTCTCTCTGTCTGCTTAAGCTGGGATATCTGTCTTCTGCCCTCTGACATCAGCACCTCTGGTGCTTTAGGTTTGAACCGAAACTGCACCAGCAGCTTCCCGGGGCTCTGGCTTGCAGAGAGCAGACTAGGATTCCTCAGCTTCCATAATCATGTGAGCCAGTTCCCATAGTCAATCTCTTTCTGTAGATTTCTATATGTCCTACTGGTGCTATTTCTCTGGAGAACGCTGACTAGTACAATGAGGTAGGTATATTGCATTGGAGACCCAGAACACTTCAAATATTTATTACTGGGCTAGGAGAGAAGGCAAGGCCCTACTAAAAATTGTGGCTGTGTAGGTAAACTTGTTCAGACACATGTATCCATGAATTTAAAATAAAAATTAAATAAAAAGCAAACACCTTTTAAAAAATTTTGTGATGATGGTGGAGGTATGTCCACCAGGGGGTGAGCTGGTCTCGTGAAACTCCAGGGAGGTGTCAAACGACCTGGGTGTGAAAGGGACGGATATCTGGAGGAAGGAATAGAGAGAGGATGGACACACGAGTCTGGCAGGAGCGGGCAGCTTCCTCCAGCCAGACTGTGGGCAGCGCTGTCAGGCTCAGGGGAGGTGGCTCCAAGACCACCTGCCCCTGTCTGTTCCCTTCTATGCCCCAGCCATGTCTGGCACCTTCTGTACACCCCAGCCTCATTGCCTTGCTTATTCATTGCTTGTTTTTCCCAATGAGAGCAGGGACCTTGTGCACAGACTCTCCAGAGCCCTGTACATGAACAGTTGAGGAATGAATGAAAAATGAGTGAAGGGGCTGTGGAGAGACGTCCACAGGGAACCACAGACATTTACAGCCTCATGCAATTTGAAATGTGAGGCTACTTTAGGCCCTAAGGGGCAGGGGAGCATCACTTAGGGCTAGGAGCACCTTTTTGTTCCCTAATTTGGGTGGCTTCTGTCCTCTCCCGCTGTGTTCATCTTCCCTACTCATGGTTTCTTTGCTTGCTAAGCATTTCTCCCCGTTTTGATGACCAGGGCTTAATCTCCCCTATTGGCACTGGGCTGTGATCTGGTTTAAACCATTCCTTGTCTGTTCATAGGGACCCACCTGGTTTGGGGTCCCCCTCCACCATGGATTCCTGACCTACCCAGACCCATCCAGGGCACAGAGGAATTCCTGCCTCAGTGGCCCAGGGTGACTTGAGGCACTCAGGCATGAGAACCCCTGATGCCAAAGATCAAATCTTGTTTCCGTCTCGTGCTGGGCCCTCTTCCTCCCAGGAAGAAATGCTGGG
Source organism: Homo sapiens (assembly GCF_000001405.40). Lineage (NCBI taxonomy): Eukaryota > Metazoa > Chordata > Mammalia > Primates > Hominidae > Homo > Homo sapiens. The sequence continues at coordinate 122,526,788 of NC_000010.11, forward strand.
AACTGGTGGTGATAAGTCAGTCTTCTCCAGGGTGGCAAGAGTGTTAATTTACAGCCACCTCTGCCTTCCTCTGTTCCCATCCACCACCCAGCCCCCAGGCCTCCCCCTACCACCAGCTGGGCTCTGATGTGAGTCACTTCTTACAGGGATGTGGAGCAAGCGGTTCACCTTCCCTCAACATCTTGAGCCTTCCCTGTTATTAAAAGTTGAAGGTGCTGGGGTTCCAGGCGATGAATGGGGGAGAGATGGCAGGCCTGTGTGGAGGAGGGGTGGTCAAGCATGATGGTCGAAGTCCAGAGTGAAATGGAGGTGGCCTCTGGGCAGCCTGGGGTCAATATCCACTGCTGTTTCGTGCACAGCCTGGAAAGTGTGTGTTAAGCAGCATCCCAGCCAATGCTGGAGAAATGATTTAATCTCTTGGGGCCTCAGTTTGTTTCTGCCTCTCAACATAGCAAACACTCATGCTCCATCTAACCAGATTTAACAATTTGCACTTCGTTATATTTGCTTTTTTATAAGTAAAAAAGAAACTCTCTTTGATCACCCCCACCCAATCCCATTCTTCCTGCCTCCTCACCCTAGTGGCAACCACTGCTATTACTTTAGTGTGTTGTTTTTTTCGTACGTTTATATATTACATATATATCCATTGGCAATACACATTGTCTTATGTAGGTTTTAAGAATTTCATAAATGATATTGTGTGTGTTATTCTACAACTTTGTTTTTCATTCAGCTTTACTGTGTGAGGTCTATCCTGTTGAGAGATATATGTATATGTATGTGTATGTGCGTGTGTATACATACATACATATTTATAGTTCGCTCCATTCGACTTCTGCATAGTATTCTATCACATGTGTATGCCACAACCCATGTTTCCTATTTCCTGGATGATAAGACTTTATGGTGCTGGGGTTCAGTGTGTTTATCTGTATTGGGGATCCTTACACCTTTCCCATATGTTGGGGCTATGTGAGAGGCACAGGTGATTGGCCAAGGTGATTAGCCCCAGAACCTTCTCAGGTCTTCCCACAGAGAGGGGATTTTGGCCCCCAGGATGACTGCTGTTGCAGAACACCTGTGCCCCCATGTCTTCCCCAGTGTCTGGTAATGGGAGCCTCTCAGGCTGCACCCATCAAGGAGGGCTGTGACCCTCAGAATAGGGCTGGCACTGGTGGCTCCATGCTAAGACTGGAGGGAATTTGGGGAGTCCTCTGACCCAGTTCCCCCAGCAAGTTGCCACTGTGAGATGCCCATCCTGAGTAACACCTCCAGGAATGGGACCTGGCATCCCTCAAAGTGCTACTGTAGGCGTCTGCCTCTGAACGCACATACCTAGGAAGGGAGACTCCCTGTACCCAAAGGCAACTCAGTCTTACATTGGGTTGAAAAATCTGTGTCCTGTTAAGTTCTGTTTCTGTGGCCCAGCTGTGGCTATGGGGCCAACCAGAACACTGAATCCCACTTTGGCAGCAAGCCTGTTGCATACTGAAAGGCCACAGTTATGCCCATCTCAACTCCTGTCTTTAATTTTCTAGGTGAAACAGCCACCATTTAAAAACGATTTCTAGCCACTGAAACTATAGAAAACCAACAGCCACAAGAAACAAAATCAAACGAAACATAAAATAATAAAGGAATGCAGCCTTCCTAGACTGTGGGCTCCCATGCCCTCACCATTATGTTCATCCTCTGAATGTGTTCCTGTTTCCAGTACTAGATGATAAATTCCTGCTGGGGTTGAATTCCTGCTGAAATGCTTGGGCCCGCAGTATTATGTCAGAAATAAGTCTGAGGTACCCATCCTCGGTGGAAGCTTTTTGCCTAAGTATAGACAGCTTGGTATTGAGTACCTGTTAGTTTTTCTGCATAGTTCTCTTTCCCTCATCCACAATCGTTCTTGGAGCTCTCCCTTACTCAGTTCACAAGGAAAGTGCAGTGAACACCCAGGCAACCATTTCTGCAAAGTGGCTCTGCCTCCTGGCACAGTTGATTGGACCAGGATAATGGCAGCTCTGAGAAGGGGTTAAAACCTCCTCTTCTCCTTCCCAAGGCCCCTAATCTCCCTCTGGGGCCCCATTTCTTGATGTAGACAATTAGTGGCTCTCAATCTTACATAAATTGCCATTTAAATGCAGTGTCAAGCACTGATTTTCTTAGGTTGGAACTAAGAGATTCTTGGTTCAAATTTGTTGGTTTCTTAAAAGGAGCAGATACAAGTTGGAGAGCTGCTGGTAGCCTGAGGTTTCCTTGCAGAGGAAACTAGTAAGAGAGAAGGGGAAGAAAGTGTGAGCAAGACGGGAGTTCCAGAGTGCTGAGGGAGCAGAGATGAGGGACTGGGAGATGATGAAGGAGCCCAGGCCCCTAGTTCCCATCCACTCCCAAGGGCTGACTGCACCCTAGCCCTTGGGGACCATGAGACACCCTAGATATGCATTAAAAACACCCTTTCTGCTTGGGGGTTCCTGTTAAGTTTCTGTTTCTTGCAACCACAAGAGTCTTGGTTCATGCAAACATGGAGTCACACCAACTCTATTGCTGAAGTGATCTTCTGACCCCCTCCAGAGCCAGGTCTGCCCCCTTGTGCCCCTTCTACTCCCTGCCCCCAGGCATAGCTTCTATTCTTGTGCCTTTAAATGTCCATTTTTGTAATGTGTTTTTATCCTAAGCCATCTCTATTGACTTGGAAGGCAGCAGGACACAGTGCTGACATAAATACAACATAGAAGCCACAGGGGAAACTGAACCAGAAGTTCAAGTAGGGCCAAGTCATTGCCCTGTACAAAAGGGTCAATCTGGACTTTATTAGGGACCCCATTCCACCACTTCATCTGGTCCAGAGACAAGGAAATCAGCTCTCAGTGGGAAACACCTGTGCTTGTAACTGATCTTGAAGTTTATGCAACCAGGAGAACTGTCCAACTCAAGGCTTCAGGAAATATGCTGATATCTGGGCCTGCTTCCATCAGTTTCATCTAATTGCTGGAAAAATCATGTCACCTAAGAAGGAGGTCCACTCCCCTTCCTGCCCCACCCCCAGCAGCCCAGTATGACCAAAAGCAAGGCACTGGCAGATATAGTGTCTGGTGGGGGTCCTCTTCCAGGTTCACAGATTGTTGTCTTGTTGCTGTGTCCTCCTGTGGGCGAGGGCTGTCTTTGGGGTCCTTTTCATTAGGCAGTTAATCCTTTTTATGAGGCTCTGCCCTCATGACCTAATAGCCTTCCCAAAGCCTCACCTCCAAACCATCACCTTGGGGACTAGGTTTCAACACATGAACTTTGGGGGTAACATAAACATTCAGCAGCATCAAACCCCAAACTCATTGGCTTTGCACATTTAGGAGGTGGTCACCAGGAGTCACAGTCCAGTCGACCAGCCACCACTGGGATTATAACAAACAGTCCCTGTCAGGCTTCTTTTTCTCATGAACCCAACCCAACGTTCTAAAAGAAAACAATGTCTGAGGAAACCTGAGGAGGAGTGCTCTGTCACGGTAGGGGGAGGACAATAGCCAGCTCCCCAGGCGTGGCCCAAGATGACCGCTGCTGGGCTGCCGCTTGGCACTGGGTTGTTGTGGAAACGGTTTCCTGATCGTGGTCATAAGCATTTCCTTTGGCTGGACTACACCCCAAGCATCTTTGATTCTAAACGGAAATAGCCACGTACGGTTGGCAGGAGACTGGGACCTCTGGATGTGGAGCTCACAACTTCTGGGAAGGAGAATGGCACGAAGTTTGTTTTCATGGTCACTCTTAGGACACTACATTTTTCCCCCCCACAATTTCTCTTTTGCTGTGTCCTTTTAGCCTTGAGGGCAATAGTCTGAAATGAGCAGTTAAGCTGGTTGTCATCTCTGATGTTTCCGAAATCCTCTGTCTGCTGTTTCGTGTCCTAGATTTTAGTCACACGGCATGCTCAGCACATGCCAGGCCCTTTACATACATTATCTGATTGAATCCTCAAAATAACCCTATGAAATGGACACTATACTAATATACAAATAAGGAAATCAAGGCTTCAGCTTTGCCTGACTCCAAAACTTACGCTCTTATCCCCCAATTTGATCTGTCCTTCATGGCTCAGCTGGAGACCTTTCCCTCCAGAAAGCCAACCCCTGCCATCCTGCCTGGGGGCTCTCCCTGCCCCAACCCTGTTTTCTGGATTCCTAGATTTGTGCTTGCCTGCAAGTTTGGCTGAATATTGCCCCTCCCCACAGATGTCTGTCTCCTAATTCCTGGAACCTGTGAATATATGACCTTATATGGCAAAAGAACTTTGCAGGCATCATTGAATTAAGAATCTTGAGACAGGGAGATCATTCTGGATTTTCTGGTGGGCACAGTGTAAATCACATGGGTCCTTATAAGACGATGTCAGGAGGATCGGAAGGAAGAAGAGGGGATGGGATGACCAAAGCAGAGGTTGGAATGATGGGCTTTGAAGATGGAGGAAGGAGTCACGAGCCTAGGAATGTGGGTGGCCTCTAGAAACTGGAAAAGGCAAGGAGATGGGTGTTCCCCTAGAGCCTCTAGGGGAGCACAGTCCTGTGACACCTTGACTTCAGCCCGTAAGACACATTTTGGACTTCTACCCTCCAGAACTGTAAGATGATACATTTGTGTTGCTTTCCGCTACTCAGTTTGGGGTCACTTGTTATAGCAGCTGCAGGAAACTCATAGTCTGTGTTGTGATCTCCTTTCTCTGCATCTGCATCCATCTCCCAGCCAGGAGGTGAGTTCTGGCTGCGTAGACGTACTTAATTCAGTTCAGTAGAAATATTTTGGACACTTGCTGTATTTCTGAGCACACTGCCTGTGTCGGGAGGCAATGCAGGCATGAGTAAAGCATACCTCTGTCCTCCAGAAAACAAGTGTCTCAGATTTTACATGGCTAGAGGTCCAAGCTCAAAACCTTGCACAAAAAAGATGAGTAGGAATTAGCTAGTGACTACAGAGAAAACATATGGTCATATAAAACAAAACACAAATAAATATAGTAAGTTTTTTATAAATGAACTAGAAGTAGGGAACTCTTGATTTTTTAAATGAATCGCCATGATGACAAACATTTTTAAAAGTTTAACTCCAAATGATGAACGACAAGGAAAAGGGGAGGCAGCCAGAGCCCAGGAGAGATGAAGGAAAGGGGAGGTTGGCAAGAGGGGGGAGGAAGGTATAAGATGAATACTGTAGGTGCCAAGGGGCTGGGAGTTTCTGGGATGAGGAGGGGCTTGGTGAACTCTAATCATGCCTACCTCTGTGAGTTATAACCTCTTATCCCGGCCTTTGAACTGCTAAGCAAACAAATTAGCCACATTCTCCAAGGTTAAGGTGGCATTTATCATAACACGTTAGCTCTTAGGTCTGAAAAGGATAGTGGAGAGCAAGGGCTGGAACGATTTCAATCACTTCCCTGCACCAGGGTGTAGGTGAGCCCCAGGGCATTTCTGATGGGCTTCTTGCCAGGGGAGAGATTGCCCTGTACTGAAATAGGTCAGTTACATCCCTTTAATGTGCAGTTCCCCAAAATCACCTGAATTAGAATGACCTGAGCATATATTAGGATCCTTATGCCTATTCCAGACCCCTAGATTCTGATGTCACCTCGGATTTGAGAACAGGGTAATTTTCCCTTTATTGGACAAAAGGTTTTCAAAATATTAATAATCTTAGCAATCTTAAAAACTTAATTAACATGAAGTTTGGAGGGGCTTAGTATACCCATGTTGTACCACCTGATTCTTGTGATTAATTTTCCTTGTAAGTTTCTATATACTACGGAAAAGTCCGAATACAGTATTGCATAATTGCCCTCTGTTAACAATTATCAGGTATAATAATGGTAGAAATTTTATGGCATCTCCAGCATATATCAATTTCAGTAAATTAAAATGTATTATCGTACCTGTTCAACACTTCATATCAGACCTTATGCAATACTTGGCATACCGTAAGTTGAGAGTGTGTGGCTCTAATGAGCCTGATGTTTGAAAAATGGAAGATGGTGGACTTTGCCTAGAAAACTTTTGGTAATCAGAGTTATCCATAATAATAAAGCAACTCTTGGGATAAGGCACTTCCCAACAAACCAATTGCTTGATAATCTAAATGCCAGTAATTTGGATGTTTTATAACATAATGGGGTCATAGAAACTAACCTTTCTGTAGATTATTTTTATGCTATACATTACTGGCATTGTCTAAGTTGTGAGAAATACTGTCAATGATTAACTGCAGTGTAAAGATGGGCTCGCTAGATAATATTCCTGCATGGGGTGACAGGAGGCAGGTACGATTTCTCATGCTCATTTTCATACAGAGGAAGCCAGCTTGATAAGCTAGTGTCACACAGCTCCTGAGGAGGGGGTCTTCTGGAACATGGGACCTGTGCTTGCTGCTGACGATGTCAGTTGCACATGAAAAGGTTGAATGCAAGTGGTGGATGGAAGACTTCTTAAAAATGACATGGAAAAGGAAATGCGGCATGCAAACCCTAACCCTCCTGAGATCATGGGTCCACATTGCGTAGTGCTCTAATCTAGAATTTAAATGTATTTCTTTTTTTCTTTTTTTTTTCTGTCACCTGGTCTGGAGTGCAGTGCCACAATCACAGCTCACTGCAGCCTTGACCTCCCTGGCTCAGGTGATCCTTCCACCTCAGCCTCCCCAGTAGCTGGTACCACAGGCGAGGACCCCTTCGCCCAGCTGATTTTTTGTATATTTTTGTAGAGATGGGGTCTCGCCATGTTGCCAAGGCTGATCTGGAACTCCTGGGCTCAAGTGATCCACCCAAGTTGGCCTCCCATAATGCTGGGATGATAGGCATGAGCCACTGTGCCCAGCCTAAAATGTATTTCTTATATCACTATTTTGAATTTGCTTCTTGGAAGATGAAGTAGATAAAAGAGATAAACTAGGCACTGCATTCTCCTTACAGCAAAGGTTTCTCAGCAGGAGGCCATGGGGAGGATGAAGGCTCTCCAGGTCATGAGAATTGGGCTCAGGCTCTTGCTGGGCTTCTCACTTACTAGCTGTGTACCACCAGGCAGTTTTCTCAACTGTACATCACCTGCAGAATGGGCCGATAAAACCTCCTTCATAGAGTTGTTGTAGGGTTTTGAGACACTGCATATAACATGCCAGGCCCAATGTTGTTCTTGGTCCTTGTTCTTATTCTTCAATCCAATCCCTTAGAAACATTTAAAGCAACGATTTGCACCTAATGATCAGGACTGTATCAATTATACCAAATGCATCCTGCATCCTTATTTCTTGCGAGGAAGGATATATGAAATGTTTCATTCATCTATGTGATTCAACCTCCCTCCTACAGTTGCCTGGGGCCTACTGCCTTGTAGGTTGTAGGTACCATGTAGGTTTGGGTTGAATTGAGTTGAATTACAAACTTTGGCAAAGTAATCTTGACAGGGCATGGGGAACTTGGGTTTTTCACTTTTGAGTAGACCACAATTAAATAGTTAGACTTGAAAAGAGTCAACAGAGACTATTATATCTATCTATTTACCTGTAATTAAGATGCACAATGGCTCTTTGAGGTATACACATACCAGGTGTCAGAGCTGCTAGCACCTGTAATCTTGGGAACTTGTCTCGATTGCCTTTACTTTTTTTTTTTTAATCAGATTTTGCCAGAGACACTGTTGGGACCTTCTGGTACCAGTCTTTGGACTTGATTTTGATAGCAAAGGGGGTAGCTAGAGGCTCTTTGTAATAATAGTGCTTTTTGGTTCCCATAAGAGATGTCAAGTGCTTCTGGCCATGGGGAAAGCCTAGGGTAGTGGTTAAGCAAGCGATGCGGCAATCATTTAGATCAGGGATTGAATCTGAGCTGTTATTCATTCTGTTACTAGGCTAGTTACTTAACCTTCCCAAGCCTCAGTTTCTTCATATGGAAAGTGGATGTAATGATATTAGGACTTGTCTTAGAAGCCATGGGGAGGATGCATGAAATACAGCAGCTAAGACACTCAGCACAATGTGTGGAGCCTAAGAAAGCTTATTGCTATCATCATTGTCTGTTTTTCCCCAATCAGTCCAATGCTCGGCTCTCCTGAGGATGACCGTGACTGCAGAATGTGGATTCACTGATCTGCATCCTGCACCTGGGCCTCTGCTCATAATGGCTGGTTAGATGAGAACATAACCTCTAAAACTCAGGCTTCTGGTAATTGGATAAAAGCCATGTACTCTATACCTAGGAAGTGTACACACACTCCCTGTATTTTAGGAGTTCATGGATGCCTGAAGTCCATTTGTTTGTGGCACCAGAGTTGGGAATCTCCGACTCAGGAAATGAATAATATAGGAATTAGGAGAGCACTTACAATGCACCATGCTTCCAGTTCAGTAGGATGTAAAATTGCACTGGCAGTTACTATTATAATTCTCACTTGCCCTCTACTCTCTGGAAGTTGAGTGTCCATCGGGCTGACTCTGGTCTTCTTCCTTGAGCCACAGTTCTTCCAGGGTCATAATCTAGGTACTCAGTGGAGGGGAGCATCTCTCAGCTGTCTTCCTAGCTCCCTGGAGGAGTCTGGATGCTCAGATTAGAATACCCATATATATTTTTTTCATATGCTTGTTGGGCACATGTATTTCTTCTTTGAAAGGTATCTGTTCATGGCCTTTGCCCACTTTTGAATGGGGTTGTTTATTTTCTTGTAGTTTTAAGTTCCTTATAGATGCTAGATATTAGACCGTTGTCAGATGCATAGTTTGTAAAAATTTCTCCCTTTCTGTAGGTTGTCTGTTTACTCTGTTGATAGTTTCTTTTGCTGTGCAGAAGCTCTTCAGCTTAATTAGAGCCCATCTGTTAATTTTTGCTTTTGTTGCAGTTGGTTTCAGCATCTCCTGTCTTTGCTGTTGTGAATAGTGCTTCAATGAATGTACACATGCATGTCTGTCTATGATAGAATGATTTATATTCCTTTGGCTGTAAACCCAATAATGGAATTGCTGGGTCGAATGGTAGTTCTGATTTTAGGTCTTTGAGGAATCGCCACACTGTTTTCCACAATGGTTGAACTAATTTACACTCTCATTAACAATGTATAAGCATTCCTTTTTCTCTGTAACCTCGCTAGCGCCTGTTATTTTTTGACTTGTTAATAATAGTCATGCTGACTCGTGTGAGATGGTATCTCATTGTGGCTATGATTTGCATTTCTCTAATAATCAGTGATGTTGAGTTTTTTTCAAAAGTTGGGGCTAAATGATGAGAACACATGGAGACGTAGAGGGGAACAACAGACACTGGGGCGTATTGGGGGAAGGAGGCTGGGAGCAGGGAGAGGGTCAGGAAAAATAACTAATGGGTACTAGGCTTAATACCTGGGTGATGAAATAATCTGTACAACAAACCCCCATGACACAAGTTTACCTATATACCAAACCTGCACGTGTACCCATGAAATAAAAAGTTAACAAACAAATACTTATACTAATGAGAGTTGTGTTATGGCTGTCAACTCAATGAGAAGTACTTTTGTAGTCATTTAAGCAAGCTAGCCCAATGAAACTCACAGGAAAGGAACCAAATCCTGAACAGCTTGCATCGTTCTTTCCTGGCGGTCATTAAATGTTTAAATAAGTTACTTGGGTGACTAAATTAAGACAGGCTAAAAGAGAGAAACATTGGCTCAGTCCTTCTTTGTCAGCTTGTTTACTTGTTTAATTGTTCCTCCACCAGTCTGGAAGTCCCAGGAGGGCAGCGGCCCTGTGTTCTTTGTTCGCTACACAGCACCTGGCACAGAGTAGGTACAACAAGTATTTGTGGACTAAATGATAATCCGTGATGCTCAAACTGCTGTTCTGTAGGAGAGACTCTGTCGTCAACCAGTAGATTGTGATTCCACAGGTGTTTGGAGGACCCAGGATCCATGGAATGATTTTGACTTCTCTATTTGCTGTAGAAAAATTTATTGAGAAAAAAAGCATAGGTTCATATAGAGCATTGAGCCACCCAATATATCTTCCCCAAAGGTCTTATAAATTCTAACAAGGCTGACACAGTTGATGCTAATAAAAATCGTTCTTTCATGGTTATGCTCAACTGTGTTTTAATAGCATTTGATGGATCCATGATTTACTTATTGTTCATTTCTTGGATTTCTTGGTCAAGAACGCAACTTCCACATACAAAACCCAATAGCACTGCTATACATTAACAATGAACTATCTGAAAAAGAAACGAAAACAATCACATTTACAATAGCTATAGAAACATACCTAGGAAAAAGTTTAACCAAGGCGATAAAAGGCTTGTACACTGAAAACTATAAAATATTGATGAAAGAAATTGAAGAAGACACAAATAGAAAAGATAGCCCATGTTCATGAATTGAAAGAATTAATATTGTTAAAATGTCCATGCTACTCTAAGCAATCCACAGATTCAATGCAATCCTTATCAAAATTTTAATGATTTTTTTACATAAATATAAAAAAAATCTGAAATTTGTATGGAACCACAAAAGACCTCAAATAGCCAAAGCAATCCTGAGCAAAAAGAACAAAGCTGGAGGCATCACACTACCTGAATTCAAAATATACTACAAAGCTATAGTAATCCAAACAACATGGTATCGGCATTTAAAAAAAGACATATAGGTCGGGCGCAGTGGGTCACACCTGTATTCCCAGCACTTTGGGAATCCAAGGTGGGCAGATCACTTGAGGTCAGGAGTTTGAGACCAGCCTGGCCAACATGGTGAAATCCTGTCTCTACTAAAAATACAAAAATTAGCCAGGTGTGGTGGCGGACACCTGTAGTCCCAGCTACTCAAGAGGCTGGAGCAGGAGAATCACTTGATGGGAGGAGGGTGAGGGATAAAAGACTACAAACTGGATTCAGTGTATACTAGTTGGGTGATGGGTGCACCAAAATCTCACAAATCACCACTAAGGAACTGACTCATGTAACCAAATACCACCTCTTCCTAGAACCGATAAGTGAATTCAGCAAAGTTTCAGGATACAAAATTAGTGTACACAAATCATTAGCTCTGCTATACACCAACAGTGACCAAGCTGAGAATCAAATGAAGAACTCAATCTCTTTTATGATAGCTGCAAAAATAAAATAAATACTTAGGAATATATCTAACTGAGGAGGTGAAAGACCTCTACAGGGAAAACTACAAAACTCGGCTGAAAGAAATCATAGATGCCACAAACAAATGGAAACACATCGCATGCTCATGGATGGGTAGAATCAATATTGTAAAAGTGACCATACTGCCAAAACAATCTAAAAATTCAATGCAATTCCCATCAAAATACCACCATCATTCTTCACAGAACTAGAAATCCGATCATTTTCAACAACATGGATGAATCTGGAGGACATTTCATGAAGTGAAATAAGCCAGGCACAGAAAAATACTGCGTGATTTCACTTATATGTGGAATTTTTAAAAAGCTGAACTCACAGAAGCAGTGCAGAATGGTGGTTACCAGGGGCTGGGAGTGGGGAGTGTTGGGGAGATGTTGGTCAAATGCAAAATTTCAGTTAGGAGGAATAAGTTCAAGAGATCTATTGTAAAACATGGTGACTATAGTTAATAACAATGTATTGTATTCTTGAAAATTGCTGAGAGTAGATTTTAAGTGTTCTCACTACCAAAAAATAAGTCTGTGAGGTTACGCATATGTCAATTAGCTCAATTTAGCCATTCCACAATGTATACATACTTCAAAATAACATGTTGTACATGACAAATATATACAATTTTCATTTATCAATGAAAACACATAAACAAATAAGTATTTGTTCACACACACACACACACACACACACACACACAAAATAAAGAAACACCACTCTGGCTGCTGTGGGGAGAGCCTACCACAGAGTACTAAGAGTTGAGGCCAGGACAACAGCTTTCCAGGGGGGAAGGGAACAACTTGGACTGGGACGCTGGAAGCTGGCAGCAAAGATGGGTTGGGATATATTTTGGCTCTGGCACCACCAGGACGTGTCTATGGATTGTATATGGGAGATATGAGAAGTAGGGGAAAAGGGGAAACCCTAGTGCTCTCTGCTGTACCACACTGCCTTGGATGGCCCTGGAGGTCACTGGAGCCTATATGCTGCTGGATGGCCTTCACACGTGGTTCCAACACTTCACGGGACTGGGAGCTCGTGCTCCACACAGCCCCCTGGAAACTCTTGACCTGGGAGAAAGCACCTTCCCAGGATGCGTTGTATTTTACTTTTCTGCAACATCCACCTGGTGTTACTTCCAGTTCTCCTCTCTGGAGGTACAACAAGGAGAATCCATTCCTTTTCCTAAGAACTTCCTCCAAAAACTTTGAGACTTCATCCTTCTTGGGTCTTTTCCTGCTTTAAGAAATGAGTGTTTCTCTCAAGAGCTAGAGGAAGGACTTCCATATCCTTCCATATCCTGGTCTGTGCTGGTGTTTCTGCTTCTTACATGTTCTTTCTTAGTCTTTCTCTCTTCCCTCACACCCCTCTTTTGACCATTCATTTAAAAGCCCCACATGTGCACACAGCCACTCACACATGCATGCACACTGATCTCTAAAATGGCAGGATTGATATTCTTTTTTTTTTTTTTTACTCATCTCTGTACCCCAGGTGCTGAGGTGTTTGGGAATAACAAACAACCTCCTACATCATCCAACTATGGCATCATTTTTATGAGCTTCTTGATTATTTTGCAATCAAAAACTTCAATAATTGTTTTTCTTATGTATGTATGTTATGTATGTGCCATAGATTTGAACAATACCAAAATTTATACAGAAAAAGAGGAAGGTCACCTCATAAATGTACATTGCCACTTTCAGAGGTAAATAGTCTTCATGTTTTCCATTCAGTGACCCAAGATCTCTGGGTCACCGGGCCTGGAGATGATCTTGACAGTGGAGGAATCAGCATTAAATAGGTGGAATCTCACTGGGAGGAAGTGGGTCCTTTTCAGGTGTCCTGCACTTGTCTGTTAGGTCAAGACATCTCAGTTTGGGGTTAGCCTCTACCACTGTCTAACAACCAAGGTGCTCCCATTTAACAACGAGAGAGCACAACTCAGGCTTTGATCTATACTAACCCAACTGACTTTTTGAAATGTAGAATGTGTCTTTCAGAGCACATTTGCCACCTCCAGGAGCTCAGGACATGAGAAGTAAACATATGAGAAGAAATTTGACAATGCCAGGTGGCGCATAGAAAATGCCAAATTATTGGGAAGACATTTTCTTATGCTCCACCAAAGGGGGCAGCTCGAGGTGAGTCCTGGACAGTGAATGTGGCTACAGAGGTAGAGCTAGGCTGCTGCAAGCAATTGAAAAGAGCTGGAGAAGAGTAAGTGCTGTTACTAGGACACAGGTGGGTAGGAGAAGAAAGTCTGCAGAGAGGCAGGTGGGCTGCCTGGAGTTGGCGTAACACCTGGAATGTCAAACTTGGAAGTCTGTGCTTTAGGCCAAGGGCATTGAAGATGTCTGGAAGATTCTTCTCATGGCAGCTGGAAATACAGGACAAAAGGCTAAAGAATTGATTCAAAGCCCCAAGAAGATAAGACAAAGAAGCAGGCTATTTTGAGTCTCCAGATCCACGAAGAACTGCTGTAGAGATGAAGCTAAGCCTCCTTGTAGGGCCAGGCATGTGCGTCTCTCCTTGTTCAGGGTGCACACAAGGCTGTGCCTGGTTCCTGCTGGCTTCTGCAGCCTCATCTCTCACCACTCACTTCCTAGACTTTCTTCTGCACTCACAATCCTCCCAGTGTCTGGTGCTTGCTGCTATCTTTCCGCGCTGCGCATGCTAAACCTTCTGCCCTAATGCTCTCCCCATTGTCACTACCTGCCCCCCGCTTCCTTTCTGCCTATTCTTCTTTCATGACTTGGCCCAGCTACCGCCTTCAGGACTTGATGCTCTTACTCTGTGCCACTCTCTCCAGCAAGGGGACTCTCCTAGGTGCCCTCATGGTCTCTTTGGTTACCTGATTGCACTGTGTTGTTATTACCTGCTTGCCTAGGTCTCCCCACCTGCATCGTAAGCTCTTCAGGGACCTTATTTTATTCATGCTGACTCTCAATGCCTGGGCCAAGACCTGACATGGAGTAGGTATTCTATAATTTATTAGTGAATGGATGATGCGGATTAACTCTTCATTTGTCTTCCAGGAGCTAGTTTAAACTAAAGCAAAATGTTGTGTGTTATGAAGCATCAGAAAGGATGTAAGGATGGCGAGACCCTAGGACTGTGGTTCTCAAGTGTTGGGCCATGGCCTCTTGATGTGTTATAAATTCTTCTCAAAAGGGTCAATGGATTTGGATCAACATATGAAATAACTTTTGTTAAAATAAATGATATATATTGTTCTGATAGTGTTCATCACAGGCTCATTGAATGAAGCCGGACATTTGAAGTGAAGTAGCTTTTCTCCTGACCTTTCTTCCAAGGAAGAGTTAAGAGGCTTAGTGTAAAATTGAGCCTGAGCCAGATGTGAACATGAGTATAGAAAAGAGTCCAGACAGGGCAATAAACATTCCTGACCAGGGATATGCTGGTAAACAGCAGTCAAGGGAATATCACACTAACTGTGGATGCTTTCATAGGCAGCATGAAAATTCTATTGTAATCTTTAGTGTTGTTTTGAGTCTTTTATTCTTTAAGATCCTGCGAAAATTCTAGGCGGAAAGCCCTGCCCTAGAAAGAGTTCCTGAGTGACCAGTCCGCCAGTCAGTAGGTGGCAAGTCTTCGGGCAGAGACTATGGGAGATGTTCCTTAAGCCTGATACCATTTTTTCAAATCAATAAAATGATAAAAAGCCAAGGACTGCCTTCCTCTTGTTTTTACAAAACTGTCACCCTTTGGCAAGTTTTGTAAATGTGTGTTGTAATCCAGATTATTTAATCATTTCCTGGCAGCAATAGTTTTTCAGTCATGCTGTTCATGGGTAAATGATTTTCAGAGTGATAAGAGAAAGGGCGCTGACAATGGGCTTACAGTGTGAACGCTTCTGTTTTTTATAACTTGCCTAAAATTGCATCACAGGTTGGATTTCAATCATGATTTGGTGACTAGCTCCCTTTCATATATAACCTTTCTATATTTTCACGAATTTTGTGCTTGCTTGATGTATAGTGTCTGAGCTAAAATCTCCCATGATGGTTGTGGTTTTATTAATTTCCGCTTGCAATTATGTGAGGTTTTGCTCAGGATGTTTCAAGATTATTTTGGTAGATGCAACCAAATTTTGGTGCAATGTTTCTTTTATTCTTATGTAGCCATCCTCTTTATGTCTGTTAATAATTTTTACTATAAATTACATAATATTTTACTATAAATTAATATCACCATGCAAACTTTTGTTGAGTACTTGCATAGTACATCTTTTCCCAATCTTTCTATGTCATTTTGTTTTAGGCATAACTTTTATAGATAGGACAGAAGCAGCCTGATTAAAAAAATACATATGGATAGTCTCTTTTAAAAAGTTAGTTTAATCCATTTCTGTTTAGTGTGATTTCTTATACATTTAAACTTTATTTCAAACATCTTCTGTATTTTCTATTTACCATCCTTGTTGTTTGCATTTCTTTCCCAGCCTGTCTTTGAAGTTTATTAGTGTTCCCCTTTCTATTTCCTTTGCTGATGTGGAAGCTGTAAATTGTGCATTTCTTATTTTTAATTCTTACCCTTAAATTTTACATTTTAAATTAATACTTAACTCTAACTTTTTTCTAGAAAAACTTAAAGTTATTCAGTATCTATCCCAAATGAGTGTAGTAGTTACTGGCATTTTGATAACTTCTTTGTGATGTGTTTATTATGTGTAAACATGTCTTCAGGCAGCAATGTTATCATAGCTCACTACACCTACATGCAGGCTTACAAATACTTTGAGTGTCTTTTTTTTTTTTTTTGAGACAGAATCTTGCTTTGTCACCCAGGCTGGAGTGTAGTGGCTTGATCTTGGCTCGCTGCAACCTCTGTCTCCAGGGTTCAAGCGATTCTCCTGCCTCAGGTTCCTGAGTGGCTGGGATTACAGGTGCCCACCACCATGCCTGGCTAATTATTGTGTATCTATTGTTTTGAGTACTTTGTCTTCAGTTCTCTTGAGAAGAGATTTTCAATTGCTTCTGGAAACTGCTCTATCCATTTGAGTGGGCATTGCCATGGTCTTGAAGATGCCACAGGTGGCCTTACTTAGCTGATTGGCTCAAGGGTAAGCATATGACCTAAATTAGCCCAATCAGAATCCTTCACCAATTTTTTGAATAGGAACAGAAAAAAAGAGGGCTTGTCCTCTCTAGTCATGGATGCTGTGACATATGGGATGTCAGCACTATCAGCACAATTCCTCTAATCCACAGTGGAAGAGAATGAAGAAAAGAGCAAAAACCCTCCAAAAGACAAATGATTAAATGCCACTAGGATCTTTGGGAGAGGGGCCAAGAGAAAGTGCAAGAGACTCTCCGCAGGCTGTGTGCGTGAACACAAAGGCCCATAATCGTGACTTTTTAAGGAACACTGGAAGTGAGCATGGTCAAAGGATGAAAATGTTGCTCATACATATAGATATGCCACCATCCAAAGACAGACAAAGGAAGACACTAAGGAATAGAAAGATGAGCTGGAGTGGGAATGAAGAAAAGTTTATAAAATCAGGAAAGGGGAAATGTTAAAACAGTTATTCTTTGAAGTCCATGAATGTGGCTCATTTAGAACAAGGAAAGGCAACATGAAGCATGTTATGTGGCAGGAGATACATTCTTAGAATATGTGAACCTGAGCGTGCTGCTGCTGAAATATGAAATTCAAAATGAATTTTGAAAAAAAAAAAAACCCTGAATGATAGGCTTCATTTCATATTTGGCTTCCATCTGAATCTCTTTTTGTTCTCTGGGTGTGTTTGTGCATGCACACACGTGCACATGTGCTTAATTAGGGGAGAGGCTGCAGCTTAGCCAGGTGAGAGGTGAGGGAGCATGACCATTGGCCAGTCCAGCCCAATCCTGTTTCTGCAGGTCTCAGAGGAAGACAGAGGGGATATTGCCCCAGCAGGGCCGGGACAGAGAGAGACGAGCATTTTCCTTTCTTCATTTTGGGCAGTGGCTAACAACGTTTATCTCATGACTTTTGTGCATTGTTCCCCATAAAAAAGGGTGACTAAGAGTTGTGGAAGCTCATGTTGTAAATGTTTGAAAACATGTAGATTTTACCATCTGGGGGTGGTTCAAGAGGTGTTTTAACTGGAAGACTGAGAGGTAGATAAGTTGGCTTCTTACCAAGTCCCTTCTTGTCAAGAGATCCTCAGATATTACAGATATGTGATCTGTGATGAAGACAGTTGTGGCTGGCAAGCCCCGGCCAGATGCCCTAACGAAGAGCATCTGAATGCACACTCTGCAGCTTTAGGTGTCATTTCAGAGCTCATGGTGACAGATGGCTGCAACATTCTGGATGCCTCCCGGAGGCAAAGAGAAACAGTGGGAGCGGCATAGGAAGGCTGTGAAAGAGGTCCTGAGGGAGAATACCCATGCCAGGTGCATGCATGCCAACGGGAAAGTAGTTAGCATGAAGACAGGCAGGGGCTAGTGTAGCAGGCAGTCTCAGGCCTGGTAGCCATGCCAGGGACAAGATGCCCACAGCTCGTCAGCAATACCCAGTCTGAATTCTGAGACCAGGCTGCCAGGTGTGGAGTAGGCTGGTGAGAGGGTAACCAAGAAGGCCCTGAAAGAAAGCCAGGCCAAGCCAGAAGGAAAGAGAAGGAGACTGACCAGGAAGACCGTGGGAAAAGAGTAAGGCCTTGCGGAGAGGAGCAATAAGTTGTGGGCACTGACTGTGTGAGGTGACAGAGCTGAGGGTGATTGAGGGGGGCTGGGTGACTTGCGTTGGTAGCATGAACAGGAAGCTGCCCTCAAGTCCTTAGCCACTCCAGTCACAGTCATTGCCCCACAAAGAGAGCTGACGTAATCCGCCCCTTGCACCGGGTTTCCGGGGTGCGGTGGGGGTCCTGCTGTGGATACTCATTAATAGGCAGATAGGTGGCTCAGTCCTTCTTCTGGAACAGTCACCTGGAGATGGCCCCTTGCACAGTGTGGAAGCTGAGTGAGATGGCACTTCTCCCATGGAGGCCATGGTGGCCTCCTGTCACTTTCCCATCCCCTTCCTGTCCATGCATCCCCCAGCTGAACTGTGTTGATGCAAAGGAGGAGAAACTGGGGCCCCACAATGGGCTTCTGCCTTGGAATGACAAGCAACTCCCTGCCATGGCCCACAGAAGCCCCTTCCCTGGGAGACCTTTCCCGAGGCTGAATGATGCCATGGGGGGCAGGAAGTGTTGCAGCCATTAGTTTGAATTTGGGCACCATGGTCTGGCTTCTCTGAGCTCTGTCTTCTCATCTCTAGAATGAGGAGAGGAAGAAGGACTGGGCTTGAATGTTTGCTGACATCCTTGTTAGCTCTCAGATCCTGGTATTTAAGGGACCCTTCAACTTCAGGTGGGGCAGTTTCTAAGCAGAGAAGAAAAGGGGTATTGAATATGCATGAAGGAATGGGGCCTTCTTTCTTCCTGTGGGTTTAAGGCTGGGTACTCCTGCTCTCTTGTTTAAGAGACATGGTCTCTGTCGCCCAGGCTGGAGTGCAATGGTGCAATCTCATTGTAACCTGGAACTCCTGGGCTTAAGCGATCTTCCCACTTTAGCCTCTTGACTAGCTAAGACTGCAGGCACACGCCACCATGCCTGGCTAATTTTTAAGTTTTTTTTTTTTTTTTTCTAGAGGCAGGGTCTCATTATGGTGGCCCGGCTGGCCTTGAACTCATGCCTCAGGCCTCCCAAAGTGCTGGGATTACAGGCGTGAGCCACCACACCCAGCCTCTGTTGTTAGAAGGCCAACCCAACTGCCATTTTTATTTCTATTTTCTCAGCTAAAATGGAAAGAGAACTTTAAAGATTTCTTTGAGCAAGCTGATGCTTAGGAAGCCAGACTAATCTCCACCCCCAAATAGCTAGGAAATGATTTTTCAATGTACAAAGGGAGTCCTCACAGCCAACCTCCCTAAGTTCCCATAAAAATAGAGTTTCATTCACAGAATGCTACATATTCTGGGACGGTTTTGTTATGTGAAGAAGAATGTAATGAAGAACATTTCTAGGGGTGACATGTGACCCATAAATCCTTTGGGATTAGGTGGGTGCCTATGTATGATGGTATGTTGTTCATTTTATTATTTTGTGCCTTATTTGAAAGTTATATTTATCCTTTAGAAATTCACTAGTATGGTTGATACATTGAATAAACATAATCCATGGTATAATCAAAACGCAAACTTACTTTTTGTCTTTGCACCTTAATTTTTTTTTTTTTTTTTGAGACGGAGTCTCGCACTGTCGCCCAGGCTGGAGTGCAGTGGCGCGATCTCGGCTCACTGTAACCTCTGCCTCCCGGGTTCATGCCATTCTCCTGCCTTAGTAGTATCTTTCCCTGCTCCAGGACGAAAACTTGCGTGGGTCCTTCTTCAGTAACAGAGTGCTATGGTTACTTTAAATCACAGAGCAGAGTTTTGGGGCTGGCCACCTGGGGGCCAGCAGAGGCATGGGCACTAAACCCAGATGCTTGGACAGTAGAGTCACCCACCACTGCTTGAGCCAACTGGCCTGGGCAGGAAGCATGTCACACAAGATCTGCTTCTACAAGGCTGCAGTGACGGGCAGACTGGAGAGGACCAGGTTTCAATACAGCGTCAGAGAACCACAGGGAGAGACGGGGTCGGGGCTGAAGCACACGAGACCACATTTGGGACCTTGGCATGATCCGAGGAGGCAGGAGGACCCCTGAGGATGATGGATGTGGGCCTCCTAAGCAACACTGGGGAATGGGAGGTTTGTGGCATGGTTTGATTGAATCAAGGAAGATTAATGTGGAGATTTTTCCATCTGAATATCTCCACTGCATGTGATAAAAATACAAACATATCATCCTTCTTAAACACCTTTGTTTGGAAGGGTTATTTTATAAAAAATGTAAAGTAAAAGCTTCCCTTAATATATTTTGCTCTTTAAAAATGAAACATATTATCCTTAAAAAAAGAATGGAGCCAGGCATGGTAACTCTTGCTCAGGAGGCTGAGGGGAGAGGATTGCTTGAGTCCAGGGGTTCAAGACCAGCCTGGGCAACATAGCAAGGCCCTTGCTTCTAAAAAAATTAGACTTTCTTTTGTTATTTCATTGTAAAATTTAAAATGGTTTGGGAATTACATTTTGATCACTTGTTGCAGCAATTTGTTGAAGAGACCATTTTAAGTCCAAGTATGAATCAAATTATACCTCATTTTAAACTCATGCTAACTGCTTTCTTGTCAAGACATTAGAATTTTCTTTCTTCTTTTCTTTCTTTCTTTTTTTTTTTTTTTTTTGAGACAGGCTCTCACTTTGTTACCCAGGCTGCAGTACAGTGGCATGATCTTGGCTCTTTGCAGCCTCGACCTCCTAGGCTCAAGCGATCTCTTGCTTTAGCCCCCTACAAGTAGCTGGGACTATAGGTGTGCTCCACCACGCCCAGCTAATTTTTTTGTAGAGACAAGGTTTTGTCACGTTGCCCAGGTTTTGTCACGTTGTCTCGAACTCCTGGGCTCCAGTAATTCATCTGCCTCGGCCTCCCAAAGTGCTGGGATTACAGGTGTGAGGCACCGTGCCTGGCCTGGAATTTTCTAAAGTGGTTTGTGGTCAGACACTTGTAAGATCTGAGGACATGTTTCCCAGGAATGTGAAGGATCATCTTGACAGCATCCCATGGGGCCCAGAGTAAGCCCTACACTGCTCTGGGAAGCGTCATCCAATCCCTCAAATCCATGCAGTCCTGGCTTCTGCCAGGCACTGGCACATGCTGCCCTCCTGATACAGCATGACAGACAACCTGGGCTCTGTTAGTGGCTTTATTTTCACCTTTAAATTTAAAAAACAATTTCTTCAAGTAATAATTCAAAACAACCAGTGGTTTTCTATTTCTAAAAAAGTAATCCATGACATAAATGAAGATTCGAACTTATGAATGTCTAGGCACTGCCAGGTACTGTCTCAGAAATCTTTCACTATCGTCCATCTAACTCTTAGCTGTTCTCCAAATTCAAGCTTACAGAGGTCTTTGATTTCACCTAAGTTTTTTTTCTTAAAATCAAGTGTCTTCTGAGGTTTGTAGTGCACATCTCTAGTGCCAGTTCTGATTCACAGGTCTTGAAGTGGCTTAGTGGTTTTCATCGGTTATTTTCCAACGCACCAGTGACTTTTCTCCCCAGCTGGATTATAAATTCCTCAGGCTGGGATTGCAGCTTTCCAGACCCCTGGCACAGGCTATTTGGTGCAGTTGTGCTCAAGAAATGTGTGCATCTCCATGCATCTCAATACAGACACACCGCCATTTCTTATTCTATCTTCTGTCTTTATAAAATTCATCTCTGACCACTTTATAAAATTCGTCAAGAACCTGCCAGAGCTCCCCATTTCCTACTGAATTAAATACAGAGTCCTCTATGAGCTCTTTGAGATCACTGCCTTGCAGCCCAAACTTCCTTTCTTCTATTCCCAAATGAATATGAGACTGCATCAATGTGAATCTCCACCTGGGTTTGTAGCCAGGCGGGCATGCTCAGCATCTGTAGGCCTCAGTTCTCACACACCTGGCCATGCATCACCTTCGCCTGGGAATTGTGTCTATTTCACCACAATTAAAATAACCTGGGAAGCTTGAAAAAAATCTCTAGGCCTTATATCAACCTTAGCATATGAAAATCCGTGGGGTGTGAGGCCCAGGCATGCAAATTTTAAACCAACACACCCGATGATGCTTATATACTGCCCAGCACAGCTCATGGCCCCGAATTTGGAATCAGTCTTGAGCAAACTGTCAGTCTGCCACTGCATTTAGCAACATAGAAACACAAAAAGGACTTTTAATGATCTCTTACTCTCTGTAAGTTTCTATGGTTCAGTTAAGACACTTTCCAGAAGGTCCTGGAACTTATCTCCTGTATCCTCAGAAAGGGCCTCCTAACCTTTGGGCCACAAAGCGTTGAGAAGAAAGTAGGTTCGTAGTCTAACCAGGAAGCCAGTGTAGAAAAATCTGACTCTCTTTCCCTCTTCGTATCTTATCTCTACTCACCTACTAGCTTTCTAACAGTTGCGACTAGAAAGGCAGTGCCTTATCAAGGAGTTACAAGGTGATAAACCATTGGAAACCCGTAAAGAGGCAGCAGGTGCCATTCGGATCTCAATTTCCTCCTCAAAAAATAAGAGCCATTGATTAGGGGGCCTCTAAATTCTTGTACTGGGAAAAAAATATAAAAAGAGAGCCATTTCTAATAAATCCATTTTGCTAATTCTCATATGCATGTCTTTTATGCAATTTTTAATGTGAAATTTGGAATTGTCTCGCAATTGAGATGTACTTTTAATGTGCTGTTCCCTTCCTCTCTCACTGTGGTCATTAACATGTTTTAGATATAATCCATGATGTACTATAATCAAGAACACTTGGAATATTTTATGTTGGGGACACAGCGTTTCCCTCCCTGTTGAGTGTTTAGTTTTTTTCCCTTCTCTTTGCTGTCTGAGGAGAGAGGAGAAAAAAGCCCTATGGGAGAATTCTTGAGAGAATAGCAATTTTAGGAGAAAATCTACCCTCCCAGAGGCCTTGTTAGCCCAGGTAATGCTTGAGAACATCACCTGGGGATGCTGGGAGTGAGGAGGAGGGAGAGGAGAAGGGGACAGGGACCCAGATGTGGGCTTCCTGGGTATCACTGAGCACTCTCCTGGCCTAGAAAAGGGAAAGGCCCCTGGGAGTCTTGGGTGCTAGAAAACAGACAAAAGAAATTTTAACAAAGTCAAAGGTGATATTTCTGGCAGCTGTGAATTGAAATGAGCAGTTGCCAGCTCTGGGCAGCATTCTAAGTGTTACCCAGAAAAGCAGAGCTGCTCTGCAGGAGCTGAGGTTGTGGGGAGGAAGAAGGCCCAGGAGCTGAGCTCATCCCTTCTCCCCGTTTCATCACTTCCAACATCTCTGGGATGTGGAAACATGATTTGAAAGCCACAGCCCTTCTCCCAGGCAAGCCCTCCATGAGGCCACATGGGAAACATTTTTCCAGGCCCTGGGAACAGAAGTAATGCCTACGAACAGCAAATGGTTAAGTCCTATAAGCACTGATCTTGTTTCTTTGTTTGCTTTGGCTGCTAGGAATCTTAGAGCCACAATTCAAGTTGATCTCTTGTAGCCAAGTCCCTCCAGTGGAAGGCCTTGTGGTATTCCTCAGTTTTATGTTCTCAATGTACCCTGCCTTTGTTTCCCTAGTCTACCATTATTTTTCCATTTATGTGGTCTTCCTAACCACTTCATTCTTTGCTGTTGCTTTGTGTGCGGTTGTGAAAATTGCATCAAATGCTTTGGAGCAAGGCAAACAAACTGCCTAAGTTGCCATAGTCTTGGGGAGGGCGTTACTGCAGAGGTGATGGAGGGTGCAGCTGCTCCACTCCACCTGGGGGACGAGTGGCAGCTCCTTTCATGGGGCTGACACTCCCTCTTTCCGGAACTGCCGGGACCAGCTCTTTGCTGTGCTGGACCTCCTGGTTCCCCTGGTGCTGACCCCTCAGTCCCATCAAAACCACCAGCAAGGTGGCCTTGAATGCCACGAAAAAGCATGTTTGTTCACGTACATCCACTGCAATGGGTGTGTTGTTTATGCATCTGCTGTGAGTTACTGCCATATGCATGGGCACAAACATACGCACGCTCACACACGTGCACACACACACACAGGTGCTCCCACACAACATGTGCCCCCTGCATGCACACACATGCAACCAGACGTGCACACATGCATGCATGCACCTCCCTACATACAAACATGTGCCCCTGTACATGTACACACACACACCCATGCCCACGCACACATATGTGCACACCCATGCACCCATACCTATGCGCATACGCACCTGCCCACACTCAAGCACTTGCACACACAGCACACATGCACACACACACACAGGCACTGGCTCCTGGGCCTGGTGCTATGACGAGGAAGAAGGAAATATAAATGGAATATTTCCCACTCAAGGAACTAGCTGAGTGCCAGTGATAGCTTCATGGAGGCCATCCATCGCGGTTTCCCTCCTCACTGGTCAGGCATAGGGACCCCATTGTGGCCATGCCCCCCTTTAGCTTTGGTGACACCAGTGACTCTTTTGTCCTTTGGTTTGGCTGAGTGTTGTGTGCTTGTCATTGCCCTATACGTGTTTAAAACTCTTCCTTTGTTCCAATTTCCTTAGAGTATTTGTTGTGGTTTTTAATACTACCTGCCAAGCTCTCAACCACGGCTGACTTGGTAGTTGTTGACAAGTGAGCAGTGGATTTGGGCCTCTGCCTTAAACTCTATGTGAACCAGCTCACTGGGACAGAGGGCATGGCCAGGGCTTCAGGGCCCCCAGGGCCTTACCTGCCACTGAGCTCACTTTGGGACTACAGTAGGCTCTTCAGCCAACATGGGCAACAGATCCTTGCCCCCCTCCTTTTTTAAGACTTTCCTTCCGGGTGATGGGTGTCCTCTGAGCCACTCAACTTGGCCCACTTTGCTTGCAGTCCCGAGCCATGACCACCATCCTCAGTGTAGGAATAATAGGCTGGCAGAGACAACGTCTCCATGACTGGAGCGTGGGTGGCTTGGGCTGATACCCTGCCCAGAGGCCCTACCAGGGCCCTACTGGGCTCCTGCTCAGAACCGGGCTCCTGTGTATCTTCCCTCCAATCCTGGGGCACGGTGAGTTGTGAAGGCACAGTACCGTTTGTCACCAGCGTCCCCTGCCTCCTGTTGCTCATGCTGCCTTCCTTTTCTGCCCCCGTGTGGTTTCACTGACTTGAAAGGCCCATGCTTCTGGCTGAAGGTGAGAAAGAGAGGTGGATAGAGCATGCCGGGCCCCGAGGAGAAGGCAGGCTGCCTGGGCTGTAGGTCAGAGGGCAGGAGGACTGTAAGCAGGGCCCAGATGTGCACAGAGGATGACTTTAGAGGAGGTGACCACATAATATCCCAACCCAACCCACTTGCTTGGTTAAGGGGAAGGGGGCTGAAGCAATCACTGCCCTGGGATAAGAAGCAAGAGGGGCGCCTGTAGTCCCAGCTGCTCAGGAGGCTGAGGCAGGAGAATGACATGAACCCGGGAGGCGGAGCTTGCAGTGAACCAAGATCGTGCCACTGCACTCCAGCCTGGGTGACACAGCGAGACTCCATCTCAAAAAAAAAAAAAAAAAAAAAAAAAAAAGAAGCAGGACGGGGGCCAGGCGTGGTGGTTCACACCTGTAACCCCAGCACTTTGGGAGGCCGATCACCTGAGGTTGGGAGTTCAAGGCCAGCCTGACCAACATGGAGAAACCTCGTCTCTACTAAAAATACAAAATTAGCCAGGAGTGGTGGTGCATACCTGTAATCCCAACTACTTGGGAGGCTGAGGCAGGAGAACTGCTCGAACCTGGGAGGTGGAAGTTGCGGCGAGCCAAGATCACGCCATTGCACTCCAGCCTGGGTAACAAGAGCAAAATTCCGTCTCAAAAAAAAAAAAAAAAAAAAAGTAAAAAGGAAGAAAGAAAAAAAGAAAAAAGAAAAAAAAAGCAGCCGGACTGGGACCTGTGGCCCTAGCTAGAGGCTGTGCCATGGAGCTCGGTCTTCATGTGGAACACACTGGGGTTGCCACTGAAGGGTTTATTTCACAGGACAATATGGGATTTGCCTTGTGATTTTTAGGGATCTCTCCAGCTTCTGTGCCCAGGGGCCTTGTGGTCTTTATTCCACTTTGGCTCCTTAGCCCCATGGCCACACCCTGACCATAGCAGCTTCCAGGACTGTGGTCTGATGTGCCAGTCTCCACTCAGCCCAGGGCCCCAGCGCTCCCTTCCCTGATGGCAGCCACATGGCTGGTGATAGAGCCGCATCCCATTTCCCTGGTACCTCATACAACCATTCCCCAGCCCCGATATCACACCCATGACCCTCTGTTTGCCCGCCTTCCAGACCCTCACCCCTGGAACCACCTGGGGCTGTTTTCTTCACCCTAACCCATGGGGCCGAGTGCAGCTGCCAAAGACCCCACAGTCGAGTGGGTGTGGACTCCTCTTATGTGTGGCCCAACCCCAGCTGCTGCTGGGCTCTTGTTAGTCCTTCTGTGTACCTTAGGTCAGGGCCCTGTCCTACTCTCTCCAGGGCTAAATGCCCTCAGTGTGCAGGTTAAGCTTTCATTTAGGTGGAGATGACCAGTGAGTAGTTGGAGGATGGACAGGAAGCAGGCACTGGGTGGAGAGGGCCAGGGTCAGTGGGAGTAGCTGGAGCCCATCAGGGGTGGGAGGGAGAAGAGGGCTGCAGCAGAGCCTGGAATGCACTCACTGTCCCCAGAGCCCACCCCTCCCGCTGGGTTACCTGTCTCATATGGTGGCATCCACACTTGGCAATGAATCCAATCAGACCTGGGAGTCATTTGGGCTCCTTGGTCCCCTTTGTCC
The DNA here is from genome assembly GCF_000001405.40 of Homo sapiens. Taxonomy (NCBI): domain Eukaryota; kingdom Metazoa; phylum Chordata; class Mammalia; order Primates; family Hominidae; genus Homo; species Homo sapiens. The sequence continues at coordinate 122,553,315 of NC_000010.11, forward strand.
CCACTCCCCTGATATCCATTCAGCCCCCAGCTCATGTTTCTCACTGTAGTTCCCATCATCTCTGAAATATCTTCCTTCCCCATGGCCGCTGGGTCTGCTTCATCCCTGGAGCGCAGGGTCCATGACTTATTCACCTGCGTGTGCCTTGATGGGGAGCTGGCCTGGCAAACAGACCAGTGTTCCTTACAAGTTTGCTTCATGCAAATGTTATCTGTGTTGTGCAAGCCTCAGAATCCCCTGGAGGGCGTGTTAAAACACAGATTGCTGGGTCCCACACTGCAGCCTCAGATTTTGCAGTTCTAGCAAGTTGTCAGGCAATGCTGATGCTAGTGGTCTAGGGCCTGTGCTTTGAGAACCAGTGCTCTCGTGCATGGACTGATTGGCTGCAACTATGCTGGTACTCAACGTATGGTCTGGTCCATTCAGATGGAAGTGGCTCAGGGGTCCATGCAACAATTAGAATGCCCTTAGATCCATCTGCTTTTTTTTCTTTTCTTTTCTTTTGAGGTGGAGTCTCTGTGACCCAGGCTAGAGTGCAATGGTGTGATCTCAGTTCGCTGCAACCTCCACCTCCTGGGTTCAAGCGATTCTCCTGCCTCAGCCTCCTGGGTAGCTGGGATTACAGGCCACCACCATGCCAGACTAATTTTTGTATTTTTGGTAGAGACGAGGTTTCACCATGTTGACAAGACTGGTCTCGAACTACTGACCTCAGGTGATCCACCCGCCTCGGCCTCTCAAAGTGCTGGGATTACAGGCCTGAGCCACCGAACCCGGCCTGATCCATCTGCTTTTTGTGGCATCCTTATTCTACTGGACTTCCAGGCAATTCCAGCCAATTGTAACTTGTTTTCACACAACTCAGTAAAACCCACCCCACTGTCCCCACTGTCCCCATTGTTCAGGAACTGTGCAGTTGTTTGCGAGGCTTAAGGACAGGTCTGATTTGGGGTACACTTGAAAGAGTCCCATATCTCTTATGTACCAGATATGGACTCTTTTTAAGAGTCCCATATCTGTTATGTACCAGGGCTTCATGTGTGGGATTTGGGAGGGCAGTCATGCTGATAAGCATTTAGAGGTGCCCAGAACAGTTCTTTATGCAGGAAGGATGATGACAGGTTCCATTATCTTGATAAGAGTTTCTTTTGGATGCCATCCAATTTCCTTGTCCTCATTCTTTGCTCCCCAAGCAAACTATTGGTATATAATTTTGTCCCTCAAGCAGACTAATTCTGGAGCCAAAGTATACACCCTATTGGAAATAAATGAATTGGCCTCCTGGTTTACCAATTAGTGTTTGGTGAGTACAATTAGTGTACCTGGGTTTCCTGGAACCTGATCACTCTGGGCTGAGCAATCTCCGAAAGGCTGGCTTAGTGATGCTATCCTGCCTGAAATGCTACCCCGGGCTGGTGCTTTGGTGACTTTGTTCTTGGACCTGAAACCAGGGTTTCTTTGCTCAGTTCCAATAACCCTTTGGAGAGGCAGCACACTGTGCTTCACCAAGCTCAAGTGCCTTAATGGGAAAGAGTTGCAAAATAACTTCGGGAGGATGGTGATTGTTGGTGAAGTAGAATGGCTCTTGGAATCTGGGGTGGAGGAATGAGGGTAGCACAGAGGATCCGGGAGTGGGAGTCACAGCTTCAATCTCCTTTTATTTTCCCTCTTTGCTGTAAGCCTCCCCTGAACTGCTAGTTGCCTTCGTGATTATAACCAGGTCAGTGTAGATCTAGTGTTGCCATTAAAAATATTCTCTCTTCACTCTTTCGGGGATAGGCCACTTACCACCTTTTGTAGGGCTTATGTCAAAAAATCTGCACTCTCCCTGATGACCTCAGAGCCAGTTTTCCTTCTCTACCCATTCCTTTGAATGGTTCTGAATAGCAAGATGTCCTTTGGTGTAGAGGACTCAAACCTACCATTTGAATGGAAACATAGTCTTTTCGTGGGAAGGGGAAAGATTCAGTGTCTTTTGGAAAAATACCAGGCTTTGGGGTCAGACCTCGATTTAAGCTCTGGCTCTGCCAGTTTCTGGGTGTGTGACTTTGAGCAAGTTACTTAACCTCTCTGAGCCTCAGATTTCTCATACCAGGGGCAGTTAGTAGGTAAATGTGATGCCCTATCCAAAGTCGTCCTCCCTACCACAGCTATTCTCTATGCCATTGCCTTGTTCATTTCCTCCATAATTCTTACCACAATCTGAAACCCTTCTCCCTGCTGATTGATTTCTTGTCTGTTGTCTGTTTTGCCTCCCTGTGAGGACAGGGAGCATGTCCATCTGGCATTAGGCTGCAGCCCCACCCTCTAGAGCACTCCCTAGAGCAGTGTCTGGCACATTGGAGGCATCAGCGTGTATTTGCTGAATGAGCAGATGAATGAACAGCATTATCCTTCGGCAAACACAGAACTCACTTGAACCATCTGTGCAAAGGGGCCTGGTCCTCCTCTTCCAGATCTGCCCATGCTCATCCAGTCAATCAATCTGCAGACCTATCTATCTATCTATCTATCTATCTATCTATCTATCTATCTATCTGCATATATATATATATCTATATATACAATTTTTTTCGAGATGGAGTCTTGCTCTGTTGTCTAGGCTGGAGTGCAGTGCCATGATCTCAGCTCACTGCAACCCTTGCCTCCTGGGTTCAAGTGATTCTTCTGCCTCAGCCTCCTGAGTAGCTGGGACTACAGGCATGTGCCACATTCCCAGCTAATTTTTTAGTATTTTTAGTAGAGACAGGGTTCGCCATGTTGGCCAGGCTGGTCACAAACTCAAGTGATCCACCCACCTTGGCCTCCCAAAGTGCTGGGATTACAGGCATGAGCCACCGTGCCTGGCCTGAATGCAGATATTTCTTGAGCGTCTACTACTATGTGTGAAGCATTGTTCTAGGTTCTGAGTATACAGCAATGGATAAAACAGACAAAAATCCCACCTTGTATAGCTTGCATTTTAGTCAGAGCAGACAGGCAAAAGAATAAAGAAGTGAAATAGAAGGTGGCCAGATGGTGAGGAGTGCCGTGGGGAGAGGATGGGAGTGTTAGGGAGTGCTGGGGAGGGGCAGTCGGTAAGGCTGCATGGAGGCGGTGCTATGTGAGAAAATCTCTGGAGGAGGGGAAGGAGTGAGTCTCCAGACATTTGGGGAAAAAGTCTTCAGGCACAGGGAGCAGCAAGTGCAAAGGCCCTGGGGCTGGATGATGGTTACAGGGGGCAAGGGGGAGAGAGAGGCAGGGGTATCTTGTGCAGGGCCTTATAAACCATGGGAGGGCTTTGAGCCTTACTCTGAGCAAGATGGGAGGCATGCAATGGGATTTCTGTGTGTCAGGGGTCCCTAGAGGGCTGTGTTTGTTGCTGGAAGATTCCGCGGTTGGATGGCATCCTGATGAACGTGGAGCTCATCTGTCCTTCAGATGGGGGGCAGCAGCTGCCGTGAGTGCTGTCCTGGACATGGTCTCAGCTCTGTGTGTCATTTCCCTTCTCTGGACCTCATCGTCCCCAGCTGGAGGCTGAGTGGTGGAGGAGAACTGGCTCGTCACCAGCCCCCGTTTAACCACAAGACTTCTTTCTGGGGACCCCTGGACAGCATGGGTGAGCCACTCACAATCCCCACCTTCAAAGCCATTGCCTGCTGAGCACCTGCTCTGCTGGGGCACTGGGATCACAGAGGGGCAGCAGGAGACAACGGGTCTCAGCTTGATCCTCAAAGCCCAGCAAGGAGGTGTGGGGCAGTGGGGGGTGGGGGGAGTGAGTGAAGGAGGGTAGGAAGGGGTCCCCTTATAACCCGATTGGGAAGACCGGCTCTCTGAGCAACAAAAATGAGCGACATTATAAATATCAGACATACAATGTCAAAAGATTGTTACAACGGTAACGATGACCAGCAATTATGGTGTGCTACTCAATGAGGGTAAAATTAGAGTTTGGGGTCAGACTGACACCTGAAGGGGAGCCCTGGTCACACAGATTACAGGATTCAGGGACTGGAAGGCAAACAGCAGCAGCCGGAAAGTGCTACAGCCCCGACCCTTCCCACCAGGCTCCCCGTCCTTCTGTCCCCCTCGTCTGTCTGTCAGGTCACAGGGCTCCTGGTTCAGAAATCAGAGACCCCTCAGAGGTGGGAGGTGGGAGGGGCCCTGGGCTGCCTCCCTGATCTCCGTCTTCCTCTGGCTTCCCAGGGCACTGGTCTGTGGGTAGAAAGAATCTTTAGAAGAAGGAGAACAACGGGCTGTTTTGGGAAGTCTGCCTGGGACCCCAGCTCAGCTTCGTGGCAGGGATGTGTGCCTGGCAGCCCCAGGGGCCCTGCTGGGCCTCTCAGTGCCCTGTCTTATGAAGGGAGGTCTTGGCTTCCCACAGGTAATCCTCAGCTCTGACGGCAGGTGGCCCTAGGGGAGGGGCCTGGAAGGGGACTCCCTCACCACACTCGGGAGCATTCCACTGGCCTGTTTTATGTTTTGGGGCTTCCCCATGAATTCCAATTTAGGAAAGGATTCTGTAGCTTTAAAAAAAAAAGCCATACATGGCCGGGCGCGGTGACTCATGCCTGTAATCTCAGAACTTTGAGAGGCCGAGGCAGGCAGATCGCAAGGTCAAGAGATCGACACCATCCTGGCCAACATGGTGAAACCCTGTCTCTACTAAAAATACAAAAGTTAGCTGGGTGTGGTGATGCACGCCTGTAGTTCCAGCTACTCGGGAGGCTGAGGCAGGAGAATCGCTTGAACTTGGGAGGCGGAGGTTGTAGTGAGCCGAGATTGCACCACTGCACTCCAGCCTGGGCGACAGAACAAGACTCCGTCTTAAAATAAATAAGTAAATAAATAAATAAATGGCCACATATGATCCAGGGGGCTCTTCCCCATAATGACCAGTCCTCTGGTGCTGGGATTTAGGGGCTTGGTCCCACCTCCTGGAGTGTGCTGTGGGGGTGCCGCTGGCTTAATTGCCTGGGGAAGGTGCTTTGCAAATGGGGCCCGGGCGCCGAGTCTCTGAGCTTTAATGGGCTTATCTTGCTTCCTGTTGTTCTTCATGGCAGTTCTGGGGTGAATAAAATGGAACTTTGTGGTTGTGGTCTTCCAACCCCTGCTGTTTAAGCAGATGCTTCTAACCAGTAGGAAGGGGAAGATGAGGGTCCTCTGGCAGGGGCTGCTGCTGGAGGAGGTTGTCCCCCTGAACCCTTCTCTTAGTCCAAGGAAAGACCTCCCTAAATGGTGTCTTATGAGCCACAAAATGGCCTTGGGACAAGATGAGGCACCTGACGGTGAAGGCTGAGGTCCCACACGGTGTTGGCAGGTGGCCCTCAAGCCCATTGTCTTCTGCCCGCATGCCCAGGACCGCCACATCCTTCCTGTTCCACTGACGTCACCCATTTCCCACCTGGGATGCCTACCTGGGCTGGCTTTGAAATGACAGCTAGGCTTCACCACTTCCTTCTTCCTGGTGTCTCCTGAACAAAAAGCTCACAAACCTTATTTTCTCAGGATCTTTTCTGCTAACCACCATGGGCAAAAGATGCAGTCAAAACAACAAAAACGGGGAGGTTACGCAGTTCAGAAAATCCCACACATTCTCAAGAAGGGTGTCCCCGCCAAGCTGAGAGATACCTGGGACATCATGCTTTCCTGGAGGGGAAGGCTCCCTGCCCCCATTCCTGTACAGCCGGGAGAGTCGCTCCTGTTCGTCATCCCATCTTCTCGCTCTCATTTGCTGGGCTGACCTCTGCTGGTATTTCAAGACTGTTTGGTGCCACCCTCTCTGAGAGATGGCCTCCCTCATCTGATTTAGATGCTTTTCTTTACCTTCTCATAGCAGCTTGTACTAATACTTGCTACCCCCTGTTGAAATTGTCACCAGGCAGGTCTGTCTCTAAGACCAGACAGTCTGCTTTTGTCTTGGAAGGACACTTATTACCCCTTCCTGTTCACAGGTATTTAGTATTCTTACCATCATCTTTCCCTGCTGTGCTCCCGGCAGACAATTCTAATCTGTCATGACACTCTGATGATCCCAGACCCAGCTGCATTATCATTCTCAGTCCAACACTCCAGGAACCAAGGGATCACAATCCACTTCTAAGAGGAATCCAGCATGTGCCTGGTCTTGGGCATTCCCTGGTAGGTGAGTAAACCTGTTCTCTCGTCACCCAGTGCTTATCAGTTGCTGATCTGGCAGTAGGAGGATGAAACACAGTGAGCCTATTCTGTGTTCCTGTTCTACTCAAGGGGTGAAGAGGCACCTGGAAACAACAGGAAGAGTTGTAGGATTAAAAAGGACATCCAAGATTAAATGTAACTTTCATCTGGATGAAGCCAAAGGCAGACTTCCAGCCCTAAATTCTGACTGGTGGCTGACACAGGACATGGGTTCATGGTACCCTTCTAGAATGCAGCATAGACTACTGATGAACAGTGCATGGCAAAGAAGCCAAGTGTCATTTCATGGCCTCAGCCTCTCAGCTGAGAAGCAGGGCACAGCTCACCCAGGCTAGGAAAACAGAGGCAAGTCCTGGAAAGCTGTCTGCTTTTAACCAAGAGTTACTGGCCATCAAGTGTCTTGGTTAAAAAATAAGTGTCAGGCAACCTTCTTGGTAGAGTGTGTTGGGGGGCATTATCAGAGTCTGGTAATGACTTCTGAGGGTCCCAAAGAGTGAAGTGATATTTACATAGCAAATCCAAGGAGGGGGATTGTGTGCAATATAGGTGGAGGTGGGGGCAGGTTTTGTGGGTTTGCCAAGCTCCAAGGGTCATACAATGTGCATGTCAAGGACAAGAAATCAAAGCCATGTGAAATGGTTGGAGGTGGTTCAGTTTGAGGTCATGTGTTTCTCAGCTCCTGTTGTGGAATTAGTGTGAGACCCAGAAGACTGTGGCCAAAGCTATTATGGACCCATGGTCTCCGTGGAATCATCCCTCATGACTTCTGCTCTCTGATCACATCCACACTCATGTCATCCTCGTTCTTCCAAGGTGAGGTTACTAGTACTGCACAGGGGCTGATGAGAGCATGTCCTGCCAGGAAAAACCATCCCAGAGATGCTTTCCCCCTTGGCACTGTGTCCTGTATTTGCTCAGCAGCCCACATCCTGTTCTTCCCCAAACCTTGGGGCAGACTTCCCACAGGTGAATTTGAACTCCCCAAGATTAAAATCAAGCCCGTATTCAGGAAACACTTGGGAGTCCTTGAGGTTCACCGAGAGGGAAGTTGGAAATTTTTCACTTATGTCAGTGCGTTTGCAGTTGGGCAACAGCCAGATTGTTCATATGGCAATCAATCAAACACACCTAAGTTTTTTCCACATATTAGCCATCGACTGTTAGCAAAAGCCCTCACTTCCTTTATATTGATTTATAGCAGCAGTAGAAATATACCACCCTAGAGGACACACCTCCTTTTAGCTAGGTACCTATAAATGTCCAGGATTTTCTATTCAATTGAGAAGAACCCAGCAAAATGGGGATCTCCACAGTCATCCTTGAAATGTGTCTTTTATGGGGACAAGTTCTATCTACAGGTATTACGTTTAATTATTATATTCATTAATTTCTCTCCTGCAGACCCAATCATGGCAAATTATATCTACTACTTTCCATTACAAGGGAAGTTTTATATCAAAGAGTGGGTAGCACTTTGCTGATAATTGTAATTGTTTGCAGGTATTCAGGAGGAATGGCTCTTTTTTGTTTTATTTCTGGCTGAGAAATATAAATGGTTGTAGTTAGAAAAAGCCAGTCATTAAGTCAATGTTTTCAGTAAGTCATTCAACTAAAGGAATGATTGATTTGTCTTAGAAAAATCCCTGAAGTTTAGGAAAGGTGGATGTGTATTATTAAGAGGCCCTTAAACTTTGCAACAATTGGTTAAACACACAATTTGTGTGCTATGAAAACGGGCAGAAAGGATTCCCACTGCAAATGCCCTTTATGTGGCTTCTTTCTACAGGTGTGTCTGGCTTGATGGCTAATATTTGCCGAGCAAAATCAGGTCAAGTAATTGAGCGCAGACAAGATCATTAAGATTCCAAGTTTGTCTTGGAATTCCAAGTTTCTCTGTCATGCACAGCTTTAAACAAACACTTGAAGCCCAGTCACTCAAGCATAGCTGTATGTTCTTAGAGAGTCAGATGATAAACGTGAGAGAGCCGTCGGTAGCGCACTCTGATTGCTGCATCTCAATGGCATTTTGCAGAGATACTAGAGGAACAAGTGATTCTCAGTTTGCCTATTTTGTCTCTCTCTTCCTGTCTCTCTGCCTCTCTCTCTCTCTCTTTCTCTCTTATCTATTGTGTAGTTATTATCATCTTTTCTCTCCCCTCTCTCTCCCTCTGTTTCTGTCTGTCTGTCTGTGTTTCTCTCTCTCTCTGTATCTTTCTCTTTTTCCCATCTTTTGGGCAGATATCACCTTTTCTTCCTCCTCCTCCCTCTGTTTCTGCCTCTGCCTTTCTCTCCCTGCCCCCCTCACTGTATCTTCCTGTCTTTCTCATCTATCAGGCAGTTATTACCTTTCCTCCCTCCCTCCTCCTCCTTCTCTGTTTCTCTCTCCATCTCTCTTTCTCTTTATTGGGCAGCTATTATCACCTTTCTCTCTGTCTCTGTCTCTCTTTCTCTTCAACTATTGGGCAACTATTATCACCTTTCCTCTCTCTCTCTATCTGTTTCTCTTCATCTGTCAGGCAGCTATTATCACCTTCCCTCCCCCTCTCTTTTTCTCTCTCACTCTTTCTCATCATCTATTGGGCAGCTCTTATCACTTTTCCTCCCTATTTCTCTCTCTCTCTCTCCCTTTGTTTCTATCTTCTTTCTACCTTCCTTCCATCCCTTTTTCTTTCTCTCCCTCTCTTTATTCATTTCTTTCTTCCTTCTTCTCTTTTATCTTTCCTACTGCCTTTTTTTTCTTTTATGTCATCTTTTGCTAGATTTATGAATTTCAGGATACAGGGTAAAAATCACCTAATTTTCAGGTAACTTCTGGAACTGTCACTCTCCCCCTAGGCTCAGTGGGGGAAGCTTTGAAGATTAAGGTTCATCTGGTTGGTTGCTTTCATGAAAGCAGCACCCCCAAACCCAGCCCTCCCACCCAGGTGGTAGGGAGCAGGCCCACCCCCTGTGATGAGTGTGTGGAGGGACTGGGGGCCACCAGGCCCAGGACCTCAGGGGAGTGGAGACTGGGCATCCTCATCCTGCCTCCATCAGAAGCATCTGAAACTGGGAGGCTGCGTCCTCAGCCCCAGCTCTTGTCAGTACCGAGTTCACCCTCCAGATTGTCTCTGAACCATGACATGGAATTCACATCAGCCACTGTAGACAGGGAGTGAATTGCCTCGTCTTTATCTACAAAGAAACAACAGGCAGCAGTGCTCTTGGATTGAGGACATTTGTAGTTTGCCCATGATGTTATGTGCATGCATATGGACAGACATGCACACATGTGCATGCATGCCTGTGTTTGCCATTCAGAGGTGGGAATTCATGCTCTCTGAAGTGGACCTGTATTCTCTTATTTAAATCTTCTAACATTGCTGAAGTTAGGAACAATTATTTCCACATTTCAGATGGGGAAACTGAGGCTCAGAAAGGTTATTGGCTTGTCCAAAGACAGCACTGGTGAGTGGCTGGGTTAGGGCTTGAATCTGGATCAAATTCACTAGCATTCAGATGACAGCTCTGGCCCACTGGCCCTTGCTGCTCCTTGCAGGGAACTGAGGTGATGAACTGAACTGTGGCATCTAACTCAGTGCTTGGAGCCTGACCACAGAGCTTTGCGCTGGAAGTACCGAGGTGGCAGGCACCTGTCAGCTCTGGTCTTCATGCAAACTCTTGAGAAAAACTCAGTATGCCCAGGTTTGTGCTGGGCAGGAAAGGCTGTGGTACCCACTGCTAGCCCCAGCAATGCCCCTCCTCTGCCACTTGCCTGCTGTGGATCCTCTGTGACCCTCAGTTTACTCATTTATAAATGGAGGTTATGTTCCAACCCATGCAGTATCTGGCACATAGACAGAGCCTCAGAACCATTTAGTGTTACTACTCTAGACATTTTCCTCATGTTTTATCCAAAAGCAGCTTCCTAAAAGTAATGTGAGCTCTTGGATTGGATCCTGCAACAGAAAATGAAAAACTGGTGAAATCCAGATAAAGCCTGGAGTAAACTTAGTAGGAAGGTACCAGTGTTTGTTAGCATGAGAATCACTTGAACTCAGGAGGCAGAGGTTGCCGTGAGCCGAGATTGTGCCACTGCACTCCAGCCTGGGTGACAGAGTGAGACTCTGTCTCAAAAAAAAAAATTAATAAATCATTTTCCAGAAGTGATTCTTCTCCCTTCAGGCAATTTACCACCATTCCCACAATGGCAGCTGGAGTAACCTACAGCTATGTGGTTGATTCTTGGAAGACTACAGATTGGTCTCAGTATGTGCAGAAGGGTCTATTCAAAATGTGTGGACACAGCAGAACCAGGAACAACTTCAATGTGGTGTTCCATGCTGTGGATGAGCCTTGTCAAGGCTCTGGCTGGATGAGTTCGACTGCCATGGGATTAGGCAGGATACCTGGGACCTGGCAGTGGGAATTGCATGGTGTCAGGTAGACTGTGTTTAAATGGCCGAGTTTTGAATGGAAGGCTCTCTTAGGCACATCTATCAGCTCGTTCTTGAGTGTGGGAGCAGGGATGGCATGTCAGAAAAGAGGTGGGGATGTTCTGGTACAGAGTTCCCTAGTTTGCTATCTCTGTTGAAAGAATGTTGTGGTTTCTATTGCGAGTTTCTTCTTCATTTTCAGGGATGCATAGCCACATGGTTTCAGTGGCCCCCTTCCTAAGCCATCAATATGAAGCAGGGCAGCTGGGGGAGCCCATCATGGAGCTCATATTCAGGCTGTTGAGGCAGGTGAAGATGTTCTCTGACATACGGCAAGTCCTGTCACTGGCCTGTTGGTTCCATTAGAGAAATTCAAATCTCTGAACTGTGACTGTCACTGCTCTCAGGACCCACATTTACAAAGAATCTGAAGAGCCGGGCATGGTGACACATGCCTGTAGTTCCAGCTACTCTAGGGCTGGAGGCAGGAGGCTCGCTTGAACCCAGGAATTTGAATCTAGCCTGGGCAATAGAGCAAGACTCTATCTCTAAAAATAAAATAATAATCTGATAATTTTGTCAAATGCCTTAATCCTCCTTTTACCAGGAAGTAAAAAGAAAAGGAATAATGAAAGAAAGTATGCTGGAATTGTTAATAAGAATTTAAACATAGCAGACCTTTTTGTATCACATACATTTTGGTATATAAACATCATAAAAGACAAAAGAATACCATCACATGTATTTTTTTTTTTTAGCAAAATAAGATGGTTGAAGTTCTTGTTGCAAAATATCATGTGATGAAATCCCTATCGAAGTGTGTAAGAGTACTGTATTTTATTTTTGTCCTTAGAATTGTATCATTGACCCTGGATTCTTGAATTTGAGAAATTCATCTAGGATATCATCATCTGAAGACTCATAGTCTGAGATTTCTGTTGTACAATCAATTCTACCATTATTAGTATCTGGAGTGCTATATCTTGTCTCTATATTCCTCTTCTGGTTCATCTAATTATTGCAGAAACATCTTCCCTTGTCAGTTTTCTTCTCTTTGCCATCACAAGTAGAAAATGAAAAAATTTGAATTTTTAACTGCATTCAATGAAAGCTAAAAACAGACTATGAAGAAAGTGTCTCCAATCTTAAAAAAAATCTTCTTGAAAGATAATACAATACTTTGGGCATGGAAGAATTATGACTTATTTCACTAGTTCATCTTCCTTCTAGGCAACTTCACCATTCTATCATTTTCTTACTATTTAATAATTGATGAATAATGATGCAATACTTTCTTGGATGATGAAATAGTGAAATGCTTCAAGACATAGGAAAAATAAAATCAGAAGCCAATAATGAATCTTGGATTTATAAAAGGATCTAATGGATCCATATGGTGATTACAAGATAGGATGAGTTTTATCCTTTTTTTTAAATGAATAAATACTCTCTCTGATCTTTGAAAGACCTCTAAAATATATAAAAGTTGTTAAATATCAACACTCACGAGTATAGTTAGAACTGCTCAAAAAGAAACTCAAAAGCTACAGTTGAGTCCGATGGACCTTGTCTGGCCTCACTGAATATAAAGATCCAGGGATCTCTAGATTTCCATTTGCTTCAAGATGGAATAAAATGTTTTCAGGTTATGAGTCAGAAGGAACAGAATATCTGACATTAACATATTTTCTTCTTTAGGGGTCATCTGAGTGGCTGTTGTCAATGCCAGCTATACTCAAATTTCAGACTGGACAACGAGCTTAAGCTGTCTTCTCTTGTCCAGCCCTTCTTTCCAAGCATAGATTACATCCTGTCACCATAAGCTGTAGTGTTAGGGGCCTAGTAAAGAGACATATGCTTCATTACATCTAAAATGATTGAGCTCCTCATATCCAATCCACTTGCTTTAATCCGCTATTGCAGAATTCATTTAGCAAGAACGTCGGGGACACACAAACCCAAGATTGAGCCACAGCGCCCTCTGGTGTGATTGTACGGTGAAGCTAAAGCCAATTTCTGTGACTTGTAGGAAATCATTTCTAAACAGTGTTTCTAAGACGAATTTGTGTTCTTTCCAGGTGGGTGGATCCCAAGGACTACAGACTACGGTAAGACCTTTTCTTCACTCCTCTTCCCTGGTGGGGTTGGCCAGTTCTCCTCTGCTACTGTTGGCTAGTTGAGGCTGAGCACAGCTGAGGTCACAGAGCAAACGCCTGCCTTGTCGAATGCAGGAATGCCGGGGGGACAGGAGACGTGCGTGCCAAGACCTGGGGCATGTCTCAAGTGCACACTCGGCCAATCCCAGCTGTCATTCTCCTTCCTCTTGCTCTCTGACTCTCAGTCATTTATCAGATGAGGTTAGTTTCAGTTTGGTGTGAGGAGAGATAGTTGAAAATAAAGGTCAGTACCTTTTCTTTTTTTTTCTTTTTCTTTTTTCTTTTTGAGATGGAGTCTTGCTCTGTCACCAGACTGGAGTGCAGTGGTGCAATCTCAGCTCACTGCAACCTCCGCCTCCTGGGTTCAAGCAATTCTCCTGTCTCAGCCTCCAGAGTAGCTGGGACTACAGGTGCGCACCACCACGCCCAGCTAATTTTTGTATTTTTAGTAGAGATGGGGTTTCACCATGTTGGCCAGGATGGTCTTGATCTCTTGACCTCGTGATCCACCCACCTCGGCCTCCCAAAGTGCTGGGGTTACAGGCATGAGCCACTGCGCCCGGCCTACCTTTTCTTTTCACTAATAATGACAGGTATCTTGAAGATAACTAACATCTACCAAGCACTTGTTATATACCCTGCATAAAATGATTTTCATGTATGAAATGAATTGATATATTTTTAAAAAATACTTAAAATACCACCTGGCACCTAATAAGTGCTCAACTAATGCACATAGTGAGTGCTATTATCATGAAATCTTTCCAAGAACACTTTGAGGTAAGTAATACGATTATACCCATTTTGCAGATGGGAAAACCAGGGCACAGTTAGCTAATTTGTCAATATTTCTATGTCTAAGATCATGTGTCTGGTGAGTAGCAGGGCAGAGATTTGAGGCTAGGATGGGTGCCTCCTCTTACCCCTGCCCTGGTCTTTGACTTTGGCTAAATGTCCCTGCCTCTCCAGTGAGAATGTGCAGAGAACTTTGTGCCCAAGTTTAATTTTTCAGGGCCTTCCATGTGTTCACTTAGGATGACTCTGCTCCTGGGCCCTTGGCCTTGTTGAGGTCAGTCCCTCCCCTTCCAGGACATGACTTGAGAGATCCAGAAATGGCCTGGGAAAGGCAGATTTCTGACCAACACAGAGCAAGGGAGAGGCTGAGGCAGGGAGACCGAGCACTCTCCTGGAGGGACCATTCACAGGGTGACCAGGAGGGGGCGCATTGCCCTGCTGCACCTCTAGGTTCATCTCTGATCCAGAAGAGTTGCAGATGGCATAGAAGGTAGGGTGTTTTGCTCGTAAGAGGGGCCCTTCCGAATAAGGCCTCAGGTCTGAACAGGCATCTCCATGGATTATGTCCCTGAGACTGGGGAAGGACAGAGCATGGGAAGTCCAGAATGTACTTTGGGGATACCCTGAAGATGGTCCAGCTGGCCTTTCCTCCCTCTGGGAGGAAAAGCAACCTGCCCCCTCCCTTTGCATCCCATTCCAGCCTCTCACTCTGTGACCACAAGTTTCTCATAATCTCAAACTCACCATTGAAAAGCCACACCCAGGATCTGGCTCCTACTGTCAGGACGGTGGGCTGCACCCCTCAGGACCTGTACCTATTTTCCTCACACCATCAATACAGCTTACCCCAGTGGGTGGTCTAGTGGCATCACGTCGGGCAGGAACATGGTGCTTATTGACTTCCCAGCATGGCCAGCTCCATGGTGGGAAGCAGGCTCAATTAGCCCCTCCCAGGAGAGGAGGCTGGAAAAGTAGGTCGAGGCTTGCTCTTGGACTTGATCCTGATGGGACTGGAGAGTGTACTGAAGCATTTTGAGCAAGGAATTGAATTGAATATATTTGTACTTTCTAAAGATAAAACTTGAAAACCACCTGGAGACCAGTGAATCCTCTTAGTATAGAAATGGGTGCAGAGTAAGCACTCCATCGATGCTGATTGAATCAATGAATGTGGATGGACTAGAGAAAGGAAGAGCAGACACTGAGGATTCAGCTGGGAGGAGGCCAGGTTCAAGGGGATGAAGGCTTATCCCAGTGAAATGGCAGTGGGAACGACACGGAAGGAATGACCTTGGTGATGTTAGATGTAGGATGTGAGGAGAAGGAGGAGTCGAATATGATGCCCTTATTCCCAGCATGGTTAATATGGAGCATGATGACATCCTTAATTCAAACGGAGGGAAGAGGCTGTGTTGAGTTTGGGATGATGTGGGGGGTAGGATGGCCAGGAGGCCACTGAAAATGCTGGTCTAGAGCTCAGGGCTGGGCTGTCAGGGCTGAGTCAGAACCAGAGAGGTGGATTTGGGGGTCTTCTGGAAAGTTCTCAGAGTACATGAGGTTCTCCAGGGGGAAAATACAGAATGAGAAGAGGGCAAAGAGAGAACATGGAAGAACAAGGATACTTAAGATCCTGCTGGGAGAAAGATTGTAAATAAGCAGGGTGGTGAGAGGAAGAAGGAGGAGTGAGGAGGGTAGGGATGCAAGTCAAGGGGGCCGAGAGCACCAAGATAAAAGCTTCTGGCTGTGTCACTGCAGGTCTGCCTCTGAGGCTGGTGAATGGAGGTGACCGGTGTCAGGGCCGGGTGGAGGTCCTGTACCAAGGCTAATGGGGCACTATGTGTGATGACAGCTGGGACGCCCAGGATGCAGATGTTGTCTGCAGGCAGCTCGGCTGTGGCTATTCCATGTCAGCCCTGGGCGGGGCCCACTTTGGTCAGGGCTTGGGTAACATTCCCTTGGGTGACTTGCATTGCTTGGGAAGGGAGTCCTACCTGTCAAGCTGTCCCCACAGCGGATGGTACAACCACGAATGTGGCCACAGGGAAGATGCTGGTGTCATGTGCTCAGGTAGTGTGGATATCACCTTGCTCTGTGTATCTGCAACTCTGAGTCAATATTACCACACATAAGTATGTGTGCGTACATATGTGTGTGCTCTACAGCTTACCTGCTTTGCAGTAAGTCATGTCTTAATTGATATTGGAGGGCAGGTGGTACTGGCCCTTTTCATAGACAATGAAGGTCAAGGGATCATCGGCCAGTCCTTCTAAAGCTGGATATAGTGGAGGCAGGCTTCAGTCTCACCCCCCAGAGCCTGCTGATGCAATCACCTCATGGAGTGGTTTTGATGAGCAGCATCACGACCACCCCCGGCCTGGGATACCAAATATATATCTTCCTAAGTGGCAGTTTCTCCTCCTTTAAAAGCTGACGAGGATGGAGGAACTGCTGGTCCTTAAAACATAAATGTATACCAACATCAAATTGAGGAGTGAACCAAAGCATTCTCTTTATTTGGAATTAAATGACAAATAAAAGCTACTTAATATCCTCAATGGAAAAGAGAACTTCTCCTGGACCCAACCCAGCAAATCCCAGTGTTGATTTCCTTTGTTTGCGTAGTGCCAGGAAGTGTGTGGACACCAAGGGGTCCTTTAGTTCCCAAAGAAACCTTCAAGGACACTGTCCCATGGCGTGTTCCCCAAAGAGGAGTTTGTGGTTAGAATGTTCACTTCTAGAGCAACTCTGGCATTTGCCGTATGGACTGGACTGAGCCCATGCCACCATGCATGGGATGTACCCTTGATAATCCAACCAGCAAGTGGGACTGGACTCCCCAAGGGGACATGGTCCTCCATGCAGCCACTTTGTGAGTGATTTATTTCGGCATTCTGAAAAGGTTGGTATTCTTTCGAAACCACCTTTCTTTCTAGTTGAACCATCTTATCAGGAGTATATCAGTGATGGTGAATGTTTGTCATTTGAGGGTGTGTTTTAGCTATAGATACAGCCAGTTGTCATTGACATTGGATCTTGTGACTAGGATGGGGCTATGAGTGGACTTGGTGATTTTTTGAATACAGGTCGTGGCAGCAGAGGAGGTGTGGGGAGGGTAACAGGAGCAAAGGATGCTGGTGTGGCATCCTAGCCCAGCCTGGGGCCATTTCAGTGATGGAGCGATTGGCACATAGTTGGCTTTTAGCAATGGAGGGTGCCCTTAGGCCCTGGCTTCCAGTTCTTGCTTGAGAGCTGAGGAAGCCAGGGACCAGCCCTCCCCAAGCAAGGGCTACCATCAATGAGCTCTTCCTTTTCCACCTCGCAGCTTCACTGATTCCCTCGGAGGTGCCCTTGGATCCAACTGTAGCAGAAGGTAAGGTCTATTATGGGGGAACCCTGTGGGCTCATTACCCCACTGCACCCCTAGGTTCATCTCTGATCCAGAAGAGATGCAGAAGCCATACTTCTAGCAACTCTGGCATTCAGTGTTTGGGCTGACTGAACCCAGGCTACAATGCCTGGGGTGTGCCCTTGATAATCCAACTACCAAGTGAGACTGGGCTCCCCAAGGGGGCATGGTCCTCCATGCAGCCACTTTGTGATGGTTTAGTTTTGCATTCTGGAATGGTTGGTTTTCTTTCAAAACCATCTTTCTTTCTTGTTGAACCACCTTCTCGGGAATATTTCAGTGATGGTGAATATTTGTCATTTGAGGGTGTGTTTTAGCTATAGAAACAGCCAGATATCTTTTGACATTCAATCTTGTGACTAGGATGGGGCTGTGAATAGACTGTGTGACTTGTTGAATAGAGGCTGTGGCAGCAGAAGAGGTTGGGGGAGGGTAAGTAGAGCAAAGGATGCTTGTGCGGCATCTTAGCCCAGCCTGGAGCCAGTACGGTAACACAGTGATTGGCACATGGTTGGCTTTTAGCAATGGAGGTTGCCCTTAGGATCTGTGTTTCCAGCCCTTGCTTCAGAGCTGACGAAGCCATGGACCAACCCTCCCCAAACAAGGGCTACCATCAATGAGCTCTTCCTTTCTCCACCCTGCAGGTTCTCCATTTCCCTCGGAGTCGACCCTGGAGTCAACTGTAGCAGAAGGTAACGTCTACTATGGGGGATCCCTGTGGGCTCATTACCCCACTGCACCCCTAGGTTCATCTCTGATTCAGACGAGGTGCAGAGGGCATAGAAGGTAGGGTGCTGGTGTCATGTTCTCAGGTAGTGTGGATATCACCTTGCTCTGTGTATGTGCAACTCAGAGTCAATATCACCACACATGAGCACGTGTTTGTACACGTGTGTGTGCTCTGCATTTTACTTGCTTTGCTGTAAGTGATGTCTGAATTGGTGTTTGGAGGGTAAGTAGTACTGCCCCTTTTCATAGACAATGAAGGTCAAGCGGTTATCTTCCTGTCCTTCTGAAGCTGGACGTGGTGGAGGCAGGCTTCAGTCTCAGCCCCTCAGAATCTGCTGATGGAATCACCTTGTGGACTGGTTCTGATGAGCAGCATCACGACAACCCCTGTCCTGGGGTGCCAAATATTTATCTTCCTAAGTGGCAGTTTTTCCTTTTTTAAAGGCTTTGGAGGATGGGGGAACTGCTGGTTCTTAAGACATAAAGGTATCCCAACATCAAATTGAGGAGCGAACCAAGGCATTCTCTTTACTGGGAATTAAATGACAAATAAGATACTTAACATCCTCAATGGAAAAGAGAACTTCTCCTGGACCCAACCCAGCAAATCCCTGTGCTGATTTCCTTTGTTCACATAGTGCCAGGATGTGTGCAGACACCAAGAGATTTCTTTAATTCATGAAGAAACCTGCAAGGACACTGTCCCATGGTGTGCTCCCCAAAGAGGAGTTTCTGGTGAAACTGTCTACTTCTAGAGCAACTCTGGCATTCAGTGTTTGGGCTGGACTGAACCCAGGCTACCATGCCTGGGGTGTGCCCTTGATAACCCAATCACCAAGTGGAACTGGGCTCCCCAAGGGGGCATCGTCCTCCATGCAGCCACCTTTTTGAGTGGTTTAGTTTTGCATTCTGAAATGGTTGGTTTTCTTTGGAAACCATCTTTCTTGTTGTACCACCTTCTCAGGAATATTTCAGTGATGGTGAATATTTGTCATTTGAGGGTGTGTTTGAGCTATAGAAACAGCCAGATGTCATTTGACGTCCATTCTTGTGACTAGGATGGGGCTGTGAATAGACTGTGTGACTTGTTGAATAGAGGCTGTGGCAGCAGAAGAGGTTGGGGGAGGGTAAGGAGAACAAAGGATGCTTGTGCGGCACCTTGGCCCAGCGTGGGACCAGTACAGTGACAGAGTGATTGGCACATGGTTGGCTTTTAGCAATGGAGGTTGCCTTTAGGACCTGTGTTTCCAGCCCTTGCTTCAGACCTGAGGAAGCCATGGACCAACCCTCTTCAAGCAAGGGCTACCATCAATGAGCTCTTCCTTTCTCCACCCTGCAGGTTCTCCGATTTCCTTGGAGTCAACCCTGGAGTCAACCGTAGCAGAAGGTAACGTCTACTATGGGGGAGCTCTATGGGCTCATTACCCCTCTGTACTCCTAGATTCATCTCTGACCCAGATGAGGTGTAGAGGACATAGAAAGTAGTGTGCTGGCGTCAGGTGCTCAGGTAGTGTGGATATCACCTTGTGCTGTGTATGTGCAACTCTGAGTCCATATCACCACACACGAGCACGTTTGTACACGTGTGTGTGCTCTGTAGTTTACTTGCTTTGCTGTAAGTGATGTCTTCATTGATGTTGGAGTGTGAGTGGTACCACCCCTTTTCATAGACAATGAAGGCCAAGGGATCATCTACATATCCTGAAGTTGGATGTGGTGGAGGTAGGCTTCAGTCTCAGCCCCTCAGAGCCTGCTGATGCAATCACTTTAGCAGCATCACGACCTGGCCTGGGATACCAAATATATATCTTCCTAAGTGGCAGTTTCTCCCTTTTTAAAATTTGAGGAGAGTGGGAGAACTCTTGGGACTTAAGACATAAATGTATATCAACATCAAATTGAGGAGGGAACCCAGGCATTCTCTTTACTGGAAATTAAGTGACAAATAAAAGATACTTAACATGCTCAATGGAAAAGAGAACTTCTCCTGGACCTAACCCAGCAAGTCCCAGTGCTGATTTCCTTTGTTCACATAGTGCCAGGATGTGTGCAGACACCAAGAGGTTTTTTTAATTCACAAAGAAACCTACAAGGACACTGTCCCATGGCGTGATCCCCAAAGACGAGTTTCTGGTTAAACTGTCTACTTCAAGAGCAACTCTGTCATTTGGAGTGTGGGCTGGACTGAGCCCATGCCACCATGCCTGGGGTGTGTCCTTGGTAATCCAACCACCAAGTGGGACTGGGCTCCCCAAGGGGGCATCGTCCTCCATGCAGCCACTTTGTGAGTGGTTTAGTTTTGCATTCTGGAAAGGTTGGTTTTCTTTCGAAACCACCTTTTTTTCTGGTTGAACCACCTTCTCAGAAATATTTCAGTGATGGTGAATATTTGTCATTTAAGGGTGTGTTTGAGCCATAGAAACCGCCAGATGTCTTTTGACATTCAATCTTGTGACTAGCATGGGGTTGTGAATGGACTGGGTGACTTTTTGAATAGAGGCTGTGGCAGCAGAGGACATGGGGGTAGGGTAATAAGAGTAAAGGATGCTCATGTGGCATCCTAGCCCAGTCTGGGGCCAGTACAATGACAAAGCGATTGGCACATGGTTGGCTTTTAGCAATGGATGGTGCCCTTAGGACCTGTGCTTCCAGCCCTTGCTTCAGAGCTGAGCAAGCCCTGGACCAACCCTCCCCAAGCGAGGGCTACGATCAATGAGCTCTTCCTTTCTCCACCCTGCAGGTTCTCTGATTCCCTCAGAGTCAACCCTGGAGTCAACTGTAGCAGAAGGTAACGTCTACTATGGGGGATCCCTGTAGGCTCATTACCCCCCTGCACCCCTAGGTTAATCTCTGATTCAGATGAGGTGCAGAGGGCATAGAAAGTAGGGTGCTTAGCTCCCACGAGGGGCCCTTCCACAAAAGGCCTCAGGTCTGAACAGGTATATCTTGCATCGATCATGTCTGAGACTGAGGAGGAATCAACTTGAAGACGCGTCTCCAAGGAGTTCTCAGTGGAGCCTTTTATTCTGTCTCTAGAGATTCTGTTATCTTTGCTTGTTGCTCACTCCTGTGTTCCTCACCCAGCTGTGCTCATCCGTGGCCAGCCTAGGGTTCTGGATCTCTGGCTACAGGGCCTTGAGGGTCAGGTGCCTACCTGCTAACGTAGCCAAATTGCTAGGACAGCATCCTTGCCCTTGCCCTTTCTTTAAGCCTATATTATGCCACCCTTGTTTCTTCTTAACAGAGAGAAATCACAATCCTTCAGCTCATGGGCATCAGAGCTCATGTACTTCCCCCTTGGGTATCTCCAGTGAGAAATCTGGGAGACATAGTCAATACATCCTGGGATTCTGGCAGCCTGGGCTTTGGGAAGGGAAGTCACTTCCCATTTCCCATGGGAAATCTTGGCCCTAGGAGAAGCTCAAGGACAACATTCTCACCAAGGCCTCTGCGCTGCCCAGGGTTGGCATGCAGTTGGGAATGCTGATGGTACATGCATCGGGCCCTCCTGTTCCTCAGGTCGTCTTCTTTCTTCTCCCTTCTCCCTCTGGCCCATGGGGTGAGGTCTGACTTAACCTCTTCCTCTTTCCTATGATGAAGGACACAGAAGACACTTGAAGTGAGGGTGAGACTGGCTTTATTCTGACTTAGCCATGTCCCTTCGCAAGATTCCCACATTTTCTTATTTGCAGCAGCTATAAGAGGAGAATCTGTTCCTTCCTCTTGAGTGGTTTCCCCTGAGGTCCCTGTTACATGTTAAGGACCACACCTTGGTGGGACAAGCCCTTTGGTATAACTGGTCCAGCCAGGGATGGGAGTGAGGGGGCAGAGGTATTTGGCTGATCTGCCTGTCACACAGGACTGCAGATAGGACTTACCTGGAGTTGCTCTTATCAGGAACTCTAGTGTCAGCTGGGAGTCACATTTCTTCTAGATCTGGAGACCTCACGTAGCAGCCCAGTGGAGAGCTCAGACAGAAGCTGAGTGCTGTGGCTGCAGTGGGTTAAGGGTAACTCTCAGATCACTTCCTCTCCAAGCCCCAGCACTCAGTCAGCTCCTGTAGGTGCCCTGGACAAATTCCAGGGCTCTGGAGCAATTCAAAAACGGAGATTCCAAGCCAGTACCTTACTTAAAGGGGAATATTAGAAGCATTTCTGCTAATGTGAAAAACAAGGCAAGTATGCCCTCCATCTCCACTGCTGTTCAATGTTGTACTGGAGGTAGTAGCCAATGCAATGAGAGAAGAGAAATCAATTAGAGGCCTAAGCATGGGAAAAGTTATTTTTGCATCCCTCTTCTGGAGTTCTGTATAGGTTACATGTAGGCACATCGGAATCAGAGTGAGTATGTTGGTACAGAAATATTTCCTCCCCAAGCAGCCCTTTAGAATCAAAGAACTCAATGCTAGACAGGTTTCTTGACTTTCCCAAATTTACACAGCAAGACAATATCCAGATCAGGAGTGATGGCTCCTCAGCAGATCCTAGTTTACTTTCAGCCCATGAGTGTCTTCAGAGGAGACCTAACTTTATATTTTCTGGTTTTTTTTGGGGGGGTGTGGTGGGGTTTGTTTTTCATCTTCTACAATTGGCAAAAGCAGAGACTACCACTACAAATACTGAGTCTACTGTTGTGACAGGTAATGAGTAACTTTGAATCCCTTTCTGTAGGTCATGTTGCCAACTATATCCATGGGCTTTACTGTTACTCAGGAAAAATTTTAGGGAATGGGATGGGAGGGAATGTTGTGAGTACACAGTGACCTTCTGGATCCCAGAGGTCAGCTAGAGTGAAGCTTCCTTCATTGCCCATGTTCCTGGAGGTAGGGAGAAATCAGTCAGAATATGGTGTCTCCAAGAGCCTGTGTGCTTTGGAAGCAGAGACCAGTGGGATCAGTCTCCAGTCCAGAGTGACAGCCCAGCTCCCCCATCTCCACAGCTCTGTGCTGACCCTAACAATCCTGGCCCTGAGGAAGGCTATAAGGCCAGGAATATCACGTGACAAATGTGCTCCAAACCAACCTTAGAGCTGCAGATACACATCAGAGCTCCTCCCGGGACATCTTGATGTTATCGTGCTGCTCTTCAGTGTGGGGTGTTGTGTGTCCCCTGTCTGAGGGAATCAGGCAGAGCCCATGGTCTGCTTAGAGAAGGGTCATGTGTATCTCTAGGTCCCCTCCAGGATGCAGATCAGGAGGAGCCTTTTATTCTGCTCCAGCTGAAGCTCTAAGGCTTGGGTTTGGGCCAAGCAGTCACTGTCCTCTTCCCCATGAAGAACTCTAACCTTAAGGCCTGTTAAAGCCCAGCCCAATTAGAGATTCTCTCAAAGATATCTGCCTATGGGGAAGACCCTGAATGCCCTGCAGGCCCTGAGACCTTGTGCCTCAGTAGGAATGTGCAAGAGAAATTCTGTGCCTTCCTCTAGGATCTGATTCTGGTTTGGCCCTGAGGCTGGTGAATGGAGATGGCAGGTGTCAGGGCCGAGTGGAGATCCTATACCGAGGCTCCTGGGGCACCGTGTGTGATGACAGCTGGGACACCAATGATGCCAACGTGGTCTGTAGGCAGCTGGGTTGTGGCTGGGCCATGTCAGCTCCAGGAAATGCCTGGTTTGGCCAGGGCTCAGGACCCATTGCCCTGGATGATGTGCGCTGCTCAGGACACGAATCCTACCTGTGGAGCTGCCCCCACAATGGCTGGCTCTCCCATAACTGTGGCCATGGTGAAGATGCTGGTGTTATCTGCTCAGGTAGGCATCCAGATCTCTGGAGGGTTGGGTGTGGTGGCTCATGCCTTTAATCCCCACACTTTGGGAGGATGAGGTAGGCAGATTGCTTGAGCTCAGGCGTTCAAGACCAGCTCTAGGCAAGATGGCAAACCCCATCTCTATTAAAAAAAGAAAATCACTTGGGCCCATTCTGGGGACAGACTGTATTCAGAGAATATAGTAACAGGTTTCTCACTCCAGGGCCCCCGCCCAAGTCTTTCCTGGTTATCTGGTGGCTCTGGAGTTTAGTTGGGGCAGTTGGCCTGTGGGTACAATGCCACGGTCAGCACAAATCCCCAAGCTGCGAGCAGTGCCGCAACATTGGTTTGGAGGTGACTGAGGCACCAGTGTTCAGACACAGGGTCCAGCATGCTGACATCAGAAATGATGAGCTTTTTATTCTGCTCCAGGAACATCCGCATAACTCATACCCCCATTTTCCCCGAGGCTCCTTCTCAGGGACAGCACGTTTTGGGGATCTGGTTGGTGAAGCCTTCCCTCCCCTTGAACACTGTATTACCTTGAGTGTTGTCAGCCGCTGACCCAGAGGGAAGGATGCAATTGTAAATAGTTCACTTATGATTGCTGTGAAGAGAGGCATGGAAGTGGGGTAAGGGTGGGAGGATGGCAGTGAGTCGCAAATGGTGGGCTCACGAGTGAGCTCAGCATAGGGAGCAGGGGGACCTCCTAGAGTATCACCAGGAATCCACGTCAAACCTCAGACTCATCGCAGCTCAAGCGTGGAGAGTTAGGGTCTTCATCTACTCATTGCTTAGGGTGGCTGTTTGCTGCTCCCTGGGTGTTGATACCGAGGTTGTTGTGGCCGGTCCCAGGCACCGAAGTGACCTTCATATCCCTGGAGAGTGAGCCACAGGCACAGAGAAGGCAATGCCAGGGGCTGTGGGGTCCCTGAGGGACCGAGGGCTTCACGGTGGGCACTGGCAGGGCCCACTTGGTGGGCGTGTGATGGGCATCAGCTCAGGGTGTAGATACCCCAAGTCACTTCAGCCTTAACTCTACTTGGAGTCACTGAGTGTTTGGTGTCTAATGTTGCTATTTTTTTCTCACAGCTGCCCAGCCTCAGTCAACACTCAGGCCAGGTGAGTCCCCAGAATCCTTCCTCGGGATACCCCTTCTCTTTCTGCTCAGTTACCCCTTCCCTACTCCACAGAGCCCTCCTGCTTCTCTGCAGATACTCTGGGGCATATTATTTCACCCCCAACTCTGTAACTGAGACCCTAGCATGGGGCTTCTTAACCACACATGGGATTTAGCTTCTGCCTTCTCTTCAGTCCATCTCAGCTTTCATCACACAGTTCCATGCTGTCCCAATGAACAACTCTTAGAAGTTCAGAAAGAAGCCTGCTGTTTAATGAGCTTTGGCCTCTTTATATTCAGGGCTGACACAACCTTTCTGAGAATTGAGGGTGAGACCCTCTAATGTTCTGTTGAAGGCAAGGTCAGTACAGGCTTGATACCCCCATCTCTCACTACTTGAAAAACCCCCAGATTCTGCAGGGCCACGTCTGCATTCAGAAGAGGCAGAGGCCATGCTGAGGGGAGAGAGAGGCTAAGAAATGTTTCTGGTGCCTTCACTTACCAGGAAACCTGATTTCCCCCAGGGCGGACCCCTAGTATCCCGAACATTTTAGCTGCAAGTGTCAAGTCTTGGCAGTGGTGTCAGATGAGCCAGTCAGTCCACGCGTCAGTGGATGGTGGGGGATGGGGGTGGTGAAGGTTTCCTAACTGCGAATAGGTCATCCCTCTCTCAGAGAGAGGTGGAAGGGCCTGCATGGTGTCCTTTGTCCCTGAATGAGTTCCCTGGGCAGGAGACCTGGGCAGACACATGGGGAGCAAGTGGCCAGACCTTCGAGTGGAATTGTTTTCACAGTGCTTGCCTGGTCCAGAGAACCGCTTGTTTTTTACCTTTTTCCCTTCAAGTCCAATTGTATCCTTTCTCTTTGTTGCTGTTTACAGAAAGTTGGCCTGTCAGGATATCACCACCTGTACCCACAGAAGGTAAAGAATCCTCTCAACACTCCCTGGGGCTCACTTTCTACCTCTGGATACACTTTGGATTTCATAGTTCACTTATGATTGCCATAAAGAGAGGTGGGGAAGTGGGCTAAGCGTGGGAGGGTGGCAGCAGGTGATAAACAGTTGGCTCAAGAGTCAGCTCGGCACTGGGAACAAGAGCAGGACCTCCCAGAAGATCATTAGGAATCATTAGGCTCATGATAGGATGAGGCTCAAGGTGGGCCCCTTGCTTTTTCATGTTTCTGTGGGTTGGGTAGGGAGGAAGCTGGAGTCTCTGAAAACCCAGAATTAGATGTGATATTGGAGGGTGGAGGGTGCTGGTGACCTGTCTCCTGTGGGATCCTGTTCCAAGTGGTCAGAAAAGATCCTTATCTATGGGCTCAGAACAAGCCCTGGGGGTCTCCCTAATCCTATGGGGACCTCATCCCTGCCATCTCTGGTACTCTGCCAGTCAGATCCCAGATAGGACCATGCTCCTGAATAAGGGAGGGGTCTGGGCCTGCCATCTGGAGCTGAGCAGCTCCATCCTCTGTGTACCCAACTGGGGAGTGGGGCATCCATTCCCATCACATCCACTGGGGTCACAGGTGCTTCCCCAAAAGTTGAGCATCCATAGACCTGGGCAGAGTAGGTTATCAGTGCTACTTTCACGGTGATGAAGCCTAGTCTGTGGTCATATGCAAAGGTGACTGCCTGCCTAGGTGACTTAGTTCATTAGGAAGTACCCTGAGTGTGGAACTTACCTTAGATTCTTGACCTCATGATAGGGATGGATGAAGGGTTCTTGTGTTCCCCTGTAGGATCTGAATCCAGTTTGGCCCTGAGGCTGGTGAATGGAGGCGACAGGTGTCGAGGCCGAGTGGAGGTCCTATACCGAGGCTCCTGGGGCACCGTGTGTGATGACTACTGGGACACCAATGATGCCAATGTGGTCTGCAGGCAGCTGGGCTGTGGCTGGGCCATGTCAGCCCCAGGAAATGCCCAGTTTGGCCAGGGCTCAGGACCCATTGTCCTGGATGATGTGCGCTGCTCAGGACATGAGTCCTACCTGTGGAGCTGCCCCCACAATGGCTGGCTCACCCACAACTGTGGCCATAGTGAAGACGCTGGTGTCATCTGCTCAGGTGGGCCTTCAAGAACTTGGGCTCACTCTCTTGGGGTGGAGTTTGCTCCAAAAGAAACTCCTAATTACATTCTGATCTCCTCACTCAAAGCTTCTATGTTTTCTATGTTTCTGAAGACTTGTCAGCTCTCTGCTAAGAATCCATATGTACTCACTGCCTAGTGTTCCTGTGGTCACTTAGGACAGGGGATCAAACTAAAACAACCCAGAGTTTTTCCCCTTCCTGAGGCAAGGCAAGGAAGAGGCAGAAGAGAAAAGTGCCGGCTCCCCAGGGCTCCATTTCTCCCCTGCTGAGTAGCACGGTGTGAGGGTATAATGGATGCAGCACAGACAGCAAGGCAGGGGAGGGATCCCCTCACTGCGAGGAACTCTGAACTAAAGATGCTTGGCTAAAAGTGGGTTCTCAGCTGAGACCCAGTGAGGAGGTC
The DNA here is from genome assembly GCF_000001405.40 of Homo sapiens. Taxonomy (NCBI): domain Eukaryota; kingdom Metazoa; phylum Chordata; class Mammalia; order Primates; family Hominidae; genus Homo; species Homo sapiens. Next base: position 122,580,329 of record NC_000010.11, read on the forward strand.
TGGAAATAGAGGCTCAAGGGTTAGGAGTGCAAATGGGTGTCTGTTTGTATCAGGCCTGGGTTGCGTGGGGTTGGAGTTCTTGACCTCAGCTCTTCTCAGAACGCTGCTGAGCATTGCCTGTGTTCTAGGTCTGGTGAGGGGAGGGCAGTCCCCATGAGGCCAGCCAGACATGGCCTTGTCATTGCCTGTGATTGGGGCTTGAAGATCGCACAAGGGATTTTGGCTGGAGTGGCTTCCTCAGCCTTGCTGACTCAGGAACACCTAAGATGTGCAAGGGAGTGGGTTGGTTTAGGTCAACCGGGTTACCCTGGGCAGACACAATTTGATCACCTCAGAGCTGGCAATAGTGGACAGGATCTGCCTCGACCCCTTACACGGTGCATCTCTGTGGGGATGTGCATGGCAATGTCCCTCCCTGTGTGATAGGAACTAGGATGGACTGAGTGTCAGACTCGCTCATTTCTTTCCCTCCTCGTTCCAGTTTTGCCGACTTCTGTGTAATGTTCCTGATCTGACCTTCTCTTCTCTTTCTCACAGCTCCCCAGTCCCGGCCGACACCCAGCCCAGGTAGGTCCCCAGTGTCCTTCCTCAAAATGTCCCTTCTCTTTCTGCCCAATCACCCCTTCCACACTCCACAGAGCTCTCCTGTTTCTCTGTGTGGATACTGTGGGGCATATTATTTCCACCCCCAACACCGGCTGTGTAACTGAGATCCCAGCACAGCGCTTTTTAAACACACACAGGATTGAGGAGGCCTCTGTCTTCTTTTCAACCCCTCTCAGCTTTCATGAAACAGTTTCATACTGTCCCAGTGGACAACCCTTACAGGTTCAGGAAGTGGCCCCATGTTTAATGAGCTTTGGTCCTTTTATATTCCGGACTCACATATAGTTTCTGAAAATTGAGGGTGTCACCCTCTGACCCGTTCAAGGCATCGTCAGGGCAGGCTCGATACCCCCATCCATCACTGCTGGAAACATTCCGAGATTATGATTCCGAGATTTCTATCCAGAAGAGGCAGAGTTTGTGCTCGGGCAGGGAGAGGGATAATAAAGGTTTGTGATGTCTCTGCTTAACCAGAAACCTGATTCCTGATTGTCCCCTGGGCAGCCCCTGGTTCCCCTAACATTTTACCTGGCAGTGTCCGAGCTTCAGCAATGGCGTCTGATGTCCTAGTCAGTCCATGCATCAGCAGATGTGGGATGGCATGGTGGGGGCATCCTCTAACAGATAGAAAGATACCCCAGGATTACAGAAATGGAGGGCTCAGTCTGGTCTCCAGCAGGACCTTTGTCCCTGGATGAGTTCACAGCACAGGAGACCTGGGAAGACACATGGGAAACAAATGGCAGGAACAAGAAGTGGAATTGTTGTCACGTTGATTCCTCCTCCCAGAGATCCTTTTGTTCTGTGCCTTTTCCCTTCAAGTCTAATTCTGTCTTTTCCTTTTGTTGCAATTTACAGATACTTGGCCGACCTCACATGCATCAACAGCAGGTAAATAACCCTCTCACCCCTCCCTAGGACTCACTATCTCTGGACATATTTTGTGTTTGAAACTGATAGGATGAGGCTCAATGTGGGCTTCTCTGTTTTCATGTCCCTGTGGGTTGCGTGGGAGGAAGGTGGAATCTCTGAGGAGCCAGTCCTGGGTCTGATGTTTGAGGACGGAGGGTGTTGGTGACCTGTCTCCCATGGAATCCTGTTCCAAGTGGTCAGGAAAGATCCTCATCCAGGTGCTCAGGACGAGCACTGGAGGGCTCCTTAATGCTGCTGGGACCTCATTCCTGGCCCTCAGGCCATGGGATCCAGACCTCTGAAGAGCGGGTGAAAGTGCCGGTCCCTGCACCTGTGTGGCCAAGGCCTTGCCATCACTGGCAATTTGCCAGAAGGCAGAGAGGCCCATGCAGGTGCCAATAAGCTCCTGAATATGGAGGGGGTCTAGGCCTGTCATTTGTAGCTGTGTAGCTCCATCCTGTGTTCACCCAGAGTGGGGAGTGGGGTGTCCATTCCTGTCCTCTCCTCTGGGGTCATACATGCTTACCCATAGCTTGAGCTTTTATAGACTTGAGTAGAATAGGGCATCACTTTTTCCACTATGACCAAGCTTAACCTCTGGGTGCAGCCATCTGCCATTGTGACTGCGTGCCCTGGTGACTTTGGCATTTGTATTCAAACTTGACTACTTTTCCCATTGCCCTGAGTGTTGTCCATGCCTTTTCCTTCACCTCAGAATGGAGATGGATGAAGGATTCTTGTGTTCCCCTGTAGGACCTGAATCCAGTTTGGCCCTGAGGCTGGTGAATGGAGGTGACAGGTGTCAGGGCCGAGTGGAGGTCCTATACCGAGGCTCCTGGGGCACCGTGTGTGATGATAGCTGGGACACCAGTGACGCCAATGTGGTCTGCCGGCAGCTGGGCTGTGGCTGGGCCACGTCAGCCCCAGGAAATGCCCGGTTTGGCCAGGGTTCAGGACCCATTGTCCTGGATGACGTGCGCTGCTCAGGCTATGAGTCCTACCTGTGGAGCTGCCCCCACAATGGCTGGCTCTCCCATAACTGTCAGCACAGTGAAGACGCTGGTGTCATCTGCTCAGGTGGGCCTCCAAGACCTTGGGCTCCCTCTCTTGGGGTAGATTTTGCTCAGGAAGCGAGGTCTCATTATGTTCTGATCTCCTCACTCAGAGCTTTTTCAGCCTTTCCTATATATCTGATATCTCCTTAGCTCTCTCCTAGGAAACTGCATGAGTCTTCATTGCCAGGTTTTGAGGAGGTCAGGTAGGACAACGGGCCAAAGTGAAATAAGGGTCACGCCTTTGTTCACCTACCGAGGCAGCGCAAGCAGAGGGAGAAGAGGAAAGTGCCAGGTCTTTGCCTTTTAGTGTGGCTGGAAAGGAATAGCTGGGGCTGGTTTGTTCATGAGGAAAGAGGCTGATTTGGGTCTTGGCTTTGCAGGCTGCATAGGACCATGGTGCAGGCGTCTGCTCAGCTTCTGATGAGGGCCTCGGGCTGCTTGTACTCCTAGCAGAAAGGGATGGGGAGGTGGCCTGGGCAGAGGTCACAAGGTGAGGGAGGAAGGAAGAGAGAGCAAGAGGGAGGGCTCAGACTCTTCAACCACCAGCTCTTGCTAGGAACTAAGAGAAGAACTCACCCCTGACCAGGGAGGGCACTAAGTTATTCATGCAGTGTTGGTCTCCATGACCCAGACCTGGTGCATCAGGCCTCACCTCTAAACTTGGGGATTCAGTTGCAATATAACACTTGGATGTGACAAGCCTCTAAAGTATAGCACCCTGGCTCTCCAGGGTTCCATCTTTCCCCTACTGAAAGATTTTGCAAAGGGTTACATGGATGAAGCACATATAGAGGATGGGGGAGGGACTGTCTCCCTGGGAGGAGCCCAGAACCACAGGCTCCTGCTAGGAAGCGCGGTCTTCTGCTGAGGCCCAATAAGGTGATGTCTTAATAGAGACACAAGGCTAGGAGTGCGGATGTGTGTCTGTCCCTCTCTGGCCTGAGATTTGGGGGCTGTGAGTCCTTGACCACAACTCCCTCCAGAGCACTGCAGTGTCTTGCCTGTGCACCGGTCTGGTGTGGAGTGTGCAGTCCCCATGAGGTCTGCTAGGCAAAGCATTGTTATGAACGCCTGTGGGCTGGACTGGAACATCAGAGGCAGGACTTTGGCTGGAGTGGCCTCCTCACATTTGCTAACTCAGGGACTGCTAAGACATGCAAGGGAGAGGGTAGGTTTTGTGTCAACCTGATTACTATGGGCAGACACAAGGTTAATCACCTTGGAGTTGGCAATAGTGGACAGGATCTGCCCAGACACCCTCCAAGGAGCATCTCTGTGGGGACATGCATGGCAATGCCCTCCCTCTGTGATGGGGACCTAGGGTGGACTGAAGGCATGATCTGTTTAGTTCCTTCCACCTTTGTTCCGATTTTGCCAGCTTCTGTATAGTGCATCTGATCTGACCTCCTCTTTCTCACAGCTGCCCACTCCTGGTCGACGCCCAGTCCAGGTGAGTCCCCAGTGTCCTTCCTTGGGATGTCCCTTCTCTTTCTGTATAATTATCCCTTTCTGCACTCCACAGAGCCCTCGTTCTTCTCTGAGTGAATACTACATGGCATACAATTTTCCCCTGCTCTGTAACTGAGACCCTGGAATGGCGCTTCTGAACCAGACATAGGGTTCAAGAGGCTTCTGTCTTCTGTTCCATTTATCTCAGCTTTCATGAAGCAGTTTCATACTGTCCCAGTGGCCAACCCTTAGAGGTTTAGGAAGTGGCCTCATATTTAAATAGCTTTGACCCTTTTCTATTCAGAGCTGATATGACCTTCCTGAGAATTGAGAGTGATTGCCAAAGTCTCCTCGGAAGCCAATGTCAGCTAAAGCCTTAAACATGGCTGCCGCCATGGGCAAGCAATGTCAGTGCAGGCCTGACACCTCCCTTCCTCACTCCTTCCAACACCCAGATTCTGCAGCGCTACATGTGCATCCAGAAGAGGCATAGGCCATGCTCGGGCAGGGAGAGGGATAATAAATATTTCTGGTGCCTCCACTTACTGGGAAACTTGATACCCCTTTGGTCAGCTCCTTGGTTTCCCTAACGTTTTAGCTCGAGCTAGTAGAGTGTCAGCAATGGTGTTAGATGTACCCGTCAGTGCATGTGTCAGTGCATGGAACAGGCTAACCCTTTGTGACTGAGAAGAGGACATCCCACACTTCAGAGGCAGGAGGGATCGAACTGGTCTCCAGCAAGGCTTATGTCCCTTGCTGAGCTTGCTGAGCTGCAGACTTGGGCAGACACATGGGGAGCAAAGTGGCAGGAATCAGAAGTGGGGTAGTTTTCATGATGCTCGCCTTCTCCGGAGACTTTTCCTTTTGGAGATTTTCACCATCAACTTTAATTCTAGCCTTTGTCTCTGTTGCAATTACAGACACGTTGCCGACCATCACCTTACCTGCATCGACAGTAGGTAAATAATCCTCTCGCCCCTCCCTAGGGCTCACTCTCTACCTCTGGACAAATGTTTTTTTCTGAAATGATAGGATGAGGGTCAAGGTGGGCCCCTCTGTTTTTCATGTCCCTGTGGGTTGCATGGGAGGAAGGTAGAGTCTCTGGGGACCCAGCTGTGGGTCTGATGTTGGAGGCTGGAGGGTGCTGGTGACTTTTCTCCCGTGGAATCCTGTTCCAAGTGGTCAGGAAACATCCTCATCCAGGTGCCAAGGAAAAGCCCTGGAAGCTTCCCTAATCCTACTAAGACCTCATTCCTGTCCCTCAGCCCATGGGCTGCAGAGGTGTGAAGAGTCAGTGAAAGTGAGTGTCCCCACACCTGTCTGGCCAAGGCCTTGTCATACCTGTGAAATTTTCAGAAGCCAGACAGGACCATAGGATTGCCACCAAGCTCCTGAGATGGGGAGAGTCTGGCCTGCCTACTGTAGCTGTGTAGCTCCATCCTGTGTGTGCCCAGGTTAGGGAATGGGGTTTCCGTTCCTGTTAACTCCAGTAGGGTCACAGGTGCTTCCCCAAACTTGAGCCTTCATAAACCCAGGCAGAACTGCTTCTTTGACTTTGATGAAGCTGAATCTCTGGTTTTATTCATATTCAAAGGTGACTGCCTGCCCAGGTGACTTTAGCCATTAGGACGTGCCTTGAGTGTGGAACATTCCTTAGATTCTTGACCTCATGATAGGGATGGATGAAGGGTTCTTGTTTTCCCCTGTAGGATCTGAATCCAGTTTGGCCCTGAGGCTGGTGAATGGAGGTGACAGGTGTCAGGGCCGAGTGGAGGTCCTATACCGAGGCTCCTGGGGCACCGTGTGTGATGACAGCTGGGACACCAATGATGCCAATGTGGTCTGCAGGCAGCTGGGCTGTGGCTGGGCCATGTTGGCCCCAGGAAATGCCCGGTTTGGTCAGGGCTCAGGACCCATTGTCCTGGATGACGTGCGCTGCTCAGGGAATGAGTCCTACTTGTGGAGCTGCCCCCACAATGGCTGGCTCTCCCATAACTGTGGCCATAGTGAAGACGCTGGTGTCATCTGCTCAGGTGGGCCTCCAAGACTTTTGGTTTCCTCTCTTGGGGTAGATTTTGCTCAGGAAGGTTTTATTATGTTCTAATCTCCTCACTTAGAGCTTTTTCAACTTTTCCTATATTTCTGATACCTCCTTAGCTCTCTCCTAGGAAACCGCATGAGTCTTCACCACATTGCCAGGTTTTGAGGAGGTCAGAGAGGACAATGGGCCAAAGTGAAATAAGGGTCACACCTTTGTTCCCCTACTGAGGCAGCGCAAGCAGAGGGAGAAGACGAAAGCGCCGGGTCTTTGCCTTTTAGTGTGGCTGGAAAGGAATAGCTGGGGCCAGGTTGTTCATGAAGATAGAGGTTGATTTGGGTCTTGGGTCTTTGCAGGCTGCATAGGAGCATGGTGCAGGCATCTGCTCGGCTTCTGCTGAGGACCTCAGGCTGCTTGTACTCCTGGCAGAGGGGATGGGGAGCTGGCCTGGGCAGAGGTCACATGGCGAGGGATGAAGCAAGATGGCAGAAGAAGATGGGGAGGTGGCCTGGACAGAGGTCACATGGTGAGGGAGGAAGCAAGAAAGAGCAAGAGGGAGGGCCCAGACAGTTTTCAACCACCAGCTCTTTCTAGGAACTAAGAGAAGAACTTACCCCTGACCAGGGAGGACACTAAGTTATTCATGAAGAGTTGGCCTTCATGACCCAGACATGGCACATCAAGCCTCACCTCTATACTTGGGGATCCAATCCCAACATGAGTCTTAGATGGGACAAACATCCAAACTATAGCATGCTGCCTCTCCAGGGTTCCACCTTTCCCCTACTGAAAGGTTTAGGTGAGGGTGAGGTGGATGCAGCACATATAGGCATTGAGGGAGGGACGGTCTGACTGGGAGGATTCCAGAACCAAGGGCTCATGCTGGGAAGGGAGGGTTTTCTGCTGAGGACTAATAAGGAGGCATCAGACCGGAAACACAAGGCTGGGAGTGGAGATTCGTGACTGTCCATATCTGACCTGGGTTTTGGGGGTGTGAGTGCTTGATTGCAATTCCCTCCAGAGCACTGCAGTGTCTTGCCTGTGCACCGGTCAGGTGTGGGGCAGGCAGTGCCCATGAGGCTTACTGAGCAAAGCCTTGTTATGAATGCCTGTGGGCTGGGCTAGAAGATCACAGGCTGGATATTTTTTTTTTGCAGGAGTGGCCTCTTCATACTTGCTGACTCAGGGACTGCTAAGATGTGCAAGGGAGTGGGTTGGTTTTGTGTCAACCTGATTACTATGGGCAGACACAAAGTCCTTCAAACACCCCCAGATGCAGCAGGGCCCCATCTACATGCGGAAAGGCAGAGGCCGTGCTCAGGCAAGGAGAGAGATATTAGATATTTCTGGTACCTCCACTTGCCAGGAGACTTTATACTCCTTTGGGCAGCTCCCTGATCCTTCTAACATTTTAGCTGTAACAATCAGAGGCTCAGCAATGGTGTCAGATGTGTCCATTAGTCCATGTGTCAGTGGATGGGGCAGGCAAACCCTTTGTAGCTGAGAAGAGGATATCCCACACTTCAGAGGTAGGAGGGATTGGACTGGTCTCCAGCGAGGCCTATGTCCCTTCCTGAGCTTACTGGGCTGAAGAGTTGGGCAGACACATGGGGAGCAAGTGGCAAAAACCAGAAATCCAGTAGTTTTCATGATGCTTGCCCTATCTGGAGACTTTTCCTTTTGGAGCTTTTCACCCTCAAGTTTAATTCTAGCCTTTGTCTTTGTTGCAATTAAAGACACGTTGCCGACCACCACATTACCTGCATCAACAGTAGGTACAGAATCTTCTCACCCCCACTAGGGCTCACTCTCTACTTCTGGACAAATGTTTTTTTCTGAAAATGAGAGGATGAGGGTCAGGGTGGGTCCCTGTCTTTTTCATATCCCTGTGCATTGAGTGGGAGGAAGTTGGAGTCTCTGGGGAGCCAGTCCTGCTTCTGGTGTTGGAGGGTAGAGGGGGCTGGTGACCTGTCTCCCTTGGGATCCTCTTCCAAGTATCAGGAAATAATAAAGAAAAAAAAAAAAGATCCTCATCCAGGTGCTGAGGACAAGCCCTGGAGGGCTCCCTACTCCTATTCGACCTCGTTCCTGGCCCTCCAGCCATGCACTGCAGACCTGCAAGGGTGGGTGACAGTTTCTGTCCCTGCAGCTGTCTGGCCAAAGCCTTGCCATCCTTGGCAATTTGCCAGAAGCCAGGGAGGACCATGGGGGTGCCACCTAACTCTTGAACATGGGGACAGCATGGTCCTGCCCTCTGGAGCTGTGGAGCTCCATCCTGTGTGTGCCCAGAGTAGGGAGTCGGTTGTCTATTCCTGTCACCTCCACTGGGGTCACAGGTGCTTCCCCAAAACTTGAGCCTTCATAAACCCAAGGAGAATAGTGTATCACCTCTCCTTCTACTGTGATGAAGCTGAACCTCTGGTTGCAGTCATCTTTAATCGTGACTGCCTGCCCAGGTGACTTTGGCCATTAGGAAGTGCCCTGAGTGTGGAATGTGCCTTAGATCCTTGACCTGCTGATAGGGATTGATGAAGGGTTCTTGTGTTCTCCTATAGGACCTGAATCCAGTTTGGCCCTGAGGCTGGTGAATGGAGGTGACAGGTGTCAGGGCCGAGTGGAGGTCCTATACCGAGGCTCTTGGGGCACCGTGTGTGATGACAGCTGGGACACCAATGATGCCAATGTGGTCTGCAGGCAGCTGGGCTGTGGCTGGGCCACGTCAGCCCCAGGAAATGCCCGGTTTGGTCAGGGCTCAGGACCCATTGTCCTGGATGATGTGCGCTGCTCAGGACATGAGTCCTACCTGTGGAGCTGCCCCAACAATGGCTGGCTCTCCCACAACTGTGGCCATCATGAAGATGCTGGTGTCATCTGCTCAGGTGGGCCTCCAGCAATTTTGGTTTCCTCTCTTGGGGTAGATTTTGCCCAGGAAGAGAGGTCTTATGTTCTAATCTCCTCACTCAGAGCTTTTTCAACCTTTCCTATGTTTCTGATATCTCCTTAGCTCTCTTCTAGGAAACTGCATGAGTCTTCACCACAGTGCCAGGTTTTGAGGAGGTCAGAGAGGACAATGGGCCAAAGTGAAATAAGGGTCATGCCTTTGTTCCCCTACCAAGGCAGCGCAAGCAGAGGGAGAAGAGGAAAGGGCTGGGTCTTTGCATTTTAGTGTGGCTGGAAAGGAATGGCTGGGGTCAGGTTATTCATGAAGAAAGAGGCAGATTTGGGTCTTGGCTTTGCAGGCTGCATAGGAGCGTGGTATCTGCTTGGCTTCTGCTGACAGCCTCAGGCTGCTTGTGCTCCTGGCAGAAGGAGATGGGGAGGTGGCCTGAGCAGAGGTCACGTGGCAAGGGAGGAAGCAAGAGAGGGCAAGAAGGAAGGCCCAGGCTCTTTTCAACCACCAGTTCTTGCTAGAAACTAAGAGAAGAACTCACCCCTGATCAGGGAGGGCACTAAGTTGTTCATGAATGGTTGGCTTCCATGACCCAGACATGGCACATCAGGCCTCACCTCTATACTTGGGGATCCAATCCCAACATGAGTCTTGTATGGGACAAACATCCAATCTATAGCACACTGGCTCTCCAGGGTTCCATCTTTCCCCCACTGAAAGGTTTAGGTGAGGGTGAGGTGGATGGAGCACATATAGGTGTTGGGGGACGGACGATCTCACCGGGAGGAGTCCAGAACCAAAGGCTTATGCTGGGAAGGGAGGGTCTTCCGCTGAGGCCCAGTAAGGAGGCATCAGACTGGAAACACAAGGCTGGGAGTGCAGATCTGTGTCTGTCCAAGTCTGGCCTGGGTTTTGGGGGTGTGAGTGCTTGACTGCAATTCCCTCCAGAGCACTGCAGCATCTTGCCTGTACACCAGTCAGGTGTAGGGCGGGCAGTGCCCATTAGGGCTGCTGAGCAAAGCCTTGTTATGAATGCCTGTGGGCTGGGCTAGAAGATCACAGGCTGGATTTTTGCTGGAGTGGCCTCTTCATACTTGCTGACTCAGGGACTGCTAAGACGTGTAAGGGAGAGGGTTGGTTTTGTGTCAACCTGATTACTGTGGGTAGACACAAACTTAATCACTTTGGAGCTGGCAGTAGTGGACAAGATCTGCCCAGATGCCTTTCAAGGAGCATCTTTGTGGGGACGTGCATGGCAATGCCCCTCCCTCTGTGATGGGGACATAGGGTGGACTGAAGGCGCTACCAGTTTAGTTCCTTGTACCTTTGTTCTGGTTTTGCCAGCTTCTGTATAGTGCATCTGATCTGACCTCCTCTTTCTCACAGCTGCCCAGTCCCGGTCGACGCCCAGGCCAGGTGAGTCCCCAGTGTCCTTCCTTGGGATGTCCCTTTTCTTTCTGCACAATTATCCTTTTTCCCATTCCACAGAGCCCTCCTTCTTACCTGTGTGGATACTGTGGGTCATACTATTTTCCCTGCTCTGTAACTGAGACCCTAGCATGGAGCTTCTTAACCAGACATGGTTAAGAAGGTATGATCTTTCTAAGAATTGAGAGTGATTGCCAAAGTCTCCTGGGAAGGCAATTTCAGCTAAAGCCTTAAACATGCCTGTCCATGGGCAAGAATGTCAGTGCAGGCCTGATACCTCCATTCCTCACTCCTTCAGACACCCCCAGATGCGGCAGGGCCCCATCTACCTCCAGACAGGCAGAGGCTGTGCTCAGGCAGGGAGAGCGATATTAGATATTTCCGTTGCCTCCACTTGCCAGGAGACTTTATACTCCCTTAGGCAGCTCCCTGATCCTTCTAACATTTTAGTTTCAAGCGTGAGAGGCTCAGCATTGGTGTCAGATGTGCCCATCAGTCCATGTGTCAGTGGATGGGGCAGGTAAACCCTTTGTAGCTGAGAAGAGGGTATTCCACACTTCAGAGGCAGGAGGGATCGGACTGGTCTCCAGTGAGGACTATGTCCCTGGCTGTGCTTCCTGAGCTACAGACTTGGGCAGACACATGGGGAGCAAGTGGCAGGAACTAGAAATGGAAGAATATTCATGATGCTTGCCTTGTCCAGAGACCTTTCCTTTTGGAGCTTTTCTCCCTCAACTTTAATTCTAGCCTTTGTCTTTGTTGCAATTTACAGACACGTTGTCGACCATCACGTTACCTCCATCGACAGTAGGTAAATAATCCTCTCACCCCTCCCTAGGGCTCACTCTCTACCTCTGGACAAATGTTTTCTCTGAAAATGATAGGATGAGGGTCAAGGTGGGCCCCTGTCTTTTTCACATCCCTGTGCGCTGAGTGGGAGGAAGTTGAGTCTCTGGGGAACCAGTCCCGGGTCGGGTGTTAGAGGGTGGAGGGTGTTGGTGACCTATCTCCTGTTGGACCGTGTTCCAAGTATCAGTAAAGATCCTCATTCAGGTGCTGGACAAACCCTGGAGAGCTCCCTACTCCTGGGACCTCATTCCTGGCCTTCTGGCCATGCATTGCAGACCTGCAAGGGAGGGTGAAAATTTCTGTCCCTGCAGTTGTCTGGCCAATGTGTTGCCATCCCTGGCAATTTGCCAGAAGCCAGAGAGGACCACGTGGGTGCCACCAAACTCTTCGACATGGGGATAGCATAGGCCTGCCCTCTGGAGCAGTGGAGCTCCATCCTGTGTGTGCTCAGAGTAGGGAGTGGGGTGTCCATTCCTGTCACCTCCACTGGGGTCACAGGCGCTTTCCCAAAATCTGAGCCTCCATAAACCCAGGCAGAATAGGGTATCACCTCTCCTTCCAGTATGATGAAGCTGAACCTCTGGTTGCAGTCGTATTCAATCGTGACTGCTTGTCCAGGCGACCTTGGCCATTAGGAAGTACCCTGAGTGTGGAACGTGCCTTAGATCCTTACCTCATGGTAGGGATGGATAAAGGGTTCTTGTGTTCCCCTGTAGGATCTGAATCCAGTTTGACCCTGAGGCTGGTGAATGGAAGTGACAGGTGTCAGGGCCGAGTAGAGGTCCTATACCGAGGCTCCTGGGGCACCGTGTGTGATGACAGCTGGGATACCAATGATGCCAATGTGGTCTGCAGGCAGCTGGGCTGTGGCTGGGCCACGTCGGCCCCAGGAAATGCCCGGTTTGGCCAGGGCTCAGGACCCATTGTTCTGGATGATGTGCGCTGCTCAGGACACGAGTCCTACCTGTGGAGCTGCCCCCACAATGGCTGGCTCTCCCACAACTGTGGCCATCATGAAGATGCTGGTGTCATCTGCTCAGGTGGGCCTCCAAGACCTTGGGCTCCCTCTCCTAGACTGGAGTTTGCTCAGGAAGAAAATCCTAATTACATTCTGATCTCCTCACTCAAAGATTCTTCTATGTTTCCTATATTTATGTAGTCTTGTTAGCTCTCTGCTAAGGATCTGTATGAATTTTACTACAGGGCTTGGTGTTCCTGTGGTCACTTAGGACAGGCCCCAAACTGAAACAACAACCCAGACTTTATCCCCTTCCTGAGGCAGTGCAAGAAAGAGGCCGAAGAGAAAACTGCTGGCTCCCCAGGGTTCCATTTCTCCTCAGCTGAGTAGCACTGGGTGAGGGTATCATGGACATAGGACAGACAGCAAGGTAGGGGAGGAATCCTCTCACTGAGAGGAACTCTGAGCTAAAGATGCTTGTCTGAAAGTGAGTTCTCAGCTGAGACCCAGTGAGGAGGTCTGGAAATAGAGGCTCAAGGGTTAGGGGTGCAAATGGGTGTCTGGTTCTATCAGGCCTGGGTTGTGTGAGGTTGGAGTCCTTGACCTCAGGTCCTCTCAGAACGCTGCAGAGCACTGCCTTGCCCTGGGTCTGGTGTGGGGAGGGCAGCCCCCATGAGACAGGCCAGGCATGGCCTTGTTATTGCCTGTGGTCGGGGCTTGAAGATCACACAAGGGATTTTGGCTGGAGTGGCTTCCTCAGCCTTGCTGACTCAGGAACACCTAAGATGTGCAAGGGAGTGGGTTGGTTTAGGTCAACCGGGTTACCCTGGGCAGACACAATTTGATCACCTCAGAGCTGGCAATAGTGGAAGGATCTGCCTCGACCCCTTACACGGTGCATCTCTGTGGGGATGTGCATGGCAATGTCCCTCCCTGTGTGATAGGAACTAGGATGGACTGAGTGTCAGACTCGCTCATTTCTTTCCCTCCTCGTTCCAGTTTTGCCGACTTCTGTGTAATGTTCCTGATCTGACCTTCTCTTCTCTTTCTCACAGTTTCCCAGTCCCGGCCGACACCCAGTCCAGGTAGGTCCCCAGTGTCCTTCCTCAAAATGTCCCTTCTCTTTCTGCCCAATCACCCCTTCCACACTCCACAGAGCTCTCCTGTTTCTCTGTGTGGATACTGTGGGGCATATTATTTCCACCCCCAACACCGGCTGTGTAACTGAGACCCCAGCACAGCGCTTTTTAAACACACACAGGATTGAGGAGGCCTCTGTCTTCTTTTCAACCCCTCTCAGCTTTCATGAAACAGTTTCATACTGTCCCAGTGGACAACCCTTACAGGTTCAGGAAGTGGCCCCATGTTTAATGAGCTTTGGTCCTTTTATATTCCGGACTCACATATAGTTTCTGAAAATTGAGGGTGTCACCCTCTGACCCGTTCAAGGCATCGTCAGGGCAGGCTCGATACCCCCATCCATCACTGCTGGAAACATTCCGAGATTATGATTCCGAGATTTCTATCCAGAAGAGGCAGAGTTTGTGCTCGGGCAGGGAGAGGGATAATAAAGGTTTGTGATGTCTCTGCTTAACCAGAAACCTGATTCCTGATTGTCCCCTGGGCAGCCCCTGGTTCCCCTAACATTTTACCTGGCAGTGTCCGAGCCTCAGCAATGGCGTCTGATGTCCTAGTCAGTCCATGCATCAGCAGATGTGGGATGGCATGGTGGGGGCATCCTCTAACAGATAGAAAGATACCCCAGGATTAGAGAAATGGAGGGCTCAGTCTGGTCTCCAGCAGGACCTTTGTCCCTGGATGAGTTCACAGCACAGGAGACCTGGGAAGACACATGGGAAACAAATGGCAGGAACAAGAAGTGGAATTGTTGTCACGTTGATTCCTCCTCCCAGAGATCCTTTTGTTCTGTGCCTTTTCCCTTCAAGTCTAATTCTGTCTTTTCCTTTTGTTGCAATTTACAGATACTTGGCCGACCTCACATGCATCAACAGCAGGTAAATAACCCTCTCACCCCTCCCTAGGACTCACTATCTCTGGACATATTTTGTGTTTGAAACTGATAGGATGAGGCTCAATGTGGGCTTCTCTGTTTTCATGTCCCTGTGGGTTGCGTGGGAGGAAGGTGGAATCTCTGAGGAGCCAGTCCTGGGTCTGATGTTTGAGGACGGAGGGTGTTGGTGACCTGTCTCCCATGGAATCCTGTTCCAAGTGGTCAGGAAAGATCCTCATCCAGGTGCTCAGGACGAGCACTGGAGGGCTCCTTAATGCTGCTGGGACCTCATTCCTGGCCCTCAGGCCATGGGATCCAGACCTCTGAAGAGCGGGTGAAAGTGCCGGTCCCTGCACCTGTGTGGCCAAGGCCTTGCCATCACTGGCAATTTGCCAGAAGGCAGAGAGGCCCATGCAGGTGCCAATAAGCTCCTGAATATGGAGGGGGTCTAGGCCTGTCATTTGTAGCTGTGTAGCTCCATCCTGTGTTCACCCAGAGTGGGGAGTGGGGTGTCCATTCCTGTCCTCTCCTCTGGGGTCATACATGCTTACCCATAGCTTGAGCTTTTATAGACTTGAGTAGAATAGGGCATCACTTTTTCCACTATGACCAAGCTTAACCTCTGGGTGCAGCCATCTGCCATTGTGACTGCGTGCCCTGGTGACTTTGGCATTTGTATTCAAACTTGACTACTTTTCCCATTGCCCTGAGTGTTGTCCATGCCTTTTCCTTCACCTCAGAATGGAGATGGATGAAGGATTCTTGTGTTCCCCTGTAGGACCTGAATCCAGTTTGGCCCTGAGGCTGGTGAATGGAGGTGACAGGTGTCAGGGCCGAGTGGAGGTCCTATACCGAGGCTCCTGGGGCACCGTGTGTGATGATAGCTGGGACACCAGTGACGCCAATGTGGTCTGCCGGCAGCTGGGCTGTGGCTGGGCCACGTCAGCCCCAGGAAATGCCCGGTTTGGCCAGGGTTCAGGACCCATTGTCCTGGATGACGTGCGCTGCTCAGGCTATGAGTCCTACCTGTGGAGCTGCCCCCACAATGGCTGGCTCTCCCATAACTGTCAGCACAGTGAAGACGCTGGTGTCATCTGCTCAGGTGGGCCTCCAAGACCTTGGGCTCCCTCTCTTGGGGTAGATTTTGCTCAGGAAGCGAGGTCTCATTATGTTCTGATCTCCTCACTCAGAGCTTTTTCAGCCTTTCCTATATATCTGATATCTCCTTAGCTCTCTCCTAGGAAACTGCATGAGTCTTCATTGCCAGGTTTTGAGGAGGTCAGGTAGGACAACGGGCCAAAGTGAAATAAGGGTCACGCCTTTGTTCACCTACCGAGGCAGCGCAAGCAGAGGGAGAAGAGGAAAGTGCCAGGTCTTTGCCTTTTAGTGTGGCTGGAAAGGAATAGCTGGGGCTGGTTTGTTCATGAGGAAAGAGGCTGATTTGGGTCTTGGCTTTGCAGGCTGCATAGGACCATGGTGCAGGCGTCTGCTCAGCTTCTGATGAGGGCCTCGGGCTGCTTGTACTCCTAGCAGAAAGGGATGGGGAGGTGGCCTGGGCAGAGGTCACAAGGTGAGGGAGGAAGGAAGAGAGAGCAAGAGGGAGGGCTCAGACTCTTCAACCACCAGCTCTTGCTAGGAACTAAGAGAAGAACTCACCCCTGACCAGGGAGGGCACTAAGTTATTCATGCAGTGTTGGTCTCCATGACCCAGACCTGGTGCATCAGGCCTCACCTCTAAACTTGGGGATTCAGTTGCAATATAACACTTGGATGTGACAAGCCTCTAAAGTATAGCACCCTGGCTCTCCAGGGTTCCATCTTTCCCCTACTGAAAGATTTTGCAAAGGGTTACATGGATGAAGCACATATAGAGGATGGGGGAGGGACTGTCTCCCTGGGAGGAGCCCAGAACCACAGGCTCCTGCTAGGAAGCGCGGTCTTCTGCTGAGGCCCAATAAGGTGATGTCTTAATAGAGACACAAGGCTAGGAGTGCGGATGTGTGTCTGTCCCTCTCTGGCCTGAGATTTGGGGGCTGTGAGTCCTTGACCACAACTCCCTCCAGAGCACTGCAGTGTCTTGCCTGTGCACCGGTCTGGTGTGGAGTGTGCAGTCCCCATGAGGTCTGCTAGGCAAAGCATTGTTATGAACGCCTGTGGGCTGGACTGGAACATCAGAGGCAGGACTTTGGCTGGAGTGGCCTCCTCACATTTGCTAACTCAGGGACTGCTAAGACATGCAAGGGAGAGGGTAGGTTTTGTGTCAACCTGATTACTATGGGCAGACACAAGGTTAATCACCTTGGAGTTGGCAATAGTGGACAGGATCTGCCCAGACACCCTCCAAGGAGCATCTCTGTGGGGACATGCATGGCAATGCCCTCCCTCTGTGATGGGGACCTAGGGTGGACTGAAGGCATGATCTGTTTAGTTCCTTCCACCTTTGTTCCGATTTTGCCAGCTTCTGTATAGTGCATCTGATCTGACCTCCTCTTTCTCACAGCTGCCCACTCCTGGTCGACGCCCAGTCCAGGTGAGTCCCCAGTGTCCTTCCTTGGGATGTCCCTTCTCTTTCTGTATAATTATCCCTTTCTGCACTCCACAGAGCCCTCGTTCTTCTCTGAGTGAATACTACATGGCATACAATTTTCCCCTGCTCTGTAACTGAGACCCTGGAATGGCGCTTCTGAACCAGACATAGGGTTCAAGAGGCTTCTGTCTTCTGTTCCATTTATCTCAGCTTTCATGAAGCAGTTTCATACTGTCCCAATGGCCAACCCTTAGAGGTTTAGGAAGTGACCTCATATTTAATTAGCTTTGGCACTTTTCTATTCAGAGCTGATATGACCTTCCTGAGAATTGAGAGTGATTGCCAAAGTCTCCTGGGTAGCCAATGTCAGCTAAAGCCTTAAACATGGCTGCCGCCACAGGCAAGCAATGTCAGTGCAGGCCTGACACCTCCCTTCCTCACTCCTTCCAACACCCCAGATTCTGCAGGGCTACATGTGCATCCAGAAGAGGCATAGGCCATGCTCGGGCAGGGAGAGGGATAATAAATATTTCTGGTGCCTCCACTTACTGGGAAACTTGATACCCCTTTGGTCAGCTCCTTGGTTTCCCTAACATTTTAGCTCGAGCTAGTAGAGTGTCAGCAATGGTGTTAGATGTACCCGTCAGTGCATGTGTCAGTGCATGGAACAGGCTAACCCTTTGTGACTGAGAAGAGGACATCCCACACTTCAGAGGCAGGAGGGATCGAACTGGTCTCCAGCAAGGCCTATGACCCTTGCTGAGCTTGCTGAGCTGCAGACTTGGGCAGACACATGGGGAGCAAGTGGCAGGAACCAGAAGTGGGGTAGTTTTCATGATGTTTGCCTTCTCCGGAGACCTTTCCTTTTGGAGATTTTCACCATCAACTTTAATTCTAGCCTTTGTCTCTGTTGCAATTACAGACACATTGCCGACCATCACCTTGCCTGCATCGACAGTAGGTAAATATTCCTCTCGCCCCTCCCTAGGGCTCACTCTCTACCTCTGGACAAATGTTTTTTCTGAAAATGATAGGATGAGGGTCAAGGTGGGCCCCTCTCTTTTTCATGTCCCTGTGGGTTGCATGGGAGGAAGGTAGCGTCTCTGGGGACCCAGCTCTGGGTCTGATGTTGGAGGCTGGAGGGTGCTGGTGACTTGTCTCCCGTGGAATCCTGTTCCAAGTGGTCAGGAAACATCCTCATCCAGGTGCTGAGGAAAAGCCCTGGAGGGTTCCCTAATCCTACTAAGACCTCATTCCTGTCCCTCAGCCCATGGGCTGCAGAGGTGTGAAGAGTCGGTGGAAGTGACTGTCCCCACACCTGTCTGGCCAAGGCCTTGTCATACCTGTGAAATTTTCAGAAGTCAGACAAGACCATAGGATTGCCACCAAGCTCCTGAGATGGGGAGAGTCTGGCCTGCCTACTGTAGCTGTGTAGCTCTGTCCTGTGTGTACCCAGGTTAGGGAATGGGGTTTCCATTCCTGTTAACTTCAGTAGGGTCACAGATGCTTCCCCAAAACTTGAGCCTTCATAAACCCAGGCAGAATAGGGTGTCACTGCTTCTTTGACTTTGATGAAGCTGAATCTCTGATTTTATTCATATTCAAAGGTGACTGCCTGCCCAGGTGACTTTAGCCATTAGGACATGCCTTGAGTGTGGAACATTCCTTAGATTCCTGACCTCATGATAGGGATGGATGAAGGATTCTTGTGTTCCCCTGTAGGATCTGAATCCAGTTTGGCCCTGAGGCTGGTGAATGGAGGTGACAGGTGTCAGGGCCGAGTGGAGGTCCTATACCAAGGCTCCTGGGGCACCGTGTGCGATGACAGCTGGGACACCAATGATGCCAATGTCGTCTGCAGGCAACTGGGCTGTGGCTGGGCCATGTCAGCCCCAGGAAATGCCCGGTTTGGTCAGGGCTCAGGACCCATTGTCCTGGATGATGTGCGCTGCTCAGGACACGAGTCTTACCTGTGGAGCTGCCCCCACAATGGCTGGCTCTCCCACAACTGTGGCCATAGTGAAGACGCTGGTGTCATCTGCTCAGGTGGGCCTTCAAGAACTTGGGATCACTCTCTTGGGGTGGAGTTTGCTCCAGAAGAAACTCCTAATTACATTCTGATCTCCTCACTCAAAGCTTCTTCTATGTTTTCTATATTTCTGAAGACTTGTTAGCTCTCTGCTAAGAATCCCTATGTACTCACTGCCTAGTGTTCCTGTGGTCACTTAGGACAGGGGACCAAACTCAAACAACCCAGAGTTTTTCCCCTTCCTGAGGGAAGGCAAGGAAGAGGCAGAAGAGAAAAGTGCTGGCTCCCCAGGGCTCCATTTCTCCCCTGCTGAGTAGCACGGTGTGAGGGTATAATGGATGCAGGACAGACAGCAAGGCGGGGTAGGGATCCTCTCACTGTGAGGAACTCTGAACTAAAGATGCTTGTCTGAAAGTGGGTTCTCAGCTGAGACCCAGTGAGGAGGTCTGGAAATAGAGGCTCAAGGGTTAGGAGTGCAAATGGGTGTCTGATTCTATCACGCCTGGGTTGTGTGAGGTTGGAGTCCTTGACCTCAGGTCCTCTCAGATCACTGCTGAGCATTGCCTGTGCCCCAGGTCTGGTGTGGGGAGGGCAGCCCCCATGAGGCCGGCCAGGCATGGCCTTGTCATTGCCTGTGATCAGGGCTTGAGGACGGCACAAGGGATTTTGGCTGGAGTGGCTTCCTCAGCCTTGCTGACTCAAGAATGCCTAAGACGTGCAAGGGAGAGGGTTGGTTTAGGCCAACCGGGTTACCCTGGGCAGACACAAGTTGATCACCTCAGAGCTGGCAATAGTGGACAGGATCTGCCTCGACCCCTTACATGGTGCATCTCTGTGGGGATGTGCATGGCAATGCCCCTCCCTGTGTGATAGGAACTAGGATGGACTGAGTGTCAGACTCGCCCATTTCTTTCCCTCCTCGTTCCACTTTGCCGACTTCTGTGTAATGTTCCTGATCTGACCTTCTCTTCTCTTTCTCACAGCTTCCCAGTCCCGGCCAACACCTAGTCCAGGTGGGTCCCCAGTGTCCTTCCTCAAAATGTCCCTTCTCTTTCTGCCCAATCACCCCTTCCACACTCCACAGAGCTCTCCTGTTTCTCTGTGTGGATACTGTGGGGCATATTATTTCTACCCCCAACACCAGTTGTGTAACTGAGACCCCAGCACAGCGCTTTTTAAACACACACAGGATTGAGGAGGCCTCTGTCTTCTTTTCAACCCCTCTCAGCTTTCATGAAACAGTTTCATACTGTCCCAGTGGACAACCCTTACAGGTTCAGGAAGTGGCCCCATGTTTAATGAGCTTTGGTCCTTTTATATTCCGGACTCACATATAGTTTCTGAAAATTGTGAGTGTCACCCTCTGACCTGTTCAAGGCATCATCAGGGCAGGCTCGATACCCCCATCCTTCACTGCTGGAAACATTCCGAGATTATCATGGGCCACATTTGTATCCAGAAAAGGCAGAGTTTGTGCTTGGGCAGGGAGAGGGATAATAAAGGTTTGTGATGTCACTGCTTAACCAGAAACCTGATTCCTGATTGTCCCCTGGGCAGCCCCTGGTTCCCCTAACATTTTATCTGCCAGTGTCCGAGCCTCAGCAATGGCGTCTGATGTCCTAGTCAGTCCATGCATCAGCAGATGTGGGATGGCATGGTGGGGGCATCCTCTAAGAGATAGAAAGATACCCCAGGATTAGAGAAATGGAGGGCTCAGTCTGGTCTCCAGCAGGACCTTTGTCCGTGGATGAGTTCACAGCAGAGGAGACCTGGGAAGACACATGGGAAGCAAGTGGCAGGAACAGGAAGTGGAATTGTTGCCAGGTGGATTCCCCCTCCCAGAGAACCTTTTGTTCTGCACCTTTTCCCTTCAAGTCTAATTCTGTCTTTTCCTTTGTTGCAATTTACAGACACTTGGCCAACCTCACATGCATCAACAGCAGGTAAATAATCCTCTCACCCCTCCCTAGGGCTCACTGTCTCTGGACATATTTTGTGTTTGAAACTGATAGGATGAGGCTCAAGGTGGGCCCCTCTTTTTTCACTCCCCTGTGGGTTGCGTGGGAGGAAGGTGGAATCTCTGAGGAGCCAGTGCTGGGTCTGATGTTTGAGGATGGAGGGTGCTGGTGACTGTCTCCCATGGAATCCTGTTCCAAGTGGTCAGGAAAGATCCTCATCCAGGTGCTCAGGATGAGCACTGGAGGGCTCCTTAATCCTACTGGGACCTCGTTCCTGGCCCTCAGGCCATGGGATCCAGATCTCTGAAGAGCAGGTGAAAGTGCCAGTCTCTGCACTTGTGTGGCCAAGGTCTTGCCATCACTGGCAAATTGCCAGAAGGCAGAGAGGACCATGCAGGTGCCAATGAGCTCCTGAATTCGGAGGGGGTCTGGGCTTGTCATTTGTAGCTGTGTATCTCCATCCTTTGTGTACCCAGAGTGGGGAATGGGGTGTCCATTCCTGTCCCCTCCTCTGGGGTCATACATGCTTACCCATAGCTTGAGCTTTTATAGACTTGAGTAGAATAGGGCATCACTTTTTCCACTATGACAAAGCTTAACCTCTGGGTGCAGCTATCTTCCATCATGACTGCATGCCCTGGTGACTTCTGCATTCGTATTGAAACTTGACTACTTTGCCCACTGCCCTGATTGTTGTCCATGCCTTATCCTTGACCTCATATTTGAGATGGATGAAGCGTTCTTGTGTTCCCCTGTAGGATCTGAATCCAGTTTGGCCCTGAGGCTGGTGAATGGAGGTGACAGGTGTCAGGGCCGAGTGGAGGTCCTATACCGAGGCTCCTGGGGCACCGTGTGTGATGACTACTGGGACACCAATGATGCCAATGTGGTTTGCAGGCAGCTGGGCTGTGGCTGGGCCATGTCAGCCCCAGGAAATGCCCGGTTTGGCCAGGGTTCAGGACCCATTGTCCTGGATGATGTGCGCTGCTCAGGACATGAGTCCTATCTGTGGAGCTGCCCCCACAATGGCTGGCTCTCCCACAACTGTGGCCATCATGAAGACGCTGGTGTCATCTGCTCAGGTGGGCCTCCAAGACCTTCGGCTCCCTCTCCTAGGTTGGAGTTTGCTCAGGAAGAAAATCCTAATTACATTATGATCTCCTCTGAACTCACAGATTCTTCTATGTTTCTTGTATTTATGCAGCCTTGTTAGCTCCCTGCTAAGAATCTGTATGAATTTTGCTACAGCGGTTGGTGTTCATGTGGTCACTTAGGACAGGGGACCAAAGTCAAACAACAACCCAGACTTTATCCCCTTCCTGAGGCAGTGCAAGGAAGAGGCAGAAGAGAAAACTGCTGGCTCCCCAGGGCTCCATTTCTTCCCTGCTGAGTAGCAGTGGTTGAGGGTATCATGGACATAGGACAGACAGCGGGGCAGAGGAGGGATCCTCTCACTGTGAGGAACTCTGAACCAAAGATGCTTGTCTGGAAGTGGGTTCTCAGCTGAGACCCAGTGAGGAGGTCTGGAAACAGAGGCTCAAGGGTTAGGAGTGCAAAATGGGTGTCTGGTTCTATCAGGCCTGGGTTGTGTGAGGTTGGAGTCCTTGACCTCAGGTCCTCTCAGAACGCTGCAGAGCACTGCCTTGCCCTGGGTCTGGTGTGGGGAGGGCAGCCCCCATGAGACTGGCCAGGCTTGGCCTCATTATTGCCTGTGGTCGGGGCTTGAAGATCACACAAGGGATTTTGGCTGGAGTGGCTTCCTCAGCCTTGCTGACTCAGGAACACTTAAGATGTGCAAGGGAGTGGGTTGGTTTAGGTCAACTGGGTTACCCTGCGCAGACACAATTTGATCTCCTCAGAGCTGGCAATAGTGGACAGGATCTGCCTCAACCCCTTACACGGTGCATCTCTGTGGGGATGTGCATGGCAATGTCCCTCCCTGTGTGATAGGAACTAGGATGGACTGAGTGTCAGACTCGCCCATTTCTTTCCCTCCTCATTCCAGTTTTGTCGACTTCTGTGTAACATTCCTGATCTGACCTTCTCTTCTCTTTCTCACAGCTTCCCAGTCCCAGCCGACACCCAGCCCAGGTAAGTTCCCAGTGTCCTTCCTCAAAATGTCCCTTCTCTTTCTGCCCAATCACCCCTTCCCCACTCCACAGAGCTCTCCTGTTTCTCTGTGTGGATACTGTGGGGCATATTATTTCTACCGCCACCACCGGCTGTATTTCACATGGGTCCTTTTCTATTTTCCCTAAGTGTCAGCCGGTCTGAGAAATAAAGGGAAGGCATACAAAAGAGCAAAATTTTAAAGCTGGGTGTTGGGGGGAGACATCACATGTCAGCAGGTTCCGTGATCCCTCCTGAGTAGCAAAACCAGCAAGTTTTTATTGGTGATTTTCAAAAGGGGAGGGAGTGCACAAATAGGGTGTGGGTCACAGAGATCACATCCTTCACAAGGTAATAAAATATCACAAGGTAAATGGAGGCAGGGCAAGATCACAGGACTGGGGTGAAATTAAAATTGCTAATGAAGTTTCGGGCACGCATTGTCATTGAAAACATTTTATCAGGAGACAGGGTTTGAGAGCAGACAACTGGTCTGACCAAAATTTATTAGGAGGCAATTTCCTCATCCTAATAAGCCTGGAAGCGCTACGGGGGACCGGGGCTTATTTCATCCCTTATCTGTAAGCGTAAAAGACAGACGTTCCCAAAGCGGCCATTTCAGAGGCCTCCCCTTAGGAACACATTCTCTTTCTCAGGGATGTTCCTTGCTGAGAAAAGGAATTCAGCGATATTTCTCCTATTTGCTTTTGAAGGAAGAGAAATGTGGCTCTGTTCTGCCTGGCCCACAGGCAGCCAGCCTTTAAGGTTATCTCCCTTGTTCCCTGAACAACGCTGTTATCCTGTTCTTTTTTCACAGTGCCCAGATTTCATATTGTTTAAACAATTTCTGCAGTTAACGCAATCATCACAGGGTCCTGAGGTGACATTCATCCTCAGTTTATGAAGAAGATGGGATTAAGAGATTAAAGTAAAGACAGGCATAGGAAATCACAAGAGTATTGATTGGGGAAGTGATAAGTGTCCATGAAATCTTCACAATTTATGTTCAGAGATTGCAGTAAAGACAGGCGTAAGAAATTATAAAAATATTAATTTGGGGAACTAATAAATGTCCATGAAATCTTCAAATTTATGTTCTTGTGCCATGGCCTCAGCCGGTCCCTCTGTTTGGGGTCCCTGACTTCCCGCAACACAGCACAGTGCTTTGAAAACACACATAGGATTCAGGAGGCCTCTGTCTTCTTTTCAACCCCTCTCAGCTTTCATGAAACAGTTTCATACTGTCCCAGTGGACAGCCCTTACAGGTTCAGGAAGTGGCCCCATGTTTAATGAGTTTTGGTCCTTTTATATTCAGGACTCACATATAGTTTCGAAAATTGAGGGTGTCACCCTCTGACCTGTTCAAGGCATTGTCAGGGCAGGCTCGATACCCCCATCCATCACTGCTGGAAAAATTCTGAGATTATGATGGACCACATTTGTATCCAGAAGAGGCAGGGTTTGTGCTTGGGCAGGGAAAGGGATAATAAAGGTTTGTAGTGTCTCTGCTTAGCCAGAAACCTGATTCCTGATTGTCCCCTGGGCAGCCCCTGGTTCCCCTAACATTTTATCTGCCAGTGTCTGAGCCTCAGCAATGGCATCTGATGTCCTAGTCAGTCCATGCATCAGCAGATGTGGGATTGCATGGTGGGGGGCATCCTCTAACAGATAGAAAGATACCCCAGGATTAGAGAAATGGAGGGCTCAGTCTGGTCTCCAGCAGGACCTTTGTTCATGGATGAGTTCACAGCAGAGGAGACCTGGGAAGACACATGGGAAGCAAGTGGCAGGAACAGGAAGTGGAATTGTTGCCAGGTGGATTCCCCCTCCCAGAGAACCTTTTGTTCTGCACCTTTTCCCTTCAAGTCTAATTCTGTCTTTTCCTTTGTTGCAATTTACAGACACTTGGCCAACCTCACATGCATCAACAGCAGGTAAATAATCCTCTCACCCCTCCCTAGGGCTCACTGTCTCTGGACATATTTTGTGTTTGAAACTGATAGGATGAGGCTCAAGGTGGGCCCCTCTTTTTTCACTCCCCTGTGGGTTGCGTGGGAGGAAGGTGGAATCTCTGAGGAGCCAGTGCTGGGTCTGATGTTTGAGGATGGAGGGTGCTGGTGACTGTCTCCCATGGAATCCTGTTCCAAGTGGTCAGGAAAGATCCTCATCCAGGTGCTCAGGATGAGCACTGGAGGGCTCCTTAATCCTACTGGGACCTCGTTCCTGGCCCTCAGGCCATGGGATCCAGATCTCTGAAGAGCAGGTGAAAGTGCCAGTCTCTGCACTTGTGTGGCCAAGGTCTTGCCATCACTGGCAAATTGCCAGAAGGCAGAGAGGACCATGCAGGTGCCAATGAGCTCCTGAATTCGGAGGGGGTCTGGGCTTGTCATTTGTAGCTGTGTATCTCCATCCTTTGTGTACCCAGAGTGGGGAATGGGGTGTCCATTCCTGTCCCCTCCTCTGGGGTCATACATGCTTACCCATAGCTTGAGCTTTTATAGACTTGAGTAGAATAGGGCATCACTTTTTCCACTATGACAAAGTTTAACCTCTGGGTGCAGCTATCTTCCATCATGACTGCATGCCCTGGTGACTTCTGCATTCGTATTGAAACTTGACTACTTTGCCCACTGCCCTGATTGTTGTCCATGCCTTATCCTTGACCTCATATTTGAGATGGATGAAGCGTTCTTGTGTTCCCCTGTAGGATCTGAATCCAGTTTGGCCCTGAGGCTGGTGAATGGAGGTGACAGGTGTCAGGGCCGAGTGGAGGTCCTATACCGAGGCTCCTGGGGCACCGTGTGTGATGACTACTGGGACACCAATGATGCCAATGTGGTTTGCAGGCAGCTGGGCTGTGGCTGGGCCACGTCAGCCCCAGGAAATGCCCGGTTTGGCCAGGGTTCAGGACCCATTGTCCTGGATGATGTGCGCTGCTCAGGACATGAGTCCTATCTGTGGAGCTGCCCCCACAATGGCTGGCTCTCCCACAACTGTGGCCATCATGAAGACGCTGGTGTCATCTGCTCAGGTGGGCCTCCAAGACCTTCGGCTCCCTCTCCTAGGTTGGAGTTTGCTCAGGAAGAAAATCCTAATTACATTATGATCTCCTCTGAACTCACAGATTCTTCTATGTTTCTTGTATTTATGCAGCCTTGTTAGCTCCCTGCTAAGAATCTGTATGAATTTTGCTACAGCGGTTGGTGTTCATGTGGTCACTTAGGACAGGGGACCAAAGTCAAACAACAACCCAGACTTTATCCCCTTCCTGAGGCAGTGCAAGGAAGAGGCAGAAGAGAAAACTGCTGGCTCCCCAGGGCTCCATTTCTTCCCTGCTGAGTAGCAGTGGTTGAGGGTATCATGGACATAGGACAGACAGCGGGGCAGAGGAGGGATCCTCTCACTGTGAGGAACTCTGAACCAAAGATGCTTGTCTGGAAGTGGGTTCTCAGCTGAGACCCAGTGAGGAGGTCTGGAAACAGAGGCTCAAGGGTTAGGAGTGCAAAATGGGTGTCTGGTTCTATCAGGCCTGGGTTGTGTGAGGTTGGAGTCCTTGACCTCAGGTCCTCTCAGAACGCTGCAGAGCACTGCCTTGCCCTGGGTCTGGTGTGGGGAGGGCAGCCCCCATGAGACTGGCCAGGCTTGGCCTCATTATTGCCTGTGGTCGGGGCTTGAAGATCACACAAGGGATTTTGGCTGGAGTGGCTTCCTCAGCCTTGCTGACTCAGGAACACCTAAGATGTGCAAGGGAGTGGGTTGGTTTAGGTCAACTGGGTTACCCTGCGCAGACACAATTTGATCTCCTCAGAGCTGGCAATAGTGGACAGGATCTGCCTCAACCCCTTACACGGTGCATCTCTGTGGGGATGTGCATGGCAATGTCCCTCCCTGTGTGATAGGAACTAGGATGGACTGAGTGTCAGACTCGCCCATTTCTTTCCCTCCTCATTCCAGTTTTGTCGACTTCTGTGTAACATTCCTGATCTGACCTTCTCTTCTCTTTCTCACAGCTTCCCAGTCCCAGCCGACACCCAGCCCAGGTAAGTTCCCAGTGTCCTTCCTCAAAATGTCCCTTCTCTTTCTGCCCAATCACCCCTTCCCCACTCCACAGAGCTCTCCTGTTTCTCTGTGTGGATACTGTGGGGCATATTATTTCTACCGCCACCACCGGCTGTATTTCACATGGGTCCTTTTCTATTTTCCCTAAGTGTCAGCCGGTCTGAGAAATAAAGGGAAGGCATACAAAAGAGCAAAATTTTAAAGCTGGGTGTTGGGGGGAGACATCACATGTCAGCAGGTTCCGTGATCCCTCCTGAGTAGCAAAACCAGCAAGTTTTTATTGGTGATTTTCAAAAGGGGAGGGAGTGCACAAATAGGGTGTGGGTCACAGAGATCACATCCTTCACAAGGTAATAAAATATCACAAGGTAAATGGAGGCAGGGCAAGATCACAGGACTGGGGTGAAATTAAAATTGCTAATGAAGTTTCGGGCACGCATTGTCATTGAAAACATTTTATCAGGAGACAGGGTTTGAGAGCAGACAACTGGTCTGACCAAAATTTATTAGGAGGCAATTTCCTCATCCTAATAAGCCTGGAAGCGCTACGGGGGACCGGGGCTTATTTCATCCCTTATCTGTAAGCGTAAAAGACAGACGTTCCCAAAGCGGCCATTTCAGAGGCCTCCCCTTAGGAACACATTCTCTTTCTCAGGGATGTTCCTTGCTGAGAAAAGGAATTCAGCGATATTTCTCCTATTTGCTTTTGAAGGAAGAGAAATGTGGCTCTGTTCTGCCTGGCCCACAGGCAGCCAGCCTTTAAGGTTATCTCCCTTGTTCCCTGAACAACGCTGTTATCCTGTTCTTTTTTCACAGTGCCCAGATTTCATATTGTTTAAACAATTTCTGCAGTTAACGCAATCATCACAGGGTCCTGAGGTGACATTCATCCTCAGTTTATGAAGAAGATGGGATTAAGAGATTAAAGTAAAGACAGGCATAGGAAATCACAAGAGTATTGATTGGGGAAGTGATAAGTGTCCATGAAATCTTCACAATTTATGTTCAGAGATTGCAGTAAAGACAGGCGTAAGAAATTATAAAAATATTAATTTGGGGAACTAATAAATGTCCATGAAATCTTCAAATTTATGTTCTTGTGCCATGGCCTCAGCCGGTCCCTCTGTTTGGGGTCCCTGACTTCCCGCAACACAGCACAGTGCTTTGAAAACACACATAGGATTCAGGAGGCCTCTGTCTTCTTTTCAACCCCTCTCAGCTTTCATGAAACAGTTTCATACTGTCCCAGTGGACAGCCCTTACAGGTTCAGGAAGTGGCCCCATGTTTAATGAGTTTTGGTCCTTTTATATTCAGGACTCACATATAGTTTCGAAAATTGAGGGTGTCACCCTCTGACCTGTTCAAGGCATTGTCAGGGCAGGCTCGATACCCCCATCCATCACTGCTGGAAAAATTCTGAGATTATGATGGACCACATTTGTATCCAGAAGAGGCAGGGTTTGTGCTTGGGCAGGGAAAGGGATAATAAAGGTTTGTAGTGTCTCTGCTTAGCCAGAAACCTGATTCCTGATTGTCCCCTGGGCAGCCCCTGGTTCCCCTAACATTTTATCTGCCAGTGTCTGAGCCTCAGCAATGGCATCTGATGTCCTAGTCAGTCCATGCATCAGCAGATGTGGGATTGCATGGTGGGGGGCATCCTCTAACAGATAGAAAGATACCCCAGGATTAGAGAAATGGAGGGCTCAGTCTGGTCTCCAGCAGGACCTTTGTTCATGGATGAGTTCACAGCAGAGGAGACCTGGGAAGACACATGGGAAGCAAGTGGCAGGAACAGGAAGTGGAATTGTTGCCAGGTGGATTCCCCCTCCCAGAGAACCTTTTGTTCTGCACCTTTTCCCTTCAAGTCTAATTCTGTCTTTTCCTTTGTTGCAATTTACAGACACTTGGCCAACCTCACATGCATCAACAGCAGGTAAATAATCCTCTCACCCCTCCCTAGGGCTCACTGTCTCTGGACATATTTTGTGTTTGAAACTGATAGGATGAGGCTCAAGGTGGGCCCCTCTTTTTTCACTCCCCTGTGGGTTGCGTGGGAGGAAGGTGGAATCTCTGAGGAGCCAGTGCTGGGTCTGATGTTTGAGGATGGAGGGTGCTGGTGACTGTCTCCCATGGAATCCTGTTCCAAGTGGTCAGGAAAGATCCTCATCCAGGTGCTCAGGATGAGCACTGGAGGGCTCCTTAATCCTACTGGGACCTCGTTCCTGGCCCTCAGGCCATGGGATCCAGATCTCTGAAGAGCAGGTGAAAGTGCCAGTCTCTGCACTTGTGTGGCCAAGGTCTTGCCATCACTGGCAAATTGCCAGAAGGCAGAGAGGACCATGCAGGTGCCAATGAGCTCCTGAATTCGGAGGGGGTCTGGGCTTGTCATTTGTAGCTGTGTATCTCCATCCTTTGTGTACCCAGAGTGGGGAATGGGGTGTCCATTCCTGTCCCCTCCTCTGGGGTCATACATGCTTACCCATAGCTTGAGCTTTTATAGACTTGAGTAGAATAGGGCATCACTTTTTCCACTATGACAAAGTTTAACCTCTGGGTGCAGCTATCTTCCATCATGACTGCATGCCCTGGTGACTTCTGCATTCGTATTGAAACTTGACTACTTTGCCCACTGCCCTGATTGTTGTCCATGCCTTATCCTTGACCTCATATTTGAGATGGATGAAGCGTTCTTGTGTTCCCCTGTAGGATCTGAATCCAGTTTGGCCCTGAGGCTGGTGAATGGAGGTGACAGGTGTCAGGGCCGAGTGGAGGTCCTATACCGAGGCTCCTGGGGCACCGTGTGTGATGACTACTGGGACACCAATGATGCCAATGTGGTTTGCAGGCAGCTGGGCTGTGGCTGGGCCACGTCAGCCCCAGGAAATGCCCGGTTTGGCCAGGGTTCAGGACCCATTGTCCTGGATGATGTGCGCTGCTCAGGACATGAGTCCTATCTGTGGAGCTGCCCCCACAATGGCTGGCTCTCCCACAACTGTGGCCATCATGAAGACGCTGGTGTCATCTGCTCAGGTGGGCCTCCAAGACCTTCGGCTCCCTCTCCTAGGTTGGAGTTTGCTCAGGAAGAAAATCCTAATTACATTATGATCTCCTCTGAACTCACAGATTCTTCTATGTTTCTTGTATTTATGCAGCCTTGTTAGCTCCCTGCTAAGAATCTGTATGAATTTTGCTACAGCGGTTGGTGTTCATGTGGTCACTTAGGACAGGGGACCAAAGTCAAACAACAACCCAGACTTTATCCCCTTCCTGAGGCAGTGCAAGGAAGAGGCAGAAGAGAAAACTGCTGGCTCCCCAGGGCTCCATTTCTTCCCTGCTGAGTAGCAGTGGTTGAGGGTATCATGGACATAGGACAGACAGCGGGGCAGAGGAGGGATCCTCTCACTGTGAGGAACTCTGAACCAAAGATGCTTGTCTGGAAGTGGGTTCTCAGCTGAGACCCAGTGAGGAGGTCTGGAAACAGAGGCTCAAGGGTTAGGAGTGCAAAATGGGTGTCTGGTTCTATCAGGCCTGGGTTGTGTGAGGTTGGAGTCCTTGACCTCAGGTCCTCTCAGAACGCTGCAGAGCACTGCCTTGCCCTGGGTCTGGTGTGGGGAGGGCAGCCCCCATGAGACTGGCCAGGCTTGGCCTCATTATTGCCTGTGGTCGGGGCTTGAAGATCACACAAGGGATTTTGGCTGGAGTGGCTTCCTCAGCCTTGCTGACTCAGGAACACCTAAGATGTGCAAGGGAGTGGGTTGGTTTAGGTCAACTGGGTTACCCTGCGCAGACACAATTTGATCTCCTCAGAGCTGGCAATAGTGGACAGGATCTGCCTCAACCCCTTACACGGTGCATCTCTGTGGGGATGTGCATGGCAATGTCCCTCCCTGTGTGATAGGAACTAGGATGGACTGAGTGTCAGACTCGCCCATTTCTTTCCCTCCTCATTCCAGTTTTGTCGACTTCTGTGTAACATTCCTGATCTGACCTTCTCTTCTCTTTCTCACAGCTTCCCAGTCCCAGCCGACACCCAGCCCAGGTAAGTTCCCAGTGTCCTTCCTCAAAATGTCCCTTCTCTTTCTGCCCAATCACCCCTTCCCCACTCCACAGAGCTCTCCTGTTTCTCTGTGTGGATACTGTGGGGCATATTATTTCTACCGCCACCACCGGCTGTATTTCACATGGGTCCTTTTCTATTTTCCCTAAGTGTCAGCCGGTCTGAGAAATAAAGGGAAGGCATACAAAAGAGCAAAATTTTAAAGCTGGGTGTTGGGGGGAGACATCACATGTCAGCAGGTTCCGTGATCCCTCCTGAGTAGCAAAACCAGCAAGTTTTTATTGGTGATTTTCAAAAGGGGAGGGAGTGCACAAATAGGGTGTGGGTCACAGAGATCACATCCTTCACAAGGTAATAAAATATCACAAGGTAAATGGAGGCAGGGCAAGATCACAGGACTGGGGTGAAATTAAAATTGCTAATGAAGTTTCGGGCACGCATTGTCATTGAAAACATTTTATCAGGAGACAGGGTTTGAGAGCAGACAACTGGTCTGACCAAAATTTATTAGGAGGCAATTTCCTCATCCTAATAAGCCTGGAAGCGCTACGGGGGACCGGGGCTTATTTCATCCCTTATCTGTAAGCGTAAAAGACAGACGTTCCCAAAGCGGCCATTTCAGAGGCCTCCCCTTAGGAACACATTCTCTTTCTCAGGGATGTTCCTTGCTGAGAAAAGGAATTCAGCGATATTTCTCCTATTTGCTTTTGAAGGAAGAGAAATGTGGCTCTGTTCTGCCTGGCCCACAGGCAGCCAGCCTTTAAGGTTATCTCCCTTGTTCCCTGAACAACGCTGTTATCCTGTTCTTTTTTCACAGTGCCCAGATTTCATATTGTTTAAACAATTTCTGCAGTTAACGCAATCATCACAGGGTCCTGAGGTGACATTCATCCTCAGTTTATGAAGAAGATGGGATTAAGAGATTAAAGTAAAGACAGGCATAGGAAATCACAAGAGTATTGATTGGGGAAGTGATAAGTGTCCATGAAATCTTCACAATTTATGTTCAGAGATTGCAGTAAAGACAGGCGTAAGAAATTATAAAAATATTAATTTGGGGAACTAATAAATGTCCATGAAATCTTCAAATTTATGTTCTTGTGCCATGGCCTCAGCCGGTCCCTCTGTTTGGGGTCCCTGACTTCCCGCAACACAGCACAGTGCTTTGAAAACACACATAGGATTCAGGAGGCCTCTGTCTTCTTTTCAACCCCTCTCAGCTTTCATGAAACAGTTTCATACTGTCCCAGTGGACAGCCCTTACAGGTTCAGGAAGTGGCCCCATGTTTAATGAGTTTTGGTCCTTTTATATTCAGGACTCACATATAGTTTCGAAAATTGAGGGTGTCACCCTCTGACCTGTTCAAGGCATTGTCAGGGCAGGCTCGATACCCCCATCCATCACTGCTGGAAAAATTCTGAGATTATGATGGACCACATTTGTATCCAGAAGAGGCAGGGTTTGTGCTTGGGCAGGGAAAGGGATAATAAAGGTTTGTAGTGTCTCTGCTTAGCCAGAAACCTGATTCCTGATTGTCCCCTGGGCAGCCCCTGGTTCCCCTAACATTTTATCTGCCAGTGTCTGAGCCTCAGCAATGGCATCTGATGTCCTAGTCAGTCCATGCATCAGCAGATGTGGGATTGCATGGTGGGGGGCATCCTCTAACAGATAGAAAGATACCCCAGGATTAGAGAAATGGAGGGCTCAGTCTGGTCTCCAGCAGGACCTTTGTTCATGGATGAGTTCACAGCAGAGGAGACCTGGGAAGACACATGGGAAGCAAGTGGCAGGAACAGGAAGTGGAATTGTTGCCAGGTGGATTCCCCCTCCCAGAGAACCTTTTGTTCTGCACCTTTTCCCTTCAAGTCTAATTCTGTCTTTTCCTTTGTTGCAATTTACAGACACTTGGCCAACCTCACATGCATCAACAGCAGGTAAATAATCCTCTCACCCCTCCCTAGGGCTCACTGTCTCTGGACATATTTTGTGTTTGAAACTGATAGGATGAGGCTCAAGGTGGGCCCCTCTTTTTTCACTCCCCTGTGGGTTGCGTGGGAGGAAGGTGGAATCTCTGAGGAGCCAGTGCTGGGTCTGATGTTTGAGGATGGAGGGTGCTGGTGACTGTCTCCCATGGAATCCTGTTCCAAGTGGTCAGGAAAGATCCTCATCCAGGTGCTCAGGATGAGCACTGGAGGGCTCCTTAATCCTACTGGGACCTCGTTCCTGGCCCTCAGGCCATGGGATCCAGATCTCTGAAGAGCAGGTGAAAGTGCCAGTCTCTGCACTTGTGTGGCCAAGGTCTTGCCATCACTGGCAAATTGCCAGAAGGCAGAGAGGACCATGCAGGTGCCAATGAGCTCCTGAATTCGGAGGGGGTCTGGGCTTGTCATTTGTAGCTGTGTATCTCCATCCTTTGTGTACCCAGAGTGGGGAATGGGGTGTCCATTCCTGTCCCCTCCTCTGGGGTCATACATGCTTACCCATAGCTTGAGCTTTTATAGACTTGAGTAGAATAGGGCATCACTTTTTCCACTATGACAAAGTTTAACCTCTGGGTGCAGCTATCTTCCATCATGACTGCATGCCCTGGTGACTTCTGCATTCGTATTGAAACTTGACTACTTTGCCCACTGCCCTGATTGTTGTCCATGCCTTATCCTTGACCTCATATTTGAGATGGATGAAGCGTTCTTGTGTTCCCCTGTAGGATCTGAATCCAGTTTGGCCCTGAGGCTGGTGAATGGAGGTGACAGGTGTCAGGGCCGAGTGGAGGTCCTATACCGAGGCTCCTGGGGCACCGTGTGTGATGACTACTGGGACACCAATGATGCCAATGTGGTTTGCAGGCAGCTGGGCTGTGGCTGGGCCACGTCAGCCCCAGGAAATGCCCGGTTTGGCCAGGGTTCAGGACCCATTGTCCTGGATGATGTGCGCTGCTCAGGACATGAGTCCTATCTGTGGAGCTGCCCCCACAATGGCTGGCTCTCCCACAACTGTGGCCATCATGAAGACGCTGGTGTCATCTGCTCAGGTGGGCCTCCAAGACCTTCGGCTCCCTCTCCTAGGTTGGAGTTTGCTCAGGAAGAAAATCCTAATTACATTATGATCTCCTCTGAACTCACAGATTCTTCTATGTTTCTTGTATTTATGCAGCCTTGTTAGCTCCCTGCTAAGAATCTGTATGAATTTTGCTACAGCGGTTGGTGTTCATGTGGTCACTTAGGACAGGGGACCAAAGTCAAACAACAACCCAGACTTTATCCCCTTCCTGAGGCAGTGCAAGGAAGAGGCAGAAGAGAAAACTGCTGGCTCCCCAGGGCTCCATTTCTTCCCTGCTGAGTAGCAGTGGTTGAGGGTATCATGGACATAGGACAGACAGCGGGGCAGAGGAGGGATCCTCTCACTGTGAGGAACTCTGAACCAAAGATGCTTGTCTGGAAGTGGGTTCTCAGCTGAGACCCA
Organism: Homo sapiens; assembly: GCF_000001405.40. Taxonomy (NCBI): domain Eukaryota; kingdom Metazoa; phylum Chordata; class Mammalia; order Primates; family Hominidae; genus Homo; species Homo sapiens. The sequence goes on from NC_000010.11 coordinate 122,614,729, forward strand.
GTGAGGAGGTCTGGAAACAGAGGCTCAAGGGTTAGGAGTGCAAAATGGGTGTCTGGTTCTATCAGGCCTGGGTTGTGTGAGGTTGGAGTCCTTGACCTCAGGTCCTCTCAGAACGCTGCAGAGCACTGCCTTGCCCTGGGTCTGGTGTGGGGAGGGCAGCCCCCATGAGACTGGCCAGGCTTGGCCTCATTATTGCCTGTGGTCGGGGCTTGAAGATCACACAAGGGATTTTGGCTGGAGTGGCTTCCTCAGCCTTGCTGACTCAGGAACACCTAAGATGTGCAAGGGAGTGGGTTGGTTTAGGTCAACTGGGTTACCCTGCGCAGACACAATTTGATCTCCTCAGAGCTGGCAATAGTGGACAGGATCTGCCTCAACCCCTTACACGGTGCATCTCTGTGGGGATGTGCATGGCAATGTCCCTCCCTGTGTGATAGGAACTAGGATGGACTGAGTGTCAGACTCGCCCATTTCTTTCCCTCCTCATTCCAGTTTTGTCGACTTCTGTGTAACATTCCTGATCTGACCTTCTCTTCTCTTTCTCACAGCTTCCCAGTCCCAGCCGACACCCAGCCCAGGTAAGTTCCCAGTGTCCTTCCTCAAAATGTCCCTTCTCTTTCTGCCCAATCACCCCTTCCCCACTCCACAGAGCTCTCCTGTTTCTCTGTGTGGATACTGTGGGGCATATTATTTCTACCGCCACCACCGGCTGTATTTCACATGGGTCCTTTTCTATTTTCCCTAAGTGTCAGCCGGTCTGAGAAATAAAGGGAAGGCATACAAAAGAGCAAAATTTTAAAGCTGGGTGTTGGGGGGAGACATCACATGTCAGCAGGTTCCGTGATCCCTCCTGAGTAGCAAAACCAGCAAGTTTTTATTGGTGATTTTCAAAAGGGGAGGGAGTGCACAAATAGGGTGTGGGTCACAGAGATCACATCCTTCACAAGGTAATAAAATATCACAAGGTAAATGGAGGCAGGGCAAGATCACAGGACTGGGGTGAAATTAAAATTGCTAATGAAGTTTCGGGCACGCATTGTCATTGAAAACATTTTATCAGGAGACAGGGTTTGAGAGCAGACAACTGGTCTGACCAAAATTTATTAGGAGGCAATTTCCTCATCCTAATAAGCCTGGAAGCGCTACGGGGGACCGGGGCTTATTTCATCCCTTATCTGTAAGCGTAAAAGACAGACGTTCCCAAAGCGGCCATTTCAGAGGCCTCCCCTTAGGAACACATTCTCTTTCTCAGGGATGTTCCTTGCTGAGAAAAGGAATTCAGCGATATTTCTCCTATTTGCTTTTGAAGGAAGAGAAATGTGGCTCTGTTCTGCCTGGCCCACAGGCAGCCAGCCTTTAAGGTTATCTCCCTTGTTCCCTGAACAACGCTGTTATCCTGTTCTTTTTTCACAGTGCCCAGATTTCATATTGTTTAAACAATTTCTGCAGTTAACGCAATCATCACAGGGTCCTGAGGTGACATTCATCCTCAGTTTATGAAGAAGATGGGATTAAGAGATTAAAGTAAAGACAGGCATAGGAAATCACAAGAGTATTGATTGGGGAAGTGATAAGTGTCCATGAAATCTTCACAATTTATGTTCAGAGATTGCAGTAAAGACAGGCGTAAGAAATTATAAAAATATTAATTTGGGGAACTAATAAATGTCCATGAAATCTTCAAATTTATGTTCTTGTGCCATGGCCTCAGCCGGTCCCTCTGTTTGGGGTCCCTGACTTCCCGCAACACAGCACAGTGCTTTGAAAACACACATAGGATTCAGGAGGCCTCTGTCTTCTTTTCAACCCCTCTCAGCTTTCATGAAACAGTTTCATACTGTCCCAGTGGACAGCCCTTACAGGTTCAGGAAGTGGCCCCATGTTTAATGAGTTTTGGTCCTTTTATATTCAGGACTCACATATAGTTTCGAAAATTGAGGGTGTCACCCTCTGACCTGTTCAAGGCATTGTCAGGGCAGGCTCGATACCCCCATCCATCACTGCTGGAAAAATTCTGAGATTATGATGGACCACATTTGTATCCAGAAGAGGCAGGGTTTGTGCTTGGGCAGGGAAAGGGATAATAAAGGTTTGTAGTGTCTCTGCTTAGCCAGAAACCTGATTCCTGATTGTCCCCTGGGCAGCCCCTGGTTCCCCTAACATTTTATCTGCCAGTGTCTGAGCCTCAGCAATGGCATCTGATGTCCTAGTCAGTCCATGCATCAGCAGATGTGGGATTGCATGGTGGGGGGCATCCTCTAACAGATAGAAAGATACCCCAGGATTAGAGAAATGGAGGGCTCAGTCTGGTCTCCAGCAGGACCTTTGTTCATGGATGAGTTCACAGCAGAGGAGACCTGGGAAGACACATGGGAAGCAAGTGGCAGGAACAGGAAGTGGAATTGTTGCCAGGTTGATTCCCCCTCCCAGAGAACCTTTTGTTCTGTGCCTTTTCCCTTCAAGTCTAATTCTGTCTTTTTTCTTTGTTGCTATTTACAGACACTTGGCCAACCTCTCGTGCATCAACAGCAGGTAAACAATCCTCTCACCCCTCCCTAGGGCTCACTATCTCTGGACATATTTTGTGTTTGAAACTGATAGGATGAGGCTCAAGGTGGGCCCCTCTCTTTTCATGTCCCTGTGGGTTGGGTGGGAGGAAGGTGGAGTTTCTAGGGAGTCAGCCCTGGGTTTGATGTTTGAGGATGGAGGGTGCTGGTGACTGTCTCTCATGGGACCCTGTTCCAAGTGTTCAGGAACGATCCTCATCCAGGTGCTCAGGACGAGCACTGGAAGGCTCCCTAATCCTGCTGGGACCTCTTTCCTGGCCCTCTGACCACGCACTGCAGACCTGCAAGGGTGGGTGAAAATTTCTGTCCCTGCAGCTGTCTGGCCAAGTCCTTGCCATCCCTGGAAATTTGCCAGAAACCAGAGAGGACCATGTGGATGCCACCAAACTCTTAAACATGGGGCCAGCATGGGCCTGCTCTCTGGAGCTGTGGAGCTCCATCCTGTGTGTGCCCAGAGTAGGGAGTGGGGCATTCATTCCTGTCACTTCCAGTGGGGTCACAGGTGCTTCCCCAAAATCTGAGCCTCCATAAACCCAGGCAGCATAGTGTATCACCTCTCCTTTCCCTATGATAAAGCTGAACCTCCGGTAGCAGTTGTATGCAATTGTGACTGCTTGCCCAGGTGACTCTGGCCATTAGGAAGTACCCTGAGTGTGGAACTTGCCTTAGATTGTTGACCTCCTGGTGGGGATGGATGAAGGGTTCTTGTGTTCCCCTGTAGGATCTGAATCCACTTTGGCCCTGAGACTGGTGAATGGAGGTGACAGGTGTCGAGGCCGAGTGGAGGTCCTATACCAAGGCTCCTGGGGCACCGTGTGTGATGACTACTGGGACACCAATGATGCCAACGTGGTCTGCAGGCAGCTGGGCTGTGGCTGGGCCATGTCAGCCCCAGGAAATGCCCAGTTTGGCCAGGGCTCAGGACCCATTGTCCTGGATGATGTGCGCTGCTCAGGACACGAGTCTTACCTGTGGAGCTGCCCCCACAATGGCTGGCTCTCCCACAACTGTGGCCATCATGAAGATGCTGGTGTCATCTGCTCAGGTGGGCTTTCAAGACCTTGGGCTCCCTCTCTTAAGTTGAAGTTTGCTCAGGAAGAAAATCCTAATTACATTCTGATCTCCTCACTCAAAGCTTTTTCTATGTTTTCTATATTTCTGAAGTCTTGTTAGCTCTCTGCTAAGAATCTTTATGAATTTTGCTACAGTACCTGGTGCAGCTGTGGCCACTTAGGCCAGGGCTCCGAACTGAAACAACAACCCAGACTTTATCCCCATCCTGAGGCAGTGCAAGGAAGAGGCAGAAGAGAAAAGTGCTGGCTCCCCACGGCTCCATTTCTTCCCTGCTGAGTAGCACTGGTTGAGGGTATCGTGGACACAGCACAGATAGCAGGGGCAGGGAGGGATCCTCTCACTACAAGGAACTGTGAACTAAAGATGCTTGTCTGGAAGTGGGTTCTCAGCTGAGACCCAGTGAGGAGGTCTGGAAATAGAGGCTCAAGGGTTAGGAGTGCAAATGCATGTCTGTTTGTGTCAGGCCTGCTTGGAGTCCTTGACCTCAGGTCCTCTAAGAATGCTGCAGAGCACTGCCTGTGCCCCAGGTCTGGTGTGGGGAGGGCAGCCCCCATGAGTCTGGCCAGGCATGGCCTTGTTATTGCCTGTGGTCGGGGCTGTAAGATCACACAAGGCATTTGGGCTGGAGTGGCCTCCTCAGCCTTGCTGACTCAGGAACTGCCAAAACATCCAAGGGAGAGTGTTGGTTTTGGGTCAACCTGGTCACCCTGGGCAGACACAAAGTTACTCACCTCGGAGCTGACAATAGTGGCCAGGATCTGCCTGCACCCCTTATATGGTGCATCTCTGTGGGAATTTACATGGCAATGCCCCTCCCTCTGTGATAGGGACTAGGATGGACTGAGTGTCAGGCTTGCCCAGTTCCTTCTATCTTTGTTCCAGTTTTGCCATTTTCTGTATAGTGCATCTGATCTGACCTTCTCTTCTCTTTCTCACAGCTGCTCAGTCCCAGTCAACGCCCAGGCCAGGTGAGTCCCCAGCATCCTTCATCGGGATGTCCCTTCTCTTTCTGCCCAGTTACCTCTTCCCCACTCCACAGAGCTCTCCTGCTTTTCTGTGCGGATACTGTGGGGCATATTATTTTTCCTCCCACCACTCTGTAACTGAGACCCCAGCATAGTGCTTCAACAGACATAGGGTTCAGGAGGCTTCTGTCTTCTGTTCAATTTATTTCAGGTTTCATGAAGCAGTTTCATACTGTACAATGGACAAGCCTTACAGGTTCAGGAAGTGGCCTCATGTTTAATGAGCTTTAGCTCATTTATATTCAGAGCTGATACAACCTTTCTGAGAATTGAGAGTGACTGCCAAAGTCACCTGGGAAGGCAATGTCAGTTCAAGCCTTAAACATGACTTCTGCCATGGGCAAGCAATGTCAGTGCAGGCCTGATACCTCCGTCCCTCACTCCTTCAAATACCCCAGATTTTGCAAGGCCATATCTGCATCCAGAAAAGGCAGAGGCCATGCTCGGGCAGGGAGAGGGATAATAAATATTTCTGGTGCCTCCACTTATCAGGAAACTTGATACCCCTTTGGGCGGCTCCTTGGTTCCCCTAACATTTTAGCTCGAACTGTCAGAGTCTCAGCAATGGTGTCACATGTGCCCATCAGTCCATGTGTCACTGGATGGGGCAGGCTAACCCTTCGTAGCTGAGAAGAGGACATCTCACACTTCAGAGGTAGGAGGGATCGAACTGGTCTCCAGCAAGGCCTTTGTTCCTGGCTGTGCTCACTGAGCTGAAGACTTGGGTAGCACTTGGAGCAAGTGGCAGGAACCAGAAATTGAATAGTTTTCATGATGCTTGCCTGGTTCAGAGATTTTTTTTTGTAGCTTTCCTCCCTCAAGTCTAATTTTGTCCTTTCTCTTTGTTGCAATTTACAGATACTTGGCTGACCACCAACTTACCGGCATTGACAGTAGGTAAATAATCCTCTCGCCCCTCCCTAGGGCTCACTCTCTACCTCTGGACAAACGTTTCTTTTGAAAATGAAAGAATGAGGCTCAAGCTGGCGCCTCTGTTTTTCATGTTTCCGCGAGTTGCCTGGGGAGGTAGACTCCCTGGGAACCTAGTCCTGGGTCAGATGTTGGAGGCTGGAGGGTGCTGGTGACCTGTCTCCCCTGGGATTCTGTTTTATGTAGTCAGGAAAGATCCTCAGCCAGGTGCTCAGGACAAGCCCTGGAGGGCTCCCTAATCCTACTGGGACCTTGTTCCTGGCCCTCAGGCCACAGGCTGCAGACCTGCGAATAGTGGGGAAAGTGCCTGTCCCCATAGCTGTCTGGCCAATGTCCTACCATTCCTGGCACTTTGCTAGAAGCCAGAGAGGATCATGTGGGTGCCACCAAACTCCTGAACGTGAGGCAGGTCTTGGCCTCCTATCTGGAGCTGTGCAGCTTCATCCTGTGTGAGAATGGAGCTCAGAATGAGGAGTGAGGCGTCCATTCCTGTCACCTCCAGTGGGGTCACAGGTGCTTCCCCAATACTTGAGCTTCCATAGACTTGGGTGGAGTAGGACATCACTGCTTCTTCCACTATCATGAAGCTGAACCTCTGTCTGTATTCATATTCAAAGGTGATTACCTGCACACGTGACTTTGGCCATTAGGAAGTGCCCTGAGTGTGGAACATTCCTTAAATCCTTGACCTCATAATCAGTATGGATGAAGGGTTCTTGTGTTCCCCTGTAGGATCTGAATCCAGTTTGGCTCTGAGGCTGGTGAATGGAGGTGACAGGTGTCGAGGCCGAGTGGAGGTCCTGTATCGAGGCTCCTGGGGAACCGTGTGTGATGACAGCTGGGACACCAATGATGCCAATGTGGTCTGCAGGCAGCTGGGCTGTGGCTGGGCCATGTCGGCCCCAGGAAATGCCCGGTTTGGCCAGGGCTCAGGACCCATTGTCCTGGATGATGTGCGCTGCTCAGGGAATGAGTCCTACCTGTGGAGCTGCCCCCACAAAGGCTGGCTCACCCACAACTGTGGCCATCACGAAGACGCTGGTGTCATCTGCTCAGGTGGGCCTTCAAGACCTGGGGCTCCCTCTCTTGGGGTGGAGTTTGCTCCAGAAGAAACTCCTAATTACATTCTGATCTCCTCACTCAAAGCTTCTCCTGTGTTTCCTGTGTTTTTGAAGACTTGTTAGCTCTCTGCTAAGAATCCATATGAATTCACTGCCTAGTGTTCCTGTGGTCACTTAGGACAGGGGACCAAACTGAAACAACAACCCAGACTTTATCCCCTTCCTGAGGCAGTGCAAGGAAGAGGCAGAAGAAAAAATTTCTGGCTCCCCAGGGCTCCATTTCTCCCCTACTGAGTAGCACTGGGTGAGGGTATGGTGGACACAGCACAGACAGCGGGGCAGAGGAGGGATCCTCTCCTTAGGAGGAGGCTCATGGTAAGGAAAGGACATATGTTGGGGTAGGGAATTCTCACTTGAGGCCCCAGTAAGGAGCATTTGGATTGGAGGCATATGGGCTAAGAGTGCAAACGGGTATCTGTGCATGTGTGACCTGGGTCTTGGTCAGTTTCAGCTCCTTCCAAAGAACTGCAGTGCATTGTGTGTCTAGCAAGCATGGTGTTGGGAGGGCAGCTCCCATGAGATCTGCCAGGCAAAGCCTTGTTATTACGTGTGGTTTGGGATGGAAGATCACACAGGGGATTTTTGCTGGAGTGGTATCCTGAGACTTGCTGACTTGGTGAATTGCTAAAACCTGCAAGGGAAAGGGTTGGTTTTGGTTCAATTGGACATCACATCCAGACACAGAGTTAATTGCCTTGGAGCTGGAAATGGTGGACAGAATCTGCTTGGATCCCTTATAAGGAGCGTCTTTGAATCCAGCCAAAGCACTAGCATTCAGCAGGTCTGGGTGAAACTCCTGGGTCTTGCTTGAAGCCTCTGGCCGCTCCCTACCTCAATCAATGTGGTATCTACCAGTTGTCAATTGATCTTTAAAGAGGATCTATTATTAGGGATGCTTTTGTTTGCACATGGCAGGAACTCAACTCAAACACTCTTAAGCTAGAAAGGAATTCATTGTCTCAGTTATCCAGAATGTTTAGTGGTGGATCTGGAGCTTCAGGTACAGCTGGTTCCAGAAGTTCCAAGTCTTTTTTCCCCATGCTTTGCTTACATCTACTCTTTTATCTGTGTGGGCTTCACTATCAACTTGCTTTTTGCATGTGGCTGAGAGACAGCAGTGGGCAGCCCCAAGTCTATATCCCACCAGGAGAAGGAGTCAGTCTGTCCCAGTACCTCTGGCTGACAAGGCCTGGGAGGACTTTGATTGACCTGCTTGTAAACAGGTGCTTTCTTCCAAACCATCTCTATTAGCTCTGACGGCTCAGCCAGAGTTCTATACCCATCTTTGTGTTCCTTTGGGGCGACGGGAAGGATGGGGGCACTAGGCTCTACTTGAATCTTGTAGGATGCTACTTTTTAAAATAGGAATGACTGTTTCTATTAGAATAAAAAACAGGCAGGATGTTTGTGACAGAGATAGCCATCCCTCAGTTGGACCCTTCCTTTCTTTTGATACTATCTGCTCTTTGCTGGTTGACGTTACCCCTCTATCCTGAGATGGAACCTTCCCTCTCCCTGGCTGTTGCCCATGTTCATTACCATCATCTCTATCTAGTTCCAGGACTTTTTCATTATCCCCAACTGAAAGCTCTTACCCCTTAACCATTCATAATCCATTTCTCTTTCCCTCAGCCCCTGGCAACCACTAATCTGCTTTCTGCCTCTGTATACAGATTTTACTAAGAATTGTGGTCACTTTCTATGAATGGAATCATAGCCTTTTCTGTCTGGCTTCATTCACTTAACATAATGTTTTCAAGGTTCATTCATATTTTAGCATGTGTCAGAACTCCACTACTTTTAACTGCCAACTAATATTCCATTGTATGGCTACGCCATCTTTGTCTATCCATTTATCAGCTTATGGACATATGGGTTGCTTCCATCTTTTGGCTGTTGTGAATAAGTCTGCTATGAGAATTAGTGTACGGTTTTTTGTTTGCACTTGTGTTTCCAATTTTGGGAGATATATACCTAGGAGTGGGATTGCTCGGTAATAGGGTAATTATGTTTAATTTATTGTGGAAACACTGAACAGTTGCCACAGCTGCTGCACCAAATTTGCATTCCCCCAAGCAATGCCTGAGAATTCTGATTCCTCCGTATCCTCACCAACACTTGTTATGATGTCTTTTTCATCATGGCCATCCTAGTGGGTGTAAGGTGGTATTTCATGGTGTTTTGATTTGCATTTCCTTGATGACTAATGATGTTGAGCATCTTTTCATGTGTTGGTGGGCCCTTTGTATATATTCTTGGGAGAACAGGGGCTTCATTTTATAGATACTAAGCTGAAGGCCAGAGGAACTAGACTAATGTCAGTATCTTAGCCCAGGCTCACAGGACAGGGTTCAGGTACACAGAGGGATCAGGATGCCTGGCCCAGTGTTGTGTCTAGCATGTGACATTCCTTCATGGAGGCCTAACTCTGCCATTTTTTCTCCATTCTCAGGCATAGGCACTGCTAGGTATGCACAACTAAGTGTCCTCATAGTTGCTTCTGCCCACTGTCCCTGTAGCTCATGGTATTCAGTAGGTCCAGGTTTTGTTTCAGATTGAAGGCAAGCTGTGGGTTTGAAAGTGACTCAGGAATAAGCCTCGGGCCTGATGGGGTGGTCCCTGTGAGCAGAGTGAGTCAGCCAGAGGTGGAGAGGTGGACTCTCCCAAGAACCAGGTCCTAGGGCTGCACCTTGCCAGGCAGCTGGGAGCTGGTCTCGGTTGCATCCTGCTGCAGGGGCACTTGAGCCCAGTGGTCCCTGCAGATCCATGCTGATGGCTCCTGCACTTTAACCTCTGAATCTGAAGGCCTGGCTCAGCACTTGAATTGCTGGTCACTGGGGTAACTCCATCAGAGAACATGCACAGCTCAGTCCACACCCAAGGGTTCTAGAAAACAACCCTTAAGTTGATGAAGAACATCAACTTAAAATGATGAAGAACAGGCTTCCGTCAATGTCTATGCTGCTGGAGAACATTAACTGGAGACCCAGAAACCTTGGCCTTCTGGAAGAATTCTGAACTTCACTTGACCTCAGATCCTCTTCCTTTAGGAGATACAGGAGAGAGTTAATTTTCCTGTCTTTTCTAGAATCCAATTCTGGTTTGGCCCTGAGGCTGGTGAATGGAGGTGACCAGTGTCAGGGCCAGGTGGAGGTCCTGTACCAAGTCTCCTGGGGCACCGTGTATGATGACACCAATGACGCCAATGTGGTCTGCAGGCAGCTGGGCCGTGGCTGGGCCGTGGCATTCCCAGGAAATGCCTGGTTTGATCAGGGCTCAGGACCCATTGTCCTGGATGATGTGTGCTGCTCAGGGAATGAGTCCTAACTGTGGAGCTGCCCGCACAATGGCTGGCTCTCCCACAGCTGTCAGCACAGTGAAGATGCTGTGTCATCTGTTCAGATGGGCCTCCAAGACCTTGGGCCTCTATTTTAGTGTGTGGTTTTCTCCATGACAAGGCTTCTCTTTGCACTGGCCTCTTCCCAGCCTGAGCTTCTCTTCAAGATGGCCAGTTTCTCTGATACCTCAGCAAGGCAATAACCTCAGCAAATGTTGTTGGCGTCTTTGAATTTTATGGGTAGGCACTAGCTTCTTTCTTATGTAGGTTCCTATAGCAAACAAGGGTTCAATCTACTTTCAGGCTGTAAGAATGAATTCTTCCAACATCTTTTTTTGAGACTAACCGTTAAGGTTTATATCTACTATTCCACTCTCCTGGATGACTCTTGGGGAGCATTTCTAAGTGATGAGATGGGGACAGGCACTCAGCATTTCTCTCGCTCATCATCCTGGGCACTGGGACTGACTCATGTTTTCTTCTTTTCCTTGCAGCCACCCAAATAAATTCTACTACGACAGGTGAGTCTGCTACACCCCAGTCCAGCAATATTTCTCTTGGGAATTCCACCCTCTCTTGTTTCCAGAAGTAGGAGGAGTAGGGTAGACTCCCCCTGGGGGGGTAATTTCTCTCTGAGGACTCTGATCTTTGTTAGGGTGACGAGCTGAGTTCCCACTGCCATCACTCTCATGTCTGGTTCACCGTGGAGGGCCCCTGTGGCCTCCTGCTATTGCCTGCTGATAGTGCTAAGTGCTGGCAGAGATGCTGCTGTGGAAGGAGGCTTTGGTCCTCCCATTATTTCAGATGAAAATAACTGTCTAAATTAACCCATGGAAAATTAGGACCTTCATTTTAGAAACATAGCCAAGTAATACTTCTGCACGTATTTGTCAAATAAAGAATACTTTCACTTTGAGGGAGCCATCCGCAAAGCGTTTTTGTGCCACAGTGAAAATATCCTGGGCCAAATATGTTGGGAGGTGCTACATACTCTAGACCTTACTGGCCATGAACAGTGTAAACTGGAATGGTCAAGGCTCTGAGAAGTCCTGTACTAAGGAAAAGGATTTAACTTTGTCAGTCAAACAAATTACTATGGAATGGAAAAATTATCTACTAAAATCCTAAACAGCTTCATTTTTTTTTCTAGATTGGTGGCATCCAACAACTACAACCACTGCAAGTAGGTATCACATTTTCTACCTGAACCATAGGTCATACATTTCTTATCCCCAAGCTTGGCTATCCATGAGCGAATGCTCTGCCCCACCCCAGCCTTCCTCAATCTGCACATAGCCCTGGCCTGTCCCACTATACCCTTCACCTCTTCATTTGAATCAATGAGATAAGTATTCTTAAAATAATAGACTTAAAGGCTTTTATTTTGGGGGGTATCTCCAAAGCTTTAGGAGGAAGAAGGGAGACAAATAGTAAATGGATAATTTTACTACAAATTATGCTTTTCCATGTCATTTTTATTTCACCATATGGCTATGTTTCAATAGATTTTCATTGCTTTTAAAAAATAATAGGGATACTTTTCTGTGTTATTAAATCTTTTCTCACAATCATTTTAAGTCCCTGTATTGTATTCTATTATACAGATATGCCATGAATTATTTGACAAATCATCAGATGCTAGATATTTGTTTGTATTTCTTCATTACTGTAAATGATTTTGTGATGAAGAATATTTTTATAGATAATTTTTTTGCATACCTCACTAATTTTTCCTTTAGGATATAAATGGGTTTACTGGACCAAAGTCAATGTCATTGTAGTGCCTGGTACATAGAATGTACTTCATGCATATTAACTTTTACTGTGTTAGGTATTTTAAGATCTTGCTGTGTGTATGGTCAAACTACCATCAAGAATGGTTGTAAAATTATGGAATGATGTAAGAGACAAACTGATCTTCTTCCTCAGAGCTCACAATATTATTTTGTACACAACAAACTAGAAAATTACAGTTGTGACAACTGTTTCCAAGGAAAAGTTCAGTGTGCAAAGAGGAAGTATTAGTAGAGATCTTCCTTGATTGGGGAGTTAGGGGAAGTTCCTTATGGAAGTGACATTTAAGCTGGGAGTTAATAGAGGAGCAGGTTCATTTGCTGAAGTGTCTTCTAACCAGAAGGGATGCTTTGAAGGCCCTAGGGTGGGAAGGAGCTTGGCTCTTTGAAGGAGGGTGGGGTGCGGGCAAGGAGGGACTGCAGGAAATCTGTCGGGTGAGGCCAGATCATTCAGGGCCTTGTGGGTGGGTTAAGACTCCCATCTTTATCCTAAAGGTAGGGAGGCTGCAGAAAGATTTTAATCTTGAGAATTAGCTAATTGGAAATATATTTGCAAAAGATCATGTTTATCTTTTCTGCCAAACTGCATTTCCTGAAGGCAGGGGCCATGTCTGCCTTTTTCATAATGTATCCTTATTATCTAGCATTGTGTCTGCCTTTCAAGAACTGTTTATTGAAGGAATAAATGAGTGAATGAATGAATGGATAAATTAATGAATAAATACATAATTACTGTTGGCATTTTGGCATACATTCCATACACTGTATACACACACACAAACACACACACACACACAGTATGGCATGCTTTATATCCCATTGTATAACCCATCATTTTCATTTAAGTGTATATAATACTTTTTTCATGACCTTAAAATTAGCATTTTTATAACATTGAAATTATTTGTATAGAAGAAGGTTTAATGACTATATGATTTTCCACTGTATAGATATATCATCATTTAGTTAAACGGTTACTAATTGTGGGGCAAAAACATTGTTTCCAATTATATTTTATAATGTTAAGTGACTATATACAATAGCATATTTTATAACCATTTATATTTAATGATTAGAAATATGTAACTCGTATCCTTGTCTCTGAAAGTTTGACTTTATCCTTAATTATTTCCCAGTGTAGAAATAGAAAGGGAGGGCAGGCCACATGATCTTCAAGAAACACTGTCTTCCCATCAAATGGGAGAACGTATTTCTATCTCATAAGGGACTTGTATCTAGGATATATAAGTGACTCTTGTAGTCAATGATAAAAAGTCAAATAACCCAACTGAACAATGAGCAAAAGACCTGAAAGATATTTCTCTACAGAAGATTCACAGATAGCAGAGAAGGCATTGGAAAGATGCTCAATGTCATTAGCCGTCAGGGTCATGCAAATGAAACACCCAGTAGGTGGGCTGTAGTCAAAAAGCCAGATAATAGCAAGTGTTGATGAGGATGTGGAGAAATTGGAAACCTTATGCACGGCTGCAGGGAATGTAAAATGGTACAGCCACTTTGAGAAGCAGTTTGGTGGCTCCTCGAAAGGTTAGACCTGGAGTCACCATATGACCCAGCAGTTGTATTCCTAGGTATATACCCAGGAGAAATGAAAACATATGTCCATACAGAAACTTGTATGTGAATGTTCAGGACAGCTTTATTCATAGTAGCCAAATGTGAATGCAATGCAAATGTCCATCATGGTGAATCGAGAAACAAATATGATATGTCCATGCAGTGGAGTATTATTTGGCAATAAAAATGAATTTAATAGTGGCCGGGCGCGGTGGCTCATACCTGTAATCCCAGCATTTTGGGAGGCCAAGATGGGCGGATTGGCTGAGGTCAGGACTTCGAGACCAGCCTGGACAACGTGGTGAAACCCTGTCTCTACTAAAAATACAAAAATTAGCTGGGCATAGTGGTGGGCGGCTGTAATCCCAGCTACTTGGGAAGCTGGGGCAGGAGAATCGCTTGAACCCGGGAAGCGGAGGTTGCAGTAAGCTGAGATCGTGCCACTGCACTCCAGCCTGGGTGACAAGAGCGAAACTCCATCTCAAAACAAAACAAAAGAAAAAAAAGAATTTAATATTGATTTATGCTACAACATGATGAACTTTGAAAACACATTGAGAAGTCAGTCAAAAAAACTACCATATTGTACAATTTGTTTTATATGAAATGTCCACAATAGGCAAATCTATAGAGACAGAAAAGTAGATCAGTGGGTGCCAGGAATGGAGGGTGTTGAGAAGAAATGGGGAGTGATTGCTAATGAGTACAGGGTTTCTTTTTGGGGTGATGAAAATAATCTAAAATTGACTGTGGTGATTTCAGAGCTCTCAGTATGCTAAAAACCATGGACTTATCCCCTTAGAAAAAGTAAACAAAGAGTTATGAAAAAGAAAAAAAAAGACGTTTTAATTTCTATCACTGAGTGTGCACATGTTTTTAAAAAGTTTTTATTACTATAAACCAACCAACAAAATGTTTGACCACTTAATATTTATCCTTTTCTGATAAATAACAATAGCTAATATTGCTGGGTGCTTATGTGCCTGGCACTCTCTAAGAGTTTATATAGACATAGAAACCTATCTTATGTTTATGTATAAATGTTCATATATACATATCTTATTTAATACCCTCATCAGACAGATGAGGCAGATGCCATTACCACTCTCATTTTTCTGATGAGGAAACTGAGGCAGAGAGGTTAAGTAACTGGCTCCAGATCATGGAGCTGATAGAGGCAGAGCCAAGATGCAAACCCAGGCTTCTTGTTGCAGAAACCCTGCTCCTAACCCAACGTTGTGCTACTTGTGAATTGGCAGAGTCCTGTGCTCATGGAAGACGCTAGGGAACACACTGTGTTATGGAGTGCTCTCCACGGGTCAGCACTGTGTTCAGCCAGGACTATCCCACGTCCCTGTCTGTAGCTGATTGAACAATGATAGCTGTCACTTTGTTGCTTTCTTGGCATTTTTGCTAGAGGTGACACATGCTCCCTCTGAAGCTTGGGTCACCTCCTCGCAGAGGGTTGCTGTCCAGGCCTAACAGGGAAAGCAGGGACTTGAATCAAAGCTTCTAATGTTGGGCCACCTAGAACCAGGCCCAAGAGAGGGGACTTGTTTACAGGGAAAGTTAAGTCTTGTTATAAAGTGCAGAAGATGAAACTGGATGATACTTACACAGATGATTCCTTGTCACAAAATACCTGAAGACCTGGTACAATGGAGATGTCCCCTCTCTCCTCTCTAGGACCCTCTTCAAATTGTGGTGGCTTCTTATTCTATGCCAGTGGGACATTCTCCAGCCCATCCTACCCTGCATACTACCCCAACAATGCTAAGTGTGTTTGGGAAATAGAAGTGAATTCTGGTTATCGCATAAACCTGGGCTTCAGTAATCTGAAGTAAGTAATGCCTGGTCATCTGGTGAGGGGTGAGTTCCTCTGCAGCACACCCACTGGTTTAGACTGTGTCCTGGGCTGGGATGCTTTTCACTCTCATGTGCCATGGACAAGCTTTTGGTGGCTTTGATTCCTACCATAAAGCATCAGGGAACACTGATGTCCTTTGACTTAATTGAGGAAGAGCTAGAAGAAAAACCTGTATTCAATGGCATCCCTCGTAAAGTGCAAACTATTTATAAAATGGAGGGGCAATAGGAATTTCAATGTTGACTTGAATACATTTTCTCCATACAGATTGGAGGCACACCATAACTGCAGTTTTGATTATGTTGAAATCTTTGATGGATCATTGAATAGCAGTCTCCTGCTGGGGAAAATCTGTAATGATACCAGGCAAATATTTACATCTTCTTACAACCGAATGACCATTCACTTTCGAAGTGACATCAGTTTCCAAAACACTGGCTTTTTGGCTTGGTATAACTCCTTCCCAAGCGGTAAGTGCACACTAGACCATGCCTATGAGGCTTGGTGGATTTACCCAGCTGCCTCTTTGGGGGCACCATGGTTCCCCAAGGAAATCAAAGAAGGGCCTCAGCGATGCACGGCCCATTCTCTTTCTCTTGGCACTGACTGTGTGGGCAGGCCCTTGGGAAGGCAGCAAAGGGTGCAGACTGGGGGTTCCACCTGGCCTTGGGTCTGCCACCAACTCTCCAGGGGACCTGGTGACTCTCCTTCAGAGCCACCCCTCTCCGTCTGGAGGTGAGGGGATCTGAGCTTGGCGATGTCTAGAGCCCCTTTCAGCTCTGCATGGAGCGGTCCAGTACCTCCACCCCAGCTTTTCCACATTTCTATTTGGCGACTTTAGAGGTGGGAAAAGGCCTGTGGGATGCTTGGCCTTTGAGGTTTGTTGTGGGACATTTGTTGTGGGACATGGCCATGATCTCTCAGTTAATGTGTCTTTCAGATGCCACCTTGAGGTTGGTCAATTTAAATTCATCCTATGGTCTATGTGCCGGGCGTGTAGAAATTTACCATGGTGGCACCTGGGGGACAGTTTGTGATGACTCCTGGACCATTCAGGAAGCTGAGGTGGTCTGCAGACAGCTAGGGTGTGGACGTGCAGTTTCAGCCCTTGGAAATGCATATTTTGGCTCTGGCTCTGGCCCCATCACCCTGGACGATGTAGAGTGCTCAGGGACGGAATCCACTCTCTGGCAGTGCCGGAACCGAGGCTGGTTCTCCCACAACTGTAATCATCGTGAAGATGCTGGTGTCATCTGCTCAGGTATGGCCCAATGCCATGGAAGGCCCATTTCACCTGTAACTTGCTATAAAGCAAGAGCTTAAGGCCAGTGGCTGATGGTGTCTGTGGCCCAGGCAGGAGCTGGTCATTGTGTCCTCGTGGCCTGCGCACTCCAGAAGAGCATGCAGGGGGCTGCTTTATCTTTGGCCAGTTTCTGGACCCAGGGCCATTATGCTGAACACTCATCTGACTAAAGGACCTCCAGCAATGATTTTACTTCTTTATGCTTCAGTTTCCTTGACTGTTGAGTCGGGGTGGCTATGATAGTACTTGCTACTGGTGACAATTGGGATGGTTTTAGAACAATCATGGTCAAGGAGAGAGTGATGGGTGTTATGACCTCAGCTGTAATCCTGATGACCACAAGTATGACGGGACTTAGGGAGCATCTGGGGAAGCTGGGAAGGCTTCTCAATAGCAATTGCTGGGTGGACCTGGGGACCCTCGCCGAGGGGGGTCAGGTTATGGGCCATGTAAGTGTATCTCTGTCTCATTCCGGCCCCTCCTCCAAGCCACATGTCTGTGACCTATGCTTTTTTTCTATTCCTTTTTCAGGAAACCATCTATCGACACCTGGTAAGTCCCTCCGATTTCCATTCCACTTCCCTGGTCTCCAGGTCTCTCCATTACTGCTGCCTAGACTGTGCAGGGCATGTTGCTCACTCTCCAAGGAGTTCATCTGTGGTACCATCCTCTACAGCCCCTGTCCCCTCCCCTGCCGGCCACCAGGATAGTGTGCCCCTCTCTGTGCTTCAGTGGCCTGACCCACCTAAGATTAGGATCTCCAGTCAGTCCCGAGGTGAGGCCCGCCACCTGTCAGATTTGACTGTCCTCACAGACACCAGACCCTGACCAGTGTTGGCCAAATGGGGCCCACTGCATCGCAGAGCTCCTCCCTGCCTGCCCCTGAGCTGCTCTGAGTGTTCCCAGCATGGCCCTGGCACCTCTCCAACACCCCCCACTGCCCCGCCCCCTGCTTGCTTTGTCATCCCCTCCTGGCCTCCCATAGCAGCAGCTTCAGGCCTGTGCCCTCCCATCCATTCTCCACTGTGCAGCCCCTTCAAGAGATTCCTCAGGGTCTTCTGGTGATGACCCCGCTCCTCAGCACAGCATGACTGCCAGGGCTCCCCATGATCTGCTCCCTATGCTTGGTGCCCTCTCCCCATCCTCTGCCTGCTCCATCTACACGGAGGTTCCCAAATCTATTCCACCCAGGTGCAGTTGCACCTGCTGTTCCTCTGCCTGGGACACCCCGTTTCTACCTCTTTGCCTGCCCCCTAATTACTGCCCTTTTTTCCCCACTCCATCTGGGGCAGGGGCCAGACTTCCAGGCTCCTCTCCTTCCCCAGGCTTTGGTCAATCTCATCCTTTTCCCAGTGTGCTGGGATTCGCTCTCCTCCAGACCTCCCCAAAGGCAAGTGAGCTCCCCAAGGGCAAGGCCTGTGTCCAGCTCCTCCCTGTGGACTCAGGCTTGGCACAGCATCTGCACAGCTCATGAGCAGTCGACAGCTGTGTCAGGGATGCCAGAAAACTGATCCTGATCTTTTCTTTTTGTCAACAGCTCCTTTTCTCAACATCACCCGTCCAAACAGTAAGTTCTGAGCTCCCTGACAAGTCTGTGGCAGAGTGGCCTGGAAATTCCCCTTCCCATTTCCTCAGTGACAATGGGGCTGGGGAGGAGATGGCTTCCCCCAAAGTGGTCTCCCTGCAAGAGTGCCCTGCCAGCCCTCAGTGGACGGTCCAGATCTAGGCCACCTCTTGCTCTTACTTGGTTTCTGTCTTGGGAATTATTTTATAAAATTTTAAAGTAATTTAAATTTAAAGTAGTCCGCAGGTAGACTGTGCAGTGTGCTCTGGGGGTCACCGACATTCCCACTTTTTGTCCTGACAGCAGATTATTCCTGCGGAGGCTTCCTATCCCAACCATCAGGGGACTTTTCCAGCCCATTCTATCCCGGGAACTATCCAAACAATGCCAAGTGTGTGTGGGACATTGAGGTGCAAAACAACTACCGTGTGACTGTGATCTTCAGAGATGTCCAGTAAGTGTGCGCCCAGAAGAATGCCTTGGGGCCCCACAGACCTTTCAAGAGGGAATAAATGGTGCTTAAGTGTGCGCCCAGAAGAATGCCTTGGGGCCCCACAGACCTTTCAAGAGGGAATAAATGGTGCTTAGAAAGCCAGGAGAGAAGTTTGCTGAGAGACATTTTTGACCTAGCCCAGAGGCATCCCGTGGAGAGTTGGGGAGGGGGCACGAGAGCCTTGGAGTGGACAAAAGCTCTGGTTTCAAGTCCTAGGTCTTTCACCAATTTGCTGTGTGACCACAGGAAGTCACTCAACTTTCCTGAGCCTCAGTCAAAAGAGGGGAATAAAATACCTGCTTTCCTCACCTCACTGTTTACTGGGAAGGTCACGAGAAACAGAGAGGAGAGAGAGGGAGAGAGATGTGAAAATATTTACAAAATGTTGTCCAGTGGAAAAGATGGTTGTTAAGTAGTAATGATAGACTTAGGGGCAATAATAGCACTAATAATCCTATTAACAACCACACTGGCCAGGTATGCTGCCTCAGGGTTGTAATCCCAACACTTTGGGAGGCCGAGGCAGGAGGATCACCTGAATGCAGGAGTTCAAGACCAGCCTGAGCAATATAGGGAGACCCCCCATCTCTACAAAAAAGTACAAAAATTAGCTGGGTGTGGTGGCCTGCACCTGTAGTCCCAGCTACTAAGGAGGCTGAGGTGGGAGAATCGCTAGAGCCCTGGGAGTTGAAGGTTGTGGTGAACTATGATAGCGCCAGTGCACTCCAGCTTGTGGAACAAAACGAGACCCTGTCTCAGGAAAACAAAACAAAACAAAAAGAACAATTGTATCTGTTTTGTGGAACCCTTTTTCTCCACCCATTCCTTTCTTCATGTGAGTTCCCCAGGGGTCGGGCAGAGATGGAGGAATTGCTGCTCCAGAGGGTAGGGTATCTGCTCTGCATCCAATCATAAGTAGAAATCATCGTTTTAAGCAGAGAGGACATTACTAAAAGCACTTTTCTTTCTTTCTTTCTTTCTTTCTTTCTTTCTTTCTTTCTTTCTTTCTTTCTTTCTTTCTTTTCTTTCTTTCTCTCTCTCTCTCTCTCTTCTCTCTCTCTCTCTCTCTCTCTCTCTCTCTCTCTCTCTCTCTCTCTCTCTTTCTCTCTTTTTCTTTCTTTCTTTTTTTTTCCGGACATGGAGTCTCGCTCTGTCACCCAGGCTGGAATGTAGTGGCACGGTCTCGGCTCACTGCAACCTCTGCCTCCCGGGTTCAAGCGATTCTCCTGCCTCAGCCTTTCAAGTAGCTGGGCTTACAGGCACACGCCACAATGCCTGGCTAATTTTTGTATTTTTATTAGAGACGGGGTTTCACCATATTGGTCAGGCTGGTCTTCAACTCCTGGCCTCAGGTTATCCTCCCACCTCGGCCTCCCAAAGTGCTGGGATTACAGGTGTGAGCCACCATGCCTGATGTCAAAAGTACATTAATATATGATTTATCCAAGGAGGCGGGTGGCCCAGCTAACTGTGAAGAGGCACCAGTGTTTGCTAGTGTCCTGAACAAGGGGCTACACTAATTTCTTCTCTAACAGCCACTGTTGAACAAAATAGTTTTCCCTGTTGATTTCTGTTTGCAGTGGGCTTTGGAGTCTCTGCTTTAGTGATTCATTTGGGATTTTGCAAAAGATACATCATTTTATTCTCTTTGTCATTACAATACAAAGATTGCACTTAAAGCTGATGCAGTCCTATGGGAAAAGGTTGACCATGACTGGTTCTTTAACCAGCATCTTGATAGCAATGACCATCACCATTTGTGACATTTTACAAAGCCCTTTTCTGTATGTTGTTTTATTTGAGCTTCACCATAGCCCTCTTCAGTGTGCATGGATCAGATTACTTTGCCTTTGTAAATAGGAAAAGCTTTAGAGAGATTATTTGACTTGCCCAGTATTTATTTATTCAATTATTTATTTCTCTCACTATGAATTCATGCATATTGATTTTATTCTGTGGGGGCACTAGGGACTTTTCGATGGAAGAAAAATGGTCTAAATCAGGATGCGAGCCCTTCCTTTCCTGATGTAAAGGGCTGACAGGTGAGGGGCTGTAGATTTCATATGTGTGATTGCAAAGGGCAGGACTAAGACCCAGGCATGGAGGTTGAGGGAAGATGAGACTCTCTTGATTTAAGGATACCTATGACTTTCTTTTGTTTCAATTTTTATTTTTCTTTTTATTTTTTGAGACAGGGCCTCACTCTGTCGCCCAAACTGGAGTGCAGTGGCACGATCTCGGCTCACTGCAACCTCTGCCTCCTTGGTTCAAGTGATTTTCCTGCCTCAGCCTCCTGAGTAGCCTCCCTCACCCTACAGGCTTGTGCCACCACGCCCGGCTAATTTTTGGATTTTTAGTAGAGACAGGGTTTCACCACGTTGGCCAGGCTGGTCTCGAACTTATGACCTCAGATGATCCACCTGCCTTGGTCTCCCAAAGTGCTGGGATTATAAGTGTGAGCTACTGCGCCCAGCCAAGGAGACCTATGACTTTCATCGATGAACTTTGTCAGAGTTTCTGGCACAGAGGTGTGACCCCACCCTGAGATCTGACCCCCTGCGTCAAATTCTGGGAGGAAATGAAGCCAAATGGTGTGTCCTCTCTCTGCAGGCTTGAAGGTGGCTGCAACTATGATTATATTGAAGTTTTCGATGGCCCCTACCGCAGTTCCCCTCTCATTGCTCGAGTTTGTGATGGGGCCAGAGGCTCCTTCACTTCTTCCTCCAACTTCATGTCCATTCGCTTCATCAGTGACCACAGCATCACAAGGAGAGGGTTCCGGGCTGAGTACTACTCCAGTCCCTCCAATGACAGCACCAGTAAGTCCCCTTGTGGAAATGCTCTGTTGGGACTGGGGACATCCTGAGAGCATCTGTGGCTCAACTGTCCTGTTGTTGTGAAATAAGAAATGAAGGAACCCTTTCAGGTCACCAGGGCTTGATTTTCAGCTGAAAGGGACCAGGAGCAGTGGGACTTGGGACTCTGGCTGCCCAGAAATAAAGTCAGGGCTAGAACTGGCTGATGGGTGATGATTGGTCTTACTGTGGTCAGCAGAGACTAAGTAGAGGGTCCCAGATGATGCTCTTCGTGGAGAGTGATGAGTCAGTGCCAAAGGCAGAGGTGACCTCTTGGCTTGAAACCTTGTGACCTTCTCAGAGTGTGGGACACTGTGGCCATGGCCTGAGACCTAACACATTTGGTTTCTATCTGAAGATGGACTGAGCTGGGTGGCTGGAAGTGGCTGAGATAAGGTCACTCAGACACTTCCAGCAGAGCCTGTATGGCCATGATTTGAGTTGCTGTATGGACTGATATGTAGAATGGCCAAGGGCCAGGCAAGGTGACATCCAGGGTCTCTTATGCAGTCAGGATTAAAGACTGACTTGCTTCATGGCTAAAAGACCTTGTTTCATGACATTCCCACAATTTGATCATACAGTTACTTTACTTTATAGATAAATGGTAACTTGGCCAAACATACCACTTATTTAAAAATCCTGCCTCCAATTCTCCATCAGAGAAATCCTGAGTCCACGTGCTCTCCTTGGGCTTTCATAAGGATGGGGCTGACTTGACCCTCGGGTCCTTGGGGGATTGCAGTGAGGTCTATGCCCACATCCTAAGTGCTGACCCTCCCTGTCAGCCACCCTGGTCTGTGCACTTTTTAAGTGGAAACAGCCTCTGGCCCCGTAGGACTTGTGGAGTCTGGGGCAGTGACTGAGTGCCTTATCTGTCCTTGTCTATCAGACCTGCTCTGTCTGCCAAATCACATGCAAGCCAGTGTGAGCAGGAGCTATCTCCAATCCTTGGGCTTTTCTGCCAGTGACCTTGTCATTTCCACCTGGAATGGATACTACGAGTGTCGGCCCCAGATAACGCCGAACCTGGTGATATTCACAATTCCCTACTCAGGCTGCGGCACCTTCAAGCAGGTAAGCCTGGGGCTTCCCATTCCATTTCCCAGTGCACAAGCTTTCTTAGAGCGGTATGTCCTGTGCTTCTTGAATTCTGGGGATGAAGAAATTATGATTTTGGGATAATCAGGACATAATTGGAATAAAGGAAGATAAAAAACCTTTGGTGCTATGATATGGCTGCAGCTACTTCCAAATAGGAAGAAGGAAGCTGAGCAGAAAGAGTATCTCCAGCTGTGTCCAGCAGAGAGGGCTTCTGGCAGACCGCCACTCCCATCAGCAATAACAACAGCAGCTCCTGGAGCAGCTCCAGATTTTGCAGGGCCTGAAGCTTATACAGTTAGGGTTGGGGGTGAGAGGCAGGTGTTGAGATGGGCAGGGGCCTCATTAAGTCAAAGAATGCAATATCTATGAACTTTTATAAACTTTGCAAAAACGTATGGCTGTGCAAACACATTGCTAGGCCTTGGAGGAGGCCTGCACATTGCAGTAGGCAGGGAAGAGGGGGCCCAAAAGCTTCAGCTTCATTAGCTCCATAGTCAGCTGGCCTCTGCAGCTACCATTTGTTGAGCTATCACCATCTAAGATGGCCCCCTGCATCCAATTTTGGGTGAAAGTGAAGCCAATATGGTGTGTCCCTTCTCTACAGGCTTGAAGGTGGCTGCAACTATGATTATACTGAAGTTTTCAACAGCCCCTACCACCGATTTCTGTGGTTTGCCTGGGACTTTGCAGATTTTAGCATAGAAAGTCCCACGTTCCAGGAAACCCCTCACTCCCAGGCAAATGAGGACGGTTAGTCACCCTACAAGTGGCAGATGCTGTGATTGGTCCTTGTCATACTCCCCCAGTGAAGGCCTGGCCTTAATTGTGTTGGGTTCTGGCTTGCTGTGAGTTTGGTCAGTGGAAGTCAGTCCACTGAAGGTGACCATTGTTCCTATGCCAAGTGAGCAGCCTGGAGACTCCCTGAGCGGCCCCGCTGAGGGCCCTTCACACCCATTCACACCCATTCACACTCGTTCACACCCATTCACACCCGTTTGGAGCGGCCAGACAACTCTGTCAGCCCTGTTTCTTCTAACTTGGCTGATCATGAATAGCACACGCCACATTCTTATTCCTCCACTCATTTATTTATTTTTATTTTATTTTAATTTTTTAATGACAGGTTCTCATTCTGTTGCCCAGGCTGGATGCCCAGGCAGGGGTGCATCATAGCTCACAGCAGACTTGAACTCCTGGGCTTAAGCAATCTTCCAGCCTCAGCCTCCAGAGTAGCTGGGACTATAGGCATGCACCACCACACCCAGCTAATTAACAAATTTTTTTTTGTAGAGGTGGGATCTTGCTATGTGTCCCAGGCTGATCTCGAACTCCTGAGCTCAAGTGATCCTCCTGCCTTGGCCTCCCAAATGCTGGGATTACGGGCATGAACCACTGCTCCTGGCCTCCTCTATTTCTTTAAATAACCATATTGCCTATCACACTGAGTGCCTCAGGGGCAGGGCCAATGTTTTGTTCATCTTTGCAACCCCCAGTGCCCCTGGTCCTGAGCCTAAGAGTTGATATAGTATTATTAACAGCTCATACAGATATCAGACACTGAACTAAGTGTGCTATATAACTTTTAAAATTCTCAGGACAACTTTATTCCCACTTAATTATGAGGCAACGGAGGCTTGCAGAAGGTAAGCCACTTGCCCAGAACCATATGGCCATGAGCTGCGGGTCTAAGACATAGAAGTAGGGCTGTGCCATCCATGGCTGGAGCTTCCCACAGCTCCACCAGGCTGGCCTGTGATAGTGAATTTTTATCTAAAATTAGAACTGCTTCTTCTGACCAAGAAATAAATCTGCACTCCATGTTCATTATTTGGAGTGGATTCAGAATTTACCTCCATCGTAGGCACCACAGGCAAATGTGACATCCATGCAAATGATCATGTTAATGTACAGGGTTCAATGGAAAGCACTTGAGAGCATCTTTGAAAGAGTAAGAAGGGTCATACTGTCATGTGCGTCCATGTGAAAAGACCACCAAACAAGCTTTGTGTGAGCAATAAAGCTTTTTAATTACCTGGGTGCAGGTGGGCTGAGTCCAAAAAGAGAGTCAGCGAAGAGAGATAGGGGTGGGGCCGTTTTATAGGATTTGGGTAGGTAGTGGAAAATTACAGTCAAAGGGGGTTGTTCTCTGGCGGGCAGGGGCGGGGGTCACAAGGTGCTCAGTGGGGGAGCTTCTGAGCCAGGAGAAGGAATTTCACAAGGTAACGTCATCAGTTAAGGCAGGAACCAGCCATTTTTACTTGTTTTGTGATTCTTCAGTTACTTCAGGCCATCTGGATGTATATGTGCAGGCTTGGGCTCAGAGGCCTGACAAAAGGGTTTATTGCGGTCGTATGGTTTAAGTCATACGGTTTATTGTGACAACTGTTGGCACTGAAATATAAAGCAAAAACAAATTTTTAAGACAGTTTAAAGTCAGAAAATGTACGCTAAGAGCAGGTGGACAAGGTAGAACCCCTTCCTGTGGGTCTTCCCCAGACCTGGACCCAGAGTGTAAGCTCTGGCACCCTGTGCTGGCTCATAGCCAAAGGATAGGCACGTGCCATGGCCATCTCTGAGTGGTTCTGGGAGGGGTGGAAGTCTTGTTGAGTCACGTCCCTCTCATTCACACCCAAATCAGCTATGGGATTCCCTTAGCAGGTGACATGTGCCTGACTCTGCTCTCTTGCCTGCCTCTCCTAGGCAGACAATGACACCATCGACTATTCCAACTTCCTCACAGCAGCTGTCTCAGGTGGCATCATCAAGAGGAGGACAGACCTCCGTATTCACGTCAGCTGCAGAATGCTTCAGAACACCTGGGTCGACACCATGTACATTGCTAATGACACCATCCACGTTGCTAATAACACCATCCAGGTCGAGGAAGTCCAGTATGGCAATTTTGACGTGAACATTTCCTTTTATACTTCCTCATCTTTCTTGTATCCTGTGACCAGCCGCCCTTACTACGTGGACCTGAACCAGGACTTGTACGTTCAGGCTGAAATCCTCCATTCTGATGCTGTACTGACCTTGTTTGTGGACACCTGCGTGGCATCACCATACTCCAATGACTTCACGTCTTTGACTTATGATCTAATCCGGAGTGGGTAAGGAGTGTCTTTATGCGATGGCCTTAAACCTTTACTTGATAACTCAAACATGAGTAGCCCCAAAGGCTTGAAGAATGCAAATTTTGATGAACTGCAGTTCCCAGTACTTCCAGCTTAACTGGATCCCTTTCTACATGTAGTGATGTCCTGTAGCTTTCACCTTTGAGGTGCTTTTACTCTGTGTTCTGTATCACATCCCTGATTTCTCATCAGGTAGGATGACCATGTATCATCTCCAGTTAACATCTGGGGAGATGGGTTTCTGGAGAATAGAACAGCTCAGCAGTGTTCACTCAGCAGGTTAGCTGTAAACCGTGATCAGACTCTAGGTGACTGAACTCCAGCCATACGGTTAAAAAGACCTGCGTATAGTGGGAAAAGCATTGATTTGGAGCAGACCAAGGTTGAAATGCCAGCTCTGCCACGTGCCAGTTGCATGATTCTGGGCCAGTGAAAGCACCTCTATGGACCAGTTGCTCGCCTGTCAAGTGGGGATAATGACACGCACATTGTAAGGCTGTTGGGAGGATGGGATGAGAGAGAGTGGATGTGGCACTGAGCACAGAGAGTGTGCAGCAGGTGGTCCACCAGGAATGTGCACTGAAGATGGCAGGAGCCCTGCTGCCCTCCTTCAGCCTGGGAATAGAAGCTCTGGGAGTCCACGGGTTCCAGTCAAGCTCAGGAGGTGCAGAGGTCAGGCCAGAGATGTCAGGCTGGGGCCAGAGGGTGTGCAGGCTGGGCTGCTCTACCATAGCCCAGCTTCCCTGGATGACTGCATGTGGGTGAAGTGGGGTTTGACTCTTCTGCACTCATGATGACACCATGATGTGCAACTCCAGCCCCCTCTGAAGTCTCTGTTGATAGATGTGTACCACACTTCTTGGCTTACAATATAGACCTGGACACTTCAGTAGCCATTGCCTTCCAAGAGAATTTATACCAATAGGATAAAGAGTTCTACTAGGAATTAGAGGTGGGCAGATTCAATTCGACACCCTCTTGATATGCTAAACGTAGCACCTCTTTCCAGGCACAGTGTGAACATATGTCAGTTCAGTAGGTAGGTGTTGAGGCTCACCTTGTTTACAGTCTATGCAGCTTGCTCAATTCACAGCAGCCCCCTTGGTGGCTGAGAGGAGGGGAGAAAGCTTAACCAGATTCCCGTTGTACAAATAGTCATAAGGTGACTTTTGAATTTGTGTGAATTGATTGACATTAATGAAAATGAGTGGGTGACCTTAGTTCTTCCTTGCCAAAGGATTCTTTCTGGTCAAATCCTGCCATTTCTATATGACAATGCAATTTGCTGGGAAGACGGGGATGTGTGTGCAGGGGTAGATGTACCCTGGCTATACCTGGAGCACAGGGACTTATTGGCTACACCTGGCCATCAACAAGATCATCCACCTGGAAGTCCATTAGAATGACCTGGGGCTCCAAACACACCCTGCCCAGGCCCTACCCATACATTCTCTGTTTGGCCTGGTGGGGCTTGGGCATGTTACGTTTAAAAAATCTTGAGTGATTCTGAGGTGGAGTCATGGCTGTGGCTTCGCTGTGGCATTCTGGTCTGCGTGGAGCCCTGAATGGCAGGGTTTTACGGCAAATGCAATGACTGCCCAGGGGCTTCTAAGTGACCCTGACCTTTTTCCCAAGTGTCCCACCTCTGAACAAGCCTCTGGCTATTTTTGCTTCCTCCTTTGCCACTAAGGGAGCTACTGTGAAAAAAAAAACAAAAACAAAAAAGAAAACTTGGTATTTGAGAGAATCTGGGTTGCCTATGGAGGAAGGAAGGAGGCTCTAGAAGACAGAAGGAGGGGAGCAGATCCTGGCCAGGTTCCCAGGCTGAGCCAGACTGCCCTGGAGACCACATCCACCACCCACGAGAAATGCCCATCCTAGGCCAGTGGGCCAGTTTTCCTGGCTTTTCTCTTTGCCATGCCCTTCAAAATCCCACCAATCTATAATAACTGGGTTAGTGTGAGCTGCTTCTTCCATCTTAGGAAAATTCCTGTAAGCATATCCTTAGGTTATTTTCCCTCTGACCCCTGCTGAGAGGAGGTGCCCCAGGGAATGAGGAGGGGGTTTATATCGGTATAGGGGCTCCTGGAGGGTTCGCAGGCCAGTGTGGAACGTACAGCTGCATGGGGCTCAGGGCAGGCTGAGGAGGGTCAGGAAAGAGAGGCCCTGGGAGAGGGAGGGTCAGGGCACTGTACTCAGAGTGCAGCCGAATGAGACCTTGCCTGGCCCTGACACCAGGTGAGAGAAGGGAAGGTCATTTACTTTTCTGCCCTGTCTCTGGGTCCCGCTCCTGGGCTCCAAACTCCAGCTACTTCCCTGACTCATCTGGTTTACCTGGGTGCATGGAGCATGTGGTCATTGTGGGATTAGGCCTCAACCCACTGTGCAGTATGGGACCTGCTTGTCTATCGGGAAAGCTCTCACAGGCTTTGCTGCCTAAGGATGGCGGTGAGGTACCGGAGCTGCCAGGATTTCTCTGCAGGCCCCTCAGTGAGTGTCTGATCCACACGTTCTGACAGAAGGAAGGTGAGGTGTGCAGGAGGCAGGGGCAGTGAGGACAGGCTGTGGAGTTCCTCACCTGGTACAACTGAGTCATGAAGGAAGAATCGGGCCTTGGTGAGAGCTAAGGGGCTACTGTTCTCTTCCAGATGCGTGAGGGATGACACCTACGGACCCTACTCCTCGCCATCTCTTCGCATTGCCCGCTTCCGGTTCAGGGCCTTCCACTTCCTGAACCGCTTCCCCTCCGTGTACCTGCGTTGTAAAATGGTGGTGTGCAGAGCGTATGACCCCTCTTCCCGCTGCTACCGAGGCTGTGTGTTGAGGTCGAAGAGGGATGTGGGCTCCTACCAGGAAAAGGTGGACGTCGTCCTGGGTCCCATCCAGCTGCAGACCCCCCCACGCCGAGAAGAGGAGCCTCGGTAGGTGGTCGCTCTCAGACCCCACTGTCCACCGGGGCGCAGACCCCTGACTCGGGGACTTGGGATGTTCCTCTTGGTGTCATATTCCAACTCAGATTGAGCCCTACATTGTGCTGCACCTGGTCATACGGAGTTGAATCAGACCTGGTTCCCGCCTCCCCCAAGGCTCATGGTCCTTGGAGGACCCGTTGCAGGGTGAGGTCAAGAGAGTTCTGACCTGGATGGCCCATAGACCTGACGTCCCAGAATCCATGCTTCTCATCTGCAAAATGAAAATGTCAATACTTACTTCTTAGCACTGTTGAGAGGGTTACTTACATAAAGGAATTTTGGTGAAACTGCCTCAGCCTGTTCCTGGTGCAAGTCATTGAGTGCTTGGTAAATGGTAGTTTTTGTTACTCCTGTTGTTGTCACCCATGTTAACAACACCAATGATGACAGTATTCCTCACAACGATAATAACTATAACAGCAGACGTGTTGACATCAGGGTCTAGACAGGGCCATGGGGACGCCAGCTGCATGGATTTGTCCTGATCGCTGGCAGGCTCTACTGGGCACAAGCTATGTCACTTTTCTTCTCCAGAACAGGGAGTGCATCTGCTGCTGTGCTGCTGTGTTGCTGTGCGGCTGTGCTGCTGTGTTGCTGTGCGGCTGTGATGCTGCGCTGCTGTGCTGCTGTCATGCTGTGCTGCTGTGATGCTGTGCGGCTGTGCTGCTGTCATGCTGTGATGCTGTGCGGCTGTGCGGCTGTGCGGCTGTGCGGCTGTGCTGCTGTGTTGCTGTGCGGCTGTGCTGCTGTGTTGTGGGCATGGACGAGGGAATGAATGTTTGCAGAGTGATGCCCAGGATTTCTGGCCCAGTCTGGGGCTAGGTCAACAGATGTGGTGGCCATGGTGTTGGGGGTGGGTGGGGCAGCAGTAGTTGTCACAAGCCCTCTCCTTGGTCAGGGCGCTGCCCATGGGGCATCTTTGACAGCTCTTTCCTCTTGATTCCTATTCAGGCCGTCTTTATGTCCACCTGAGTCCAGACTCTTTCCTCACTTGTTCATTCATTCAATGCATGTTTAATGAAGGACTGTTATGCACCAGGAGGCAGATAAAGTCTTGGAGGAAAAGATGCAATTCAGAATAAGTCTCATGAATGGTGCATGCAATGGGGTCGGAGTGAGGAGCAAAGGACATCAGGGCAGGGCGAAGGTGCCTGTGGGCACAGGCTCACTTCCCTCCTCTCCCTCCTGTTCCCTGCAGCTGCCGTAGTAGCTCACGTCCTGGGGGCCTCTTACCTGGGACTCTTGTAATCATTTCCCAGCTGGTCTAAAATGCCCAACTCTCTCCCCTCCCATTCATCTGGAGCCTCAGGCCAGATTTGTTCTCCCAAAGCCCAGTTCCCAGTTCCTGCTAAGAAAAACTTCCCTGACTCTCCTTGGCTGATAAACGTGAAATCTCTCTAGTCTGACAGTCAGCTGCCCATTGGGGTCTGGCCTCAGTTTCCCATTCAGCACTTCCTTCTCCAAGTTTTTTATCCTTTCCCACCAAACAGTTCTGATTGCCTTTACTATGCCCAGGGGGCCATGGCCTTTACTTGTCTTCCTCTCCTCCTCTGCCAGGCTCTGTCCTGGTGCCCTGTCTGTTATTGTGGTCTCCTCTCCTTCCCAGACGTGTTGGTGGCTGATGTGGAGGAGACAGCCAGCACCCAGGGGAGGTATCACAGCACTGCCATCTCTTCTGGGGTCTTCCTGGCTGTGGTTCTGGTTGTGGCAGCCTTCACCCTGGGGAGGAAGGCACACAGCACCAGTGGCCGGCCTCTGAGCTCCTAGATATGAAGCCCAGAGAAGGTGTTTAGATATTGGCTCTGCCAGCCCAGGCACCCGAGAGAGGATGGAAGAAACAAGGGTGCAGAGCTTGGCGCCCAGCAGCACCTGAACTCCATTTAGCTTGGCACAGGTGTATGGTGGGGTGGGTGGAGGTGGGGTGAAGAAAGATGGGGTGGGTAGAGGTGGGGTGAAGAAAGGTGGAGCGAGGTTTTCCCCAGATCCGAAGGCTCAGTGCTGGGTCAAAATGTCAAAGGTAAACAGGTGCTAACGTCTAAAGCCTCACCTGCAACTCTAAGCCAAACATTAGTAACAGCAGAGCTTTCTCTAGGTGGAATTTCTGAGCCTTTTTTTTTTTTTTTTTGAGACAGTGTCTTGCTTTGTTGCCCAGGCTTGAGTGCAGTGACACAATCTCAACTCACTGCAACCTCCGTCTCCTGGGTTCAAGCGATTCTTCTGCCTCAGCCTCCCTAGTAGCTAAGATTACAGACAGGCTAGACCATGCCCAGCTAAGTTTTGTATTTTTAGTAGAGACGGGGTTTCATCATGTTGGCCAGGCTGGTCTCAAACTCCTGACTTCAAGTGATCTGCCTGCCTAGGCCTCCCAAAGTGCCGGGATTACAGGTGTGAGCCACTGTACCCGGCCTCTTTTCTGACCTTTTATAAGCTCGCTTCTTAGGCCTGTAGCATAAATCTCAGCCTTTCCTTAGGGTAGAGCCAGCTGAATAAAGAACCTTTTTCAGAGTAAGTGTCAATTTGGCCACTGTTGCCTTCGTTTCTCCTAAGAACTAGATCCTTTCAAATTAAGCAGACAGGTGGGGTGGTTGTCATACAGAATGAGAAGGGGCAACTCGTGTGTCTTCCCAGTGTCCTTGGAGTGTTGGTTCTTCCCAAAGCAGGATATGCAGGATGCAGCCTGGAGAAAGACAAGAATGCTAAATGCATTGTAAGTTTCAGTGGCTGTGATTGAAAATTAAAGATGATTGCCTCCATTTCTCTAGGGATCTGCCTCTTTTGGTTTTTGACACTTCATCTCCAGAACTATGGGCTGGGGCGGTTCAGGGAAAGAAGCAAACTCCTTAGGGCCCTTAGGAAGGGAGTCCTGTTTGCATGAGGTCTCCAGAGAGAAGGAGATTGACAGGTGACCCAAGGAGCTCAGAAGAAACAAAGGGATGAGCTGGGTTCCAAGGAAGCAGTACATTTGCCTAGAAAATCAGAGAGATATCAGGCTCAGGGCTCCTAGGTCAGGCTTGGCAGGAATGGGAGCTTTTGTGTACTGCCCTGGCAATGCCAGTGTTTGCCCCATGAAGCCAATCTCAGGACCCCTGTCCCAAGAGGGGACAGCTAAGACAGCCTAACTCTGGATGTGTGAGTTGAGCTGCATGAGACCCCAGCAGGGCAATGGCTACAGGGGAAACCCCAGGACAAGGGGACAGAGAATTCCAGCAGAGACTTGGCCATAGCTGCCAGCTCTGACTAGGGCTGCCCAAGAGCTGCCCACCACCGGCAGCTGTGGTGAGACGCCATGAGCCTCCGTGGGATTCAGAGTGCGTCCTGAGCCCTACCAGGAGTCAGAGGAGCTAGGGGGCCCCAGGGACTGTCTCTTGTTGGTTTCCATTCTCCTTGCCATCACCCCCAACACTCACCCTTAACCTCCCAGGCTGGGGCAGTTAAGGAAAGCCTTAAGGGTTCCCCTGTGACCATGAGTCTGCCCTGAAAAGCAATGTCAATGCAGTGGAATGCAGGCACCAGCCCAGGACTGGATCTGAGCAGATGCAGAAGCAGCAGGAAGCTGGAGTGGTGTGCGGGTTTGAGGTACACATCAATCAGAGTAACAAAGTGGCAAGTCAGACATCCGAGAATTCAAAAAAGTTCAGAGGCTGGGAACCCAACATGGAATCCCAACTCCATCCATTCATTCGTTCGTTCATTCATTCATTCATTCATTCATTCGTTCATTCACTCATTCATGAATGTCTAAGTTGTACCCTGTGCTTGAGAAGGAGCAGTGGAGGCTGTGGGTCCCTGCTGTGAGGATGAGGGGGACCCTGGGGCTGGGGGCTCAGCAGGCTTGCCCTGAGTGGTCCCCATGAGCGCCAGCCCCAAGCCAGGCTCTGTACTTGAACCTGTGGATACAAAGAGGGGTCATGCAGGGGTCACCATTATAAGGGGAAATTTATTTCCACAGGAAACATTTCCACCTCCTGAAGTGTCCCCTCTCCTTAAAAATAGCCCCAGTAGCCAGTGCTTCTTCACAGATAACCACCACAGTGTTAGCCACTTGGCAGCCTCTCAAGGAAGGAGGTAATGGCCCCTTTATCAGCAGGGCCCAGCCAGGAGAGTGGCTAGTAGGGACAGATGAGTTTGGTAGCAAGAGGCAGTGAGGTCCAGGTGAAAGGTAGAGCAGAAGACAGGGCCACCGGTGACAGGGGCTCTGGACTAAAGCTGTCAGAGTGTGACTGAGGGTCCAGTCACAGGGGACACAGAGAAGTGGGCTTGCTTGGGAGCAGGGACCCATCCTCCCCATCCACACCACATCTCCACACTCAGGGAGGATTGGGCTGACACCAAGTGGCTGTGATTCCCAGCAACTGAGACTGTGGTTTGAGGCAAGGGTGCTCAACTCTACTGCACGTGAGAATGGCCCGGGGGCTTTTGAACCTGCTGCTGCCAGGCTGCACCCAAGCCAGTTAGATCAGAATCTAATCAGAGGGTAGGCCTGGACATTGGTGACCCACCAGACTCAGGTTGTTCCAAGATTGAGAGCTGCTGGTTTAGGACTCCTTAAATCCCTCTGAGAGAGTCCAGGTTGTGCCCTGTGCTTAAGAAGGAGCAGTGGAGACTATGGGTCCCTGCTGTGAGGATGAGGGGGACCCTGGTGCGGGGTTCTCAGCAGGCTTGCCCTGAGTGTTCCTGAAAGATCTACTTTCCAAGTCCCAAAAGACCGTATCAAAATCCCACTGACCTAAAGTGCCTCATTTCTGCTGATTCATATTTGCCCCAGCCTCTGCCATCCATAAGAACATGCCATGGAGGAAACACTGATTAAGCATCTTCTGCCAGCCTGGCACCTTGGACATAATCCTCTAATCCTCCATGTGGCCAGGTATTATTCTCACCTGGCAGGGATGGAAACTGAGGCTGAGAGAGGCAAGTCAGCACAGAACTGCACAGGATTCAGGTAGCGAGTGGCAGAGTTGGGGTCTGAGTCGGGGTCACTGACTTCTGGTCCTAGGTTCCCTCCTCCCTGTTCCATCATCCCCAAGGCACCAGGAGCCCAGGAGCCCAGGAGGCCTGGCCTCACATTGAGTTTGCACAGAGAACTGCATCAGACACACTCCTGTCTGCAGCTCCTATGTAAGATGTGGTACCAGGTGCAAAAGGAGGGCTTAAAGGAGGGTTGTGATGTCTACACCACACCCACACCCCAGCTGGCCCCACGGGACTACTCACTTGACCTGTGGTGGCTCCTCCAAGTTCTCCGCACCTCCAGTACCTGCTCATAGCCCGGTGATCCTGCTCCAGGCTCCACCTTCAGCAGAGTGACTGACAACCAGGGGCCAAGAGAACACAAGGCCGGGCCACATGGCACCTGTTTTGAGCTGTCTCCTGTGACCTTGTAGGGACAGAGGCTGCCCTCCAGCCCCTTCGAACCACAGCATCTCACCATCCTCCTGTTATCCCACCTGCCAGTGCCAGAGGGCGCTGCAGAACAACCTTGGAGCTATTTTATTCCTGAAGAACTTGTTACTGTGTTTACTGTGAGTGCCCGTGGTTGTCCATTACAGGAAGGGGTTCCACAGTTTTCAGCTCTAATAAAGGACTCCTGTGAAAGCCTGTCCTGGCTCCTTTCCATTACTTTAAGGGGACAGAATCCGATCTACTGTCTGACAACAGAGTGGATGGTAGCTCCCCTTTCTGCCTGGTCCCTACCACAGGCTGAAGGTGGCATTCAGCAGCCCCTTGAGATCTTGTCCCCTCCAGCCCTGTTCCTGGCATCCAAATCCCTGCAGTGGCTAGTAAGGGGTTCTGCCCTGGGCAGGGGCTCTATCCTCTGCAGGTTTGATGGCACCTGAATGGCTTCTGGTGTGTGGGAATCAGGGACAGCCCCAGCCAATGGTCGTTTCCTGTAGGGGATGAAACTTTGACCTCAGCATCTCTTCCCATTGCCTGTGTTGGCTGGAGTACTTAGTGTCCCGAGTGCTTGGCAAGGCCACTCAGGTGTGCACTGACTGGAGGGAGAAGGTCCTCTCGGGAAACCTGTGTCTGTGAA
The DNA here is from genome assembly GCF_000001405.40 of Homo sapiens. Classification (NCBI taxonomy): domain Eukaryota; kingdom Metazoa; phylum Chordata; class Mammalia; order Primates; family Hominidae; genus Homo; species Homo sapiens. The sequence continues at coordinate 122,649,480 of NC_000010.11, forward strand.
ATGCTGCATTTTCAGAAATCATACAAGCTGGATGTTATGTGGCCATTATTAAAAATTAAATTGTAGAGTCTTACAATTAAATAAATATTATATTAAAAATAAAAATATTAAATACCAAAACTCAGCACTTTCTGGTTATTTGACTCCATTTTACTATTACCTGTGCCCAAGGATATTTACATCACGTTGTGTCTGTCTGCTGGAAATACTGTCCCCCGCGGAGTGACTGCCCAGCTCTCCCAGCTCCACATGCAATGGCGTCTTATTGCTGGCATAAAATGGCCATGGGGGGAGGATTCACACCATGGAAATCACGCTACAAAGGAAGCTTCCACCTTCCCAGAGCCTGTTGTTAAAGATTTCACAATGCCCCACTGCCTACAGCTCACCCAGAAAGGGGCAAATACACTAGGAGAGCTTGGAAAAAGGCTTCATTGGCCTGCCACCATGTTCAAGTTTCCTTCATTGGCATTAAATTTTTTTGGAAAGCGTCTGTGTTTTAGCAAGTGTGGAATCCAAAGCTACCTCGGCAGGGAGATGCCTTGGGAAGCTCCCACAGGCTCTGATGAAAGCAGTGGTTGTGGCACCTGGCCTACTCTTGGCCCCTGGGGAAGGGAAAGCTGTCCAGGTACAGGTTAGGGGCAGGCCAAAGACGGGAAGCCAGGTGGTGGAGGCTATGGGATGGCACACGTCAGAGTCCTGCCTCATCTCCCTCTGCCTGAGTCCAGCACCAAATTCCCTCTCCTGCTCCTCTTAGCCATGAGGACGTCTGATATCCCTCAGCTCCATCTTTGGATATCTGGCCTGAGCCAACCTTCAGGTGACAGTTCTGTTTTCCCTGGAACTCTATACCTATAAGTGCCTGGGAGCCCATATGGTTTGTCCAAGCTTCGAAATGAGGAACAGCATCCCTGCTGAATCAGAGACAAAGATTTGTTTCTGTAACAGCATCTTCCAAGAGGCTTAAGCTCCAAGATTAAGTGATGGAGTCATGTGGGGGCACTGATGACTCCAAGGGCTTGGCCTGGGACAACTGCTCAGGACAAAGGAGAAGCCAAGGCAGAGTGAGGCCACCATGCTGGGTAATGACTCATCTGATTGAGATCTAAGATTTGTACAGAGCTAGCAGGGAACATAGAGGAGTGAACGCTTTCAAAATCTGCTCCATCCTCATTCACAGCCTGCTGGGGAGCTCTCTATGGTCAAGGAGGCTTGGAATGGGTGCACAGCCACCCAGGCTTTCCTGTGTTCTGATGAGTTAGAATCTCTCCTCAACCAACCCACCTCCACCCCATGCACCACTGCAGATTTCTACATATGGGACTACAGGTGGCAAAGATGGGGAGTCTGCTTCTTGATACCTGTCTTCTCCCAAGTATGTAAATACTGGAGGGTTGAGTGTTGGCCTGGGGTGCCTAGGCATAGTGCCAAGCTCAGACTTTTGTATTGGAGGGGTGGGTGGGGGTGGAAAATTATGAAGAAACTCACAGGGAACACAGGATCAGTAACTTCTCAGGATAGAGACCCACAGTGACTGTCCCAGCTTGTCACCTTCTCCCAGAGGGATGCCTTCTGTGTGCTGTGAGGAGAGCAGAAGAGTTGGGGAGGGGGTATCAGGAAGCTACTGGAACTCTTAAATCTTTGTGGAAGCCTCACTGGTTAAGTTTGGTCAGGATGTGGTTGGCTCCCATTGTGTCAGGATGGCTGCCTAGTTAATAAAATTGCTGTCTCTTCTTCCTTTCTCTGATCACCGGATTTTCCTTTAAATTACATGCAGAATTTTGGTAGGGGAAACAATTCAGTACTATTTTCCTGGGACTTTGGTTAATAAAATCTCTGTCTCTTCTCCCTTCCTCTGATCACTGGATTTTCCTTTAAATTACACCCAGAACTTTGGTAGGGGAACCAATTCAGTACTATTTTCCTGGGACTTTTCCAGTTTTAGCACTGAAAATCTCAAGTTCTGGAACCCTTCGATCCCAGACAAGCCAGAATGGCTGGTCACTCTAGAGCCTCTGGACAAGGCTACAGGGAAGAGGAGGTCCAGATGCTATAACAATCATCAAACACAGAAGACTGGAAACCCTTTAGCAATGAAATTTAGACTTTCACTTTTTTAGTCTCTTTTCAATTCAGTTTGAATAATTCCTTTTAGCATTTCTTGTAGGGAAGGTCTAGTGGTTATGAACTGATGAACTCCCTTGGTTATGGTTAGTCTGGGAAAGTCTTTATATTTCCTTCGTTTACAAAGGACAGTTTTCCTGTCTAAAGTATTCTTGGTTGACTGACTTTTTGTCTTTTAGTATTTTGAATATATCATTATCCCAGTCTCTCCTGGCCTGCAAAGTTTCCGCTGAGAAGTTAACTCATAGACTTAAGGGGAGCTCCTTTGTATATGATAAGTTGCTTTTCTTGTCGCTCTCAAAATTCTCTCTTCGACTACTGAAAATTTAATTATATTGTGTCTCATTGTAAACCTTTTAGGATTCAACCTATTGGGAACCTTTGATCTTCATGAATCTGGATGTCCATTTCTCTGCCTAGATATCAGAAATTTTCAATTATGATTTTCTTAAATATGTTTTTCTCCCTTTTCTGTCTCTTTTCTGCATCTGGAATTCTCAGAATATGTACATTGGTTTACTTGATGGTATCACGTAAATCCCAGTCTTTTCCCCCTATTTTTCATCTTTCTTCTTTTTGTTTATCTAACCAGATGATTTCAAATAACCTGTTTGAGTTCACTGATTCTTTCTTCTGCTAATCAAGCTTACTATTGAAGATCTCTTGAGTTTTTCAGCTCAGTCATTGTATTCTTCAGCTGTAGGATTTCTGCTTGTTTCTTTTTTATGGTTTCTATTTTTTAAATGAACTTATAATTTTTTTCATTGTTGTTTCATAGATTTCATGTAGTACTAAATCTGTTCTTTTCAGTGAACTTCAAGACAATTATTTGAATTATTTGTCAAGTAGTTAATGGATTTCCACTTCTTTAGAGCTGGTTACTGGAGCCTTATTAGTTTCCTTTGATGGAATCATGTTTGCCTGATTCTTCATGGTCCTTGTAATCTTGCAATGGTGTCTGTGCATCAGAAGGAGCAGTCGCCTCTTCTGATCTTTAAAGACTGGATTTGGTAGGAAAAGATCTACTGGGTCTCAAGACAGATATGCCGCCTCTGGGACTGCAGTCAAGCTGGGATGGCCCTTGGTCATGGGGCTTCTTTCATGTCTTCAGTTGGGTCCATGGTTGGCAGTCCTGTTATCCTGGGTGTGGGTGAGTATAGTTTCTGTGGGGTCCCCAGAGAAAAGAGACTGCCTTTAACACTACAGAAACCAGGGCTAGAGTTGACTATGCAGGCTGGTTTTCAGTCTGGGGCTGAGTCTATGGTAGCTGACCTGTTCCTGGGACACAGGCATACCTTCTAGAAGCAGATTTCTATGCTCTTATGTTTCAGTGGTGTGTCACAACCTCCTACCTGGGTCCTGAAGCTTCCATAAAGGTATATGTGTCTGTGGATGGTTGCCAAATTGTTGTTTTGTGGAGAAGTGAGAGCTGGGGATTCCTATTCTGCCATCTTGCTCACATCACCCTTCCCTCTGCCTTGGACATTTTTTCTTTAACCAAATAAATTCATCAGTTGGCATATAGCCTTGAACTGTATAAGCCTGGATAATTGTAATAAAAGTTTCTTGGGCCTACATTTGTGGGTGTACACAATCACCTTCGATATAAGGAGCAAGGTGAAAGTAGGTTGATGTTGATCCTTCCTTCTTTCCTTCCTTTCTTCCTTTCTTTTCTTTTCTTTTCTTTTCTTTTCTTTTCTTTTCTTTTCTTTCTTTCTTTCTTTTTTCTTTCTTTTTTCTATTGGAGACATAGTTACTAAGGTCATAATGTTTATCGTTTGGTAGCTATGAACCAGTTACTCATTAGGATGTAAATATAACTGGCTAACATTTAACCCCCACCTTACAAGCAATAAATACTACCGTGACAGGAATGCTTTCTAACTCCTTAAAAGTCATGGTATTTCTCTTTGAAAGCATTTCATGTTTAAATAGAAAAAACTCCCCTATAAGCAGGAAAGAATATTTTATGCTCTCCATGTCAAAAATGGCTGAAACAACCTCTGATATGTGAGATGAATTGGATGGTCAAAAGCAGTGAATGAAAAGGATTTCCAGATAATGGCTGACTTGAAAGCTAAAAACTATACAACTCCTTAATAAGAGCAGTTACCGAATGACAAGTGATAGGCCAATTTGGAATGGAGTGAAATTCAGTGATGCATTTGGTATTTTTGTAGACTTTAAGTCCTAAGTGCTTCATCTCTCTGATGGCTATTACCACAGAATTAAAAAAAAAAAAAGAGAGAGAGGTTAAACAAAAGCATCAATTAATCTATATAGGAATTTGGATATTTTCATTGAAAATGAAGTCTTTTGAAATTTCTGGGTCTGTTTAATTTAAAGCATTCTGAGTCTGTACCAAAGATGAGCAATAATTGCTCACAAGGGTACTGGGGTTCTCTGTTGCATTGTGAATATGGAATTGTAGTGGTAGTTAGCAACATATAGTCCACTGGTTCTAGCTATGTCCTCGTTTTCCATGGTTTAATTTTTGCAAGCCCTGTCAATATATTTTAAGATTAGGAAAGTCATTAAGAATCATTTTGTGTAAGCTGTCAGGATAGGTGTTTTCCAAGCATAGTATTTTTCATATTTCTATCTGATTATTTTTGATATTTATTTGGTTGTATTCTAGAACAGCTTTGACAGGATTTTGGAGATTGGGGTGAAGCACTGAACCAAAGTCACAGATATGCACATATCCCTCTAAGAAGGTGAAGTTAACATTTGTCAGAGGGACCTGGAAGATTTCTTTGTAACCACCTGTCCAAGGAGTTTGGTATCTCTAAAAGTGAACAGGCAGAGCATGTCTGGTTAGTTTTGGAAGGGGCGTGACTAACAGGTGATGGAGTGTTGTTCTTACTGTTGAAAGATTTTCTTAAGGGGCAAGTGTTTTATTTTCTGGTATTCATGGGACATTGTAGGGGTTAGGATATTTTCAGCTTCATATGAAAGAAACCCACTCAAGTTGGCTTAAACAGCAAGGACAAATACAGTAGTTCCCCCTTATCCACAAAGTATACATTTCAAGACCCTAATGAATATCTGAAATTGCAGATAGTGTTTTTTCCTATTCATACATACCTATGACAAACTTTATTTCATAAATTAGATGGTAAGAAATTAACAATGATAATAAAATAGAACAATTATAAAAATATGCTATAATAAAAGTTATGTAAATGTGGTCTGCCTTTGTTTCTCAAAACATCTTATTGTACTGTAGATCTTAGCAACTTCACATACACATCTTTTTTCCTTATTAAGCCGAGAAGATTCACATTTTCACTTAAAGAAACCACTTCATGACTTCCCTATGGCATATCCGGATTGCCGTGATTCCATGTCCTGCACCTTAAGGCCAATTTTAAATAAAATAAAGGTTATTTGGATGCAAGCACTGCTATCCAACACACTCAATCTGGTAACCCAGATGGCTCCTAAGTGAATAATGGGCAGGTGGGAAGTGGCAACTCAGGCCAGTTCTCAGACCTGAGTATGAGGTCAGTTGCCCCCTGGGCACATTGGGCGCATGGGGTGAGAATAGATACATGGACAAAATTGGGGTTCTATAAAAAAGGAGGGAAACTATGCTGGAGAAGAAACTTATGAAATGCCCACCAGATCCTTAAACTCTTCCTGGTAAAATAAAAGCAAGGGTGCTAGGGAGGTGAATGATGACAGACGCTGGGGCAGTGGCGAGACCAGTGCGACAGTTCTGAATCTGTGGGGGACAGACAGTCAGAGGGGGTCTTTGAACAAGATGTGGAGAATTACTAAACTCTCCTGGAGAAGCAGAGAGAAAAACTGCAGTGCAGAAGGCCATGAGGAAGGAACATACAAAGGGGAGAAATGCCGGTCTGCCTAGGACCATTTGGAAACTAGGAATTACCTGAAGGAACAAAGATCCAAGGGACATAACTCCTCAAAAGCTGGTGTGAACCCAGATCTTTCCTCCAAGAGGACACTGCTTGGGGTACCTAAGACATTGATTTCTGGGGTCCCCCAGAAAACAAGTTAGATAGTAAGAGATTAACTGCTTCTTCTTCCCACGCAGCCGCAGCCATGCTGGGATGCTGCTGGCGGGGAGCACAGCTGCCCTGACACATTGGAGCCCATGGTAGCATCCTCAGCATGGACAACAAGAGGAAGGACGTATCCTCTCCATGGGCTCCCGCATTTGTTCCATGTGGGTATTCACATCCAATGGTGAGGAGCTTTGTCCTCCCCCAGCCCAGGGCCTGAAGAAAGATGAATGAGGGGTAATGGGACAGGGTATCTGGAGTAAGAGGAGGAAGGAGAATTGTGAGGAAGCATTGCAGTTTACTTTGGTAATACCTGGGAGCTTAACACTAAAACGGCCTTAGCACTGAATTCTGAGCAGAGAGGAAACTTACCAACTTCGCTTCTGCCTCCCTTCCTCAGTTGGGATGCTATGAGTGGCTAGATGGCTCCTAGCCCAGAAGTGTCGGCCTGTTCTACTTGAGTTGGAAAGCTCCTTCACACTGTGAACCCATCAGGGCCTGTGCAAATAATTACGGGAAGGAAAGGACAAGTGTGGCCTCTATGATTCATAAGAAGAAGAAGAGCAATGCAAGAGAAAACTGTTCTGAAGGCATGGACTGGCATTTCCAAAAGGGCCTCAGCTGGAGCAGAGACACTGAAAAGATGCCAGTCCCACTGGAATTCAGGAAAACACACATTTAATAAAGTTAGGTATTGTTTCTAGCATATTTGATCAGCAAGACACATTAAAAGATTTGGTAAATAGTTCAGAAAAGTGGATACTCCTGTTGTCTTGGTTGTTGTATAAATTGGCAACAGTCCTTGGTAGGCACTGCAGCTCACATTCCTATTCATGGTAGAGGAACAGTCCATCTTAAGTCCATACCACGTTTTATTTACTTACTCATCAGCTGATGGACGCTTGGGTTGCTTCCACATGCTGGCTATTATGAGCAATGCTGCTATGGAAATTCATGTACCAATTTTTGTGTGGGCTTATGTTTTCATTTCTCTGAAGTATATATCTGATGGAATTTATGGGCCATAAGGGAACTCTCTGTGTAACCTTAAGGAAAACTGCCAACCTGTTTCCACAGAGGCTTGTGCTGTGTTATTTTAATCACAACCCTGCCCTGGGACTGAGCCGTGTAGGTCCTAGCATGACCCATGGATAATAAATACAGACACAGGTACTCATGCCATCCACCTGGACATTCGCACACAGGTGGACCTGCCCCTGCAGTGGCCCCACCATGACCCACTCACACCTCGAGCAGCTCAAGGGCCTGATTCTGTGCCTTTGTCCTCCACAGATACAGAGAGGGCGGTGGGAGCCACAGGCAGTCAGGAGGTTGGGACCTCGCCCTAGTGCCACCCCTGATGCCCTGTGACTTTGGGTAAGTCTCCTGCTCTTTGTGGGTCTTGGTTCCTTGCTTGTCCAAGGACTCCTGGCCTGCCTCACCTCTCAGGTGTTATGAGACTTTTTCAATGTAACACAGGTGAAAGTGCTATGAGCTAAACCTAAGGCAGGTGGGCTGCCCAATCAGGAGGTCATGATGGTCTGTGGTCAACTTGTGATTCTTCCTCTGAGACCACCCAGAGAGGAAAAGAGGAGAACCTGATCATTATATCTCATTCTAGGTGACAGAGGACTCTGAACCAGACTGAGAAGGAACAGTGTTCATTAGCAGCTAGCCACACCTCACGCCTCCCTCTCTAGACCACCCAGTGCTGCAGGTGATCCTGCAGCACACTCAGATCCTGCAGCTTGGACAGCCTTGGCTCCAGGTGAGAGGGAGGAGATCAGATTTCAGGAGCGGCTCTATATAGCTCCAAGCCACCAGAGCTGTGCTCACTCCTGAGGCTGGTGCCAGGCTCTGCTCAGGATGAGGCTGTCCAGAGCCTTCGCTTGGGCACTGCTGTGCAGTACAGGTAATGTGTGGCCCCCGAGCCCTCTGTCCTGGGCTTCTCTTTGCTTTCCTGTTCCACTCTGAGGTTGTTGTAGTTTGCTTTTTGCATAGGAAGAAGCTCATGGCTGATTGGCTGTGAGATACTCTCCTCCATACAAAATGTGTCACTTTCCCCTTAGTACTGGAGGAGGAAGGGACAGACAGGGATTGTTCTGGTCACTAGGCTGATGTCAGCATGATTTTTAATGTTTCTCAGCTCTTGGATCTATGGGCCTCTTCCTTGCCTTAAGCAACTTAGGCTGAGATTCTACGGGGGGCAAGCCAGAAGTGGCTGAGAGAATGAGACACGGTCTTGCTTTGGAGGCGTTCCAGGTGGTGTGAGCATCTGCCAATGCTCCCCTGGCTCATGCAAGCCTGGCTCTGCACATGTTGGGCAGAGGCTGCACCTGTGACTGCAGAAATAAGATTGAGCCACAGTTTTCCTGCATCAGCCTTGGGTGAGGGAGAAGGAGTATGACCCAGTAACCCTTCCAGAAACATACATGGATTCTGTTCCAGCATTTCTGTACACCTACTTCTTTGGGGTCAGTAGGTCAGATGTGAAAACTATTCTATCGTTCCTGTCCTTTTGATATTGGAGCATGTGTCTGTTAGACTCTATCTTCTTCCTCTTTGTTGATCTTATTATAAGCCCTATGGCATTTCCCAATGTATTTATGCGAAATGAGTAGCATATGAACTTTATAATATCAAGGATGTATAATACCCAATGTCTATATAAGATATATAATCCTGGAAAAAATATATAAAATAAAGAAACTCATAACTCATGGAATGTGATGACAGTTGGTGCCCTATGAATTACTCTCTGTACTGAAACACACAGCACACATTCCCCATCCCTAAAAGGCTTGTATTCAATTGAGGACTGAAACCAGCTCACACAGAGTCAAATAGCAGCACAAGAAGCAATGGCCCCCGACACCCCCACCAGGCAGCCGTGGCAGCTGCAGACACTGTGAGGTCTGGGGTTCACCCAGCTGTGCTGTTCACACCAGGCTTCCCAGTGAGGTGGAGCTCAGGTCTGGCCTCCAGCATGGGGAGGTCTGGAAAGGCCGGAATAGGACGTGCTGAGCAGGTGCCGTGAGCAGAGGTGGAGTCACCCGAATGGGGTGAATTTAGGAACAAAGAGAACACAGAGAAAGGTGCTCCCTCCTTAGTCTGAGTGTTTCAGGAAGGGCAAAGCTCACCCTGGGGCCTGGGTTAGGCACATTTGAGCATGTTCAACTGCATTTCAGGCACATTGCTGAAGTGGCCGCTTCTTGCTTCACTATGCGTGAGGTCTCTCTGGGGACAGAAGAGGGCTTGGCTCCTGGTCTTTGTTCTAGATAGGTCTGGGCTTTTTCCAAGACACTTGGTGGGCCTTGGGGAGGCCCACAGTCCTCCATGAATGTGATTTGGGGAGAGGAAGACACAGGGTCAGGGACCTTCCAGAACTGACCTTGCAGAGTTTCCCTCCACTCATGAAGCTGGAAGGAGCGTTTGGATCCTGTAAACCTCACATGAAGCGAGCATCTCTGTCGTGTCGTCTAAGTTGTTCTGAATGTTTGTCCTGGAGCTTGAAGGATTGCCTGAAATTCACTGACACGTTTGGAGAGGAAAAACAAATCCTACTTTTATTTGCCCTTTCTGATTTTTCTAAATTAACAGATACAGAGGTGCTGCAGGCAGGCCTTGTCCTCTAGCTCTGGCATGCAGCGCACGGTCCCCTGGGATTTAGTGAGAGCAGATCCAGGTCTTTGATGGTCCCAGAGCACCCTGGAGTGGAATAATATGATGGAACCAGCTGAGTCCTAGCTTCTGCTTAGCACGCTGATGTCTTTGGCTGGAAAGGGTCTAGGGAAACCCTGGCCAAAAAGGAGCCAAAGAAATAAAAATAACAAGGCGCCTATGTCCATTCTCCTGCTGACTGACATGCGGCTCCAGGTCAGACCTTTCACCTCTGTCAACCACGATTTTCTCATTTATGAATTGGAGATAGAAACAGGTAACAAAGAAATAATAATGGTGAAGACCATTAAACACTTATTCAACACTCAACATTCTGTAGGTACTACATCAATAATTTCATACAGGTTGTCTAATTTCACCATGATTGGAACTTTTTGAATAGTAATAATTTTCCCAAAATTTTTAGGGTTTGAGAAAGTAAATAAGTTGCAAACAGCTTCCCTAGAGGCACATGCTGTCATGCTAGCTAGGACTGTGATGAGGGCCATTCTGATGCAGAGGCTGGGCTCCTGCCGCCATGTCTGTCACGAGTGTGAACCACAGAGCCACGTCTCCTGAGGGAGGCCCTGCGACTGCACCCAGAGCTCCTGCATCCAAGTCCGTGACACGTCCCTGAAATGGTGAGCCTTCCATAAATAAACGTGTCATTTCCCTTCACTTAACAATGTTATTCAAGTTGATTATTGATTTTATTATGAAATTTACAATAAGAAATGTTTAGAAAAGGTTTAGTGTGAAAAACTCTCCAGTTTTGCCCAGGATGAAAGGTTTCATGGACAAGTGATCTTCCACGCTAAAGCAACAAAAATCATCAAAACTAGGACAAGACAGTCCCCTTGATCAGAGCAGTTTTTCAGACTGTGGTGTCAGAATGTGGACTTTGAGTCGAACCGAGCAAGGAGAAAGCAGCAGTGAGTGAGCTGGGCCGTGAGTGCTGAGAGCCATTCCTTCTTTCCTTGGGATGCAGGGCTGCTCCAGGGATGGGGACAGCGATATCCCCTCCTCTCCCTGCCCAGCTCTGTCCCTTTGCACTCAAGCTCCTCTTCATAGTGTGGTCATTTTCCATTCTTCTCCCTTGACCCATTGGTAACTTCGGCTTTTCATTTTGCTTTTCTGTTTTCATGATTATTCAGGAATAATCCATTTACCAACAATGACAAGAAGTAAACATGAGCAATATATATTCACCCTTTCCCTCTCCTCACACAAGGACTATGTATTTCTGAGTTGGACACCATATGTCTCGACAGGAAGTGTAGGACCTGAGCCTTTTTCTGGGCCAAAAGAATGTGGTACATGTATCTGAATATCAGCTTCAGCACTGATACAACTTCAGCTCAATCCTGAAACTTCTCTCTCCACACATGGTCTTCCTCTGTGTGTCCCTCAACTCCTTCCAGCCCCATGGAGCCCCCCTCTTTTCCTGCCTTCTCTGTAGCCTCACTGTGCAGAGAAAGGAGCCACCTCTCCACAGAGCTGTGTCCCAGGAGAATGGGAGCCTCTTCTAAACACCTGGAGTCCTAGAGAGCTGAGGGGCTGCTCCATCCTCGGAGTCAGAGATGAAAGCCTTGAAGGAACAGGGAAGAACTGCAGCGTGGAGAGGGTGGGTCGGAGGGAGGAGAGGTTTCCTCCTGCTGCAGGCAGCCTGTTGATGGATGGATTCATTTACTTAGTGCTTAGCCAGTTGCTGGGTACCTGCTGGGCACTTTACACACCCGAACACATTTGCCCCCTTATGCGAGGTGCTACTTTCATCCTCACTGAACAGTGTTCTGGAACCGCACCCTCAGGTCTTACAGTGACATGGATTCTCATGTATGGGGGTGGTTAGGCCTCTCTGGGGGCAGGAACACTGCCTATTTGCTATTTTTTCTGGCCTCCTTAGGAAAAGACAATCAGAGTGGTAGAAAGGAGGTGTTCGTGCTGACTTTCTGTTTTCCACTGTGGCGGTGGGGTAGATGATAAAGAAGATTTGGTGAGGGGTGCTAAATTTCTTCTATTTCCCAGTGATCTAAAAGAAATTATACTACAAATGGGTGTGATAACTCAAAATCTCTGAGTGTATGAAACAGAAGCCACATTAGTTTTGGGGGAATGGCTATCTGGTCACCAATTTCCTTTTTTGTTTTTGTTTTGTTTTGTTTGTTGTTGTTTGTTTGTTTGAGACCAAGTCTGGCTCTGTCACCCAGGCTGGAGGGCAGTGGTGCTATCTTGGCTCACTACAACCTCCACCTCCTGGATTCAAGTGATTCTTGTGCCTCAGCCTCCTGAGTAGCTGGGATTACAGGCGTGCACAACCACACCCAGCTAATTTTTGTACTTTTTAGTAGAGATGGGGTTTCGCCATGTTGGCTACACTGGTCTCAAACTTCTGATCTCAAGTGATCTGCCTGCCTCGGCCTCTCAAAGTTCTGGGATTGCAAGCGTGAGCCACCGCACCTGGCCTGATCACCAATTTTTCTGAGAACACCTGGAAGTTGAGAGTATCAACAACCATTTGCCCCAGAGATAGCAAAGTCCCTCAGCTCAGGAGATGCCCTGGAGCCACGGTGGTTCCTGATTCTCTGGTTGTAGGACCCGCTCAGTGTAGGAGTGTCCTTAGTGTAGGGGTGTCCTCAGTGTAGGGGTGTCCTCAGTGTGGGGGTGTCCTCGGTGTGGGGGTGTCCTCGGTGTGGGGGTGTCCTCGGTGTGGGGGTGTCCTCGGTGTGTGGGGTGTCCTCGGTGTGGGGGGTGTCCTCAGTGTGGGGGTTGTCCTCACGCATTCTCTGGGAAGGTTTTCAACTCAGGAACAAAACAGAATCTGTCTGGGCCATCCAGGTGAAACTAAAAGGAAATCTATCTGTTATTTCCTTTCCTCAAGTGAGTGCTCAGGATGTGATTTCCTTTGTTGATGGTATAGTTTGCTGGGATGAAATCCACATGGCGTCTTGCCAGTTTACCCCCACCCAACCCAGAGGCCTCTAAATAGAATTGGAGGCTTCCACTCCTGCTGCAAATGCATTTAGTGCCTCCCTGTCTTCCAGGTCAGGTGCTCTCTCCTTAGCCTGCATTGCAAAATACTTCCCAATGTGGCTCCTGGACCTCTCCTCCCCTCCACCCACTCCTGCCCTCGGCCCCCTCCACACTGGGGTTCCTGGCACCACCTGTGAAGCAGCTCCATGCCATTGCTCACACTGGGCTCTGATGAGAACGCCTACTTCTACCCCTGTCAGACTCATCTGCCCTATCCTTAGGGTCCTCTACGAGGATTTCATGATTCAGCTGGAGGCCCAGCTCTTCTGTAGTGTCTGCGTGACTCCTTCCCAGACGGGCAGAGCTCTTTCTTTTGCACCCTACTAGATACCTTCAGAAAAGGCCGAGTTGTCTTTTCAATGTACACCGACACTTGTTTCATTCTTTGACGCCACTGCAATGAAAGCTCTCTTTTGGGGTTCAAGGCAAAATTGTTAATGAATGAATACATGAATGAATGATTGAATGAATGAAAGCAGTGATAAGATCCCAGAAGGCAGAAAACCCTGTAGCATTTATACCCAAGACAGTCTGTTTTGATTGAGCATGGCAGCCACATTTCCATCAATTCCAGACAAAGCCAAACACAACCCAGGATGTGGATGAGAAAGATGATGGAATATATGTGACTAAGGTCCCCCTTTCCCTCCACACTGGCTTTTGGGCTGGGACCTCAAGGTTATGCAGGTGCTCTGTGTGACAAAGGACATCTTTTGGATGGCTGCCTCAGATACAGAACTTAGACCATTTGCCCAACACGGGCTCCAGTGATTCTGAAAAAGGACTTGCAGCACAGGAGACCAAGATGGAGAAACAAGGAGAGAAGGAGGTTGGAGTTGGGAATTCCCTGTGCCACCATTTTTCCGGGCTCAGAAGGATTGGCAGCTCTGAACATTTTCCTGTATTGTCCTTTTGCCCTTTTCAAAGATTGGTTTTAGATCTCACTGTCCTTGGCATCAAGGAAGCACTCAGGCTGGGCCAAAAGCAAAACTAGTATGAAGTCAACCCTGTGTGTGTCCTAATGGGATATGTCTTAACTGTCTTCTCATACTTCAAATAAGCTGTAAACACTCTCCCATGTACATAAAGCTTGCTGGGGGCTAATTGAGGATGAGAGGTCAGGTTTGAAGACTGAAGGGGGTAAGAGGAGTGGGGAGACCCCTCAGGAGGGCGACATTCCATGTCCACAATATCTCACTGTAGGTAAGAAATGGAGGCCCCTCCCTGCCTTGAGTCAGGGAAGCCAAGCTTGGGCTGGGGACCCTTGTTGCCCCTCTATTTGCCAAGGGCAGGAATCACAGAGTGGCATCCACACACTCATGTCTGGAGCATCTCATCCTGACACAGAGGCTGTGGCTGAAAACACATGTCCCTGAGATGCAGATTTTGTAGCTTGTGGGGCCTGAAACACAGCTGGTGGCTGGAATTAAAATTCCTGAGTGGTATTCCCATCCACAGGCAGGGCTTCCAAGGGCACTCGGAAGACGCCTGCAGTCCTGGTGAAGAAAACATTTATTTTATTCAGGGGTTATGGAAAGAGACTAATCTGTGTGCAGAAGAGCTGTTAGACTTTCCATTCCTTGCTCGCCCCGGGCCTTGCACTTCTGAGAAGTAAGCTAATGAGAGCTGGTGCCACTCGCTGGGGAGGAAGCTGCCTGCTGGAGTTAGGCTGATTCCAAATGCTGACACCTGTCAGTTCTCTGCCCCACAGCCTCACCTATGGGAGTGAACAGGTAGAAGTCTTGGATGGATCTCTGGGGTCCAGATCCCTGAGCAAAATGTGTAAAGATATGTCCCTGACCTACCAATCCTCTTCCAATATTATGACCATCACATATAACAGAACTTTCAGCCAACCATCCACATTCTTTGTGGGATGCATATTACCATAGTGACTCAGAAGGTAGGTGGGGAAGGGGAAAACCTGCTGATTCTCCCCTTCTCTGTGGAAGCCAGCTGAGTGGCATGCTGCATATAGAGATGTTTCTGTGACTGCCAGAAAAAAAGGTGAGACCGCTTTCCAGTGGCCAAGTATTGAGTACAGGTAGTACAAAAAATGCATTGGGACATACGATTATAGCCTGGAGCAACTCATGTTGACACATGAGTAGAATAATGCCCAGTCTGTATCCCCAGAGGCTTGTATTCAGTTGAGTACTGAAACCAGCTCACACAGAGTCAAGTGGCAGCACAAGAAGCAATGGCCCCCGACACGTCCACCAGGCAATGGGTGGAAGCTGCAGACACTGTGAGGTCTGAGGTCGGCCCCACATGCGCTGATCACACCAGGCTTCCCAGTGAGGTGGAGCTCAGGCCTGGCCTCCGGCATGGGGAGGTCTGGGAAGACTGCAAAGGACGTGCTGGGCAGGTTCCATGACCAGGAGTGGAGTCACCTGAGTGGGGCGAACTGAAGGACAAGGAGAGAGAGGCACTTCCTCATGGGCCCTGTAGGCATTGCTGGTGCAGAGATGTGTGCACTGGGGTGGTTTGGGGCAGGACGGCTGGGTGGAGCATTTGAGAGGCTCAGACATGAGGCTGGACCTCTTAGGGGTCTCCTTCCTGGAACATCCCCCCAGCTCTGTCAACTCCTCTCCAGCATGGGGGGCCCCTCTGCCCTCCCATCTGGGAAGCCTCACTGGGCAGGGAAAGGAGCTGCCTCTCCACAGAGCCTGTGTCCCATGGGGGACAGGAGCCTCCTCTAATCACCCAGAGTCTGGAGAGCGGACGGGCTGCTCCAACTTCAGAGTCAAAAGTGAGAGCTGTGAAGGAAAAGGGAAGAATCGCAGCATGGAGGATGCGGGCTGGGGGCAGGAGCAGTTTCCTTGTGATGCAGGCAGCTTATTCATTTATTTTTTACCAAGGACAGAGGACTTGCCAGGTACAGAACAAACCTTTTAAAATAGGAACATATTGGATCCTAGAACACCTCTTCCATGCCACTTCTTTTTTAACTCCTCAGGTGACTGCGTCTCTCTCTCCTTTTGCCTCATCAGTCACCCCATGAAAATCTATAGTGGATTTTAGCATAAAATGTTACTTGCATTTTTATTTTTGTCTGCCACTATGGAAACTCTAACTTTGGGTTCAAGCCATATTTCCTAAATGAATGAATGTGTGACTAGTGTGATAAGATCACGGAAGGCATTAGCAACATAGCAGTAAGTTACTGCCCTGCTATCCCAGGGCCATCATCATGGATTTTAACGTGGGAGTCACATTTCCATCAACTCCAGACAAAGCCAAGGGCAGGCCACAGTAATGGATGAGAGACGTGATGAAATCTGAGTGACTAAGGGCTCCTCCCGCTCCAGAGGTGGAGTGGTGTCAGGACCCCCACTAAGTTTCTCGGGGCTTTCTAGGATGAAGGACACCTGGGAAATGGCTCTTACACGAGCAGTGCTACAACCCTCTACAAAACTTTGTTTTCATAAGGCAGCAAATAATGGTATGTTCATGAAGGTCATGATTCAGGGAACAGAGAGGAGTTTGAGGGGAGGACAGGGCTGAATGAGCCAGGCATTTCTTGTGTCGCTATTTCTCCAGGGGTCAGAAGAGTGAGATGTTTGGAACATTTTCCTAAGGACCCTTTCCTTTTTCAAAGGTATTTTGGTTCTGACTGTCCCTGTCACCAAGAGGCTCAAGGTTCAGCCAGTAGGAAAACTCGTACAGAAGGTCCCCATATTTCTGCTGTTCTGAGATGTGCCCCTCTTATCTTCTTATCCTACAGAGCCTCTGGGCTCCCGCCTGGGAGCAGGAGATACACTGGGGGCTAAGTGAACACGAGGGGTGGTGGATCAGGCTGAAGTGTTGGCCTTGAAAAGTGCCTGGTCTGGCCAGGGCTGCAGGCCTTCTTCCTGGAGGACACGCTCTGCTCAGAACAGGGCTGCTCCTGTGGAGCTGCCCTAACAACAACTTGCTCTCCCATAACTGTGGCCATGGGTGAGGGGTTGGTGTTATCTGCTCAGGTGGGCTTCTAAGTCACTGGTCCTCTATTTTGTTTTGTAGTTTTCTTCAAGAAAGTGCTGAAAGGGCTCCAGTGCATGGGGCCTTCTCACACATTTGGGCACATTTCCTTAATTTATGAGTACTCCTTTATTTTTAAGCCAATTTAGTACCTTCTGGCCACAACACATAACAAAACAGATGTATGCACACATAAATACATCTGAGCACACATACACACTCATACAAAGATCCTATAGCTTTAACTTTGGAACTCTAGCCAAGAGATATCTACACAAACTCACCAGCTTATCAAAAAATGGTTGGATGTAAGCAGTTGTTTTTATCTTAATACCAGTAGAATGGTCCTCTAAACTAGAAAAAATACATTTTCTTAAGCAAAAACCATATCCTTATGTTTTTGTTTCACCAAACACACATCTTATTCTCCTACTTCTCTAACTCCTAGTAACTCTAATTCCTAGTGAAAATTCTAGGATTACTTAATTTAACATAACATGACTTTAAGATTTCAAATCAATAGAGAAAATTAAATTTACCAAATTAAACTTACCAAAGATGACCAAAGTCATGTGAACTGAAAAGCCTCTGAACTAGTTTCTGTTAGTCCAATAAACACTTAGACTTTTCTTTAAGACAATTAATTAGAGTTCTTTAGACTTTAAGACAATTAATTAGCGCTGTTTCATATAACTTGGTCGTGAAATATCACTTCACATGACACATACAGTTCTATAGACGGACACAGACAGAGGCAGATCTTAAACACTTTAGATTTTTCATTTGTGTGTTTTCAAAATTTTTCTGTCCCCTACTTCAGATTATTGGTCTCCTGATGATCTGTTCCAAGTCCAAAATAATTGTTAACGAAGCAACTCTAAATGTACAACTCCAAAGACATGACTTTGGTGAAATAGGGTAGAAAATGTACATCTCAAAGGCACAGACTTAGACCTAAACAAAGTCAAGGTCTGTTATGTAAACTTTAAGCCATTGTCTTCCCCCTAGTTAAGGTTCCTGGTGGTACAGATGCAGAGACAGAGATGCTCTTACAAAACGGAGATTTCCTTTAATGATGTAAATTTTCTTTACAAAATGTTTTTATTAAAGTGACTTAATTTGATAGGTGTTTTTATTTGTTTGTTTGTTTGTTTTTGAGACAGAGTCTCGCCCTGTTGCCCAGGCTAGAGTGCAGTGGCGCAATCTCGGCTCTCTGCAACCTCCGCCTCCTGGGTTCACGCCATTCTCCTGCCTCAGCCTCCTGAGTAGCTGGGAGTACAGAGGCCCGCCACCACGCCCAGCTAATGATAGGTGGTCTTTTAACTTAGCTTGATTAGATCACCGGCTTTAGGGTAAAGCTCTTTGGGGAATGGGGCCAAGAATTCATGCATTTTTTAAGGACTAAACCACAATGTTCTTATTCAAATGTGTGAAGAAAAGAGTATCTCCCTGTAGTAATGACCATTTCCTGCCAACTGTCCTCAGCCACCCCTAAAATTGTAGCTATCTTCTGCCATTACACACACTAAAGTCAGATCCTCTCACAGTACAAGGTAATCTCTGGTACCCCCAAAAGCCAAAGAAACCAGGTAACGCAATACAAGACAGAAGAGCTTTAGACCTGAGAACAATCTGCCCATGACTGTTGAAACTCCACAAAGAAAGAACACCCCTAAAAGGAGTGAGCGGTGCCTTTATCCTGAGCTCTTTAAGGGACCCAAATTATTAGAAGCCTTTCTAGATATGTTTTTCACTTGGTACTGAAGATGGCAACAGGGTGGAAGTAAGTGAAACAACAATTTTTAAGAAAGGAAGTGAACTGAGAAGCCAAGCACCTTTTTGTTTTTCTTTTTGCAGCTGTGGGGGATTTTAGCCAATTCAGAGGCCTCCATAATTTGGAATTCTTATCCGGATTTGACCAAGTCCAGTACAGTTGGTCAAATCCAATGGGAGAAAGACTGAAAAAAAAACAGCGAAAAGCCAAACAATATGCTTATTCTTCTTATTCATATAGTTGTATTTTTTGGATGACTGAGGATGGCTATTTGGAGATTTTGGTGAGGTAGTAAACTGAAGGAGCCAATATGTGCATGTTCCTCAGGGCCTCTGAGAAGTTGACATAGTCAGCATTTAGTCAAAGGGACCTTGAAGGTTTCTGTGTCACCACTTGCCCCACTGAACGCTCTAATGGTAAGGAGAAATTAAGACCAGCTGGTTATCAGTCTTAACTTTTAGTCATTAAGGAGACTTTTCAACACAATATCCCAATTCAGCTACTTACCTAGGAATGGGGCCCAGGCCGAAGATTGCTCTCTACCATCTTAGAAGCAGGAAAGAAACTCAAACTCACCTTCCCTTTTGCAAGTAAGCAGAGATTCCAGGAAGGACTTGCTCTCCTGTTTCCAATGTCATGGAAAGCAGGAAAACTTGCCTTCCCTGTTAGAAGTGAGTAAAACTCCAGAAAAGCAGTCGTATGGTGAAATACACCTTAGATCTCACCCAAGTTTGGGGGAGATCAGGGATTCTCTGGAGTGGGGAAGCTCCCAGGCCTCAGCAAATTGTCCCATTGGTTTGAGCAATAAAGATAGCCCAAGCCAGTACCAAGCACCCACAGGAGATTCATCAAAGGTCAGGGGCACCTCCACTCAGAGTCTCTTCAGTTGGTCGCCAATTTGTAAACCAAAAGGTATCTGAGACAGGTCTCAATTGATTTAAAAGTTTATTTTGCCAAGGTTAAGGACATGACTAGAAATTGAAAAAACAAACACACACATGCACACACACACACACACACACAGAAAAAGCTTGTGGTCCCAAGAAGATTTTGTGGGCTTCAATACTTAAAGGGGAAAAGATGGCTGGAAGGGAAAGAGGGAGGGTATGGTCATCCACATGTCTACGCTGTGCCGCTTGGGCTGGAAGGCATAGGATTAAGCAACTTCTCTTGCATCTCTGTTCCTACATTTCATTGTGTTAATTTTTTTCCTTCCCAATCAATAATCCTGGCTGGAAGGCATAGGATTAAGCAACTTCTCTTGCATTTCTGTTCCTACATTTCATTGTGTTAATTTTTTTCCTTCCCAATCAATAATCTTAATTCAATTACTTTAAAAATGTTTCTAAGTCTTAAGAAAAGGAGCAGGTAGGGGATAGTCAATCATGAGTTTGTCTCACACTCAGTAAATAGGCATTTATATAAGATAAGGTGAACATAGAGTAACTACCTGTGGAGATATTTAACCTTTTATCTGTAGCTCTCTGCTTAGGAACAAAAGGAAAGGCAGCTTCTTGCATGCCTCAGCTTTCAGCTTAGTTTCCTTTTTCCTTTTGGCATAGGAAATTGGAGTTTGGAGTTTTTATTTTTCTTTCACAGAAGATAGATAACAAATAAGCATAGGAAAAGATACTGCCAAATGAAGATGGAATTTTTGTTGTAGTTACCAGCGTAAGGGCTTGGAGTTTAGCCATAGCCTGGCTTTCCATGATTTGATTTTCAGAAGCCCTGTCAATAGATTATGGTTACTTTACTCAATAACTACCATTTTATGTAAATCTTCAGGATGAGTGTTTCCCAAGCATAATGTTTTGCATATGTCCCTCTGCTTATTCTTGTAATTTAGATGGCTGTATTTTCTGATGGCTGTGGCTGGCTTCTGGAGACTTTGGTGAGGCAGTAAATAGAAGGACCCACATGCACATGTGCCTCAGGGCCTCTGAGAAGTTGACATAGTCAGCATTTTGTCAAAGGGACGTTGGAGGTTTCTGTGGCGCCACCTGCCCAAGCTGTTTGGAATCTCCCAAATGAGGTGCCATGGCAGGTCTGCTCAGCCTGGGGGATTTTAGCAGGTGATGGATGGTTCTCATTCTTCTAAGACTCTCTAAAGAGCAAGCACTTTAATTTCTGGTATTCAAGGGGCCTTGAAGAGCTTAGGATATTTTCAGCTACATGAACAAAAACCTCATCTCAAATTGACTTAAACAATGAGGACAGGGATTGATGCCTGTGTCTGGACAATGCAGAGGCTTTAGGGCTGACATCAGCAGCAGCTCTGGTGTGGCCTTCCCACCATTGCCTTGCTCTGCAGCTCTGCCAGTTGGCTTCATCCTCATCCTGGTAGCAAGGGGGAGCAGCCATGTCTGCCTCCCTCTGAGTCACACCTTCCTTTGATGCCATTGGACCAATCTGGGTCACATACTCAAGTCCGCATCCATCACTGATGCAGAGGGTGAGCCTTCTGTCACCATCCATGCCACCTTCCTACTCTACTCAGGCCAGCATTTGGAGCTAGGCTTGGAGCCAGTTGCTCCTAGGACACATTGGGTATGCTGGGTGAGAATAGATACCTGGAAAAAGTTGGGGTTTTTTGTTTCCAACTGGGAAATCATGCTAGGGAGACAACACAAAAAATGCCCATCAGACCCTAAAATTCTTCCTGGTAAAGTAAAAGTAAGGGTGGTGGGGAGGCAGATAATGGCAGACCTGGAACAGAGGAGACCAGTTGGACAGTTCTGACACTGTGGATGGCATCAGTCACAGGGGTCTTTGAACAAGGTGCAGAGAATTACTAACCTCTCCTGGAGAAGCAGAGGACAGGTCTGAGTGCAGCAGGCTATGAGAGAAGAACATACAAAGGGAAATAAACAAATCCACTTAGGGCTAGATAGGAGCAAGGGACGACCTGGGAGGATAAAGATCTGAGGGACGCAAATCCTCAGAAGCTGGTGCTAACCCAAATCTTTCCTCCAAGCTGACATCGTGAGTTGGGGCACCTAAGACTTTGGTTTCCAGGGTCCTCCAGAAAAGATACTAGGTCTTTGTTCCTTCAGACAGCCACAGCCATGCGGGGACGATGCTGGAAGACATGTAGCCATCCTGACACATTGGAGCCCATGGCAGGATCCTTGGGCTGGGGTACAAGAGGAAGGAAGCATCCTCTCCATGGGCTCCAGCATTTGCTCCATCTGGGCATTCACATCCAATTGTGGGGAGCTTTGACCTCTTCCCAGCCCAGGGCCAGGGGTAGGGTGAATGAGGGGTAATGGGACAGGGTATCTGGAGTAAGAGGAGGAAGGAGAATTGTGAGGAAGTATTGCAGTTTACTTTGGTAATACATGGGGACTTAACACTAAAACAGCCTTTTTCAGTGACTTCTGAGTAGGGAGAAACAACTGGGCTCCCAGCCCAGCAGTGTCGGTCTGTTCTACTTGAGTTGGAAAGCCCCTTCACACTGTGAACCCATCATGGCCTGTGCAAACAAAGTTGTGGGAAATAAAGGCCGAGGGTGGCTTCTTTGATCCATAAGAAGACGAGTGATGCAATACAAGATTGCCCTGAAGATATGAACAGGCATTTCTGAAAGAGCTGTAGTGGGAGTGGAGGCATTGAAAGGGTGCCAGCCCCACTGGACTTTGGGGAAATGCATTTTATAACATTAGGTATTATTTCCATCATATTTGATTACAAGACATATTAAAAGATGTGACAAAATCAGGAGTTGGTTAGAGTTTAGGAAAATGGGTCCTCATGAAGTCCTGGTTGTTGTATAAATTGGTCACAGTCTTTGGTTGACAAATTGGCTTGCATTCCTTCATATGGCTGAATAAATTCCCATTATGGCTATACCAAGTTTTCTTCATCTGTTTCTCAGTTGATATTAGATAGTTTCCCTCTTTGGCTAATATAAGCAATGTTACTATGAACATTCATGTACAAATTTATATCTAGACATATGCTGTTAATTCTCTTTAGCATACAGCTAGTGGAATTGCTAGACCATAAAGGAACTCTCTGTGTAACCTTCTAAGAAATTTCCAGCCTGTTCTCCACAGAAGCCTCTTTTAACCATGACCCTGCCCTGGGACTGAGCCATGTGGATCCTGGCATGACACATGGGTAATACAGGCAGACACAGGTACTCATGCCATCTACCTGGACATTCCTACATGGGTGGGCCTATCCCTGCAGTGGCCCCACTGTGACCCACTCACACATTGATCTGCTCAAGGGCCTGATTTCATGCCTTTGCTCTCCTGTGACACAGAGAGGGCTGTGGGAGAGATGGGCAGTCAGGAGTTCGGGACCTCACCCTGGTTCTGCCCCTGATGCCCTGTGACTTTGGGAAAGTCTCCTGGTTCTCTCTGGGTCTCGGATCTTCAGCTTTCCAAGGACTCCTGGCCTGCCTCACCTCTGGGGTGTTGTGAGGCTTCCGCAACATAATACAGCTGCAGATGCTACAAGTTAACCCAAAGAAAGAGGGCTGCCCCAGTAGGAGATCACAGATTGAGGCCAGCTTGTGATACTTCCCTTGAGTCTGCCTGGGCGGAAAGGAGAAGGAGCACCTGGCCATTATATCTCTGTCTAGGTGAAACCTGGAACCTGGCTGAGAAAGATCAGTGTTGATTAGCATCTAGCCACACCTCATCCCTCCCTCTCTAGACCACCCAGGTGATCCTGCAGCACCCTCAGATCCTACAGCTTGGCCAATCTTGGCTCCAGATGGGAGGGAGAAGATCAGATTTCATGGGTGTTTCTATATAACCCCAAGCCACCAGAGCTGAGCTCACTCCTGAGGTTGGTGCCAGGCCCTGCTGAGGATGAGGCTGTCCAGAGCCTTCGCTTGGCCGCTGCTGTGCAGTATAGGTAACGCATGGCCCCAGGCCCTTTCTTCTGGGCCTCGCACTGTTTTCCTTTTCAACTGCAGAGATTTTAAAATTTGCTTATTGCCAAGGAAGAAGCCCATGGCTGATTAGCTGAAAGATACTCTCTTCCATACAGAATGTTTCACTTAGTGCTGGTGGAAGAAGAGACAAATAGGAAAATATCTATGTCATTGTGCTGATGCCATCGTGATTTTTAAACATTTCTGGGTTCCTGAGTTCCCGGTCTTGATGTGTTCTGTGACCCTCCTTCCTGCCTTAAGCAATGTATGCTGAGATTCTGCAGGGCTCACCCAGAAGTGGCTGAGAAAATCAGACATGGTCTTGCTTTCGAGGCTTTCCAGGTGGTCTGACGGCAGGCAGTGTCTTGGTGAGGGTGCCCTGCATTGAATGTGTCTGGGGACTTCTGAGGGGGTAACTGTGGCCCTTGGGGGAGCCCACAGCAGGAGGGAGCTCTGCATCTGCCCAGCGGGTTGTCACATGGCTGCTGCAGCAACTTCGGGAGGAGCAATAACCAGCAGCTCCCACCGCTGGCTGGGAGTGCCTGGAAGAGGGGGAGTCACTTGCCCTCTAGAGGGCTGGACCCTGGGAATTGTGTCAACTGCATGAGGACTGGCCAACTGATTTTGAATGCAGGCAGGAAAGGAAGAGGGTATAGATTTCCTCAGGGAGATGTCTTCGTCTCTATGTCTCTCTTCCCCTGGCTTCCTGTTTCCCTCATTCTCCCCACCTTCTTTCTTTGTATCCTCCTCTTTCTCTCCCCTTTCCTTCCTGAGCTCCTTGTTTCCTACTCTCGTCACTTCTTTCTCCTCTCTTGCCCTTGCCGGGTCCTTTCCAACCTTGCCCATTTCTCCTGCGCTGCTCCACTTTGCTGACTGCACACTCACGTCAGGGGCTGCCCCATCACCGGGTGCTCTCCTCCCCTGCCAGGATTTCAGCCTCACTGTAGGCCCCAGCTCCACATGGCTGCCTCTGGCTAAAGCTTCAGATGCCCATCTACATTTCCAACTCAGATAACAGCTTACAGCTTCTGTCTAAATTAGGGCTACAGTGAGGCCTTAGGGCAACTGGTCATAGGAACCCTAACAGCTTGGTGGAAAAATTTAATATGCTTGACATTTGGTTTCCTCATCCTTGGTGAAATCAAGAGACACAAAGACAACTTGATGAAAAAGAGGGAGAGGTGCTGAGCTTAAATGCAGAAACTAATGAGTGCTGCATAGGCTTGGCCAAGTCACCCAACCCCTCTTAACCTCAGCTGTAGAATCGGGGTGCCTCGACAGGGCTGTTGTGAGGAGTTAGTGAAGCAAAAGTTTCCATTCAAGCAAATTTAGAAAAGTTCATTACTAAAGCTCCCTGGAGTGATCACTAGCCTCACAGCCTGAAAGCTTGTGTGGTTAGTGATTGTTAAGTAGCAGCTTCTTCCCCATGCCTCAAGGCCTTTGCCTAAGAATCTAGATGAAAGGAATTTAAGGTAGATGTGGTTACAGTACAGAAATGTCACTCAATATGACAGGCATGTTCAGGATTTGCACTTGAGGTCTGCTTTCTGGGGAATCGTGATTTATTTCTTCCAGAGCCAACTTGATAGAGGCCCCAGCTGTGGGGAGACTCTTCTTTGCACCCACAAAGGACCAATATAGTCTCAGGCTCAGGAAGGACAGCTAAGATGTCCTGGTTGACTTTCTTGTCAGAATAGGTTGTGTAGCATTATGAGGATTGCTAATTTACTTAGTAAAGAAACATCATCTAATTTGGAAAACGAAGCAACTGTCTTGAAAGCGTTAGAGTGACAGATCAGGTGTATGCCAGGCTACCCTGTGCTGGGCATTGGGCCATGGGCTCGTGCACCCAGCTTCATCCTGTAAGGTAGTTAAAATCAAGATGCCCATTGTATAGATGAGTGACTGAGGCTTAGGGAGAGTTAAAAACTTTGTCCAAAGTCGTTCAGCTCTAGGCTGCTGGGACAGTTAACCAGGGACATCTGATTCTGAACCCGTGGGCCTGCCCGCTAGATCATAGCCTGACAATGATCCCAGTGTCACGTGCACCGTGGGACGTATGAGATTGTGTGCAGGGCTGGCTTGGATCCCGTTATCTAACTCCAGTCCCTGAATAGTGAAATTTCCATAAATAAACATGGCTCACTTCTACTCACTTAAAAATTTTAGTCAACAGATTTATTTCAAATTCAAATTAATCACTGGTTTTGTTATAGAATTTACAAGGAGAAGTGTTTATATCAGAGTTAAGGTAGCTGACTTTTATTTTTTCCCAGGAAAGTGGGACGTGAGACCTTTAGCTAAAAAATCAGGAATGTCTCGGATAATTCAAGATAAGCTGACTACTCTATCAGAGCAGTCATTTCTGACCATGGCTCCAGAGTGAGACAATTGAACTTTAATTGAGTGGAATGGGAAAAACAAGAATGCTGTGAGTGAGCTAGTTTGTGAATTTGTGAGTGCTGAGAGCCGATGCTTCCTTCCATCCTTCTCTCTGGGTAACCCAGGGCTGTTCCCATAAATGGGGACAGTGACGCCATCTCTTCTTCCTGCTTAGCTCTGTCCCTTTGTGCTCAGCTCTGTCCCTTTGCACTCAAGCTCCTCTTCACAGTGTAGTCATTTTCCTTTCTTCTGCTTTCACCCATTGGTAAGTTCAGATTTTCATGGTTTTTTTTGTTTTGTTTTGTCTTTCAGCCACAACTGTTAAAGCTCCATTTGCCACAGGTAAATGCAGACAAGACTGTTACCCTCTTTCCCTTGCCTCACACAGAGACACTGTTTTGGGGTTGAAATCCAAATGGATCAATGAGAAGGGCACGTACCAGGGATAATTCTTGTCCAAAAGGACTTGGTAATTGGATTCAGCCTTCATAATCGCTAATTCCCCCTCCCACCCTCTCAGTGCTCCCCTCCATGAGACTCCTCCCAACTTCCCCAACACCTCCAAGCCCCCCCGAAGTCTCCTCTGCCCTCCTGTCTGACCAGCCTGCTGGGCAGGGAAAGGAGCCACCACTCCACAGAGCCTGTGTTCCTGGAGGTTGGGAGCCTCTTCTAAACACCTGGAGTCTGGAGATCTGAGGAGCTGCTCCATCCTGGGTGTCAGAAAACTGCTCCTCCCTCTAACCTGCTTCCTCCAGGGTGCAGTTCTTCCCTCTTCCTACGAGCTTCTCCGTGAGGATGCAGGCTAGAGGGAGGAGCAGTTTCTTGCGATGCAGGGTGGCTTGTTGATTGATTGGTGGATTCACCTAGTGTTTAACCAGTTGCTGGGCACAAGCTAAGTGCTTTAGAAACTGGAACACATTTGACCACTCAAGGAAAGTGCTCTTTTCATCCTCAGTCACACTTTCGGAGCCTGAGGCATCATTGAACCTCAAGGAGATGGATTCTCATTTGTTCAGGGATTGGGCTACTATTGGGGCAGGAGCACTGCCTATTTGTTATTTGTCCAGCCTGCCCTAAGAAAAGATCTGTAGGGAAATGGAAAGATAGTGTTTGTGCTGATTTTCTGTTCACTAATCGGGCAATACGATTGGTGAGAAAGTTTTAGTAAGGGGAGTTAAGTTCCTCTATTTCCCACTGGTCATAAACAAATTGTACTTTAAAATAAGTGTGGGTCACCTAATAAAGTCTGAAACCAAAAAGCCCACCTTGTTTGTGGAGCCATCAGACTGGGCCATTAAGGTTGAATTTTCTTCCCAAGGATGGGAAGTTGGGAGAATCAGTAATAACAGGGGCCCCTGGAATGACACAAGCCAATCCCAGACCTAGAGCATCCCTGCAGTGCCTGGGCCCCGTTTCTCCTCTTGTAGCACCCAGTGACTGTGGGGGCCACTACACAGATGAATATGGCAGGATCTTCAACTACGCTGGGCCGAAAACTGAATGCGTCTGGATCATCGAGTTGAACCCCGGGGAGATAGTCACGGTGGCCATTCCAGACCTCAAGTGAGTACTGGGGTTGTGAGTTTTCTTTGATGTTGTTGGTATTTCTAGGAAAGATCCCATCTTGACCTCATATGGTTCACCTTCCACCCTATCCATGACAGCCATTTGACACACAATTTGACGACATTTTCACTTCCTGTTGAAAGCTTTTCACTGGCTCGTTTTCTCCAAATAAAGTTGATTTTCTTGTCATGCCTTTCTCATTCCTCACAACTGGTTTCTCTTCTCTGCTCACTTCTGATCACTTCTCCTCTCTGGACCCTGCTATGGGCTGTGCCATTACACTGAGTTTCCTGGACACACCAGAGTCCAGCAGCTCCTTGCCTTTGCTCACACCTGCCCTCTGCCTGGAATGCATCCTTCAATCCCTGCCAGACTCATCTGCCCTCTGCAAAGGGTTTTCATGTTGTATTTCATGAGTTAGCTCAAGGACAACAACCTCCATAACAATAAAACCACTTTCCTGACTCTCTGCAGAGGAGGAGAGATCTTTTTCTCACAGGGGTTTACATAATACCCCTGGAAAGCTCTACACTGAATTTATAGTGTAATATTACTCTTGGCTATGACTTTGTTTGTGTCTACTAGGAGTCTGTCTTTGGATTGCAGGTATTTTTCTTAAATGAATGAATGAATGAAGTGATAAAGCCACAGAAGGCATTTCCAATGCAGCCTAAGTTACTGCATTGATATCCCAGGGCAGTGTTCACAGATTTCAGCATGGAAACCACATTTCCATCAATTCCAGACCAAGCCAAACACAGCCCACAATGGTGGATGAGACAGATGGTGGAACTGTGTGACCCAGAGGTCCTGTCCCCTCCAGACAGCCTATGGGCTCAGAATCCCACTACGTTATGCAGGAGTTCTATGGGATCAAGGACACTTCGAGACACCTGCCTCAAATACGGGGCTTAAACTGTCTACCCAACCTGAGGCCCAGGGATTCAAAAAGGATGTGTGGCCATGAAGACCCAGATGGGGAAACAAGGAGAGAAGGAGCTTGAGGAGGGACCTGGAATGAAAGAGTCGTGCACTTCCTGTGTCATAATTTCCCCAAGGCCAGCGGGATGGGCGGCTGTGGACATTTTCCCATATTGTCCCTTTGTCCTTTTCAAAGTTGATTTTGAATCTGATTGTCCTTGGCACCAAGGAGGGACACAGGCTGGGCCAAGAGCAAAACTAGTATAAAGTCAGCCCTGTGTGTGTCCTGGTGGGGTGTCCCCTTGTTGTCTTATTATACCCCAGAGAGGCTCCAGCCCCTCCTTGTGAACTGAGACCTGCTGGGGCCTGAGGATGAGGGGTGGAGATTAGGACTGGAAAAGCACAGGGAGGAGAGGGAAGTAGGGAGGTCTCCTAGGACTGAGAACTTCCATGTGCAGCTTGTCTCTCACAGGATGGAGATAGAGACCCCTCTCTCCTCTGCAGTGAGTAAGCAAGGCCAAGCTTATGCTAGTGGGGGGTCATGCTTCACCTCTTCCTGTCCCATCTGCCAGGGGAAAGGAAGGCAGGAACCAGGGAGTGGTGTCCACACACTCATTTCTGGTGATTTTTGTCCTGACACAGAGGTTGTGGTTTAAGGAAACATACCACTCTGCTGGCTGCATTCCCTGTTTGGGGAACTTGAAACACAGCTGATGTTTTGACTAAAATTCCTGGGTTGGAATCCTAGGGCCATGGGCTGGGCTCCCTGGAAGACATGGAAACCATGAGACTGGGAAGCCACCTGCTGCCCTGGTGGAGGTGAAGTTTTCTGGGAAGATGGAGGGGGTGCTCGGGCCCCTGCTTGCGTTATTGAAGAACTGACAAACTTTCCTTCTTTCGTTCTCATCTGTCCTTGCACTTCTCATGAGCAAAGCTGTTGGGATCTAGTGTGGATTCATTGGTGGAGGGAGGTGGCAGCCTGGCTGGAGGACAAATCCAAATGCTGATGGTTGCCTTTTCTTCTGACCCAGAGGATTCGCATGTGGCAAAGAATACGTGGAAGTGCTGGATGGACCTCCAGGGTCTGAGTCCTTGGACAGGATTTGTAAAGCCTTCAGTACATTCTATTACTCTTCTTCCAACATCATCACCATCAAGTACTCCAGAGAACCCAGTCATCCACCCACCTTCTTTGAAATATATTACTTTGTTGACGCTTGGTCAACACATTAATAGGAAGATCGGGGGAAGAGGCACCTGCTGATGCTCCCCTGCTCTGCCTGAGCCTGGTTCTGCATATGTTGGACAGAGGCTATACCTGGGACTGCAGAAATAAGATTGAGTCATAGTTCTCCTGGATCAGCATTGGGTGAGGGAGAGGGAATGTGACCCTGTGACCCTTCCAGAAAAAGGTACGGGTTCTGTCTCAGCATTTCTGTACACCCACATCTTTAGTGTTAGAAGATCATATGTGAAAACTTTATCTTTCCTGTCTTCTTGATATAGAAGTGGGTATCTCTGAGAAGCCATCTTTCTCTCTATTGATCTTATTATATGCCCTGTAGCATTTTCTAGTGTATTTCTGCAAAGTGAGTAGTATATGAACTATATACTATAAGGAATGTATAATACACATATTCTATATGAATATATAATCCTAGAAAATATATATAAACAAGAAATATATATTATATATACATAAAATATATATAAATAAGAAACTTGTGCCTCCTGGACTGAGATTATACTTGGTGCCCTATGAGTCTCTGGACACACTGAAATACACAGCACACACTCCCCATCCCTAAGAGACTTGTATTCAGTTGAGGACTGAAACCAGCTTGCATA
Organism: Homo sapiens; assembly: GCF_000001405.40. Taxonomy (NCBI): domain Eukaryota; kingdom Metazoa; phylum Chordata; class Mammalia; order Primates; family Hominidae; genus Homo; species Homo sapiens. The sequence continues at coordinate 122,679,664 of NC_000010.11, forward strand.
GAGTCAAACAGCAGCACAAGAAGCAATGGCCCCTGACACCCCCATCAGGCAGTGGGTGACAGCTGCAGACACTGTGAGGTCTGGGGTTCACCCAGCTATGCTGTTCACACCAGGCTTCCCAGTGAGGTGGAGCTCAGGTCTGGCCTCCAGCATGGGGAGGTCTGGAAAGGCCGGAATAGGACATGCTGAGCAGGTGCTGTGAGCAGAGGTGGAGTCACCCGAATGGGGTGAATTTAGGAACAAAGAGAACACAGAGAAAGGTGCCCCCTCCATCTTTCTGAGTGTTTCAGAAAGGGCAGAGCTCCCAGTGGGGCCTGTGTTGGGCACATTTGAGTGCATTTCAGGCACATCGCTGAAGTGGCTACTTCTTCCTTCACCATGGGTGAGGTCTATCTGGGGACAGAAGAAGGCTTGGCTCCTGGTCTTGGTTCTGGATGAGTCCAGTTTTTTTTGTTGTTTTGTTTTTTTTTCCCCGGGATACTTGGTCAGTCCCCAGGAGGCCCACAGTCCTCCCTGAATGTGACCAGGGGAGAGGAGGACACAGGGTCAGGGACCTTCCAGAGCTGACCTTGTGGAGTTTCCCTCCACCCTTGAAGCTGGAAGGAGCATCTGGACCCTGTAAACCTCACATGAAGCAAGCATCTCTGTCTGTCATCTAAGTTGTTCCAGAATGTTTGTCTTGGAGCTTGAAGGATCACCTGAAACTCACATGTTTGAAGAAAAAAAAAAACAAATCCTAGTTTTGGTTGGCTTTTCTGGTTTTTCTAAATGTACAGATATGGAGACACAGCAGGAGGACTTGTCCTCTAGCTCTGGTGCACAGCACACGGTAGCCTGGGACTTTGTGTGAGCAGGTCAGGTCTTTAATGTTCCAAGAGCATCTTGGAGTAGAATAATACAATGTGACCAGCTGAACATGACTTCTGCTTAGCGTGCTGATGTCTTTGACTGGAAAAGGTCCAGGGAAACCCTGGACAAAAAGCAGAGTCAAAGAAAAATAACAAGCTACCTGTGTCCATTCTGTTGCTGAGTGACGTGCGGCTCCAGGTCAGACTTTTTACCTCTGTCAACCATGGTTTTCTCATGTGTGAACTGGAGATAGAAACATCAGACCTTTTACCTCTGTCAACCATGGTTTTCTCACGTGTGAACTGGAGATAGAAACATCAGACCTTTTACCTCTGTCAACCATGGTTTCCTCACGTGTGAACTGGAGATAGAAACATCAGACCTTTTACCTCTGTCAACCATGGTTTCCTCATGTGTGAACTGGAGATAGAAACATCAGACCTTTTACCTCTGTCAACCATGGTTTTCTCACGTGTGAACTGGAGATAGAAACATCAGACCTTTTACCTCTGTCAACCATGGTTTCCTCACGTGTGAACTGGAGATAGAAACATCAGACCTTTTACCTCTGTCAACCATGGTTTCCTCATGTGTGAACTGGAGATAGAAACATCAGACCTTTTACCTCTGTCAACCATGGTTTTCTCGTGTGTGAACTGGAGATAGAAACATCAGACCTTTTACCTCTGTCAACCATGGTTTCCTCGTGTGTGAACCGGAGATAGAAACATCAGACCTTTTACCTCTGTCAACCATGGTTTTTCTCATGTATGAACCGGAGATAGAAACATCAGACCTTTTACCTCTGTCAACCATGGTTTCCTCACGTGTGAACTGGAGATAGAAACATCAGACCTTTTACCTCTGTCAACCATGGTTTTCTCATGTGTGAACTGGAGATAGAAACATCAGACCTTTTACCTCTGTCAACCATGGTTTTCTCATGTGTGAACTGGAGATAGAAACATCAGACCTTTTACCTCTGTCAACCATGGTTTTCTCATGTGTGAACTGGAGATAGAAACATCAGACCTTTTACCTCTGTCAACCATGGTTTCCTCGTGTGTGAACGGGAGATAGAAACATCAGACCTTTTACCTCTGTCAACCATGGTTTCCTCGTGTGTGAACTGGAGATAGAAACATCAGACCTTTTACCTCTGTCAACCATGGTTTTCTCGTGTGTGAACTGGAGATAGAAACATCAGACCTTTTACCTCTGTCAACCATGGTTTTCTCGTGTGTGAACTGGAGATAGAAACATCAGACCTTTTACCTCTGTCAACCATGGTTTCCTCGTGTGTGAACTGGAGATAGAAACATCAGACCTTTTACCTCTGTCAACCATGGTTTTCTCGTGTGTGAACTGGAGATAGAAACATCAGACCTTTTACCTCTGTCAACCATGGTTTTCTCGTGTGTGAACTGGAGATAGAAACATCAGACCTTTTACCTCTGTCAACCATGGTTTTCTCGTGTGTGAACTGGAGATAGAAACATCAGACCTTTTACCTCTGTCAACCATGGTTTTCTCGTGTGTGAACTGGAGATAGAAACATCAGACCTTTTACCTCTGTCAACCATGGTTTTCTCATGTGTGAACTGGAGATAGAAACAGATGACAAAGGAATAATAATAGTGAAAACCATTAAATGTTTATTCAACACAACATTCTCTAGGTACTACCTTAATAATGTCATACAGGTTGTCTAATTTCATCATGACATGAAGTCTTTTGGGGTAGTATTACTATCCCTAGTTTACTTAGGATTTGAGAAGGTTTTGTTTTGTTTTGTTTTCTGTATGTTTGTTTGTTTGTTTCTGAGATGGAGTCTCACTCTCTCACCCAGGCTGGAGTGCAGTGTCACGATCTTGGCTCACCAAAAACTCCGCCTTCCGGGTTCAAGCAATTCTCCTGCCTCAGCCTTCCTAGTAGCTGGGATTACAGGTGCGCTCCACCTTGCCTGGCTAATTTTTGTATTTTTAGTACAGACAGGGTTTCACCATGTTGGCCAGGGTGGTCTTGAACTCCTGACCTCAGGTGATCCACCCGCCTCAGCCCCCCAAAGTGCTGGGATTACAGGTGTGAGCCATTGTGTCTGGCCTAGGATTTGAGAAAGTTAGTTGAAAATAACTTCTCCAGAGGCACACACTGTCATGCCAGCTAGGACTGTGACGAGGGCCATCTGATGCAGAGGCTGGGCTCCTGCCAACACGTCCATCATGAGTGCGAGCCACAGAGTCATGTCCCAGAGGGAGGCCCTGTGACTGCACTCAGGGCTCCTGCATTCAAGTCCATGACAGGTCCCTGAAATGGTGAAAATTTCATAAATTAAGATGGCTTATTTCTCCTAACTCCAAAAAAAAATCGTATTCAATAGGTTTACTTCAACATTAGGTTGATTATTGGTCTCATTACAGAATTTAAAACAAGAAATATTCAGGTGAGCATTAGATTGGCTGATTTTTCTGGTTTGCCCGGAATAAGAGGTTTCAGGGACAGGAGAATTTCAGTCCTAAACAACAAACGTTATCAAAAACTAGGACGTGAAGGTTGCCTTGGTCAGGGCTGACTTTTCTGTCTGTGGCTCCAGAGTGGGGATATTGTACTTTGAGTGGAATCAAAGAAACAAGAAGAAAGCAGTGAGTGAGCTGGTCTGTAAATGCTGAGAGCCAGTCCTTCTTTCCTCCCTGCCCCTGAGGGACCCAGCGTTGCTCCCAGGGATGGGGACAGCGATGCCACCTCCTCTCCCTGCTCAGCTCCATCTCTTTGCACTCAAGTCCCTTTTCACAGTGTGGTCATTATTGATTCTCCTGCCTTGACCTACAGCTAACTCCCAGCTTGGCATTTTGTTTTTTGTTTTGTGTCCTTTTATGGAAAATCAATTAGCCAAGAAGGATATGAGGTAAATGTGGGCAATCTAATTTCATGCTTTCATTCTTCTCACAAGGAGGCTTTGCATTTTCAGGTTGGAATCCAAACAGCTCACCCCTAAAAATCATGTTCTGAGACATGTTCTTGGCCAAAGAAAAGTGGAATAAGTAACTGACTATCTGCTTAAGCACTTCACAATCCCTAGATCACCCTCCCTACCAGGTGCTCACCACTATTTCCTCCCTGTTCCTCCTCCCCTCTCCCTCTGCAACTCCAAGTCCTAGGGACCTTCCTCTGCCCTCCCTTCTGGGCAGCTTCCTGGGCAGAGAAAGTGGCCACCTCCTCCAGAGCCTGTTCCCAGGAGAGGAGACTCCTGTAAACCCCTGAAGTCTGGAGAGCTGAGGAACGGCTCCATCCTCAGTGTCAGAGATGAGAGCATTGAAGGAAGAGCGAAGAACTGCAGCATGGAGGGTGCTGGTTGGAGGGAGGAGAGTTTTTCTCAGGATATAGGGGACTTCCAAAGTGTTTATCCACCTAGTGCTTAAAAGGCAGAAATTATGGGCTCAATTATGGGCTAAGTGCTTTACAAATAAGAACACAATTGATCCTAGATCACCCACTGTGATAGGTACAATTATCGTGACAATTTAAACTTATCTGAGACTAATCCTCCTTATCTGTGATAATGGAAAACAACAAGGTTAAGGAAAGTTCTCCACCATTTTTGTTCTGGAGAATGGCTTACTAGAAAGACCACCCTCACCTGTATGACTTAGATAAGACTCATATGATCCCACATTTTCCTTAGGCAACCTGGACACCCCAAATTCTCACTCATTTTCTCTTCAATGATTAGCTGAACTATTTTCCTTCCTTATCAATTGAAATGAAATGCTTGCCAAATTGACCTAACCAAACTTTAGTTAAGCTGGTCTCCCACCACAGCTTCCCCACCTTTGATTCATCCCTCAAGATAAACAAGCACTGCAAAGCAGAATAATCCTCCCAAAGACCCTTCTGGAAATGAGCTGACCAGGAGACACAAATTCCTGGTCACCTGTCACACTACCTGCTCATCCCATCTCCCACCCTCAGTCCTTCTAGCTTCTGTCATCCTCCCTAGAAACCAAATTCCTTTCTCTCTGACCTCTGAGATCCTTGCCAATCCTCTGGTTGGAGCATTCTCAGTACTGCTATAAGCATTTTGAATAAAGTCTTTGTATTAGTCCATTTCTACACTGCTCATAAAGACATACATGAGACTGGGTAATTTACAAAAAAAGAAGTTTAATGGACTTACAGTTCCACATGGCTGGGGAGCAGCCACAATCATGGCAGAAGGCAAGGAGGAGCAAGTCACATTGTACATGGATGGTGGCAGGCAAAAAGAGAGCTTGTGCAGGGAAACTCCCATTTATAAGCCATCAGGTCTCATGAGACTCATTTGCTATCATGAGAACAGCATGGGAAAGACCCACCCTCATGATTCAATTACCTCCCACTAGGTCCCTCCTACAACACATGGGAGTTATGGGAGCTACAATTCAAGATGAGATTTGGGTGGAGACACAGCCAAACCATATCAATCTATTTAAAGCTACGTTGGGATTTGGTTTATTATTTGACAATCTTCCTATCACACTTTGGGGACCTGGGCATCACTGAGCATGATCGTGCAGCCTCTTCTGACCTGTCTTTAAAATAAGATGGATTCTTGTTTGTCTGAGGTCTCTCTTGAGGCAGGAGAACAGCCTATTTGCTATTTCTCTCCCCTGTACTGGGAAAAGACCTGTAGGGACACACAATTGAGAAGGTGCCGGCTTTCTGATCACCATTCTGCCAATGTGGTGATGCAGTATGCTATGATGATGGTGTTAAAGTTCTACTATCTCCCACTGGTCAAAAACACATTAGACTACATATGGAACTGGGTCCCTTAAAAACCTCTGCATGGAGTAAAACAAAAAGCCCACCTTGTTTGTGTGATCATCACACTCCAGTTACCTATGTTGTTTTCAGCTGTCACATAACATTTTAAACAGACGTTGGTATCTCTATGAATATACCCAGCTAAGGTTTTTCTGTGAAATGTAGAGATTAAGGAATAGAAACCTCTTCAATCATAGTTCAAATGTGCATGACCATATGTATAGTCAACTCTCCATAAAACCAGTAGTTCTGTCTTGCTCGTGATAGTAGTTGGCCTACAAATGATGCTTAAGTTCCTGCTATGTATAAAATGAAACTTTCGATAATATTTATGGATGAGAATCAGTTAAATGCTCTTTGCTTTGAGTGGAAAGTTGACTTCAAATGCTATCTTGGGTGTTTGAGGTGGGATCTAACCTTTTTACTCCTCACTTACAGGCTGGTGCCCTTCTCCAATTGCTGTTGGGTTAACTTGACATCTTTGAAGGCTCCTGGAACCATTTTCTACTGAAAAATATCTGTGGCCTTCTGGGAAGACATCCTCTCCTAACGAGATGAAAGTTCAGTGTTTTAGTGAACTGACTTAATGGCTATTACTATACCATAATCTAGCTGGGTTAGTGGGTTGGGCCATTCTTGCATTCTTATAAAGAAATACCTGAGACTGGGTAATTTATAAGAAAAGAGGTTTAATTGGCTCATGGTTCTGCAGGCTATACAGGACGCATAGCAGCATCTGCTTCTGGGGAGGCCTCAGGAGGCTTCCAATCATGGCAGAAGGCAAAGAGGGAACAGGCACTTTACATGGCAAAGCAGGAGCAAGAGAGAGAGAGTTGGGGAGGAGGTGCCACACACTTAAACAACCACATCTTGTGAAAACTCACTCACTATTGTAAAGACAGCACCAAGGAGATCGTGATAAAGCATTCATGAGAAATCCACCCCCATGATCCAATCACCTCCCAGCAGGCTCCACCTTCAACACTGGGGATTACATTTCATTGTGAGATTTAGAGGGAATACACATCCAAACTGTAGCAGTCAGGGACCCGACTGATTGGCTGGCCAATCTGATTCAGTACTTCCGTTTTGTTTTGTTTTTTTTTTTTTGAGATGGAGTCTCACTCTGTTGCCCAGGCTAGAGTGCAGTGGCACAATCTCAGCTCACTGCAAACTTTGTCTCCTGGATTCAAGTGATTCTCCTGCCTCAGCCTCCTGAGTTGCTGGGATTACAGGCACCCACCACCACATCTGGCTAATTTTTGTATTTTTAGTGGAGAAAGGGTTTCATCATGTTGGCCAGGCTGATCTTGAACTTCTAACCTCAGGTGATCTGCCTGCCTCGGCCTCCCAAAGTGCTGGGATTACAGGCATGAGTCACCATGCCCAGCCTGATTCAGTACTTCTTATCATGCTGTTCCAAAACAGGATAATGACACCAGCAAGAATCACAACCAATATTTGTTCCTGTATCTATATTTCTGTATAAACCAATATATTAATATATCTATTTATCTACCTCCATTTACCTGCTTCTTCCAGGTTGACTGAATGCTGAGAAGAATCACTTGCTATTACCTTAGTGAATGTCCTTTTTGTTACAAGTAACAGAAATACACTTTAGGTAGATTGAGCAAAAAATGAGGAAATTTACTGAAGGATTCTAGAGTAAGTCTCAGAACTGAAGGGGCGGTGTAGACAGGGAAGCAATTTGGGAAGCTACCCTCACCTCTCTATTTTTGATGCCATCTCACCTGACCCTTGTGTTTCATTCTCCTCCCCTCCAGCCTGGCGACATCCTCTTCTCTGTGCACATTGTAGAGGACAGCTGCCTTACAGCTCAGCTCCCAAGCGTGTCTGTTTGTGTTAGTCCATTCTCACGTTGCTATGAAGAAATACCTGAGACTGGGTAACTTACAAAGAAAAGAGGTTTAGTTGGCTCACAGTTTCACAGGCTGTACAGGAAGCATGGCGCTGGGATCTGCTCAGCTTCCAGAGAGGGCTCAGGAAGCTTCCAATCATGGCAGAAGGCAAAGGGGGAGCAGACACTTCACAGGGCCAAAGCTGGAGCAAGAGAGAGGCAGGGGGTGGGGGGTGTCACACACTTTCAAATGACCAGATCTCAAGAGGACTCGCTCACTGTCACGAAAACAGCACCGAGGGTATGGTGCCAAACCATTCATGAGAAACCCTCCTCCATAATCCAATCACCGCCCCCCACCAGGCCCCACCTCCAACGCTGGGGAATAATCCAATCACCGCCCCCCTCCAGGCCCCACCTCCAACGCTGGGGAATAATCCAATCACTGCCCCCCACCAGGCCCCACCTCCAACGCTGGGGAATAATCCAATCACCGCCCCCCACCAGGCCCCACCTCCAACGCTGGGGAATAATCCAATCACCGCCCCCCTCCAGGCCCCACCTCCAATGCTGGGGAATAATCCAATCACCGCCCCCCGCCAGGCCCCACCTCCAATGCTGGGGAATCGGGGGGTGCAATTTGACGGGAGATTTTGTGAGGGGACGCAGATTCAAGCCATATCACTGTTCATAGTTCAAAACGACAGCAAAGATTCGCTTGCACCTCTGATTTCTGTCTGGAAATTTCCAGGGAGAGACTGATTTGTGTGAATTCGGTTGAGGATCCACCTCTGGTTGGATGGCTGATCACCAGCAGGGGAGACTCATAGAGCACAAATGTGGGGGTGCCCATTCAGGCAGCACTGGGCTCAGGTTTCAGAGGGAGGTTGGTAGGGCCCCAAGGAGCAGTCATTCCAGAAACTATTACAGTGTCACCTGTCATGTCTGCCTGGCCGACATTTTTTTTTCCATATTGCTCTTGAATTTGAGTTTTTATGTTATCTTTACTGAATACTTCAGGTATCCAGTAGGAAATGAGTGCTTAAAGAGAAGAAATTAAAAAGGGAAAGTTACGATAAACTGAACATGACCAGTGGAAAAGTGAATCCAGCAGAGGAATGAGGAAACTGTCTTTGCCCATCAAATATTCTGCCTTTTGGGGACATATTGTTGACCTTGGCAATCATCTGTGGGTGAGGGAAGATCAGCAAAGACCATTTGTTCTGTCGTGCTGACGAAGACCAGATATATTAAGCATTCAGTGACCTCTGTCTCTGGAGAGGTGACATTTCGGCCAAAATGTGCAGCCAGCTATCTGCAGAAAGAGCATTCCTGCAAGCGCAGAGGATCTTTAGCAAGAGCAAACTAGGCTTGTTCTGGGTGCTCAAAGAGGTTCAGTGTTGCTCAAGTGAGTGAGGGTGGGGGAAGAGGAAGAGGTGAGAGCAGAGAAAGGACCAGGGGACAGACCAGGGGAGGTTTTGTAGGCCACTGTTAGAATCTTGGATCCTGTTTAAGTGCAAGAGGAAGCATGGAAGGGTTTTACATTCATTTCCTGCTGTAACAGAGCACCACCAGCTGGATGGTTTAGAACAACAGAAACTTCTCTCACAGTTCCAGAGGCTAGAAGTCCAACAGCAAGCTGTCAACAGGGCCACACTTCCTCTGACGGAGCTAGAAAAGAATGTGTCTCAGGCTGTTCTCCCACCTTCTGGTAGCCTCTGGTGTTCCTTGACTTGTAGATGGCCATCTCATCCCCATGTTTCTTCACATCCTTTTCCCCCGCAAGTGTCTGTGCCCAAATTCCCCCTTGTTATAAGCACACCAGTTATATTGGATTAGGTTCCATCCTCCCAACTTTGTTTTAATTTAACTACCTCTGTAGAAACCCTATTTCCAAATAAGGTCACATTCTGAGGTACTGGGATTAGAACTTCAACATATCTTTTGCAGGGAGGGAGACACAATTTAACACATAGCAGTTTTAAACAAGGAAGTAACATAATGTGTTTAAAAATATCACTCTGGCTGCTAGGTGGATTGTGAGTTATAAGAGGGTCCTTTTGAAGAGCCTCCTGCATTAGTCCAGGTGAAAGATGGTGGTAGTTTGGATGGAGAGAAATGGCTGTCTGGCTGTAGCCTTGGCTTGAGCTTGCGGTACAGGCAGGAAGTGAGGCAGCTTGAAGCCAAAGATAATAATAGAGATTCAGATATTATAAACTCTTAGCTAACATGAAGTAACTATGAAGTACTCACTAAGCCTCATGCTCAATTAGCTGTTCTTATTCTTTCCCATGAATTATCTCATTTAATCCTCCAACTACCTATGATGTAGACACTATAATTGCCTCTACTCACAGATGGGGAACATGAAGCTGAGCACTGCCTAGAAACCTGGCTGAGATCCCACAGCTCACCTGATATTGAAGCAGCTATTCCCACCCATGTCTGCTGCTGCCACGTCCAGGCTCTTGGTGACGTCTCAGCACTCTATTTCAGAACACGCTGAAGGCTTGTTTGCTGAGACTGGAGATTTACGGCACAGAGGGAGATAACGTTGGTTAGGTGGGGCTCCTATTTTAATTATTTATGAGTATTTGTCTCATTCTTCAACTATTTATAAGCTTGTTGATGGTAGAGTCCAGGCTCTCTCTCTCTATATATATATCCATATAGAGGTAGACATGGGTGTGTATATACCCATATATAAGTATATATATAGTCTGGACTCTACCCTTAACAAGGGTGTATATATATTCCCACACCCATATATAGATATATAGATATTCAGCTATCTATCTATATCAATGCTAATATTGAGCTATTATCATGTTCTGGGCCTCGTTCTGAATCAGGTTTTCTTAACCTCAGCGATATTGGCATTTTGGTCAGGTCGTTCTTTGTCGCAGGGCTGTCCTGTGCATTGCAGGATGTTTAGTAGCATCTCTACCCTCCGCTAGATGCCAGTTGTGACAACCAAAAATATCTCCAGACATTAACAAATACCTCCTGAGGGACAAAATTCCCCCTAGTTGAGAATTACTGTCTAATACCTCACATTTAACATATCCAGGAGCCCCATTAGGCAGCTACTCTTCTGATTCCATTTGTGGGAGAGGAACTCGAAGCTCAGAGATGTTGAGATAGATGTCCTAGATGATACAGCCAGGGTTCATATAACCCCTCCAACATCTGAGCTCATGGCAGATGTTGACAGGACACCTGCTGGATGGATTGCAGGTAGCTTTGACATTGAGGCAGAGATGTTTATGCATGGCTAAGCATTATAGGAAACCATGAAAGGTTTTTGACCAGCGTAGTGATCTGAGAAAAGCAGAAGTTTACAGAAAACTCAAAGACTCCCTCCCATCTTCAAAGATAACTTCATATTTGGGATCTTTGGGCCTGGGGTCAGAAGGGATTAGAGGGTAACCTCATCCAGGAAGGGAAATGTTCCAAAGATCACCGATGCTTTTCTGCTTCCTCCTTTCCTCTTCTCTTATGAAATTTTCTTTCTACCAAATTACATAAGATCCTCTAGGCATCCTGCTTCTTGTCACTCCCCAGACATTTTGGTAATAAGAGCATAAGGATTAATTACAACCCCCTGTGAATGTTTAATGCAATTACTGTTCACTGGCTCCCAGTAATTTCCAAAACATAAATGGGCAGTGAACAGACAAAATCTCCATTTGCCAACAAAGCTACAACTTGGCATTTAAATTAAATAAAAACCACCTACCATTTTTTTGACTTTTATTTGAAGGTCGGGGGTAGCATCACTGCATGATCAAACAGGAATCCAACGCATCCATTCAATTATTACTGGTTGACAAAATTGTATGAGACATAATGAATGCCAATTGATTCCACTATAGTCACATTAAAACTGACATAGCATTAAAAAAAGAAACACTTACTAAAAATCCAGGAAAGAGACAAAAGAGGAAAAATAGGCACTCAACTTCTTCATGATCTCCTTTCCAATAAAATATCTTGTGTGTAGTATGTAGAGTGTTCCTCATAAATTCATCAGAAGAAATCATTCTTCTTCCTTTTTGATGCAGCTCTGGATTTGGGGAACTCAAGAGGTTCTCCTTTGCTTAATCTATTTCTCCTTACAGTCCAAGGCATCTAATCCCCTTGTCTATGGGCAGCCCTTAGTGCTCCCTTTTATCTCTCACATTGTCAAGGTTTTGGTGACAGCATTACAGATAGACATGACCACTGTGCCCCACCCTGACTCACTCATACCCTTTTAATTTAGATGTTCCCATCCCCCAGAGCAGAAGGCACTTCATTCATATTAACTTTATTTTCTAACTACTTTGATTACTATTCTATCAACTCCAAAGTGGTCAAGTTTAAGTTTAAAGCCTTCTAGTCTCTTAACCCAGTGCAGTGCATTCTCAGTGTAAAGTGGTCATGTGCAGGGCAAACAGTAGCTCATTCCAATGCCACTGGGGCTGCTCTCCAAGAGCCAGGTGAGAAACCCATCCTGACCAGAGCAAGGTGGACTTGGGGCCAATTCTTCTACAAAGGGAACCATCTCTGAAAATGGTATAATATGGTAACAAATGGCGGTCTTGTTCTGTGTTCATGGTCAGCTGACTAGAGCAAATAGCTGGGTGACTGAGATAATGTATGGCTAACTCAATATTCAAGCTGCCTGCATTTCTAAGCACCTATATTTTTCATTCACTTATTCATTCATTCATTCAGTCTGTAACCCCAAATCTAGCTTGAGCTCACTGGCTTCTTAGGCTCTGGAGGAGGCAGGCTCCACTTCTCAATTTCCCTCTGGTTGAAGTTCAAAGCCTTCTTTGGGATTTCTGCAAACTGCCAGCAGGCTGTAGGACACCATTTCCACACATGCTGTCTCTCTTCTGAACTCTCTGCCTGATATGAAACTCAGCCCTGTCGTCAATTCACAAACGCCAGTCCCCGAAGCTCATTCATACAACGTACTCATGAATTTAATGGGCTTTTCTGATGGTGAGGGTCTCAGGGAGTAATCTCTGGAGCTCTGCATAGCAAACAACTTACAACAACATGTTAGGTACTTCTCGTCTCAAAAGCCCACAGCCTCCTTGATACGTGGGGTTTTACATGGCTGTTTATCCCCATGCAGTGGGGTACATCTCACTAGTGGCTGTCTCTTCTTCCTCCCTTCTTCCTTTTCTTTTTAAGAGAAAAACAAAATTCCTCTCATTTCCTCATGCAAAGAGGCTAACCATTCTTTCATTGTTAGGAGGCTTCTCAAGTATCCCCTTCCAGCCCCAAATAAACTGTAAGGTATTTTTCCCCAAGAAAAACAATTTACCTTAAGATAATTTTGGGTGCCAGCTCTTAAGGAATATAAATGCTGCCTCATTATGATTTTAAAATCATTTATTGAAGTACATACAGTATGTTAGGTACTAGGGATACTAGAATGATTAAATTGGGCTTATGCACTGGCTACAGAAATGGCTTGTCATCCAGTGGGTTATACATGAGACAGATGGCATGTGGAAGGAGGAAGGCAGTCAGTGAGAGGGAAGAAGCAGAGTCAAGTTGCTATGGGATCCCTGAAGAGGGCAATGGATTTGGTTTAGGGATGAATTATAGAACGAGTGCAGTGTCTCTTCAGGAAATGGAGGTAAATGTCTGGTCATATCCAAATTGTTAGCCAGATGTTTTACCTCAGGATTCTCCAGCTTGTTTTTGTTTGTTTGTTTGTTTGTTTTTGTTTTTGTTTTGAGATGGAGTCCTGCTCTGTCACCCAGGCTGGAGTGCAGTGACGTAATCTCAGTTCACTGCAACCTCTGCCTCCTTGGTTCAAGCTATTCTCCTGCCTTAGCCTCCCGAGTAACTGGGATAACAGGCATGCACCACCATGCCCGGCTAATTTTTTTTTTTTTCTTTTGTAGAGATGGGGTTTCACCATGTTGGCCGGGCTAGTCTTCAACTCCTGACCTCAAGTGATCCACCTGCCTAAGCACCCCAAAGTTCTGGGATTACAGGGGTAAGCCACCACACTCAGCCTTCTTTAGCTTGTTTGACCCCAATTTAGTCACCCACTTCTGACACCATCATCATAGGTGAGCCCTGTCTGATTTCACAGGGCCCTCGTGAGTAAGGGGTGAGACCACATTAAAAACTATATAGCCTCTAGGAATGGAGCAAATGATGGCGTCTGTTTACAAAAGCAATTCTAAATAAAACCAATACCAATTTATAAGTAAAAGGAAGTTCAAGGAAGTTCTGACCTGTTCAATAATGACTACTTTCAGCTTATATGAAAATCTACTATCAGATTCTTTTCCTCCAAAATATCTATCTTTCTGTTTTTTGAGACAGGGTCTCGCTCTGTTGCCCAGCCTGGAGGGCAGTGGCACACTATTGGCTCACTGCAAGCTTCACCTCCAGGATTCAAGTGATTCTCTTGTCTCAGCCTCCCAAGTAGCTGGGATTACAGGCATGTCACCACACCCGGATAATTTTCGTATTTTTAGTAGCGATGGGTTTTCACCATGTTGACCAGGCTGGTCTCAAACTCCAGGCCTCAAGTGATCCACCCGCCTCAGCCTCCCAAAGTGCTGAGATTACAGGTGTGAGGCACCATGCCCAGCCTATTTATATTTTGTTTTCGTCTGCTGGATAACCCAATAATAAACTTTTGGTAAAAATTTAATTGATCACTTGTTCTCCAAGCCTTCTTTGTTAATCAGCGTTCTCAGGGAACAGGGATTGTTAGAAATTTCAGATTAAGCAACTGATTACCAGAGCTCTCTTTTGTGTCCAGTGCTATGTCAAAGACTTTCTAAATTCGTCATCACCATTAGCATAATCTACTGAGCATAAGAGTCTCATAGGGCCTTGTGGTCACTTATCTCTTTATCAAATATTATCATCTGGATGTATTTATGAAACTCAGGTAAGTGGTGCTTAAGATAAATAAGTACTTAATCCAGGGAATTTTCTAAAACCTTCAAAAATTCAAATCCGAATCTACATTTATTTTCATATAGACTTCCTGAAAGATGGCATACACATACATGGTAAACTGTGGGCATATTCTGGATGGCTCCAGGTAATTAATGTTTACGGCAATTAATATCACACTTATCAAGAAGTTTGGTATTGATAACAGCCAGTAAGGCAATATCTTGGCATTCTGTTGACCTCTTCTCTTTCCAAAGGGTTGAATTTGTTCTCATAGGTGATTTCCGCATCTCAGAGAATTTGGGTCAGTGAAAATATCTCTATGCCAGCACCACCTGGCCTTCTTGTAACACAATACTTAGGTTGTAACTGTCCACACTAAGCAGGTGGTGAGCAGTCGGCAAGTATTGAGTCAACTCCCAACTCCACTGAACGCAGCTAATTAAATGAATTATAGAACTGAGCCTTGCTGACCATTTAGTTCAATGCACTCGTTTAACTGATGGGTAAGTTGAGTCACAGAGTGCCTGGTGGCTTACCTATGCCTCACAGCTGGTTGGGAACAGAGCTGTAGGGAGAGCACTGATCTCCTTATTTCTCCTTTAGAGAACTTTATACCACATCATATTGCTGATCCTAAGCAATTTTTAGGGTCCAGATAAATCGTTTTCAGTTTTTTCAAACTGGCTTGAGTTTTCAGGTGATGCTTTGGTATTCACTATTTTATACATATTTAGGAGGTTATATCAACATT
This sequence comes from Homo sapiens, assembly GCF_000001405.40. Classification (NCBI taxonomy): domain Eukaryota; kingdom Metazoa; phylum Chordata; class Mammalia; order Primates; family Hominidae; genus Homo; species Homo sapiens. The sequence continues at coordinate 122,694,855 of NC_000010.11, forward strand.
GGAAATAATAGTTTCCTCCCCCCCCCACCAACTCCAATTTCTAACTTTGCCTCAGCTGAAAAGTTAACCCATTTCTTTGATTCATGCTGATTCTTTAGTCAGAATCCACTGATATTTGGGAACAATGCTACACTGCCCAGAATCACTGTCTTGGCCACAGCAGCTGCTGATAGAATACTTCAAAATGCTCTTAACTTGGAGCTGTGGCTAATGGAGTTGTCCTGAAAAATCAGAAAGGGTGAAGCCTCCTGCTAATGACATTCCCTCTGCTTGGAGGGGAGCTGTGGCTCTGAAAGGGCTGATTGTGGAAAATCCACTGGCAAGAGGGAGCTAGAAAGGAACCTGACCTTGCCTCAGGCAGTTGTAGGTCCCTGTAGACAAGTTCACTGTCTTCCCAACTCTGTGAGGAGTTGCTGAGGACACAGTGTGATTAACGGAGGAATTCCTCTATGCTTCAGATGTAGACAGTGAGTAAGTGCATCATGCATCTCAAATGGTGAAGGTGCTGGCTGGACTCAGGGTGAGATTGTTAGGGAAACAGGGTGACACCATTTTAAAATCAACTCCATCTTTAAACTAGCAAGGCACATTCCTTGCTGGTCATGACCCATGGTCATGAAATGTTTCTGGCTGAGGAAACTCCTACTACAATGAAATGTCCAGATGTCCCGATATCACATAATAATATATGCTTTTAAGATGATTCTAGACATGCTTTGATGTACCTACACACTAAAATACCAAAAATAACTTTCTTTAAATCAACAAAGTAATACATTTTGTCACGCTGTTAGCCCACCCTCACATTGTCATAGCTTAGCTTTTACATAGATAAGACCCTTGTATAAGAAAAACTTAAAGATGATGCATTCCTCTGCTTGCTTTCTGAGGACGCCCCACTCTGTAACTGAGTAGCTTTCAATAAGCTATCTCTTCTCTGTGCTTTCTGCAACTCACCTTGAATTTCTTCCTACACGAGATTCAAGACCCTCTCTTGGTGTCTGGATCAGGACCCCCTTTTTCGGCAACAAGAGTTCTGTCTTTTGGGGAAAAAAAATCCTCATTTCTTCTAGACGTCTAAAAATGCTTCACTTCATATTTACACCTGGAACTCGAGTCTGACCCATAAGATACTTAGGAGGGTGAGGGCCCACGTCTCTGTGCAGCTTAGGGTCTGGTTGTCCCCCAACTCCTATTGCCCACTGATTAATGGGCACTCCAGTTTTTCACTGAATAGCTCAGCATCAAGAAAATGGCCTATGAGCAAGCCTACAATTTGGAACAGTTCCCTGAGGTCATGGACAATTGCCAGCTGTCTTCTGTCTTGATTATTAGGAAAGGAGGGAAGGAGATTGGACTGACATGTCCAGGTTCTATACAGGCTATGTGTGCTTTGAATTTGATGAAGTCTGTGCTAGCCATGAAAGTCTGACAGAATGGCTATGAGTTGGTGGCTGGTTGTGAGTGTGGCTCAGAGCAGGTGTGAGGGTCATTGGTGAAAACTTAAGACTTGTCATGAGAACTGCACAATAAACAAGGTCCCTTGGCAGTGTCTATGTGTGTGTGTGTCCGTTTAGAGGAGGCAGTGTACAGGGAAGAGGCTAGAAAAATCCTGGCTTCAAATTCTTTCCTCCCATGAGAACCCATTTTCATATTTTGAAGCAAACCTGGAAGGGTCAGCCCTTCTCTGAGCCATCCTCCTTGTTGATGGCCAAGCATCTGTAAGAAACAAGAGCTCCATCTTGGTAAAGTCTGACTACCCTAGTTGTTGTCTACTATATCTGCCACATTGGGGCACAGGCAAAGCCTTGATAGTTGCAGCAATAGTGACCTCAGAGACATTTGGTACCTGCTCCTGACATGCCCAAAGGAATTGTGCATGCTACAGCCATGCCTGCCCTGTGGCTGCACTTGACTTGATGGGGAGGGTGTGGACTGCCTGGCTGCATTGAAGATGAGGGTAGCAAAGAAATAAGGCTGGAAAGGGCTGGCTCTGCCTTCCAAGGCAGAAGCTGTATGCCTGGGCAGGAAGTGGAGAGCATGAAATAGACCTCCAACTTTTAGATGTGGGCATAGCGTTCTTTTCTTCAGTTGTACTACAGGCTGCTCCCAGTTCCAGAGACTCTGCTATTGACTGTCTAATGGTTCCAAATATTCCCACTTCTTTGTCTTCATGCCTTTTGCAGTGTGGCCTCTCATCAAGGGATAAAGTTCATTTACCCACTTTTGCATCTAGGCTGGCCTCAGGTCTTGCTTTGGACAACAGAAATGTGGCAAAAGTGACAGTGTGCCAGTTATGAGCCTTGATCTTAATAGGCCTTGCAAACTTCCACTTACCCTCTTGGGCCCCATAATGACCCTGTGAACAAGCCTGGGCTAGCCTACGTGAGGGAGGACAAATGTGGCCCAGTCACCCCCATGGACCCAGTTGATAGCTGTCAGTTCCCAGAAGGAGAGCCAACTAATTTACCTGCAGTTAACTATAGACACATGAGGAACCCAGGTGAGATCAGGAGAGGCACCCAGCTGAGCCCAGCTTAAATTGCTAACCCACAAAATTACAAGCAAAATTAATGATTGTCGTTTTAAGCCACTAAATTTGGGGGTGATTTGTTTCATAGAAATAGATAACAGACACACACCCCAATGGGAGTAGGTTAGGAGAAGGCTGGGCTGTTGCTGAGGGTGGGAGCGATAGCCAAGAGTTGCCTGAGGTCAGGAAGCCTCGTCAGGTAGGTCTTACCTTGAGGCCCTCCTGGAGATTGGGCAGGGGAAGCCAAAATCCCAATATAAGATGGGGTGGCAAGGAGCCTGGGGCACAGCTGACGGGAATAATAAGGACTAGTACACCTGGTTACCCTGGGCAACAAATAAAACTTTAATAATGATAAGGAGTTGCTTTACGCATGCGCTCTTTCCAGATACTCTCTTCTTCCAGGCTGTAGGTCTTGACCAGATCACTGAAGTGGTCTCTCCGTGATATAAAATCCTGATTCATTAGCATTAAGTCACCAGGGAATTCTGATATGCAGAAAAGATTTCGGTTTGTTAGGCCTGCGATGGACCGTTCCGGTTTCTTTGCGGGGAGGAATGATTTGCGATCATTTCCATGGTATGTTAAACATTTTTTTGGTTCTTTTGACTTGAAAACTACATTCATTTTTATTTCTCGTCTTTTTGTGTTTTTTCCCTCTGCCTCCTCTTTCTTATCTTGGTTGGCATCATCACAATTATGGGTGTCATAGTTGTCTTCCTTTCGTCTGGCCTTATTTTTTGCCATTGGACCCAGGCCCACCCCAGACAGAAATGAGGAGCGTGTAAACCTTTCAATGTAGGGTAAAGGCTGATGATTTCCCAGAGCCCGAGCAAGCCTCATCCTCTCTATGTGCTTACTGACGTTCACCTGCTCTCGTTGTGGCATTTTAAATGCCTCCAGGGGCGCAATCACCTTTGCTGTCCATATTTTTTCTAGGGGTACACAAATAGCACAAGGAGAGGAATGTTTCTTTTTATACTCCATTGCTTGTTTGTAGTCCGGAGACAGCAACTGTAGTTCCTTGAGCATTCTGCATTCTTCCTCTTGCTTGTAAGCCAAAAGCCTTCTTGCTGCTATGGTGTGAATGCCACCTAGACGCTGACAATGGAGAAAGGACTATTAAAATCTCAAGAGCACAGGGGCAGGCGGCACCCACAGAAACTTGCTAGTGGCTGGTTCTCCCTCCATTGTGGAAAGTGTTTGAGCCTCTCTGTAGTGGAAAACAGGTGAACCTTTGGCGTCAGATAACCTTGGGTTCAAATCCTGACTCTCCTCTGACCTACAATGAATTCAGAATAATTTTGTTGACTTTACAGGGTCATGGTGAAGCCTCGACAAGACAACATATACGAAAGTGACCAGTGCAAGGTAGGAGCTGAAGAAATAACTGTTCCATCATTTGTTATTTACTCATATTTGTAAGTGGGACGTGTCAATAAGAGTATTTTGCTGTGGGCCGGGCGCGGTGGCTCACGCCTGTAATCCCAGCACTTTGGGAGGCCGAGGCGGGTGGATCATGAGGTCAGAAGATCGAGACCATCCTGGCTAACAAGGTGAAACCCCGTCTCTACTAAAAAAAAAAAAATACAAAAAATTAGCCGGGCGCGGTGGCGGGCGCCTGTAGTCCCAGCTACTCGGGAGGCTGAGGCAGGAGAATGGCGTGAACCCGGGAAGCGGAGCTTGCAGTGAGCCGAGATTGCGCCACTGCAGTCCGCAGTCCGGCCTGGGCGACAGAGCGAGACTCCGTCTCAAAAAAAAAAAAAAAAAAAAAAAAAAAAAGAGTATTTTGCTGTGCAAGTGTGGAAGCCACTAGCAGATTCAGCCAATGGGAGTCTACTGTTTGAGAGGCAGCTCTGTTACTGGTGGCTTCTGAACCTTTGGCTCCCTCTAGCTAAACTGGCTGGCTTCAGTGGGGCCTCTCCGTGTGAAAACTGCGGGACACTTACTAGGATCTCTTTTTCCAAGGGGGAGTATTTCCCAAGGGCAATCCGTGGGTCTGATCTGTAGAATTTGCTCCATATCCTGCAAGAAGAGAAGCAGGAATATCAGAATTCTGGAAAGGCTCTTCCTACTTTTCCCTCCTGGAGTGGGAAGGCTCATAAAGGGTTATTCTACACTAGCCAGGCTGAGGCCGCCATGAGCAGGGGTTTCTGTAGCCACTGGGTAGGCTTCTCCACTTGGCCTCTTTCTGACATGGACAGACTAAAGTGCAAGTCAGACTCACCGCAACGGTGAAGCAGAACTCAGATCCTCTTGGCAACACGTTGGGGCTTGATCCTGAAAGGAAGAGTTGGTATTAAATATTCTAACTGGCTTTTCATTCTTCCTTTCTTGCACCATTGTGTCACTAGCCCTCTGTTTTTCAATCCTCTGACAGTCATTCTTCCATTCTCTGATCATACTCCGGCAATAAGCTAGGACGGGAGGTGTTCACACCTGGAGTTTGTTTCTAAGACAATGTGATGAGGGCCCGAGGGTAAGTCACAAACATTTCTTGCATCATAACTGGCTTACCTGGGGGCTATTGTGAGGTCTGAGTTTAAGACATTGAATGATCCCCTGGGGTGAAATGGACACACATTACCAGGCTCCTGGTGTGTTGGAGTCGAAGAGAATGGATAGAGAATGTGGCTGGGAGGCAATCTGACCATGTCACTGCCACTGAAAAACCCACAAGACTGCTCAGTTTTCACAAGAGGAAGACTCAGTCAACTAAAATCTCTCTCACTGGCTTTCACTAGTCTCTTCAGCCTTAGCTCCTCATGCTTGATCAACGCCACACTATCCATCATTCTCAAAACAAGCGTCTGAGCTATTGTTCACAGTCCCCTCATGTGTTGAATAACTCTCTTATCCTTGGCAACTTGCTTGTCTCTCAGGACCCAGCTTAATTGTTGCTTCCTCTGAATGTCTCCTTGCAGAATAAATCACCCTTTGTCCATGTTCTCATAGCACTCTCTGCCTCATGCTATGGTGCTTTCTCACATAATGACTTGCTTGGTAAGTCAGATTTCTTGGTAAGTCTGTCTCTCCCTCTATTGAAAGAAGGTACCAACAGCATCTTATTCTTCTTTGGTGTGTGGTTGTCAGCATAGGGCATGGTGTAGGGCAGATGCTCAGTTTGCTAACTCAGTAAACAATTGTCCTGAGACCCTGTTCAAAGGTGTGGTTAAGAATGGCACTGGTGGGAATTGATATTGCCAAAACTCTATGGAAGGTAATTTGGCAATATGTATCAAAATTATAAATGTATTTGCCCTTTCACCCAGTTATGTGTACAAAATAAATTACTCCCAAGGTTGGTCAGTGTGACTTTGTTTGAGGTGACAAACCTCATGGCAAATTCAAATACCCATTAACCAGTAATTGGTCAGAGAATTCTAGTTAGCCATACAATGGAGTATAGGACTATAGGAGTCAAAAAGATCAAGGAAGGAAGACCTTTACTTATATGGAAATAACTCCAAGAAACATAATCAAATGCAAAAAGCAAGATGAAAACATATATAAATTCTAGAATACTCTTTTGTGTTGGGGAGGGAAAAAATAAGCATGTATATATTTGTATTTGCATAAAGAAACCAGAATAATACACAAAAAACTAGTAAGACAGTAGGTATTCAGCAGATGAAGAAGTGGTGGGAATGAGCCATTTCATGGTATACATGAAGATATTGTCTTGAATGTAGAACCACATGAATGTATTAGGTATTTGAAAACATAAATTTAAAAAGTAAGGAAGCAGCTCATGGAAAAAGATTGCCATGTTATCGCTGACAAACACAGGTCCTAAAACTCCTTTCCCTTACCAGAAATCCATGGTGGATATTAAGAGTTGGGCCAGTGTTCAGACCCATGTAGGCACTAAAATACAGAGGTACTTTTCCAGTTGACACAGGCAAATTCAGTTACCTGGACCATCTGTGAGCCTGGACATCAGCAGAGGGCCTCTGAGCAGTGAAGAAAATGCCTTTTGCAGTGCATTCATTGACTTTCCCATGTGTCCCACACTCAACTGCTAATTAAGTGACCTTGAGCAAGCCATACAACACCTGGCACATCATATGCATTCAACAAATATTTGTGGAACAATCGATGGGATTGTTGGACTCCAATTGATGGAATATCGTGTACCCATTAAAAATTGAGTCTAAAAAATTTTCTGTAATATGACATAATGGGATGCAAAAATAGGCAGAATATAAAACTTATATAGGGTATAATTTGGATGCTGTAAAAATACAAATATGCAAGAGGAAAAAAAGACCAAAAGGAAATACACAGTGATACTAAGGTTACTTCAGGCTATGGGCTTGTGGGGATATTCCAGGGCTGATGGTGCATCAGCAGCCTGGTCAACTCCAGATATTTAGATGGAAAAGTTATTGCCCTGCCACAGCAGGTACAGACAGGTAAAGGTGTCATTGTCAGGGTCCAGCTCCTCCAGACTTCAGAGAAAACGAGGGTGAGAAAGGATACACCTGGGCGGGGTGTCACCACAGCCATGAGGCTCTATACTGTGGGAAAGTCTGCTTTTCTCACACCTGGTTCCACAAACTTCTGCTTTTAGCTCACTTCCTTCTCTCCTTCTCTTTCATTGTCATTCCCAGGCTTTTTGCTTTTGTTTTCTTTTACAGATATTTCCCCTCAATTGTTTTTACATTAGGTTTTATTCTTGACTTTTACCTGGTTTTGTCCTGACTTGTATTCATAGACATCAATCTCATCTCCTGGTCCATTTTCAAATTCTCTTGAACTGCCTTTCACATCTGTCTTTCATCTTTTACTTCATGTTTTCTTTATTTCTTTGTCTTGTAGACTTTATCTTTTATACATATTTCATTTATTCTTAATATTTATAATTAATATTTGTACACACACACATACACACATATATATAAATATATATACACATATACATATATACTAATCATATGAGAGAGAGATTTATTATCTATTATTTATTTTAGGGAATTAGCTTACATGATTACAGAGGCTAGCAAGTGCAAAATCTGCAGGGTAGGCTGGCAGGCTAGAGGCCCAGGAAGAAGTCAGTGTTTCAGTTCAAGTCCAAAGGCCATCTGATGGCAGAATTGCTTCTTGCTCAGGAAAAGTCAGTCTTTTGTTCTATTCAGGCCTTTGTGAGGCTCATCCACACAATGCAAGGCAATTTGCTTTGCTCAAACTCCACCGATTTAAATGTTAATCTCATCCCAAAACACTGTCCCAGAAACATTCAGAATAATACATCATACCAAATACCTGGGCCCCATGGCCTAATCGAGTTGGCATATAAAATTAACCATGACACCTACTTATAGTTCATAGGTTTTTAATAATTTGTTTAAATGTATTATAGTTTTAAAATATCAGGCTTTTCGTTTCTATACATAATTTTACCCATTATTGAACTTTATATTAACAGATTCACATAGTATGTGTTCCTTTGTGTCTGCTTTGTGCCCCTTCTTATGAAAAAAAAGTTACAATTCTCTTACTGATATGCTTGTACATTCCTTTTTATTGTTGTTTAGCATGATGATGCTATGATTTATTTATCAGTCATCTGTTGCTTACAGTTGGGTGGTTTCCGATTTGGGGAGCATTCTTCTACATGTCTCCTTGGGATTACGTGCATGCTTTTCTCTACCAATTCACATTCCCACCAGTAGTGTATGAGAATCCCTGTGGATACTCATCTTGCCGATACAGGTAGATTGGTTATGGTATCTTGGATGGTTTTCATTTACATTTTTCTGGTTAGAAATAAAATTGAACACTTTTTCTATTGGCCATTGAGATTATTCTTTGTGAAATGTCTATTCAAGTCTTTTGCTCACTATTTTCTAGTTTTTGTTTTCTTATTGATATGTTAGATTTCTTTATATGTTCTTGATATAGGCCCTTTGTCAGTTAAATGTGTTGCATATACCCACTCCTACTCTGCAATTCACCTTTTTACTGTCTTTAAGGTGTCTTTTGATGAATGGAAGTCCTTATTTTTATACTAGCTGCACTCTAATTTATCAGCCTTTCCCTTTATGGTTAGTGCTTTCATGTCTTGTTTAAAAAATCATCTCCTACCTCATGATACTCTCACATATTATACACACACATATACACATACACATACACACACATAGATACACATACACACATGCAAATACATACACACAGACACATACACACAGAGAGATACACACACACATACACAAATGCATACATACACATACACATACATATACACACATATACACACACACACAAACACACACACAGACACATATACACACACATATACACATACATACACATACACACAGAGACACATAAACACACACACATACACATACACACACCCAGAGACACATACACACATTCACACAGTGATATTCTCCTATGTCACTCTCTAAAACCTTTGATATTTTTTTCTTTTGAAGTTTGTTAACGTCTTATCCTCATTTTATTAACTTTATTTTTCCACCTTATTTTCTTTTAAGCATATTTTGCAACTTATTTTTATAATGGCTATCAAAAAGTGTGACGGTGTGTGAATAAGTCATACACAAAACCCTGGGGACTCCTCACCCTCTGGCAGCTGCCCCTGCAGCCATCCCTGGGCTCTGGCTCCCTCTGGTGGATCTTGCAGAGGCTGGCTCTCCAAAGACCCATCGGCCATCTCCCTCTCTCCAAGGCTGAGTCTATGCAGGTAGCCGCCTTGAAGCGTGGAAATGGTGCTCCTTCTTAACATTGCATGAGATCCACACCTTGTATAAGGAGCTGTGCTCTTTAAAATCGTAGTCTCCTCTACAAAACCACCAGCTCAGGGCACACCACATTCTGGGAAGTGTCCTCTAGGTCAGTGCTTCTCAAACATTAATGTGCGTGTGAATCTCCTGGAGGTCTTGTGGAAATGCGGAGTCTGATTCTGCAGGTCTGGGCCAGGACCTGCACCTCTAACAAGTTCCCAAGAGAAGCAAAGTTGTGACTCTCTGTGTAGGTCACTCAATAAGAGGTGATCCTCAAAGCATGTCCCTGGGCCAGCGGTGGCAGCAGCAGCATCACCCAAGACATGCAGACTGTCAGGCCCCATACAGAACTACTGAGTCACAATCTGCATCTCAGCCAGTTCCCGGGTGAATGGCAGGCGTGGTAAAGTGTGAAAGGAATCTGGCCCGGGCAATGTTCTCATCTGCTGCCTGTGAAGGATCAGACAATGGACAGCCTGTGCAGAGCACCTGTGGACAGAATTCTATGGGTTCCACAGCAAAGTGCCTCAGACGTCCCGGTTTCCAGGCTGAGCCTTCACCCTTCTTGGCATGAAAGGGTCCTTTGATGCCTAGTTTCCTCAGTCTCCTTCCTTTCGGCACAAGGGTTGAGGAGACCTGGCTCAGTCAGCCTTGTTCCAAACCATTACCTAGGAATGGGGTCAGCTGTGCCTCTTTGAGGAGCCTCTTTTGAGAGGTTCACCCAGAAGAGTGAGACCCAGGAGCAGGAGAGGCCAATTCTCATTTAGCCCTCTGGGAGTGGTTTCAGCCACAATGAGGTGTCATAAGCTTGATCTTTGCTTCTTCTGTCTCTCTTAGGGGAGCAGATTATTAACTGGGGAAGTCAAAACCCTAAAAGGGTGATTTTCATCAAACTTCAGATTCTAGTCAACAATGCTGACATTCCTGCCCACATGTGTCTTTTATTTTCCCCCAGAATTTCTGCTGGGTTCTTTGCAGGCCCTACCAACAAGCACTTTCCCTCTGAGATGGAGTCTGTCCCAGTGGGGGCCAAGCAGATGAAAAACAGCATCAGGGCTCATGAGGAGAGATCTTCTCTAGCCTCCCTTGGCCAATTAAATGGAGATCATTGTCCAACACCATATTATCTTTCTGAAAGGAGACCTTGGGAATCCCCCTGTGGTTGCCTCTGCTGCTATTAAAATCCACTGAAGGGCATGAGGAATTCTTTTTTGAAGTACAGGAGGGCTTGGGTTCTTGAATTTGGAGAGGTAATATGGTAGGCGTTCATCTTCACGGTAAGGCCAATAGATGCACATTTTAAGAGCCAATAGGCTCGGCCAGGCACGGTGGCTCATGCCTGTAATCCCAGCATTTTGGTAGGCCGAGGCAGGTGGATCACGAGAACAGGAGATCGAGACCATCTTGACCAACATGTTGAAACCCCGTCTCTACTAAAATACAAAAAATTAGTCAGGCGTGGTGGCAGGCACCTGTAGTCCCAGCTACTCGGGAGGTTGAGGTAAGGGAGTCGCTTGAACCCCGGAGGTGGAGGTTGCAGTGAGCCGAGATCATGCCACTACACTCCAGCCTGGCAACAGAGCAAGACTCTGTCTCAAAGAAAAAAAAAAAAAGCTCCAAAAAATATGTCTCTAGATGCCTGAATTTTCTCTTTAGAAATGTGGTCAGTTGAGGGCACAGAATAAAACCCTGAGGTATTAGTTGACTTTTCTGATGGGTTTTGATGCCATGATCCTAATAAAGAGATACTAGAGTATGATGGTCAACAGCATGGGTATGAAGTCACTGGCGTGCTAGTAAATGTTAACAACCGGCTCTCTGAATGAAGTTGACAAATGTAGCAAATAAAAATACAGGGCATCTGTTAAATTTGAATTTCAGATATGTCTCATTTACTTATACAAAGAATTTTTCATTTTTATTGAAAATTCAAATTTAATTGGGTATCCTGTTATTATCAGGCAACCCTATTTCTGGGGGGGGATGTGAGCAGAGGGGTGCCTCTCGCTACTTGCCAGCTTACTATCTCTTTTTCTTTTTAACATTAATGCCTATGTCATTCTTTTCCTTCCAACTTTTATTTCAGATTCAGGGGGTATGTGTGGGTTTGTTATACGGATAAATTATGTGTCACAGGGGTTTGGTGTACAGATTATTTTATTGCCCAGGTAATAAGCATAGTATCCAATCAGTAGTGTTTTAATCCTCACTGTCCTCCCAGTAGGCCCTGGTGTCTATTGTTCCTTTCTTTGTGTCTGTTTGTACCCAATGCTTAGCTCCCACTTACAGGTGAAAACATGTGATATTTGGTTTTCTGTTCCTGCATTAATTCACATAGGAGAATGGGTTTATTCTTTTAGGTTGACTCCATGTCTTTGCTATTGTGAATAATGCTGTGACGGACATATGTAAGCATGTGTTTTTATCATAGAATGACATAGCTATATACTGAATCACGGGATTGTCAGGTCAAATGGTAATTTTGTTTTCAGTTCTTTGAGGAATCTCCAGACTGCTTTCCACAAAGGCTGAACTAGCTTACATTCCCACCAGCAGTGTACACAGCTTACTGTCTCTAGGGAGTCATGTAAACTGGGAAGCCTCTGTTTCATATGTACAACTAGGATAGTAATATGACCTGTCTTAGAGGGTAGTTGGGAAGATGAAGTGAGAAGTTACATTCATGGAAATGCTCAATAAAGAGCTTGAGGGTCCTGGATTGTGGCAAATACTAGTCTCTGAATATTCATTGCATCACTCCAATCGTCACAAACAAACATTTTGGTCCAAGAAAGGGTGGAGTCCACCATTGTCTCTACCCTCTCCAAGGAACTCTTGTTGAGTTCCTGCTCTCAAGTGGAATTTATTCTTGACAATCCTGTTGTGTCTTCTGACAAACTGGACGAGGTTTGTCTTAGCGTAGCCTTGTTTCTGGCAAGGCAGACAATATCTGCTTAGTCTCTTCGACAACTTTCATCTATCTAAAACATTCTAACCCCAAGGGGGCATTCGTCCTCCCTGGGGAGCTGGTGGGCTGGACTTGTAGTAGGTTTCTGGAGCCAGTGATGAGTCTAATAGGTTATTTTTATTTTAGGGACAGATTATTTATATCTAAGGACAAATATTTCTAACATTTTAAATTTCTTTTTGTAGTTTCATTGAGGTATAATTGATACAAAATAAATTACACATATTTAGATATAGAATCTGATGGGCTTTATGTATATAAACAACCATCCTCACAATAAGATAATGAATATATCCATCATCCTCCAAAGCTTTTTCATGCCCTTTGTAATCGCTCTCTCCCCTCACCTCTGTCCCACAACCACTGATCTGTTTTTTGTCACTATAGATTACTTTCCATTTTCTATAATTTTTAATAAATGGAATCACACAGTGTGTACTCCTTCTAAAAAATAAACTTTTTGATTTGGAATATTTTTAGATTAATCGACAAAGTACCCCACGCTATATATGTGGAGGCTGTGCATCGTCTCATCCCTCTGATGTAGGCTGTGCCTCCTCTGATCCTTCACAGGCAGCAGCTGAGGGCGTTGCCCAGGCCAGCTTCCTTTCACTCTGTACCACGCCTGCTATTCACTCGGGAACTTGTTGAGATGCAGATTGTGACTCAGTAGTTCTGGGTGGGGCCTGAGAGTCTGCATATCTTGGGTGATGCTGCTGCTGCCGCCACTGGTCCAAAGACATGATTTGAGGAGCACCTCTTATTGAGTGACCCACACAGAGAGTCGCAACTTTGTTTCTCTTGGGCCAGCAGCGTTGGGCTCATCTGGGAATTTGTTTGAGGTGCAGGTCCTAGCCCAGACCTGCAGAATCAGACTCTGCATTTCCACAGGATCTCCAGGAGATTTATATGCACTTTAGCGTTTGAGAAGCACTGACCTAGAAGACACTTTCCGGAATGTGGTGTGCCCTGAGCCGATGGTGTCGTAGAGAGACTATGATTTTAAACAGCACTGCTCCTCATGTCTTCACAACTTCCCTGAACAATCAGGCCGGAGATCCTCTTAAGTCTCCATAGGCCAATGCACAAATGATTTAGCCGTTCCAAGACGCCATTAGATTATGGAGGAAGGGTGTTAACTGTGGTTTCTCTTATCTTTAAATAACAACTTCCTGTATTAGCCTGGCATGAAGATGGCGCCAGGCAAACCAAACTGTGATTCTGCTAGTCCCACCAAACAAGACAGGGCAGGGGACAAGGGGGATGGGAGCCTCTCCATATTTGGAATGTTCCTTTCTGCTTGCAAGCAGGCACCAGTGTACCAGCTTGGTAACTCATTTAAATATACATATATTTAAAACAATAGTCATAAAGGTTCTTGGAATATGGATTGAAAAACAACTACACCTGTAAATATAGATTATGGCTTTAGGATAGCCTAATCATAAGCAACTAGTAGGATGATTAAGCATGAAAAAAAAAATAAACCTTCTTTCGATGTAAAAGCCATCAAAAAGTTACCAAGACATTCCTCTTCTTAAGGAAGTTTGTAGTTATCATTTATTTTTTACAGGATTATTGAAGAATATATACTTATCCATACTATAACATGAGTGGCAATTATTAGGGGAAAATATTCTTCAACTTTTTTTTTTAAATAAGGAAGCAGTAAAGGATGTTTGCTCATCTTATGCCAAGAAATATACATAGGAGGTGTTCTATAAACTTTCATAATTTATACAAATGTTTTTGGTTTGTAAAATTTAGCAAATTTCTTCTCAGATATTGAAAAGGTCATTTACAGTTTTAAGAATCTTGGTTTTAGGCCAGTTAAAGAAATACATGTTTTTTTCTTTTAAGTACATGGGAAAAATAAACAGTGACTTTACCTGATTCTGTCAGATTTTAGCTAGACTTAAAGTATTTTGGTACAAGTTTTTGTTTAGGTTCTCATGTGCAGTTACTGCACCTTAAATTACAGACATTTTGCCATTGACAAAGATTGAGAAGGCTCGTCATTCTACAATTTCAGTTGCTCCGATTCCGCAAATACTTTAGAAAGAGTTTCTACAACTCCAAGTAGACTTTCAAATGCTTGATTTTTCAATAAAACTTAAAACATAATATTGGAAAGTGATATGGAACCTGTTTACCAAATCCAGATGGAGCACGGGAAGCTAGAAGCCAGTGAGAGGGCAACCCAGGTAACTTGCCCTTGGGATAGAGACCTTGTTCTCTATTCTGCCAAGACTTGACACACAGTGCTTCAGAATAAAGCTTTCTTCTAATTCTTAAGACCTATACCTATTTCTCTCTAATGTCTAATTAAGATATAGTATTCCAGAAAGTGGAAATAAAAGATGATGTGTTTTACAGACCAAACCCACAGGCACAAGCTAGCTTAAAGAAAAGTGAGGAGAAGGGGAGGTGATTAACTTTAAGCAAAAATAAGAAAAGCAAATCATTTTAGTTCTCTTAACTAGGTGGTGTGCACTCCAGCAGTAGTAACCCCATGTTGCTAATATGATCATGTGACCTAGACACTCAACAAGTCAGCTCAGAGGCCTGGGTTGTACCGAGAGCAATTCCCACAAATGAGACACGGTGGTGGAAGAAGGAAGAGAAAGAGTCCAGGCTTTTTCATTTTGAGAAGAAAATGATAGCCTCCCAGTAAAGGGAGTGGTATGGGTTCAAGTCCCAGCTCTGTTGTTCCCCATCTATGGGAATTTACACAAGACAAAGAGAGAGGTGGCTAAGACACAGCAGGGAAGAACTGATTGGGGAAACTGTATTAGAATCAAACTACAAGGACAGAGACTGCTCAAGAGAAAAAAAAATTCCTTCTCTCCCCATCCTGCAAGAAAGGATTATGAATAAAAAGGGCGATTTTGCATTTATAGCATTTGTGCCTCCAGGAGGTCCAATCTATGAATCTGTAAAAGAAGATGTCAGATGTTGGAGAAAATTGGAGAGGAGAATCCACAGAAGCTGCCAGTACCTGGGTAACCTGTGTGAAGGACAGGTCACTTCCTGATCACAGCTGAGCCTGCGTTGGTTGGAGCCAGGACTGTCCCTCCCCATAGAATAGCCCTGCCAAGGCAGGGGTTCCTACGCACCCCTCCTACTCATTCTCTCTCGGGAGATCTGGTTTGCAGACTTTTGCAGACAAAGAAGCCAATGTACTGAAGGAAAGTTTCAGTGATTTTCCCAAGGTCATACTACTTAAAATTAGAAAAAACAAAACAAAACAAAAAAAAACCCACCAATCCCAAAGTAATCTGAGGTCAGATTCCCCAGGAAATGGTGTGGTGACTGAACGATGCCAATCAGTCTGATAAGAAGATTGAGATGGAATATGAGGCTGGTGAAATTCACAAAGAAAAATATTGAGCATCAAGGGTGTAGCAGTTCCCACTGTTACCACCTTTAAATGACATGTTTGGTCTGAAACAAGGAATGCCATCAAAATTAATAATAACACCAACTAATATTCTTTGAACATTTACTGTAAGCAGGCACCAGTCTATCAGCTGTACCTGCCATAACCCATTTAAATATACACATATTTAAACAATAGTAATAAAGGTTCTTGGAAGGCAACTGCTTCCAAAACAAACCTGATTAACAGCTTCAGTAATCTGCTTTGATAAGCAGGGTGAGGTTAGAAATACTGGAGCCTGGCACAGGGCACAGCGTGGGCCACTGACTGGATTTAATGCTGTGTTCATGCTTGATGTTAGGTTCTGGATCAGGGAAGGGGCTGGGGCTCCAAGTGGTTATAGAGGACACTCAGGGAGTCATTGCCCACCAGTTAGAAAGATTTACAATCTTTCTATAGTGGTACATCCATAGCAATCTGTACTGGTCAAATAGCAGCCCTACTGACAGGTGTCAATCCTGACTCA
Source organism: Homo sapiens (assembly GCF_000001405.40). Taxonomy (NCBI): domain Eukaryota; kingdom Metazoa; phylum Chordata; class Mammalia; order Primates; family Hominidae; genus Homo; species Homo sapiens. The sequence continues at coordinate 122,711,013 of NC_000010.11, forward strand.
CCCTTCCTTTTTCAGGAAACTTTGCCAAGTGTCACCATAATCTTGCAGCAAAGCCTCCTATATGTTTAACAAAATACAAAGTGTTCCCCCCTGATTATCTCTCCCTGCCTGGAAATGTGTGGTGTGTCCTCTGTCTGGAAGTAACCCTGCTTGCTTTCCCAGAATTTGCCAATTCCTGTGTGAGACCCTGGCCTTTTCTGCCAATTGAGGTGGAGTTTAAGAGTTGTTATTAAGGACATGAAGTTTTCTCTGTATCATGAGAGGATGATGCAAATAACTTTGAACTTTCCCTGTACACCCCTCACTCCTATCTGGGCTCACCCTGGGGAGGATTTGTGTTTTTTCAAGAAAGCTGAACCTAACTGAGCATGCATAAAAAGATCATATGAATTACCACGTGCAAACATGAAACCATCTTATCTTAACACCTTGTTGGCAAAGAATCTCCTACAGGTACTGGAACTTTTGTGGGTAAGTGGAAGGAGTCACCGTATATCTTATTTGCAATCTAACATCAAGAAGAGTACATTGTCATGATCTTCCAACTGTGTGCCTTGAAACAGAGTCCTGGGAAGAGCCCTAATGTTTAGTGTTAAGAATCTCCAAATGGCTGGCTGGGCTCTTGCTTACTTCAGGCAGTTCTTTGCCTCTCTTTTGTTCAGGAGTCCATTGATTCTTTAAACGGGGAATCCATTGTTAACATTTTTAATAGTAGTGTTCAAAACAAAAAGCGATCTCTGGAGCCTGACAGCAGCTACTGAGTTGACCATCTGTCCTGTGCTTGGGCTTCTCACCCTTTCAGTCCCAGGCAAGGTTACTGGTTCTTGTAGCTACAGCCACGTTAGCCAGTATCACCCACCGTGGTCTCCCTGAGGCAGCCTCCACCAGCACTCTCACCTTAGCCCTGCCACCTCTGTCAGTTGTATCACCTCAGCAGCAGCCACTCTCATCTTTTCTGTCCTTGCTGTCACTGCATCCCAACTGTAGTCACTGTGGTTGGGCAATTGAGGTGTTAGGCATTCTTGCAACAAGGAAGTGGAAACATTTGACCAAGGAATCCAACTAGCTGTGGGGCATAAAGGATAAGGAGAATGGAGGGGGCAGTGTTGAGAATAGAGACATCAAAGTACTGTGCGTCGATATTGAAGTAGCTTAGTGCGCTGATGATCCTGCAGAGGCCAAACACACCTCAGGAGAGGGACATGGGGAGGCCACGGTGGGATTAGGGATGAAGAGACAGGACTTGGCAATGAGGGAGCAGAGTGTGACTTGGAGCTCTCCATTTTGATGGCTTTCACTTTGTGACTGAGGACTTTTGCAACTACACCTGCTGACTTTGTCAATAAAGATAAAGATTTCAGCCTGCCTGTGGTGACTGAGCATTCAGTTAATGCTATATGTTATGAATGGAATTGTCTCCCCCAAAATTCATATGTTGAAATCATAACCCTCAGGATGTGATCTTATTTAGAAATAGTATCCTTACAGAGGTAATCAAGTTCAAAGGTCTTTGGGGTGGGTATTAATTCAATGTGACTAGTGTGCTTATAAAAATGGAGAAATTTGGAGGCAGGCATGCACAGAGGGAGAATGCCAAGTAAGGATGAAGGCAGAGATGCTTCTACATGTCAAGGAACACCAGAAAACCACCAGAATCTAGGGGAGAGGCATGGAACAGATTCTTTCTCACCGTCCTCAGAAGAAATCAACCTTGCCACAACTTTTTCAGACTTCTAGCCTGCAGAACTGTGAAACAATACATTTCTGTTGTTTAAGCCTCACACTTTATAGTACTTTGTTACAGCAGCCCTAGCAAACTAATACATCATCACAATCTTTCCAGCAGAATCTGCCCAAAGAAAATTAACATTCTATAAGGAAATTATTAATCTTGAAAAAAATGTATGCTGGTCTCCATCAACCTCTGTTAGATAAGAGATAGAAAGTCTTCATTGTAGCAGAAGACCCTAAAGAAGATGAAGTGAAAAGAAACCAGGTATTTGCAGAGGGACTTGCCTGAAGGAATGAAAAGAAGGCAAAACTTGGAGAGGGGAAAAGTGTGAAAGAAAAGATGATCCAGAAGCAATGGTTCTCAACCTTGACTGAGATTCAACCTTGGTTGATGTTGGATTCACCTGGGGAGGTGGTTATGGAGAAGGCTTTTTATAACTCCTGATACTCATGCAATATCCTACATTAATTACATCAGAAGCTCTGGGTATGGGACCCAGATATCAGTATTTTGCAACGGTCCCCAGGGGATTCCATTGTGCAGCCAAGGTAGAGAACCACTGCCTAGAGAGTTCCTCATTTTTGGTGAACTGTGTTGAAAAATGTTATCTGGCTCCTAAATACAGTTCTGAACCATGTTCTAGAGCTCCTGAAATATTCCAGAGTGAAGTTTCAGATGTTGGTGAGCCTGCGAGTTTTACAGTGGACTTTCTGTTTGAACTGAATATTTCACAAATGAGATGTTGAGATACGCAATAAGATAATCCTCAGACAATTCTGGTCTCCTTTTCTCCAGTGGAGCAGACGTGCCAGGCTGAGTGGTATGTGAGCCTACCCAGGAGAAAAGAAAAGAATGCTACTACAAAAGGAAGCTGTAAAAATGCACGGGGCAGGGAAATATTTGAAGAGTGAACAAACCAGCTTCTGTTGATTCTTTTTTAAGTTATTCTTGCGAGTGGAGACTTCAATGCCTTCAAAGCTGTCTTTGCTGCAGATTACACATAGGGGCACTTTCTCGATGACTGTATAGTGCCATAATCAATAGCTACTTCATAAGAGAAGATTACAAAGATAACTGTGATACAGAAGCTCAAGATGCTGGTGATGGCAAAGCAGAAAATGCAGCTCAGAAAAACAGGAGGAAGAAGAAGAAGAACAAACATCTATTCATACCCAGCAGACTGCAAGTCATAATGAATCAGTTTGTGTGAATCTTTGGGGAAAATCTTGAATATTATAGACTAAAATATAATTTTCCATGGCTTAAAATCTTGTGCATTCAATTTTTCTTGTTTAAAAAGGATTTTCTTAAAAAAATAAGTTTTAAAAAAGCAAACCAATTTATTCCACTTTGAATTACAATCATGTACTTTGAACTCAGTCTATAGGATGCCGCCAATTCTGTATATTTATTGGCACTATAATTTACATCTTGTGAATGGCTTTGTCATGTAGGAATAGGACTAGAGTTGTGAGTTTTATCAGAATTGTCATCTGAGATCACTATTTACTTAGAAAAAATTGTTCACAAGAACCAGTTAAAGTAGTTTCTAGGCTAGCTTGCCTTTGCTGTGCCTTTGTCATAGAAATGCAACCTCTATTCTAGCAAGGAGATAAATCTATTTGATTTTGATGACTTATCAGTAATAAAAGTTTAAAATTTCTAGCAGGACCACATTTTATAATATTAGCTGTTGGCTGGTTTATATGACAGAAGTATACTTAAGATTATCTTTTTGTCACTTGAGGATTAAAATATTTATCACATTATTTAAAAAAAAAACAGATCCAGTGCCATCCCTTTATACAGTTGGTCTAGGAAAGAGAGCTGGCATCTGCTTCACAGGCCAGGCGGGCCACATTTTGTACAAGGGGAAAAGGTAAGTGGCTGGCTTGGTGGAGCTATGTAACAATGACCATCATAGATACAACAATAATCTCTTACCTAGTGTTACACACCTAACGTTAAAACTAATACCAGAAATTATAATAAAGTTACAATCTACCTTAGAGAGAAAGAATACTCACTGGCTTTTTATCCTCAAGAGATACTGTGTCTCCTGTGGCTTTCTGAAAAAACACAAACTAAAAAAAAAAAAAAATGATACAGAGATGGAGAGCATGAGAACCAGCCAACCTGAGTTCTTATTCCACAGCTTCACTCTCTCAGCAGCTGACCTTGGGCTTAGTCAGCTTCTCCCTGTCTCCATTTTCACATCTATAAAATGAAGGTAAGACTATATGTTCTGCTTACCTACAGAACTATTTAGAAAATTGAAATAATGAATGTGAAACACTCAGAGCAGTAAATAAATACTAGGCAAATGTAAGGAGTTATAGAACCCTTGTTTACTTTATTCCTGTAGCAAATGCCCCCTTTCAAATGTAGTTTATTCTTTTAATCAGTTTTCCTGCTTCTCGCTTCTACATTTGACTTCCATTTATTTCTCCTGCTTTTATTTACTTGGCTTCCATTTATTTCTCCTGCTTTTATTTATTTTTGTTTTCCCCATTTCCTCACCTAGTGGCTTTAAAAAATACATCTTTTTAGATTGTTTGCACTTTTATCAAAGCTTTTGATTCTTTTTCTGGAAGGTGACATAAATATAAATAATGGTATAATAAACTCAGTCCCAGTTATCTCAGGTAAAAGATGTATTCTCCATGCACCATCATCTTACCCCTGACCACCATCTTGCAGGGTGGGTATTTTTTCCAACCGTAGGCTGCAGCTAGTGCTGATGCAACCAAACAATTTGTTTGCCTTCTACCGGCAGGAGTCAGGATCCCTGGGTTAAAATCTGGCCTGCACCTCTAGCAAGCTGTGTGAACTTCTGCAAGTTCATTTTTAAAAATAAATCTTAATTTGAGTCCCACCGATCTAGACATCAAGGAGGCAATGACAAACCAGCACCCTACCAAGTCAGCTTTACAATCCCCACATCGGCAACACCTGGGCAATGCACCATGTCCTCCTCCTAGAGGTTGGGGAGGGCTGAGTGATGTGTGTGTAAAACACCAAGCACAGTCGGGAGCCGCAGGGAGCACTCAGTAACTGTCAGCAGTTCCAGGTTAGCCCCTGAGCAGACAGTCCTCGTCAGACAACCTGAGACCCGGGAACCAAGAGGCCGACCAATCCCTGCAGGATTTCATCCATAACCTCTTCCTTCTACCTGGATCTAACTTCCTGAATGACCAGCGAAGTTTTGCAAGTTGGGCACAAACCTAGCGGAATAAATGGGGCTTTGGGCTGAAATGGGAACCGATGAAATGAATGTTTTCTTTTGAACACTCATGAAAAACAAGGAGTCTCAATTTCTTTAAATGTCCACATAATACAACCTGACTGCATTTTATTCCAGTGAAAGAATCTATTGTTTCTATGCATGGTAAACAGCCAGAAAGTAGGAGTTTCCTGTTAATTCTTATCACTTTTCAGAAGCAGCTTCTCCACTGATGTATCTCCTGCACCCCATCAGTACTAAAAGCAACCTGCTCCTTAGAGACACAGGCTCCAGCAAAGACAGGAGAAGAATCGAGAGGCTCCAGGGAGAAGCCGAAGTGAAATGGATGTGGAGCCAGCTGTGCAGGGACCAGTGCAAGCCTCAGAATGCAGCAGAGGCTACTTGGAAACAATTTGCTGATCTTCAACAATCTTTTTCTTTAAAATGCATTTAATTCATTCAAATGCTGGAAACAATGCCAGTAGCCGACAACAGAAGCAGAGTGGAATGAATTATGCAGCATTCTATCAGTGAAATATTATGCATCTGTCCAGAATCATAGTTATGTTTTAAAAAACATTTAAACTGGAAATGTCTCATTACGTAATGAGAAGTTTGAAAAACACAGTGCACAGAAGCATACCACCATAAGATGCAAGTCCAAAATTAGTGATGAACTAACAGCAGCAACAACAAAAGGCATATATACATTTTGTTTGAAAGCTTTAAAGGAAATATACTAACAGTGTGTAACATAGGGGTACTGGTTTTATTTCCTTCTGCAGATTTTCATGTACTTTATAATTTTCTTTAGTGAATATTACTTTCATCATGTTAACGAATAAAAGTTACAAAATAGATGATCAGCTTTTGATGGAATTCAATCCTGATTTTTTTAAACTGTGTTCCTTTGCAACGTTATATTGTGTTGGTAAAAAAGGTAAGGCCCAGTTTAGTCCTGGAGAGGATCCCAAGAGTTATTTATGTGGCCCTCCTTCTGCCTCAGGCAGCTACACTATTATCATCACTATTCTACAAAAGTTGCACCTGAGAGAGAGTAAGGCACTTGCCCAAGGTCACACAAGCAACAAATAGCAGACTAGTAGACTAGGACTCAGATTTTCTTACTATGATGATAGTGTTCTATGCTATGTTATGTTATGTTATGTTATGTTAGTATTTTCGACAACTTACTAAAGCTAAAATTTATATTCTCCCTGGGCTAATGCAATATTGAAAAGGAGAAAATTGCAAGTCTTTTGACATTTCATTAAAATGGACAGTTCAATGTCAGTATTACAAAGAATACTAGATCCTGAATTTCCAGGCCCCTGGACACCCACTGTGATTTCATGTCTCCTTGCTCTATGCCATTCTTTGGTTTGCGATCCCAAGCTGGTTCAGCTGCATCTTAGCCCCCGGCCTGACCTGGCCCCAGGAGGGCATTTAGAACACAGGCACCGGGGTGGTCCAGGCTGCAACTGCTCCGCTGCTCATCTCTCATGTTGAGAAGGTTCCCTCAGCCACCTTGTCCAAATATCTCTGCTCAAATGTTGCCTTCTCAAGGAGGCTGCCTGGATTATCCAGCTTCCAGGAGCTTTCTCCCCTCCCCATATTCTCTCCCCACTTTCCTGTTCGATCGTTCTCCAAGCATAAAGATGCTGTATATTTGCCTGGTTTGTATTCTCCGTCTTGGCCAACTAGAACACATTGCTTCCAGGGACAGGGGACGTGTTCTGTCTTGTTCACTGATACATCCTCGTGCCTAGAATGGGGCCTGGCACATAGCAGTTGCTCAGTAGGTATTTATTGAAGTGAAGGAAGGAGGAAGGTATGGGTAGGATTCCCCCGCCTTACCTCCATTACCCCAGCAATAAATAGCAGCATGTCATCATCACGGCTCACTGCTCACCGTTGCCATCCTAGAGCCACTTCCAGGAAACTGCTGAGCCTTCCCAGAAGGCTTGGAAGGTGCGTCCTTCCTGCCCTTCTCTAAGTCTGTGCTTTCCTAGGTTAAGTTCTGAGAAACCAGGCCAAACTAGCACACTACAGCAGTGGCATGTGAACATGCAGGCACGTAGATACTGTATTTGCAGGCCGATGTCAGCTGAGTGCCTTTAGAGTTTCTGAAGGGAAAGCTGCCTGCCTTTCACAGAAGCCCATTTGAAACTGGGTCTTAATAAAACAATTTACTACTCACCACAGTATGTGAATATTCAGTGTGGTAGAGTGCCACCTCTAATAAGCTTTTGTTCTGATCCAAGTTATCCAAAATGCTAATATTAGTGGTTGAAACGTCCAAGACTCAGGTCGCTTTATTATTTATACAATTCAACTTCTCAATACTTACTATAATAAAAATACCCCAAATCCCTTGCACACATATCTCCAGTAGTTTTATATCAACTCCACGGGAAGTTAGAGACAATAGTTCTTAACAATAACAATTAGGAACAGCACCTATCATTAATGTTCCAGGCTTTCTCCTGGGCGGTCTTCAGACATCTTTTTTTTGTTGTTTTGTTTTTTTTTGTTTTGGAGATGGAGTCTTGCTCAGTTCCCCAGGCTCGAGTGCAGTGGCACAATCTCAGCTCACTGCAAGCTCCGCCTCCCGGGTTCACGCCATTCTCCTGCCTCAGCCTCCCGAGTAGCTGGGACTACAGGTGCCTGCCACCACGCCCGGCTAATTTTTTTTTTTGTATTTTTAGTAGAGATGGAGTTTCACTGTGTTAGCCAGGATGGTCTTGATCTCCTGACCTCATGATCTGCCTGCCTTGGCCTCCCAAAGTGCTGGGATTTATTCTTGATTATTTACAGCAACCCTGTGAGCTACATGTCTATTCCTACATAAGACAGCAAAGTTGCCGAGAGCTGAAACAGTACAGCTAGGAGAAACTGCAATCAGCCTCTGCTCTGGCTTCAAAGCTCAGTCCATTTCACAGCAGGGGGGTTTCTGAGTGGAGGATTCAGCTGCTCCATTGTATGATGAGACAATATTGTGGAGTATTTGTCTATGGTCTTTCTCCCACCTCCCTCTGTCCCCCATCACTTCCCAGAACAATGGCACTAGAAGGTAAAAAAGGTCATGTTATTGATATTTTAGTCAAAAGATGTAAACTAGGGAATATCTGGAAGAAGCTGTACCCCATTAGAAGTCCTCTGAAGTCTCAAGGGGACAGAAGTGAAGCAGGAGGTTACTGGTGGGTCTCTGATGCCCAGAGGACAACAGAATGCTCAGATAATTTGGGGGACTGTGGGATCTGAAGAAAGAGATTTACATCCCTCCCATCCTCTGGATGGTGAGAGGAGAGAGGGCTGGGTGGCTTGTCAAAGACAAAAGGCTAAAGGTAGCCCCTGGAGTGGCTCATCTCCCCAAAAGGGTTGCAGAAGTTAGAGGAGAGAGAAGGAAGATGTGTAAGCAAGGGAGCTGGAGATAATGCTGAACAAAGCAGTGAGGACCCTGCAACCTGAGACCAGATAGAGCCACTGACACCTCAGCAAGTACCAGGGTGGAGGGATGACCATGTCTGAGGATGCAACAAAACTAGCATCTATCTCAGAGGACAGCAACGTGAAGGAAGCCAACATGCAGCAACCAGCATTCTCCTCTGCCAAGGGCCACAACGTACTTTATGCTTTTAGGCACAAGGAGGAAAGGGAACATGTGGATTTACCAAGAATAAACCTGAAATGGTTGGGACTCATTTTGACTTGTCATTCTATAGTGTGCCTCTAGCTGAATGGGATTTCCAAGGAAAGGTTAAGTTATGGGAAAATATTCACTTTTGGTCTGTGAGATGTATCAGCTACAGTTATTTTTGTCTGTGTCATACCCTCTCTCCTTCTATGCCTTTTTTTTCCTACGTTGGCTAAATTTGGCTGAATTTACTTTACAACTTAATATTGGGACTGTCAGAAAAGCTCAAAATCTCTGTCATAAAGATATCTATTGAGAAGTCCTCTTGGTCGTATAATGTATAAATCTCCTATATATGCCTAATTTTATTTTCCAAGGAACCCGCTAAAGTAAGCAGAGCAGATAGTATTATCTCACTTTTTAGATGAGGAAACTAAGGCTCAGTGAAGCTTAGTGGATTGCCCCAAATCACAATGGAGGGAACAAGATGCAGGCCCTTCAAACCCAAGCCCCAACTCTCACCCCTCTTCTACTTCACCCATGACCCTGTTTTTGCGATCGTGACCAAGTGTGGACCTTTCCAATCTTTGATATTCCACACACAGGAGAAGCCAGGAAGCCATTCCTGCTGGATGTAGTGACCAACACATTGGATTTACCCAAATTGCCAAGTGATCCTGATAAACAAAATTAGAGTATTCAGATTGGAAAAATATTTTTTTGCAACTCCTCCTCACAACCCGGAACCCACTGGGTCTAAAAAACCTTGTATTTTCATTTCATTCACAGGAATATGGAGTTAGACATATGCTAGAGAAGGTGGGTTCCTCTATTAGAAGACTAAGAATTATTTGAGATTATGGGATAGTTTGTTATATAAAACAATAATCTAAGTCAAGAGAAAAATATGTGTTAGGGAAGTAATAATTTGTAGAACGTCAGATATCCCTGTGTACTGCAAAGTTCAATTCAACAAAGATTTAAGTAGAAAGGCATCACGCTAAGCCTGCCATAAGTAAGCAATATTATAAGTGAGGCTATAAACAATATAAAGAGAAGTTTTGCCCTCAAAGTTTACAAGATAATGGAAGGAATCAGACTAAAACCCTAGTAATGACGATCAAGGCAGAATTTATTAAGAGTGATTAAGAATGTATTAAGGTATTAATTACAATCAAGGCAGAATATAAAAGCCGTGCCAAGTGGACGTCGTAGAATTAGAGAAGGGTGCAAACACATGTAGTTGGGAAAGAAGAGGAAGACTTCAAGAAAGGAGGAGGGGCAGTGTGTGGGCATTGAAAGACGAGTAGAATTTCAGCAGCGTCTACTGGGAACAGCCACATGCAAAAAGAAGTGATGCCCTCCATGAGATCCAGGGCTCCTGGTGACCTCTTTCCCCAGGACAGAAGGGTCAGGAGGGCCCCAGCTGCTTAGCCAGGTACTAGCACATGGTTTGACTTTTCTTCTCTATGATTTTAACTTCCAACTATTCCATGGAATGCCTCTCACAGGTAGAATCACCCTTTCTCCCATATCAAATACACACAATATGCCAAAGCAAATGAGTCTGCTGGTCTGAGTGCCTGCCAATCCAAGCCTGAGAAGAGGGTAAGCTGCACTGACCCACCTCCAGCAGGGGAACTTGGAGAGTATATAAAGCTGAAACTCCAGGTTTTGCTGTAGCTAGAAGCTCTCCCAACATGGGCTGCCAAGCCCTCCCGCTTTGGCTGCTGTTCTTCCATGCCGTTATTCTACCTGAAGCAGGTACTACAGCTGATGCACAGGTTCATTTTTCTCATGCCTTGTCACAAGCTTGAAAGGCAAAGTATGGTTATTTGCACATAGGCCACCAGCACAACAGCTTAAAATTAAATGCAGATAGAGCTTTTACTCCGCTTAATGTAATCCAGCCACTGATGAGATATTGCTGTGATTATAGCTGAATGCATAATCATAACTAATTTTAGGAAAGTTTGATTGAATATTTTCTGTAAGATTTGTTTTCTGTGAGCAAAGCATTAGCCAATTTATTGCTCTTTAAAATCATACCTCTATTGTGAGATTCTGGATAGAAATAGACAAAGAAAGAATACTTGGCTATGGTATAATCCAATACGGGTTCTTAAAATGTTCTTTGGCTTATGTATTGATATTCAGCACTAGGAGTATTGAATGACAGTCATGATTTTTTTTATTGTTGCTGAATGGAGGTATAAAACCTACTATTAAAAAATCTTAGCTTGAAATACTTGACATGACATAAAATTATCTGGGCTTGATTCATGATGCCTTCTAATCTGAAAAACTGTACCTTTCTATAAAAATAGATAGATTGATTTGATATTATTGCTTTTAATGTGTATTCTACATCTAGTCCTCTTAAGGAAATTTTAAATTTAACTTGGAACTAAACTAATTTAAAATATCTACATAACTTCAATTATTTTTATCATTATTTTGTGACTTTGGGGGAAAACATTACTGTCTTACTTGTACTAACAAACGAAAATTTGGAAATACCCTTGACCAGCAAGTAGTTTGAATATAATTCTTATTAACTATAAAGGAAAAACATAACTCACCCACCACACAATAGCAATTGACTTTAAAGTTTGTAATATGCTCAAACTCTTTTTTTTTGTTCTGCACGTAATTGTATGAGTATGTTTATACCCAACATTTAAACATTTATTAAAACATACTAGGTTGTTAGGAAGGATTTCAATAATTTTTTTTAATCTTTTGAGTTTCTAAGCCTTGTTTCTTATCCATTTGTCCAATGAAGTTTCGGCTTGGGAATATGGGGTTTAGGGCAGAAAGATCTGGAACATTCAAGTGCTAACTGGGCACTTTTTGGCCCAGTGAACTTGGACAAGTTTTTAAATCTCTCTGTGCTGCTATTTCTCTCAAGTAAAAAGAATATAATTCACAGGATTGTTTGGGGGATTTAATGAAATGTTTGTAAAATACTTGGAAGACTGCTTCAGGCATAGAAAATGTTCAGTCAATGTTAACTGTTATTATAGACACTGTAAATTATAAACTATAGATATTTTAAACGGAGAAGAGATGAAAATACAGATTATCAGATTCAGAATATGACATTTTACCATGATACATCAATTCCTCGGGAAACCAAGATATTTTCCCCTTTCGACGTTTCAGTAACAGGTTTTGAGTAATGGATTCAATATTTTAAAAACATATAGCAGGAAAGAAGTTCTTGTCTTCCAGTAGATCAACACTATGCAGGTTAGTACTTGGGGATGTGTGGGCTATACCAAACATGTATGGAAATTGATCGTTTTCTGAAGCATAGCAAAAATTTGGAAATTTCTGAGAGAATTCAAAATTCACATTCATCATATTTGTGCCACTTGTGGCAAAGATGATTCTAGTTTGATGGTGCTCAGAGTGACAAAGTGTCAGCTTTGGGGATGTAATTGTAGGCCATGGGAGAAAGTGACCCTGGACCAATTCAGAATGAACCTCGGTCATCTCTGCCCCGCTCTCCCAGGCTCCTTCCCTTACCTGAAATGTATTGCTACTCTTGGGAAGTGGAATCAGTCTATGATTTAATTTCTTTGGAATCAAGTTCCCAGAGGATTTTAGACAGACGGAAGGACCCAAAATAGACAATTCTCAATCTGCAATGAGTTTAATGATTTCTGGGAGCCGGAAAGAAAACCACCCCCAAATTCAGTGTTTCTCTTAAGGCTACACCCTGATAACTACTAATCTATTGGGAACAGCAGAGAAAGGGTCCCTTGAAGCAAACATCAGCCTCATTCTGGTCCCAGCTGTCCCGAATCCCTTCTCCCTCACATCACTGTGAAAATCCAATTCCCAATGGAAAAAGGGTCCAAATGAGGACTGCTATTACACTGGGCACTTTCATAATCCAGTTCCAACAATATTCAGCTCTCCTCTTCCCTGCCTTATTCTGCTTTCTTTGAAATTTGCAAGCTTACCACCAAATACCAGAGCATTTCCCAGGCTGAGGGCACATGCTGCTCTGCTCTGGGCCCATTACTTAGCACAGTGGTTGGCAGAGTAGAGAACGCTCCATCACTAGTTTGAAAAAATGAACAAAACACAATGAGCGAGAACATCACACCGTTAGCTGATCTCCACTTGTGAGATCCTTTTCAAAATAACAACAACAGGATTATGAGGCTTTTTCCCCCGAGTGGCTGCAAATCTAGGGATATTTGAGAGGCTCAGGTAATCTTACAGACACCATTGGCAAGTCTCAGTTATCAGTGGGGCCATTTTCTTGCCAGCTTCCTGGTGCCTCCTTCATCTTTGCCCCTTTTCCAACCCTTTTGTGCCCACCTGTACTGTCACTGCACCTCTCCCCCAAGATGCGGACATTGCCCCAGAGTTTATGGAGGGGGTGCTCTTCAGCTTCCAGGAACTCATGGATTAGTGATACGATATGACCCAATAGGCTTTTCTAGGCTCCTGGTGCTGATTGCACAAGAGTCTTACAGACAATGGGGCCAGTGAGACCATCTGGAAACAACCACCCAGGGACACCACTGCAGTTCCATGCAGGTCACTTTGATACTAGAAGAGATTTGTGGAACTGGCAGACTATTGGAGTGCAGTTGATATTAGGGTGATTCACATGAAAAGTGAGGACAAAGGGGGAACTTGTTGACCACCAGAGAGAGAAAGACAATTTCTGATAACGCAATTGTTCCCTGGCACAGAATTTATCTAATCAACACAATCCTAGTGAAATCATTAAAAAGTCTCTATAAACCCCATTATGATCAATTTACAATCCATTCAGCTGTGTGCACTGCTCTGCCTGGACCCCACACTGACCACAACCCCTCCTTTTCTCACCCCCACAGACCCCACCCAGGCTCTCAGCCCTGCCGCTGCCTCCTCAGACAGGGACTCCCAGCCCTGGCACCAAGGTCAGCTGGAAATTCCAGGTGTCAGATCACAGCTGGATCTGCAGAACTGCCCTGTGATCCCAAGCACCTCTGGCCAAATGCTCAGCAGAAAGCACACCGCCTAGCCCTGTTGCAAGGCCTGCAGCCCTGAGAGCCACTCTGTACACATGCACACTCACACCCACCACTCACATTCGTTCACATACACACACTCACACAAATACACCTCTCACTCACACCCACCACTCACATTCATTCACATACACACACACCATTCACTCACACTCACACCCACCACTCACATTCATTCACATACACACACACCACTCACTCACACTCACACCCACCACTCACATTCATTCACGCACACACCACTCACACTCACACTCACCACTCACATTCATTCACATACACACACACCACACACACCACTCACATTCATTCACATACACACACCACTCACTCACACACCCACCACTCACACACTCACCACTCTCATTCACATACACACACCACACACTCACACCACTCATATTCATTCATATACACACACACCACTCACACTCACACCCACCACTCACTTTCATTCACATACACACCATTCACACACACTCACACCTACAACTCACATTCATTCACACACACCACTCACACTCACACCTACCACTCACATTTATTCACACATGCACCACTCACACTCACCATTCACATTCATTCACATTCACACACACCACTCACACACTCACCACTCACATTCATTCACATACACACACACCACTCACACTCACACCCATCACTCACATTCATTCACATACACACCATTCACACACACTCGCACCTACCACTCACATTCATTCACACACCCACCACTCACACTCACACTCACCACTCACATTCATTCACATACACACACACCACTCACACACTCACCACTCACATTCATTCACATACACACACACCACTCACATTCGCACCCACCACTCACATTCATTCACACACACAGCACTCACACTCACACCTACCACTCACATTCACACACACCACTCACACACTCACCACTCACATTCATTCACATACACACACCACTCACTCACACTCACACCCACCACTCACATTCATTCACATACACATACACCATTCACACACACTCACACACATCACTCACATTTATTCGCACGCACACACACACACTGTCTTTCATACCACTCACATTCATTCACATACACACACACCCATCACACTCACCAGTCACATTCATTCACATACACACTTACACTCACCACTCACACACACTCACCACTCACATTCATTCACATACACTCTCACACATTTATTCACAATGTCTCACACACACACACACACTCACCACATACGACCAACCTGTTTCATTCACTCCGCCTCCTTGATCCTATCCCAAAGCCCTGCCCTCCTCAGCCCCTGCCCTCAGTGCTGCCCTCTCCTGACTGAGCTACCAGTTATCTCCTTGCCTAGTCTTAAATCTTCCCTAATTCCTGGCTCCTTATCTCTTATTGTAAATATTCCCCTGAACACTACAAAACAGACCAAACGCTCCCTCAGACCACCTGCCCAGCACCCGACACCACCTCCCTACCTGAGGCCACCCTGGACATTCCGCAGGGTGCACTGCAGCAGCCTGGGAGGGAGAGTGACTTCAGCCCTGGGGGATACATGGGCAGTGTGTCTGCATCTCAGCTTACTCCAGATTGAGAAGAGGTTGACTTTCTACATCAAAGACCAGGAGTTGGGTTTCAGTCACCCTGCCAAGCCCCTCATGGAAATTCCGCTTGCTTCACATCCAAGATTTCTAGCGGAGTTGGTCCTGACTTCTTATTCTCACCCCTTACTTCCTAACCCAGTCACCCTGGTTTCACTTCAACTCCTTTCTGAAGCTGCTCTTTTTTTTTGAGACTGAGTCTTGCTCTGTCACCCAGGCTGGAGTGCAGTGGTGCGATCTCGGCTCACTGTAAGTTCTGCCTCCCAGGTTCACGTCATTCTCCTGCCTCAGCCTCCCGAGTAGCTGGGACTACATGCGCCCACCACCACGCCTGGCTAATTTTTTTGTATTTTTAGTGGAGATGGGGTTTCACCATGTTAGCCAGGATGGTCTCAATTTCCTGACCTCGTGATCCGCCTGTCTCGGCCTCCCAAAGTGCTGGGATTACAGGTGTGAGCCATCACACCCAGCCTGAAGCTGCTCTTTTTAAGACACAATGGTACTGGCCTTTGATTGCCAATCCAGTGGCATCAGCAGCCTCTGTCTTGTCAGCTCCCCCACAGCAGGCCACACTGACAGCTGTCCCTGTGCCCAGACCCTCACTCTCCCTTGGCCCTGTGGCAGTGACAATGGTCAGATGAAAGCTCTTGTATCTAACCAGAAAGAGTTGGAAACCAGTTTTTAAAAGTGGTTATGTTTATGCTGTGTTTATGTGCACTAGCCAAATACCTCCTCTCTCACCAAAGTTACCTCTAAAGCACAAATCCAAAAATGTAAAATTAATTAATTTTACTTAAATAACCCCCCAAAAGAAAAAAATACATAATAAAAATAAAAACAGGAAAAAACACAAAAAGGGAAAAATGCCTGAAAAAGGACAAACCCATGCGATATTAGAACACATCAAATGAACTAAAAAGCATGGTTGAATTTATGTGTAAATTGTAGCTTACTTAAAGCAAATGCCATGATTAAGTACAGATAGCTAAAGATGTGTAATAAAGTATACAGGCTGACATAAAATTGGAAAAACTGGTACAAACATATACTTGATTAAAAGGAAGAGTCATAAAACCAACTACACACCAAGGCAAGATCTTAAGAAGAAGTGATTGCAGGACATGGGTTTCCAAGCTCAGCTGCACAACAGAATCCCGTGGACTGTCGACCATTCAGATTCCCAGGCCCCCTCTGCTGCAGCTGTGAGCCAGTGGGTTTGGGGTGGGGCCCGTGAGGCCACTGTCTTAGGCCACACTCAGGATCCCTGCTGGGTTGTAACGTGTCTGATGCATCTCAGTTTGCTACAGGAAAAATGTGGGAGGATCCAGAGGAAGGCTGTGGAACCCATGCTCTGAGAGAAGCACTGTCCAAGGTACACCTGCGACTCAGCAAGAAGGTGAGTCACAGCCAGACATTCCCCTTGGCCTTGAGGAGGAGGGGCCGCGGGCAGGTGGGACCTGAAGGGCAGAGGGTGTGACTGTCCCCAGGAATGGACAGTCCCCACCCAGCCAGGCAAGTCACACATCTCCACAAAGAATGACATCCCAGTTTTATTTCTGCTTAACAAGACAAGGATGCCCTCAGATCTTTGTTTAACTTCATGGTTCTTATACATTAAAGACTGACTTTGGCCGGGCATCATGGCTCACATCTGTAATCCCAACACTTTGGTAGGCCGAGGCTGGCGAATCACTTGAGGTCAGGAGTTCAAGACCAGCCTGGCCAACATGGTGAAACCCCATCTCTACTAAAAATACAAGAAAAAAAAAATTTGCCTGGTGTGGTGGTGCGTGCTTATAATCCCAGCTACTTGAGAGTCTCAGGAAGGAAAATCACTTGAACCCCGGAAGGAGAGGTTGCAATGAGCCGAGATTGCGCCACTACACTCCAGCCTGGGTGACAGAGTGAGACTCTGTCTCAAAAACAAACAAACAAACAAACAAAAATACCTGACTTAAGGGTCTCTATTTCAGGAGTTCTTAAATGATGGATGTATGATAACCACCCCAAGAGCTTATTGAACATGCAAAATCCTGGCCCCCATTCCCAGACATGGGATGCACTCCAGGAATCTGGATAATTAGCAAGCCCTCCTAGAGATTCAAATGTCTCTGCAGCTTGTGTGAGGGTCACACTTTGAGAAGCACTGCCCTGTGGCCACTGGGAAGGGAGAGACAGCAGGAGATCCACCAGTCCCCTGCTGTCCCTCAGCAGTAAGCCTTGGGCATTTGCTTCTGTCTCCCTTATTACTGGCTCTTAACATGAAGGTAATAAAAATTGCCAGCTCCAAAGTGTTCCCTCTGTGCCAGGCATTTTACCTGTATTTGTTTCATGAATCCCCTTTGAGGCAGGTACAGTGATCTCTGACAGATGAGGAAAGTGAGGGCTCAAGTGGCCCATGCGAATTGCATAGCTAGCATGTGGGAGAGCTGAGACGCAAACCCAGAGGCCGGCTGTGGCACTCACACTCTGAAGCCCGACCATCCTAGGTGCCTCGCTATCCCCGGAGACTCCTGTGGGTAGCCAGTTGGATCATGCCCATCAAAGTACTAAGAGAGGGGAACTGCAGGTGCCAGGTGACAGGAGAGGGCAGCAGCATCTTTGGAAAAAAAAAATACAATGCTAGTATCTGCTGTGCACTTGCACTTCACCCACACTCAACACTCAACACTGACAATGACATGGTAGAAATTATCCAAGAATCCAAGAGAGACTTTCTAAGCTGAAATATCAAGAAGCCCAGAGCCCGAGGGCTTCTATCTTCTTAGGTGCAGATATTCTTGCCAGGGTGGGCACTTCTAAAAAGAGCAAAGCCAAGCCTGACATCTCATCACAGGGCAAACCTAACATGGTCCCATGGATGACCCCACCCAGAACAGGAGGGCCCTAGGAGATCCGACAGTGTTCCCCTTCTGCCCCCTAACTAACAGCATGACCTTCGGCAAGCTGCTGCCATTGTCAGTATCCTATCTCCTCCCTGGTAACATGGGGACAATAACACCCTACAAGGGAGTCGTGAGCCTTAAAAAGATGTCAGCTCTACAGGGCTGAGCCCAGTGCCAGGAGCACAGATGGTGCTCAGTAAATAGCAGTTGTTACTGCGACCATGAGGAGATGGTGGGGAAGATGACTCCCTTCACCAACACTTAAGTGGGGGTTGGGGGGCTGCCTTTCTTCCAAAGACTGGATTGCTGTGCAACTCGTGGAAGGTTCTGGAAGGTGTTCAGGACGAGTCGAGGTGTATTTTGAAGGCGTGTGGGGCATGGTGTGCGATGACCTGTGGGATGAGAAGGAAGTGCAGGTGGTGTGCCGGCAGCTGGGCTGTGGGGCAGCCATCTCTGCCCCTGGAGAGGCCCACTTTGGCCAGGGCTCCGGCCCCATTCTTCTGGACGATGTGCAGTGTTCCGGGATTGAGGACTACCTGGAGGAGTGCTCCCATGCTGGCTGGTCCACCCACAACTGTGGGCACGGGGAAGACGCTGGTGTCATCTGCTCAGGTAAATTTCTATCTTTTCTGAAAGTTGATTTTTCATTTTTTTCTGATCAATCCCTGAGGCTCCTCGTTTCTCCCTGACATGAGAGAATGCCTTTGTAACATATCATTTCATTAGTATGAAACTCCCTGTCCACCCAGGTCCTCAACCATTCTTCCCAAGAAAGACACTCACTCTGAAGCTGACTCCTCTATGATATTTATAAAACAGCTGAACACTCTAACTCTAACCCCAATCGTCTGTGTCTATTTGAGAAGTCAAAGATAATCATATCGGGAAGAATGCTAGATTTGAAATGAAAAGGCTTAGTCCAGCTGCAGGAAAGGTACATGGTTTGTGGATCCTGATACAAAACAAAAATGTGGGCCCCCTTTTCAAAAAGTGTTAAGAATTTCAAGACAGAGACAGCAGAGCGTCAATGGAAGGGCAGGGCCCATGGGACCTGGTTGAGGCTTACCCCAATGAATATTCCTCTATGATTCCCTCTCCCCAAACCTCCTGCCCCCTTGAGTTTAACGTGGCATTTTGCACATCATTTTCTCCTTACCTAACAAGTTGAGAATGATCATCACGACAATCATGACAATGCCTTTTACTGTACTGCTGTGAGGACGAGGCGTCTGTCAGTTCTGATCCACTGTCTTGTCATTCCACAGCCTGAAAAGCAGGCTGCCCACAAGGCTGTGTTGATACTTCTGCTTTTTGAGGAAATCAACCCTCTAGAGAGTGAGCAGCTGTGTCTCTGATAAACCGACTATGGGTGATGGGGCAAGGTGTAGAATCAGGAGGAGGGGGAACAGGAAGGCTCCTCCTTGCTGCTCAGCTGCAGACAATCGTGGAGTCAGAGGGGGTGTCTTTCTCTCCCCTACTCCCCTGCCAATTCCTCCCAAACCCAACATGCTAGGAAGCAGGATTAGCTCCATCACCAAGTGGCCAGGAGCTAAGCATTCAACAATATTTACTGCCAAAGGCTGTAGAGATGCAGCAGTGAATACAACGTCCCCATTCCGTGGGATGGACTTATAGGTGACTGCCAGCTAGCAGGTACCTCGCCTCTCCTGCCGACTGCAAAGACAAGGGCCTGTTGTGGCTGGGACCTTTCCCACTGCAGGCAGCTTCATCTCGACAGCAGTTAAGGGGTCAGAGGAGAACTCCAGTCCATTAAACCATCATTCCCAAGGCCTCTCACCAGCCTGCAGGGCAAAGGTGGCCCCAGGCCCTCCTACCTCCTAGACCACTAGGTCCTGCCTTATGATTGAACCAAGTGGGACACTGTCCAAAGCCCTTCAGGTGAGTCCTCAGCAGGCCTGTGTGGAATTTACCTTTGCCTCATGGGGGTGCTCCAGGCCGCCTGGGTGGGCAGAAAGAGGACTCTGCCACTCTCTTGGGCAGCAAGTCCTGCACCAGGCCCCTTGGGAGGGAAGGTGGGAGACAGGGGCTGAGAACAATCTAGTTAGCAAAGTATTGTAAGTATAAATCTTGCTTCAGGCAATTTAAAAACACTTTCCATGATTTTGCCCTCCAGGGGATATTTGGCAATGTCTGGAGACATTCTTGATTGTTACAACTAAGGTGCTACTAGCCTGTGTGGGCAAAAGCCAGAGATGCTACTAAATATCCTGCAATGCACAGGACAGTTCCCACCGCAGAACTTTCCAGCCCAAATGTCAATAGTGTGAGGTTAAGAAACCCTGCTTCAGAATCAAGCATGTGCAGTTGAATTTACTGATTGTAATAACTATTTATTAATTAACTGATCATTGATTAATTAACAGTTGCATCAGTAATGAAAGCAAAGTTATCTATTGTTTCTTCCCCAAGCGTTAGCCTTAGTCTAGTTTCTTTTCCAGTCATTTCCTCTGATTGTCCCCTCTACTGATTACAGTTAATTAAATGTATCCTGTCATTTTTGAGGGGGATAATCTCATCCCAAGTGAATCTTGAGCAGATTCACTGAATCATTATTGTAGCCTTCACAGGTCATGTGCTCCAAGCATGACAGGTCTCCGAGTGGTGTCGCCTAAGAGACTGTCTCAAAGCATAACCCTGATGTCAGCCACTGAGCACTGTCGTGTTTCCTGAGTACCTCCTGTTCATTATCCCATTCCACCCTTACAGCAATTCGGGGGGCTTGTTTTATGAGCCTTGCATTGCAAATAGGGAAACTGGGGTTCAGAGACAAGGTTAAGCAAGGTCAAAGTTAAATGCCTTGACCAAAGTCCCACAGCAAATATTTAGGTCTCTGGATTCCAAATCCAGTCCTCAGTCTCCTGCGCCAAATGTCGACACTCTGGAAAAATTGCCCTGCACCTAGGCAAAAATGTTCAAATGTTCAGAGTTGTCTTTGATGCTCTGCCAGTAGCCTCACCCTCCTTACCTACGTCAGGCCTCCGCAACACACTCACACCCCCTAAATCCTGTCAAGCTCCCCAGGTGCAGGGAACCTCTGTGCTGAACTGCCCTAATTTACTTAAACAGGAGCTGGGACCCACCTTCTTCCATCCTTGAGGATCACACTTCCCCCAGTTCCATTTCCTTAAGTGCTCTTCCCCTCCACCTCCAGTGATGTTGAGAGAAAGTCAATGAATGTTAATTGGGGAAATAAGTAATTAACTACGTGAGTGAGAGGACTGGATGTGAATGCATTAGTCAGTTCTGCTGTTTTTCAAATACCCCCAAACAGCATGGCCCAGGTTTCCATGCCCTAAGCAGACTCTCTTTGAAATCCTTTACTTACTTTAAAAAGTCACCCAGTTTTACTTACAAGTTACAATTAAGCCATATTTATTTTAATACAAAAACAAAGTTGTAAACACTCAACAACATCAGGTACCCTCAGTCCCTTAGGAAGATGCACCTATTTATCCTGTGGGGTCTTCTACCCCATCTCATGGTGAGAAACTAAGAAACCCAACCCTAGTTGCAGATAGTGGGCTCTTCCTGAGTGGAGTTTACACTAAAATGTGTGCATTTCAATGAATACTGAAAAGAGTCAAAAGATCTTTCCTTCCCAGATATGCCCTAAGCCTTTTTGAAGTAATCACATATAAGGAAAATTCCAGGCTGAAGTTTTTGACTGGGGTCTTAGTAATGGGGCAACAGCAGATCCTTCTAGCAAGTACAGGGCATTCCAGAATTTTTATCATCTCTAATAGACTCAGTTTACATTTAACTTTCTTTTTTTCTCATAGAGTATGAAAATGAGCGCTTGCAATCTTTTGGTAAGAATCACACTTTACTATGTCTTTAACAGAATGTCCACTAATGCCCCTAATCCTTTGATTGTATTTACCAGCATAATGCCTTACAAGAGGTTGGGGAGTGGCAGAAAAAAACAAAACAAAACTGAATTTAATCAAAAAGACTCAACAAGGAAAGAGAAAAAACAGGTAGCTTCCTTGCCTTTAACCATGCAGAAATCTTTGCTCCCCAAACTGTTGTCTAAATGTATTTTAGAAAATCCTGGAGTGAGGACATGAATATGGTTTAGTAAATTATCATGCAAAAATGTTATTAAACTCAGACTAAAGAAAATCCTAACTTTGGACACCCAAATAATGCCTCTAAGGTTGGAAAGGCAGTGACTATGGCCTCAGAACAGAGTCCCTTTCCATCTCTGTTTGGCAAATTCAGAGATTAATGAGAAAAGCACAGCCTTTATTGTTAACCTGAGTCCTTCAGCATTCTCCTTTATGAGTGCCTCAGGAATATAGTTCCATAAGTATTTTATCTTTCTGGCAGAAGATGCATTTGCACAAATAATCCAATTTAAAAGATCAATCTGTACATGACTCAGATGCACAATAAATTTCTCACTTGTCACTGATCAGAACCTACTGGATTTATTTCTCAAAGCATGCCATTAGCTCAACATCTGCTCCTGGAATCACATACATGCTGACGCTTGCCCAGTAAACTTGGGTAGACTATTTTGCATGACAATGATACCTCATTTATTTCTCTCTGCTCTTAGATGCTGAGATCCTAACGCCATTTCCTGGTGGTAAGTCAAGATTTTCTAACTTCCTGGCTGATACATCTTGGTGGGTCATTTGCTGCTAAAGTGATGGTTGTATCTCCAACCCTACAAACACTACCAAACAGAATGGTTTCATCTCAGGATCCCAGTGCTTTCGCTTCACTCATAAATCTCTACAGGTTTTTTTGTTTTTTGTTTTGTGTTAATGCACAGAATAAGGCTCTGTCCTTCTCCCCATCCTTCTTTGTCTATGTAACTTCTTCCTACTCCTCTTTCAAGCCTCAGATCCATTGTCATCTCTTAGGGAAGACATCCCCAAATCCCACCCCACTCCATTATATACTCTCAAAACATCAAGAGATTATACTGCTTCCTAGCACTTGGCATAGTTGCAAATCTCCGTGTAATTTTAGATTAACATGACTGCCTCCTCCAGACTTGCAAACTAGACTCCAAACTCTGTGACAGCCAGAGTTGGATCTGTTAGTTTAACCACAGTATCCACAGTGCTATCTATTCGGCCCTGGTGTGTGCTCAATAAATGCTTGTTGCAAGGTGAAACAAATGGGTTAATGAAGAATATGTGCCTTCTGCTAACATGCAGTATTTTTGTATTTCCCCAAAAGACTGGCCACAATTGCAACTAGTGAATGGCTCAGGTAGGTGTTCGGGGCATGTGGAAGTTTTCCACCATGGCCAGTGGGGCAGGGTTTGCGACGACCAGCGGGACATGAATGAAGCTGACGTGGTGTGCCGGCAGCTGCACTGTGGGTGTGCCCTCGCAGCCCCTGCTGAGGCCCAATTTGGCGAAGGCAGAGGCGAATTTCTACTGGATGATGTGGACTGTACTGGGAAAGAGAGTTTTTTGGGACAATGTCCTCATGCCGGCTGGGGCCTGCATAACTGTGGCCCCAGAGAAGATGCCAGCATCATCTGCGCAGGTAATGGCCACCTCTCCCTCCACAATGCCGCTCACTACATCTCCACTCACCCCACTGGCAGTGCTTCCACCTATGTAATTGACCATCTGCCACTTGGGTGAGCCAAAAGTAAAGGCACAGTGGTAATTTGAGAACTTCAACTTGAGCTCAGGAATTTATTAGCCACAAGATGTTGAAATGGATTTTTCACAGAGAAAAATAGTGGAAGATATTGGTGGTTCCATGTCAAAGCCTAGATGTCAAAATGAATGGTGAAAGACAACAGGAGTCAACAGTGATGTGACTCACTTTCTGGGTGTGTTCTTTCTTTCTTCAGGTCACTGTGGTGAACTAAGAGACAAAGGTTTTTCCCACTAAAAATTTGCAGTCAACTGAGGGTGACAAAACAAGGAGTTTGTAAATTAGAATAGCAATAGCTTGTCTTGATTGGGAGCTCAGGCCATGACTGCCAATCACAAGTCTTTAACCAAATAGTCATCATCATGATCAGTCTAGGACAGGGTTTAGATCACTCTCTGTTGTAGGTGGACTGTCCTGTGCATTGTAGGCTATTTTGCAGTATCCCTGACCTCTACCCACTAATAACAGTAGCACTCCTACTCCTGACACTATTGCTAAGTGTCCTTTGGGGGAGTAAATTGTCCCTGAGAACCACTGGTCTGGATATACAAACAAATTTCCACCAAACATGTGGCTAATTTAGCATACTACCAGTGCTAACGGCATAAATTTATGTGCCAGTGGGGAAAAAAGCAAATATATATATTTTTTTTTTGAGATGGAGTCTCCCTCTGTCACCCAGGCTGGAGTGCAGTGGCGCGATCTCGGCTCACTGCAAGGTCTGCCTCCTGGGTTCACACCATTCTCCTGCCTCAGCCTCCTGAGTAGCTCGGACTACAGGCGCCCGCCACCACGCCAGGCTAATTTTTTGTATTTTTAGTAGAGACGGGGTTTCACCATGTTAGCCAGGATGGTCTTGATCTCCTCACCTCGTGATCTGCCCACCTCGGCCTCCCAAAGTGCTGGGATCACAGGCGTGAGCCACTGCACCCAGCCAAAAAGCAAATAATTTAGCAGGTCTGACCAAGCAGTAAACTTGTCACTTGCCAACATTTCTAATTGTATTAAACCAGAAAGACTTTATCTAATTGATACTAATGTCATTAACTAGCCTCTTAAGTCCATTCAAACAGCTCAAATAGTGTGTGTATGTGTATGTGTGTGTGTGTGTGTGTGTGCGCGTGTGTGTGTGTAAGTTTTGGTTTGTTTTTTCATTTAGCTTTAGTTTTTTTTTTCCATCTTTTTTATTTTTAAAAATTATTTGGAGTTTTGGCATAGAATTCCATCAAAGCAATCTAGTCTATAAAGCTACTGCGTTCCACCTAACAGTTTCGTGTGTATAATTAGTGTTCTCTCCTCTTTGGAGGCATTATAGGGTTTGCACAGTGGACACAGTAGAGCCACAGTTGAATTGAATATGTGTTATTAGACACACTATGCTAAAAAATTAATACATTTCATGGTTAATTAAAGTCACCTGAACTAAGGCAGGGAGGGTCAATGCTTTTATTTCTTCTTCATTTTAAAATTAATGTTTATTTAAAGCATCTCTAGAGGCAGCAACCCTTTTCTAAGGTAGATCTTTTCCTGTATGTTAACAGAGGCTGAGTACTTAAAGCCCACATCAGGTAAGTTCATGCTTTTGTTTTACCAACTTGACATTTTTTTATTCTAGAAGCTACCTGGGCAGGTAATAGACAGATAATAAAGAGACAAATGGAATAAAAGGTGGGAGGGATCAGCTTGCCATATTTTGACAGTCATTATTTTTTATTTCTGCATTCCTGGGCCATTAAGATAATCCTTTCATTAAGTTGAAAATGTCATTGGACTGCTTTCTTTGTTCCGCAAGAATGAGCTTTATTTTCACTTCAGTCATGAGGGTTTTGGTTATTCTCTAGCATTGCTATTTTCATTTTTCCAGTGGAATAGCAGTTAAAAGCATGATTCCTATCACCAAGATTTTTAAGGAAAAAGCTTGGTAAATTGTGTTTCTTTCGTTACCGTTTAGCATATGTTCTTTCCTGTCATGTGGGGCTCAGTGTGGCTGGGGAAGGGAAGTCCCTGCCTGTACTTCACTCTTATGTTCTAATGCCACCAAATTCCCAACCTGTCTCCCTGCAGAGAATGCTGAAGACTCACTGCAAATGCCCTAAGGTAGGAGGTATTTTCTTTTTTCTTTTTCTTTCTTTTTCTTTTTATTTATTTATTTATTTATTTTATTATTATTATACTTCAAGTTTTAGGGTACATGTGCACAACGTGCAGGTTTGTTACATATGTATACATGTGCCATGTTGGTGTGCTGCACCCATTAACTAGTCATTTAGCATTAGGGGTAGTAGGTATTTTCATGCTGCATTTGCAGTTAGTCCTTACTTGGTACAGTTTTCTTTTGGTTTAAAAACCAAAAAATTTTCATTGCACCTGCTCAGCTGAATTTGGAGAGGAGAATACACTACATATTCTATGCATACCATATTTGGATCAATTTCCTAGTATGTAAGGAAACTGATGTGTCCTACAACTAGAAAATGCAACGGGAGCATGTTCAAGACAGGCTTGTGCACTAGCCAAGGCTGAGCTTGGAGATGAGGGAAAGGCATGGGTTTGGCAGCAGAAGTTCTGAGTGTAAGTTCCATCTCAGCCACTTATTTAGTGTAACCTTGGGCAACTCACTAACACCTTTATAAAGGGGGGATAAAAACACCAACTTTGCAGTGCTCCATCTAAGTTAAACGAGATCATATAGATGGAATGGTAACTAGAGCCAACTTTTATAGAGTGTTTACCATGTCCCAGGTACTTTTCTAAGGACTTTTCCTGCATAATTACCCATTATTTAATAAGTTATTTAATTAATAAGTTAAATAGTTAAATAATGGGTAATTACACAGGTAAGTCCCTTAAGGACTGGCAAACTTTTTCTGTAAAGGGCCACATAGCAAATATTTTAGGCTTCAGAGGCCAGGTGGTCTCGTTGCATTTATTAGACTCTGCTTCGGTGGCATGAAAGCGGCCACAGACAATTCATAAACTCATGAACATGTCTATGTTTTAGTAACATTTCATTTGCAAAAACAGGCACTCAGCTAGGGTTGAACCACAGGCCCTAGTTTCCTGAACCTTGCTCTAATAAATTAATTAATTCTAAACACTGCATGAATGACATTTAGTTTTTACAATGACCTGATGAGGTAGGTATGACTGTAATCCCTATTTTACTGAGGATGAAACTGAAGCATAGAAAAATTAATCAACTTTTATTATGATACCTTGCTTGACTTTTACGGAGAGTTGATGTTAAAAATAGATATATTTCTCCTGTTTAGTTTCTCAAATCATGAAAAATATAGAGCCAAATCTTATTCCTCCTCTCTCTACTCACTTCACCCAACCAATGCATCAGAAAATTCTGTCTACTTCTAAAATATATGCTAAACCCATTAGCATCTCCCAACTCCACTAATACTGCAGTCATCCAAAGCCCCATCATTGTTCATCGTCACTATAGCAACAATTTTCCAAATAGTCCTCTACCTCCTCCCTTTCCTCCCCCAACATATACACAATCTATTCTCATCACAGAAACTAGAGCAGGCTGGTAATTGTAAATTAGATCATTCCTTTTCACTCAAAATTCTCCAAAAGCTTTCCGTTGTATTTAAAATAACATCCAAATCTGGTACCATGGTCTTTCAGACCCTGCATGACCTATGCCTTGCTCATGTCTCTGATCCTTGAGAACACACCTCTTGCACTGTGTTCCCCGAGTCTTTTTTCCATCCCTTCAAACTCACAAGGTAGCTTCCACCTTAGGGCCTTTGTAGGGGGTACTTCCCTCTGCCTGAAATGCTCTTCTCCCAGACTTTTCTTCAGCTCATTCCTCGTAATCAGGCCTCAGGTAAAATGTCAGTCCCTCAGAGAGGTTTCCCCTGAATACACAATCCAGAAAGACTTCCTCTCAATCACATTCTATTTGAT
This sequence comes from Homo sapiens, assembly GCF_000001405.40. Classification (NCBI taxonomy): domain Eukaryota; kingdom Metazoa; phylum Chordata; class Mammalia; order Primates; family Hominidae; genus Homo; species Homo sapiens. The sequence goes on from NC_000010.11 coordinate 122,738,705, forward strand.
CAGCCTGTTGTTTTTCTCTTCATAGTACTCACACCATTCAAGATAGCCTCTTTTTTTTCTTATTTTTTTCTGAAATGGAGTCTTGCTCTGTCACCCAGGCTGGAGTGCAGTGGTGCCATCTCTGCTCACTGCAACCTCCAATTCTCAGGTTCAAGCAATTCTCCTGCCTCAGCCTCCCGAGTAGCTGGAATTACAGGCGTGTGCCACCACACCTGGCTAATTTTTTGTAGTTTTAGTAGAGATGGGTTTCACCATGTTGGCCAGGCTGGTCTTTGAACTCCTGAGCTCAAGTGATCTGCCCACCTCAGCCTCCCAAAGTGCTAGGATTACAGGCATGAGCCACCACAGCCAGCCCAAGATAGTCTTTGTACTCTTTTGTCGTTGTCCTGCTCATCTGTGTCCTCCTGCACCACTCCCCAGAGTGTGGGTTTTGTGAGAGTAGGAACTTTGGCAATCTTGTTTATCTCAGAGCCAAGGAGAGTTCCTGATACATAATAGGTTCTAAATAAATATTTGAGTGAAAAAATAGACATATATAACATTCTGCCACTTCCATAAATTGCTGTTGAAAACATTATACTAGGTATTAAAATACTCAATGAACAAAGACAATGACTTTTTTAGGAGGATACCACTTATCAGGCAGTGAGAATTCCATTATGCACCAGGATTTTCATCTGCCTTCAAACTCCAGGAAGTTCAGAGCTTAATTGAATGATCAATACTAGCAATAGCCAAGGATTTTTTTTGGTTGGTTGGTAATTTTTCCATGTATTTTCCTTTCATTCGTATGCTTGTTAATCTTATATTTCTATTTTTCTGGTCTTGCTATGCAGATATATGTATTTTACTGTCACTTGAAATTTGTAGCAGAACATATACATATATAATTATTACATATTAAATTATATCAATAATTATAACACAATATTCAACAAAATAAAATAATCTAATGTAATATATAATTGTGATGTATTATAGTATATAAAGATATTATTATAATATTGTGTTGTATATTACATATTATAATGTGTAATATATAATAATAGTATGTATAATAATTAATGACATATATAGGATTAATAGAAATGTCCGCAAAGGGTCCAGGAGGAACCAGATGATGGCCCCTGGGCTCTGACGGAGGCACAAGCTGAGAAGACAGCTCATATGTGGACATGCCATGGCCATCTTACTTTGCTGCTAGCGGGTAACCACTGCCCAGGACAGGCAGGTGGCCCAGAGTGCCACTGGTGACTGGCTTGCTGTCAGTGTGTGGGCATTCTGAAGAGCCAGTATTATATGTTAAGGCTTTTCTTTCTAGGCTGTGTTAAAAGCAATCAAATCAGCAAATACAGGACTTCTGAAAGCCTGTTGAGTCCCAGGGGCTGATTTCACCAGGAATTCATGATATTTTACATTTTGTATTTTAGACCTGTCACATTAAAGATTTGTTGAAAACCAGTAAGTAGGTCAAGTAAAAGTTATTCAATTTAATAGAATAAGAACTATGTCAATTTATTCTTACCAATAGGTGACAGAAATTCAGCAATCATATTATCAGGTAAGATAACTTGTTTGTGCTGTTTTCCCCTGGGACTTTTCTGTTTTCCCACCCGATACAGGAGGGAAGTATGTGGAAGCGTGGCTATTGAGTTATTTTACTCAGTGACTTATTATAACCTGCCCCTTATAACTGAGCTTGGATGGAGATGATTTTCAGGACATCACTCCAAAAGATTCACTAACCTCTTAAAAAAAGAGAGCTAACAATACTATTTAAAAAATACTGGAAACATTTGGAACATAGGTTTTGTAAGTATTTAATTTTTCAGTTTGGCCAGCTTCTCTGGGAGTATCCAAACTCTCTTAATTTTTATAAAGGAAATGTTTCATTTTTTGGAGGAATAATCATCTGATTGCATGTAATGTTTACTTATTGTATAATTTCCCCATCGCTGCTCTAACAAAGTGCCATAACTTAGTGGCTTAAACAACACAAATTTATGATCTTGTAGTTCTAGGGGTCAGAAATCCAAAATGGGTCTCAGCTAAGAGTAGTATCAGGTAGGCTGTGTTCATTCTAGAAGCTCTGGAAAAAGAGGATCCATTTCCTGTCTTTTCCAGTTTTTAGTGGTGACCTGCATTCCTTGGCTGGTGGCCAGGCCTCCATCTTTAAAGCCAGCAGAGAGATTAGCATTTTCCAATCTCTCTCTGACTCTCTTTTGCCTTCTGCTTCCACTTTTAAGGACCCTTGTGATGCCATTGGGCCCACCTGATAATGCAGGATAATCTCCTAATGTTAAGGCAACTGATTAACAACCGTAGTTTCACCAGCAATCTTAATTCACCCCTTTGCTGCGTGACCTAACATATGCTCAGGTTCCAGCGATTAGAATGTGGATATCTTTGGGGGGGCCAATACTCAGCCTTCTGTACTTGTTTATGAAATCAATTTTGTAGTTACTGCTGCTCAGTGGCGCAGAAATGGACACGTTATTCAGAACATACATTAAAATATGGTGACCAAACAGGAAGTAGAGAGAAGAAAGGTACGACAGAAGAGGGGGAGCATCTACCCAAGTCAATCCAAAAAGAGAAGCAATTGTTCTCCATCTCCTGCAGTTGCCTCTGTCAATGTTCCTTATGGACATTGTAAGTAATTCCCACGGCCAGACATGGCATGAAGTTAGGTCTGTAGAGCAGGAGAGAATAGGGGACCGTGGAGCCATAGAGAGGTTTTTTGCTAGCACAACGGCAACAGAAATGTTGGGAACAAAACAGGCTTAGGAATAAAACATGCAGAACACGCACATAAAATTACCAGAGCGTCCTCATGATCTAGACCACAGGCCAACTCTTAGGAGGAATATTAAGACCCAGAACACAAAACTATCATCACAAAACACCAAATAACTGCACTTGGACATCGAATCTGGGAGAGAGACAGGCCGGGGATGATTGAGCCTAATGGGATTGAAGATCAGATGGCTAAGAGGTGATTTAGCATTTCTGTCACTTACTCAGAGGTCACTTCAGAGTTGAGGCAGAACCACACCTTGTGAAATCACAGGGAGCCCCTGGCCAAACACCCCTCCCTCAAGTTACTTATTGTTCACAGGTGCTTCTTTATTACAGTTCTACCTGCTGCCATCTCAACTCAACTCTCTCCTACAACTGCTGCACATTCGGCATCGTCAGGTAGGACACTACCAGCTCCTCTGCCATGGTAAATTCACCATAGCTTCTAAGTTGCATGAATGATAGTCGGTGGTTCTGCACCCTCACTAGGTATTGCTAAAAGATCACTTGAGATCAAATGATTTGAGAGGAAAGGAACAAGAGGACCCTGAGATGGTCTGAATTTCACTTTGTGTTTGATCACCTATAATTTTACCAACAAAAAACATGATAACGCAAGTCTTCTCATTTCACATGCTTTCACAAATGCAGAGTAAGAAGAAAAGAGATGGGGGAAGTGTGTGTTAGAGAAAAAGATTATTAAAGAGTCTCCTCATATCTTTTGATTTTAAGAAATAAACTACAGCACTTGGCCTTATGTCTGGGAATTATCCAACTTAGAGATGTCCAAATTACATCTCAGTGATCACCATTATAATCCATTTTCACTTGACCATGCTAGTTGATTCTGTCTCCACTTCTGCATCACCTGTAACTGCTGATATTTCAATTACACCATCATATAATTCACATTCTGACAATGCTAATAATCATCTTTAGTAAGTCCTTAAGCCTGTACTATCCATGTGCTTACTGAGATGTGCTGTGTCTGTTAAATACACACTGGATCTTTCAAAGAATCAGGAAAATGGGTACTTGTTGTTCAATGGGTATAAGCTTTCAGTTATGCAACATGAATAGGTTCTAGAGATCTGCTGTGCAACATCATGCCTATAGTTAACACACCGTACTGTGCACTTCAAAATTTGTTGTGGGTAGATTTCATGTCAAGCGTTCTTACCACACACCCGAAAGAGACATAAGGAAACTTTTGGAGGTGATGGATTTGTTTATTACCTTGGCTGTAGTGATAGTATCACAGGTGTGTGCTTGTATCCAAACACATCAAGCTATACACATTAAACATGCACAGTGTTTTGGTCTATCAATTATACCTCAAAAATTGTTTTAAGAAAGACAATACTATTAAAAGAATGCAGGCCAGGCACGGTGGCTCACGCCTGTAATCCCAGCACTTTGGGAGGCTGAGGGGAGTGGATCACAAGGTCAGGAGATTGAGACCAGCCTGGCCAATATGGTGAAACCTCATCTCTACTAAAAACTATAAAAATTAGCTGGGGGCCATGGCGCATGCCTGTAATCCCAGCTACTCAGGAGGCTGAGGCAGGGGAATCACTTGAACCCAGGAGGCGGAGGTTGCAGTGAGCCAAGATTGCTGGTGACAGAGCAAGACTCTATCCCCCCCACCAAAAAAAAAAAAAGCAAAATTGCTCATTGACTTTTTTATATGGATTACATTTTGTATTTATATTTTAAACTATTACATTGAAATGATAATATTTTGGATACATCAGATTAAATAAGATATATTATTAAAACTAATTCCATCAGCAACCAGAAAATCTGAAATTTCATATGTAGTTTGCACTTAATTTATAATAAACAGCATTGCCTTCCACTGAGACAATCACATATGTTGAACGTCTTATATGGATTTTCTTGTCTAATCCTTCCAAGAGCTGGATGAGGGGACTTCTAACACCTCAATTTTCAAAATGAAGAAACTTATGTTCGGATAGGTTAAATATTGTCCTCAAGGTTGGTGGAAAGATAACACAATCTGACTTCAGAGCCCTAAAGCTTAATCTCTGAACTATTCTAAACTCTCTAAACCACATTAAAATCCTATTCTAAAAAATATTGACAAGGCACATTGCCTATTCAGAAACAAGGAGTCTATTTGAGATGACAAAAGCTGAGACTGAAGAGTTCATCTCTGAGCTGGGTCTGCGTTTAATTTTTGTACTTTTACCCTTGCCTCTCCCAAACTCACATATCCATTGCGCATTGGGTGGCCACTGCAACACCAGTGCCAGTCCCCTGCCCTGCCTGGTCCAATCCTCCCCATCCCTCTCCAAGCTGCCCTGGCGGGAGTGGCTCCCTCTTCTAGATTCTCACAGCTTTTTATCTGTCCTCACTTTAGCTCTTATTCCTCTCTCATCCAGTTGCATATGTATCCACTTGCTTCCCCAGTGACATGAGGGCAGAATCCATCTTTCTCATTTTCAACATTGCCCGCAGCACGTGCATGTGCACACATACACACAGATATCTTGAGGACAATGTCAGCATGTCTGCTCTCTGATGGGCAGGCATTCAGTGGTGGTTAAATAAATAAATGAATAAATGCTTGAATAAATGAATGTCATTTGGCTTTTGCCAGTTTGCATATTTATGTCCACTTCTAAACATGAACAACAAAGAGAAAAAACACGTTAAATTCCTAGCTCTAGTGTCTACATGACTAAATACGGACATTTTTGCACGTTAAGTGGCATATTCCACTTACTTGACAGTGCAGTGCTCACAGCCACCTACTGGATTAGGATCTACTCTCTTCTACCTGCCATTTATGAGACCCTCATGATGTTTCTTTACCCCTTTGTGCTTCTGTTACCTCATCTGAGAAGTGGAAACAATAGCCACTGATTTCAAAGAGTTCTGAGGATTAAGTCACTGAATCGGTGTAAAGCACTTAGCAGGCAGCCTGGAGCATGGTAGGTACACAGGGAGTGTGCCCTCCTTCCGTGCCTGGAGGAATGTCCTGTGGGATGCTGTTTTTCACAAGGAGGGGCTTCTGCCCTGTAGTGGCTAGGCCAGGTGAAAAGGGCATGGCATTTCTGCTCTCTGCTGTAGCCAGGTCATTTTATCATAGTTCCTCCTCCAGCCCCTGGAAACCACCAGTCTGCTGTCTGTCGCTACGGATTTACCTATCCTGGATATTTCATATAAATGGCATCATACCACATGTGGCCTTTCCTGCCTAGCATAATGTTTCTTTTTTTTTTTCTCTTTGTTTTGAGACGGAGTCTCGCTCTGTTGCCCAAGCTGGAGTGCAGTGGGGCCATCTCGGCTCACTGCAAGCTCCACCTCCCAGGTTCATGCCATTCTCCTGCCTCAGCCTCCCGAGTAGCTGGGACTACAGGCGCCTGCTACCACACCCGGCTAATTTTTTGTATTTTTTAGTAGAGACGGGGTTTCACCGTATTAGCCAGGATGTTTCTCAATCTTCTGATCTCGTGATCCGCCCGCCTTGACCTCCCAAAGTGCTGGGATTACAGGCGTGAGCCACCGCGCCTGGCCAGCATAATGTTTTTGAGGCTGCTGGTTCCTTTAAAAATTATCCATTTTGAATGAGCTTGTATAAAGGTAGTTGAAATAAAGGGTCCCTCTTTCTATTCAACGTTAAATATCAGGGATCATTTTCTTGTTTATTTTTAATTTTTATTTTCTTTTTTGAGAAGGAGTCTCACTCTGTTGCCCAGGCTGAAGTGCAGTGTCACAATCTCGGCTCACTGCAACATCCACCTCCTGGATTCAAGTGATTCTCCTGCCTCAGCCTCCCAAGTAGCTGGGATTACAGGTGCATGCCACCATGCCCAGGTAATTTTTATATATTTTTTTTCTTTTAGTAGAGATGGGGTTTCACCATGTTGTCCAGGCTGGTCTAGAACTCCTGACCTCAAGTGATCTGCCTTCCTTGGCCTCCCAAAGTGCTGGGATTGCAGGCGTAAGCCACCATGCCCAGCCTGGTCATTTTCTTTGTATTGTTTTTTCCAGCAGTTCTGTCAGCTTCCACCACCCCGGAAGATGTTAACCACCCAACCATATCATCAGGTAGGTCAATGAGCTGCTAGTTAAAACAACAAAAATGGGTGTGATGCATTGATGAAAGGTTGAATTGTTGTTTAGGGCCAGGGGAGATATACTACCAAGGAATCTAAGGACCATGTGTGTAATGCCCAATGTCACTTGCAGCACCACATTTGAAGCTCCATGAGGCAAGGCTTTTATCTGTCTTGCTTGTTACTGTATCCCTAGCCCCTATCCCAATGCTTAATATATTATAGACACACAATAAATGTTTATTGAAAGAATAAACAAATGTGCAGGTGTTGCATGGTGGGCAGGCTGTTGGACCCCTCTTGAGGCAGCTTTGGCCTCAGCCAAGAACAATCCTGGTAGACAGTGTATAGTGGAGGCAAATCTCTCCACTCAAGAGACACAGGTATCACTCTGAGAAACACCAGCAGCCCCTATTTGTACAAATATCCTGCCTCAAAGAGAAGTTAGTATCATAGCAAACTAGTGAAGTCAGATCTAACAAATATTTATATTTTTCAGTGTCAGCAGATAATGAAAAGTTACCAACTACCCTAGCAGGTAAGCAATGATTCTATCATTCATCCTGTGGATGGGAGGCCTTACCATCCAGAGGGGACATCCAGGCAGGTGGATCACTAGGTTGTGTGATGTCTTCCATGGGGTCATCTAAGATAATCAGCATCCTTATGAATGCAATGATTTTTACAAACTTTTCCCAATTCATCAATGACTTATTTTACTACTGCTGAGTGCCTCCTGCAGAACCTGGGGCTGATGCAGAGTTAAAGGGGGGAGTCATATGGGTATTTGGGGACAGCAGGGTCACACTGAGGAGCTTAACCTGAACTTGACTCCAACCTCATCAGAAGAAATCTGGCAGCTCATTGGCAGCTTGTGGCTAGTCCAAATGCTTTGGTTAAGGTGTGGCATGGCTGGGGGTGCTTCACCAGCTGCTAGTTGAGTTCTTATCTGATCTATTCTGTGTTCAGCCGGTCCTAACCCCCATTTCCATGTTGTTCCAGTGCTACCTGTGGCTGACTCAGCATCTGCCAGCCGTAGGGCCAACGTGCCTGGGCCCAGCCCTTCAGGTGAGCAACCTTCCTGAGGATACCTTTTTGCTCTCCAAACCACAGAGTGAAGGTGGGCTCATCCCAATGAGGGAGGAGCCTGGGGGAGCAGCACCGTTTGCAGCCTCTTTGGCGTAAAGGGGAAGCACAATCCTGAGAGGACCTCGACCTCCAGGACTGGGGCCGATTCATTGGGCCTCCCAGACAGCATCCTCACTTGCTGCTGTTCCAGGGAAACATTTTAAAGTTCAGAAAATACAGAGAATAAGAAAGCGAATAACCATGCCTGTCTTATCTAAATATGACCGATGCTTGCATTTGGTTATATTGGTTTTCCTGTCCTATCAATCAAGAAATAAAACATGGTTAAATTTGAAGCTCCCAATAGTCCTCAGTCTCAGTCTTTTCTCTGTCCTTCCTCACAAACACTCTTAAATTTTGTGTATATCCTAACCTATGTGCTTGTGCCACCAAGCAAGACTAAGCATCCACCTTAAGAATTAGATATCTTTTTGTTGTAACCTATTTTTAACCTGTTAAAGGTAGCTTTTTATCAATGTTGAGTGTGTTTCCTTTGACACCAGCTATTGAGTTAGTATTTTCATCATCCATATCCATATAATGATAATAATTCTAAAAGTAAATATTCGTAAGACTTGTCTTTATATCTTACATATTTTTATGTTTAAATATACTAAAAATAAGACTTAAAAGAAAAGTATAATAATCTGCTTTATGAGTTAATTAAATGACTATATTTGACAACCTTTATTCCAGGAAAGGGCTGTTAAGTATTAGTAATGCTCCCCTTGTGCATGCTTTATGATGTTCACAGGTATTTTACACACACTGAAACACTGCAGGACTTATCAGAGCCCTTTCTCTACTAGTGGACACGAGCATTCTGTAAGAGGGGACTATGTTATACCAGGTTTTCCTAGCTTTACCTGACTGCAAAGCTCCTACTGCTCACTGAGATTGGGACTAGTGTCTACAAAAATGAGTTTAAATAATGCTGAACTCCAAGTGCTTAGAACATGCCATTAATAGTTGTTAAATACCTAATCAAACTGTTTTAAGTGACCTTATCCCCTTGAGTAATTAAGTTTCCTTATGACCTTTGGGCCCCGACTCTCATCCTGATGATTCTGTTAAACAATACATCCTAAGGGTAAGAACTTTTCTTTCTCCCTCCCTCTGCCTGAAATGCCCCCATTTCCATCATGTCCAGATTGTGTCTCCCTGTGAAATCCTATGCTTGCTTCTGGGCCCGGTTGTAGAAGGACTTTCCTGAGCTCCACCATCAGCGGAGTCTTTTCTCTGCCTCAGAGTATCATTTGCATACTTTTCTAGCATTTTACCTCTTCTGTTATTAATAGCAGAGCTATCTGGATGTTTCTACTAGTCCCCAACTTAATTACAAACCTATTGTTTGCAGGGACTCTTATTTCAGTAAACAAATTGCATATTCTACAGGTCCTATTTGATTGACTAAACATCCTTACTAACAGAAGTGATGCAAAACATTATTAATGTTGGGTAGATAGCTTACTACACAGTAGTGGGTTTGAGAAACTTAACTTTGTGGTTTTTTAATGTCTTAGTTTGATAAACAATTCAACTTAACATTAGCTGGTTGGTGCAAGGGTTCTCGACTGTGGCAGGAGCTGAAAGAAGACTCAGTCACCACAGCAGTCCCGCCTCTACACTTGAATTCCTAGGTTTAGTGCAGTGAGACGAGCACTGGCACAAGTCAACTAAACAACTCGATTACTCACAGACAGGCAGCAGGGATCCTCAGAAGCCTAGGACCATGGGGAGGTGGTCCCCCAAGGATAAGGAAAGCTGCCCAGGGTGGATGGAGTCTCATCTGCATGTGCTCCACTTCACAACACAGCGAGGGACCCTGAAAGCATTCCACTCAGGGTTTGATATTGCTGGGGGCCACTTGGCTCATGTTGCAGAGCATACTGTTCTAGGAGGAGCATCCGGCTCTAGGATGAGGACAAAGCCCAAGCTGTCCCAGACAGTTCCTTCTTGTCCCAGGATATTGCAGTCTCAGCACATTCTGCAGTTATTCTGAGAACTATAGCAGGAGGGGTGAAGACCTGGGCTGGCCAAGGCCATTAAGGACTTGTTCTTCTGCAGTTGGCCCTGGCATGAAATCAGGACAGCTCTGTAGGACCAGTTTCTTTTATGGTAAGAAATGCCCTGAATACAGAATCCTCAAGGTAACAGAGATGATGGAGACTTAGATGAAAACATAATTTTCCAAATAAGATGGCTATTAAGCTGTGGGTTGAATTCTTGAAGAAATTTTCACTATTTTTTATTTATATTTTTTAATGTTACATTGTTATTTATAATGACTTTTTTGTTGTTCCATATAGTTGGGGTCACTTCGGAGACTTCACTGGCCATAACCCCTGTGTCCTCCACACTTCCATCAACAGGTAAAGACTTGCCTGGGAAACCAGGAGATATGGATGCTGAGGTCCCCAGCATCAGTCCAAGCTAGGTGAAAAGGCATAGGGTCACTTTGGGAGGTAGCTCTGTATAATAGAAAGAGCTGTAAATTCTTTCAGTTTCAAGGTGTGTGATCTTGAGCAATTTAGGTGTTCTACCTGAGTCAGTTTCCTTTTCTAAATCAGGTGCAGTACCCCTTTTCAGCATGGTGGTTGAATACCTTAAAAAATGAGAGAACTAATATACAAGAAGTGAATGGTTGAATTCTAGGCACATGTTTATGTTTAGCTCTCTCCAATATCATAAATTCACAAATTATAGTTCTGAGAGTCGATGTATTAGAAAATCTTAACGCCAATATGGTTATGAACATTCTGGATATCAGGAAGTAACTATTACCTGTAAACGTGCAGTTAAGCCTTGTATGCGTTGCCATAAATCTCTTTATATTTTACGTATCTCTGTCCATGAGTTTCGTAGAATAAAATTACTTTATGAATAATATGGCCTTGTATGGGATCCTTCCAGAAACTTCTAATATAGAATGGATCCTTACAAACCCATGGATCCTTCCAGAAACTTCTAATATAGAATTCAAGATAAAACCACCTTTTTCTGAGGGGAGGCTTATAACAAAGATTGGTCATTTGAAACTGAAGGTGATTATGTCTTGCTGTCCTGGCCACATGTGCAACACAAGCTTATGTGATAAACAGACTTAGATCCAAAAAGGATGAGAGAAATATCTCTGTCACCAGAGGCCAGTCCCAGTACTTCTCCTCTTTGTGCCTTCCCAGTAGCCTGGATGGAGGTGAGGCTGCTGAATGGCACAGGGAGGTGCTCAGGCCGCGTGGAGGTTCTTGTCCAGGGCACATGGAGGACCGTGTGTTGCGTGACGACCTCTGGAATCTGGCCAAGGCCACTGTCGTGTGCCGCCAGCTACAGTGTGGACGGGCTGTGGCAGCCCCAACAGGGGCTCACTTCGGGGCAGGCTCTGGGAAAATCCTGCTGGATGACGTGCAGTGTGTGGGGAGCGAGAGCCACCTGGGGCAGTGCGTGCATGGGGGCCGGGCCAGGCACAACTGTGGGCACCTGGAGGATGCCAGTGTCATCTGTTCAGGTGAGGGCTGTCACCTCCCAGGACTTCACTATTGTCACAGGCAGCCAACACTAATAGAAACTACTGGACAATACATTATAAATAACCTCATAGATTTTGATCTCTTGATTAGATGCTGATGGTTCTCCAGCCCCCACCCGCACCACAGGGGCTGAAGCAGCTTCTATATTGGACATGCTCCCAGATAGGTCTAATCTTTGGGTAGTTTGCTTTGAGTATACTTTTCTTTCTAAAAGTCGTTTTATTAAGTCATGGTAGAGCTCCTCCAGGGCTAGAGTCCTCTAGTCCTCTTCCACTTCACAGTCGGAGGGACCTGTTCATGACAAGTCTGGAGATAAGAATAAACAAATAATGGAGATATTTAGGCAGTGGAATATTTGTTGCATCAAATAAATCCCATTAGAATTTCTCAATGATTTTTTGCCAAGAGTTATTGTTAGAAAATATCAATTGTTCCCAAATAATTCATGAGCTCTAATCTAATTCATGAAACCCTAGGATTGTCTGCACTGGTGTGAGGCTGTTACCTCTCCTGGATGTCACCGCTTCTGTGTCTTTTCAGAAATATTCAACTCATATTCTCGGAAGTCATTTAGCATAATATTGTAATAGCACTGTAAACCATAGCATGTTGATTTCTTTGATCATCAGGTGCTGGCAATTCATCAGGTCCCACTCCAACCACAGATTCTGAAGCTGCCACGCCATCATACACACCATCAGGTTGGTCCAATCTTTGCTTGGTTCTTTCGCATTGTAGCTTTTCCTCCATAGAATGTCTCTTTCTTAAGCCAAGATGGCAGGGCCTTTGTACTGCACAACTTCCAGGGCTCCACCTTGCTAGAACGCATTGCGCATTGCATCCTCATGCACATGGTCACATGCCATGAGGGAATGGTGGTCCCTGGGGTCATGGAGCTAGGTGGTCCTACATGGTTGAGTCACTCTAGGGTTAAGATAGTTAACAATCATTCCACATCACAGCACACCATACAGAGGGGCACAGAGCAGAAGGGAAACAAGTTTCTCATTCATTCCATCACCTAGATTTCTTAAATAATTCCTGAACTTGCCCAAACTATGCCTGTGCATTGGAAATTTTAGTTGTCTCCAAATGGTTTAGGAGCTCAGTCAATTGAAACAAAATAAGTTAGGATTGGATTAATATCCCCCAAGAGATACATATAGTGTTCAGACCAGGTATTAAAAAACTGCTTATAGATTCCCAAATTGGTAAATATTTGCATCATTATTATGTAGCATCCTCTTAATTTTGAGAATCTGAAAAAAGCAGAAATAAGTGGTTAGAAGAGGATGCAGGAAACAAAAACACATCGTTCCTCCCTCTGTAGGTATTTGATAGGAGAGCAATGAAGCCCATTCCCTCCAGCACACGATAACATGGACAACAGAACAGAACGATGGTTAGTGAAATTCCCACGGTGGGGGCCACACACTCACAGTAGTACCTTCTTGGCCCAGACCAGAGCTGACTGCCAGCTGCTTCACTTTCAGGAAAAAACTCTGTACATTTCTTTCTTTTTTTTTTTTTTTTTTTTGAGACAGAGTCTCACTCTGTCACCCAGGTTGGAGTGCAGTGGTGTGATCTCGGCTCACTGCAACATCCACCTCCTGGGTTCAAATGATTCTCCTGCCTCAGTTTCTCAAGTGGCTGGGACTACAGGCGCCTGCCACCATGCTTGGCTAATTTTTGTATGTTTAGTAGCGACAGGCCTTCCCCATGTTGGCCAGGCTGGTCTCAAACTCCTGACCTCAGGTGATCCACCCACCTTGGCCTCCCATAGTGCTGAGATTACAGGCGTGATCCACCGCACCCCGTCAACTCTGTACATTTCTGACATATTAAGATTGATTTTACATTGTATTATATGACCAACTGAAAAAAATAAATTACATGATTATTTCTTTTTCTACTCCAACCCACTTTAAACAACCAGTTTGATGATTTAACCACTTCTGGACAGTCTACTCCCAAACTATTTTAAATGATCACAATAATAGAGAGGGTATTCAATCGTTTTGATTTACATACATATATAAAGACTATTATGAAAAGTATCAAACTCACTGACAGATGCTGAAAATAGTACAATGAGCCCCAGTGTATCAACTACTGAGTTTTATGAAATCCTAATATTTGCCCTAATTGTTTGAGATCCTTTTTAAAAAGAAACAACACAATACCTGACTGCTATTTAGGAGTTAATAAGATGAAAAGAGGTGTCTTAATGCTCCGTGAAAGCCTCACGTGGCTTAGCTACTCAGAGTCCAGATACAGCCACCAAAGATCTAGATGGAAACCAAAACATTCGGCCATTTCATTGACTGCCATGTCCATGGATTGCTCCAAAAAGAAAAAGAGGAAACCATCCACAAATGGTTTTGTGGGCACTTCACAAGCTACAGTGTACAAACCAATGGTGTGTCCTCAAAGTATTAGCACTTTTCATTTCACTGTGGCATCTGATATCTAGTGTTGAATGAGGTGGCAGGAAGGAGATACAGGGGCCACCAGAACCCTGATGGGACACCTTTGGAACAAGAAGTTCTCTTTGGGCTTATAGTCAGAAGTTCACACTCCCATGTATAGCCAGGAGGTGTCTAGCAGTGAACAAGGGCTCTCTTTGTTTTGCATTCACAGGTCAAGCACTGTCATTAACTACCACAGAGCCCACTGTGCTTCCCCCAACTCCTCCAACAGGTCAGTTGGCATTTGTTTTATGGAGAAAGGGAACCATGTGCCCAGCACTGGCCTGGTGCCTTCCCAGAGCTGAAGCCACGCTAAGTGCTAACCATACTCCTGCAAATTCTCCTTGCCTCTGGAGGAGCTGAGTCAGGAACTGATGCTGCATATTTGACTGTGACCTTCAGGCCATGTGTATTTTCTTTTTTTAATTTTTTTTTTTTGAGACGGAGTCTCGCTCTGTCACCCAGGCTAGAGTGCAGCGGTGTGATCTCGACTCACTGCAAGCTCCGCCTCCCAGGTTCACACCATTCTCCTGCCTCAGCCTCCTGAGTAGCTGGGACTACAGGCACCTGCCACCACACCCAGCTAATTTTTTTTTTTTTTTTTGTATTTTTAGTAAAGACTGGGTTTCACCATGTTAGCCAGGTTGGTGTCGATCTCCTGACCTCATGATCCACCCGCCTCGGCCTCCCAAAGTCCTGGGATTACAGGCGTGAGCCACCACAGCTGGCCCAGGCCGTGTGTATCTTCAAACTTTTGTCTTTCTAAAGTTGGTTTTAGGGGATGTCCTAACAATTAGGTCTGCTTCTGTTTGTCCCTGTGACAGGTGCTGGGTTATCTGCAACCATAGCCACAACAGAGCCTGTGTCCCTGCCATCCACACCCATGCCCCTGGCAGGTAAGTGCTTGGGAAAATGGGGGAAGGAGCTCACACTTATGAAACAACCATAATATGATAAGCAAAGAATCAGACGCTGTCACTAGTCTATGCTCAAACCACCTACAAGTGTTACCCTTCCCCCCACCTCACCTCACTGTTTCATAAAATGAGACACAGAAAATTTTCCTAGTGTCACCCGACTAGAATGTGGTAGAGCCAAGATTTGGGCACAAATATGTCTGACTCCAAACCCATATGACTCTGCTTAGCCAGTTACCTTTCATGGTGGGACAGTATTCTCCAAAGCTACCTTTGGGCTAATGGGAAGAGAACATGCTTGCAAGCCTAATTGCTATGTCCCAGGTACATCAAGACTATAACTAGGAAATCAGGGAGTCGGCTGCGAGTTGTCACCTACTCTATAGCTTTTAATATAAAATTCCTAATTTATATTTTCCACTGTGATAATTAGGCAAGACTTATCCTTTTAGTTTACCTGATACTGTATATCAGGTGTAAACCCAAATCCCAGTTCTTTCCTTCTAGGTGGGCAGGAAACATCTATACATCTGCTTTACAAAGAAAGAAAGTTTGTTGTAGCATTCTGACACTTTAAGCCTGGTTCTGCAGTAACTCACATCAGTAGTAACTCAATTTGTCTAGGCCAAGCCTAATGGTGTGTGTGCATGTCTGTGTTTTGAATAAATACTATGGTGGAAGTTTAAGGCTGTGTAGATGTACTAAGCTAGCCTTACAGTCATTCTGCTACCTCCTCAAAAAACACTACACAGCAGGCAGAGGTCTCTCCTCTGTTTCAGGCCTTCACTTGGGCCACTTTTTGACATTCTGGGCCCCTAGGAACTTTTGCCTTCAGGGACCCCTACCTCCGTTAAAAAAAAAGTATATTTATATACACACAGATATGTATGTGTATCTTCTATTTTATGGTTGTGTTGGTATAAAGACTATATTGTAGTCATTTCTTCTGATTTTAAAACAAATGAAGGCAGGTTTGGGAGCCCTTAAAAGTCACGTGGACCCCAGTCACTGTGCCTGCCACATCTGATTGAGGCATCTGTCCTGCTCTTCTGTGTTCTTCCAAGTAATGAACACGTGCAGACCCGCTAGACTCCAGCACCACAAGGACATTTCGGGAGGAAGAATACGATGCATTTCCCCTGATTTGAGACTGCTTCAAATCAGGGTGTGGGGGAGGATTCTGATTTATTTCATAACCTCCTCGGGGTAGAACCGATGGACTGTGGTAAGAGCTGTCCTAACCTTATGCCCTCCTTAGGGCTAAGCCATAGGCAGTCTGCCCTGTCGATAGTGCTGCACAGAGAGCTGGCCCCATTTTCAGACACAGGTTGCTCGCAGGAGCTTTGTTGAGAAAAGAGGTTCATTTTTTATGCATAGTTCCTGGCAGGGTTGAGTTGAGAACAGTAGTTAATGGTCACACTGAATAATGCAAGTAGGAGTGGGTTGTTTATGAAATGGAGGCTGCTGGCTCAGAAGAACTGGAGCCTGTAAAGGGGGGATTGACCTAGAATCTCTCGGAAAACCTTCCCTTCCCTTCTGAGCATAATCTACTTATGATTATCATAACGACTCACATTTCCACTACATTTTTCCTCACATATATTTTCTAACTTGGTCTCAAAACAACCCATATGTTAGATATGAAAAATATTTCTGCATTGGATTATTGACGTTATGTAATATTGTATTGTATTGTACTACCACTCCTATTTTGTAAGCTAGAGCACTGTTAATATAATGAGACACAGACTCTCAAACTTTTTGTTTAAGAAATCTAATGGAGTAGTAGGTTCTATTTTTTACTTCTCCTGTTGGCTTAAGAAAAAAGCCTCACCAGTGTTTCTAGAAAATTCTAGAACACAGAATGTCAATATAAATATCATGATCAGGGCACTGAATTACTAAATAAAACAACCATCAGAATTCCAGATTTTTGAGAGGTTTAACAATTACTTTCACTAGACATAGAAATAATCTGAGATGATTTCTCCTTTGTTTTCTCCATCCTATCACTGATTAAAGCCCTTAAGGTGTAAACTCTTCCTTATAGAGCCTTGCACATAATAGGCATTAAGTGAATATTCTGTGGTTTAAAGTATAACTGTGTTGGCAGCAAAGAAAAGAAATGTCTTTAGTGCTAGAAAGAATGCGCTGTAATCTCCAGTCTGGGACATTCCCCCATAGCAAGGCGACTTCCACAGAAAGACTAGCAAGCGTCCACTGGGGCATGGCTGAGAGGACTCCCCCCCCAGGTCAGGGGTCCTCTGGAGTTCTTGTGCCATGTGTAGGCTTAGGCGACATGTGTAAGTTGGGAGCCCAGGGATCTAGCATTACCTCTCTAGATGTCTAATGCAACTGCTCACCAGGGTCTTCTGGCCTCCTTGAGGCACTTCCAGGGAGTAGGAGTTCCAGCCCAGATTTTCCAAGACCCATAGAAATTTCTGTCTGCCTAACCCAGAGGAAATACCCTTTTAGTTACACATAAAGGTAGAATAAGCACTTCTCTCCCTCAAACCTTATTCTCTTCCTTGATCTCAGGTCTTTGAAACCAAAGCCAGAACATCCTACAGGCTATATCAGCTCTCTACTCTGTATGTAACCTGAGGCACAGGGCTCAGCTTGAGAGAAGGAAGGAGAAGGGTAACTTCAGGGAGGGAAATACATATAAAAAAGTTCACTGGCCTTAGAAAGCTGTACAAAATACTAATCAAACTACCCAGTTCCAATTCACATTGCCACTTTGGCCCTGAGAAAGCTAACTTGGACTTTCTGAGTCTCACTTTCTTCATGTGAAAAACAGAGGTAATAATAGACCCAAAAGAGAGATGTAATGGTCAAATAAGATCAAGCTTATAAAGAACCTAGGATGGCACCTGCTATTGGTAATCACCCATGAAATGTGAGTGGTAGAATTTATGATTATTATTCTTACTATTATTCTTCCTATGAAATAATATCATATGGAAGATATAAGTATTATGACATCAGCAATATATCAGCACAACATAATAAGACTAAGGCAATGTCCTGACACCAAAGGCCACTCCCCAGTGTCCCTACTTCTTGTGCCTCCCCAGGAGCCTGGATGGAGGTGAGGCTGCTGAACGGCACAGGAAGGTGCTCAGGCCGTGTGGAAGTTCTCGTCCAGGGCACGTGGGGGACCGTGTGTGATGATCTCTGGGACCTGGCTGAGGCCACTGTCGTGTGCCGCCAGCTGCAGTGTGGCCAGGCTGTGGCAGCCCCCACAGGGGCCCACTTTCGGGCAGGCTCTGGGAAGATCTTACTGGATGACATGCAGTGTGTGGGCAGTGAGAGCCATCTGGGTCAATGCATGCGTGGGGACCAGGCCAGGCACAACTGTGGGCACCTGGAGGATGCCAGTGTCATCTGCACAGGTAAGGGGCTGTTTTCTTAACAAGAAGTCACTTCTTTGTTTTCCCTTCGAATAATACTTAATGATTGATTTTACTAAGCATTATATTATAAATGGCACTGTAAATGTTAGCATGTTGATTTTTCTTTTGATCATCAGGTGCTGGCAATTCACCAGGTCTCGCTCCAACCACAGAGCCTGAAGCTGTCACTTCATCATACACACCATCAGGTTGGTTCAATCTTTGCCAAAGCAAAAGAACCAAGCAAAGATTTCTGTCTCTTGCATAAGCCAGGATAGCACGGCCTGATAGAGCATGGTGTTACTTTTAACCTATCTGTGTCTTTAAATTTATTTATTTATTTATTGAGATGGAGTCTTGCTCTGTTGTCCAGACTGGAGTGCAGCAGCGTGAACTCAGCTCACTGCAACCTCTGCCTCCCGGGTTCAAGCAGTTCTCTTGCTTCAGCCTCCCGAGCAGCTGGGACTACAGGTGCACACCACAACGCCTGGCTAATTTTTTGTATTGTTAGTAGAGATGGGGTTTTGCCATTTAGCTAGCTGGTCTCGAAGTCCTGGCCTCAAGTGATCCACTCATTTCAGCCTCCCAAATTGCTGGGATTACAGGCATGAGCCACTGCACCCAGCCATATCTTTAAATTTAAAGTAGAGTTCTTTTAGGTAGGATATACTTGGGTTTTGCTTATTAAAAACCCTATTTGAAATCTCTGCCTTTTATTTGTGGTGTTTAGACCATTTATATTTAATATGATGACTGGCAGATACAGCTTACTAATTATCCATTGTTGTATAACAAATTACACAAAATTTTTATTTTAGAATGACAGATATTTATTAGCTCAGTTCCTGTGGGTCACATATCTTATTAGCTTAGCTGGGTGGTCCTGGCTCAGGGTCTTTCATGAGGTTATAGTCAAGCAGTCGGCCAGCGGTACAGTTAAGAATAGGCTTTTTTCTGAGCTCACTCACATGGTTTATTGGTGTCTTCTATTCCTCATGTGCTCTTTTACTTAGGACTTGAGTTTCTTGATGGCTTCTAACTGTAGGCTTCTCTGAATTCCTTGCCCCATGGGCCTGTCCATAGGGCCATGAACAAAATAGAGGCTGACTTCCACCATAGCAAGTGATGAGAGAGAGACAGAGAGAGAGCTCAAGACAGGACCCACAGTCTTATAATTCAATCTCAGAAGTGACAAGTCATAATTTTTGCTCTATACTATTGATCAAAAGTAAGTTATTAAGTCCAATCCAAAACACAGGGAGGGAAATCAAACCCTAGCTCTTGAAGGAAGGAATATCAAATAATTTATGAGTATATTTTAAAAATCACCACTGTTAAGTTTAAATCTACCATTGTGATATTTGTTTAAATTTACCATTTTGCCAGTTGTTTTCTATTCATTCTACCTGTTCTTTTTTACCACGTTTTTGTCTTCTTTTTTTGGAATTTATTGTTCCATTTTGTCTACTTTTTTGTCTGCTAGGTATAATTGCATTTTAAGTGGTTACTTTAGGATTTATAATAAACATCTTTTCTATGTGGCATCCTGTTTCTTCTGCCTGAAAGACTACCTTTAATACATCCTGTAGTGAGGGTCTACTGGTGACAAATTATTTCACCTTTTCTGTGCCTGAAAGCATCTTTATGTCATCTTCATTTTTTTAAAGATAATTTTCCTGGGTATAGAAATCTAGGTTGACCTTTTTGTTTCAATGCTTTAAATATGTTATTTCACTGTTGTCAGAATTTCATTCTTTCTGTCAAGAAGTCTATTGTCATTATCACCTTTTTTCTCTGTATACAATGTTTCATTTCTGGCTGCTTTTAAGATATTCTATTTATATGAATTCTAATCTATTTGGTTATAACGTACCTTGGGATAGTTTTCTTCATGTTTCTTCTGGTTAGAGGTCATTGACGTTCATGAATCTGTGGTTCACAGGGTTTTTTTGAATCAAATTTAGAAGTTTATCTCTTCAAATATTTTGTTCCCATCTTTTCTTCTCTCCTTTATGAACTCCAATTAAACATACATTAGGTTACTTGAAGTTGTCTCACAATTCCCTGGTGCTCTGCTCATTTTTTTTTTAGTTTTTTTTTTTCCCCATGGCATTTAGCTTTGGATATGTCTTCAAGTTCACTTACTTTTTTCTCTGCAGTATCTAATCTGCTGTTAATCATATCCAGTGTATTTTTCATCTCAGGCATTATTGTTTTCTTCTTGAGAAGTTTAATTTGGGTCTTTTTTATATCTTCCATATCTATACTTTTCATGTTCCATCTTTCCTCTACCTTCTTGATTGTATGATATAATTATTGTTTTCATTCTCTAGTGTAAAAATTATATTATTTTTACCATTTATTGGTCTGTTTCCACTGATTTATTCTTCCCATCATGGGTCATAGTTTTCTGTTTCTTTACAGCCTTGGCAATTTTCTATTGGATGCCAGATGTTGCCATTTACCATTTTGAGTATGAGTTATTGTTTATTTTCAATCTTACTTTAAATCACTCAAGTTACTTGGAAACAGTTTGGTCCATTTAAGCCTTGTGATTAAGTTTTGTCAGGCAAGAGTAGAGAGAACTTTAGTATGGAGCTAATTTTCCCCACTACTGGGAAATACCCTTCTGATTACCATACCGAATGCCTCATGTATTGCCTGGTTTCACTCTGGCTGGTAGGAAAAGGAACTATTCCCATCCCTGTGCAATCACCAAAGATTGTTCCCTCTACTCCTTTTAGGCAGTTCTTACCTTGGTCTTAGATATTTGCTCCACACACGTCTGCTGATTAGTACTTAGATAAAAACTTGAGAGAGACTCTCTGAAAATCTCTGGAGCTCTCTCTGTAGGCAGAGAGGTGAGCAACCTCCAGTACTTCCCAGTGAACTCTAGCCACTTTGTTTTCCCTGAATTTTCAGATCTATCTTTTGAAGGAGTCTGCCAGGATCCACCTGGGTTCCTCTTCACTCTGTTGTGCTCTGGAACTCTAATTAATAACCTAGGGTAATTATAGGACTCCCCATGCTCATTCACTCTCTCTTAGTGATTGCTCTCCTGTGCTGCCTGTTGTCCAAGATCAGAAAGCCATAATTTAATGTATTTTTTCTGATTTCTTAGTTGTAGAATGGTAAATCTGTACCCAATTATGGTAGTTTTCTGTTGCTGCCATAACAAACTGCTACAAACTTAGCAGCTCTAAACATTATCAATGCGTCATTTTTATAATTCTGTAAGTCATAAGTCCAGCGGGCTTAGCTGTTCTGTTTCAAGTCTTGAAAGGAAAAATTAAGATGCCAGTAGAAATCTGAAGGAGAATCTATTTCCAGGCTTATTGGGGTTGTTGGCAGAATTCAGTTACATGCAGTTGTACAACTGAGGTCCCTGTTTCCCTGCTGACTGCTGGGTGGGGGTTGTTCTCAGATTTTAGAAACCACTCACATTCCCTAGCTCATGACCCCTTCATCTTAAAGCTTGCATCAGTGAGTCAAGTCATTTTCATGCTTTTTAAATATCTCCTGCCTCTTCTTCTGCCATACCTCTCTATTTCAGCCAGAAAAGATTCTCTGCTTGTAAGAGAGAATTAGATTGGATGCACCCAGAAAATCCAAGATAATCTCCCATTTTGTGACCTGTCACCTTAATCACATCTGCAAAGTCTCTTCTGCCATATCATGTAACCTATTTGCAGATTCCAGGGAGTAAAACATAGACAGCTTAAGGAAGTCAATATTTAACCTCCCACACCAGTTACTACATCTGAGATGGAAATCGAAGTCAGTTTATTTTATTATAAAATGTATTAAAACCAATGAATACGTCAAGAATAGTGTAATGAACAATTGAATACTCACTAGTAGAT
The DNA here is from genome assembly GCF_000001405.40 of Homo sapiens. Lineage (NCBI taxonomy): Eukaryota > Metazoa > Chordata > Mammalia > Primates > Hominidae > Homo > Homo sapiens. The sequence continues at coordinate 122,760,887 of NC_000010.11, forward strand.
TCTATCAAATATTAATATTTATTATAATTATTTTAGATTTTTAATAAAACAATACAGTAATTAAATGATATTTTATGAGTTAATAGGATACAAATGGAGGCTTATTTTGTTATGTGAGCCTCCCATGGTTTAAGCTACTAAGAGTTCAAATAAATTCAGCAAACATCTAGAAATAAACCAAAAGCTTTAGCCATTTAACTAAATATATCTGGTTTGTTCCTAAAAGGAATTTTTCCTTTCAGAATTTATTTTATGGGTGTTTAAAGGGTTAGAATGTGCTAACTAGGTGAGAGTTCTAAACGTACTGGATTTTCCATCCCATTATGCTCTAACTAGCGATAGATGAATGTGGTAGAGAAGGGAGAGTGGATGATCCTCCCTACCTGAATCTGCCTCTTGGGGAGCCAACCAAAACACTGACTGGACACATTTGAGCCCAGTCATTCTCTTTGGGCTTGTTGTCAGAAGTTTTCCCTTCTGTGTGTAGCTAGGAGGTATCTAGCAGTGAACAAGGCCTCTCTTTGTTTTATACTCACAGGTCAAGCACTGTTATTAGCTGTGCCCACCACAAAGCCTGCTGTGCTTCCCTCAACCCCCTTTCCAACAGGTCAGTTGGCATTTGTTCTGTGGGGAATGGGGAAAGGGAACCGTGTTCCAAGCCCTAGGCTTGTCCCTTCCCAGATCTAAAGCCACACTGGGTGTGATCATACTCCTGCAAATTCTCCTTGCCTCTGAGAAGCTAACTCAGGAGCTGATGCTGCCTATTTGACGGTGACCTTCAGGCTGTGTCTATTTTCAAATCTTCATCTTTCTAAAGTTGGGTTTAGAGGATGTTCTAACTATTAGGGATGCTTCTGTTTGTCCTTATGACAGGTGATGGATTATCTGCAACCATAGCCACGACAGCCATGACCCTGCCATCCACACCCATGCCCCCAGCAGGTAAGTCTTTTGGAAAATGGGTGAAGTAGCTAACATTTATGAAACAACCATGATGTGATAAGCAGAGAAGTAGATGCTTTCACTTAACTAACATCTCATTTTATGCTCACACAAACCTACAAGTAAAGTTACTCCTGACCCACCCTCATTTTTTTACATAGAAAGACAGAGGAAAATTAATTTACCTAGGATTAATTGACTAGAAAATGGTAGAGTAAGGATTTGAGCACATACTCTCAGGTCCCAATCCCATATACCTCTACTTGGCCAAAGCTTCTGAGGGAGACAATGCTAGAGGGACAGAAACTTCCGGCAGACCTAATTGCTAAGACCCAGATACATCAAGACCTTAATTCAGAAATTGTAAAGTCTGATGTCTTTCAGATCGTCTGTGTGTTGTCTTTTGTTTTCTCTGAAACCTTTTAGGACCTTTCTCTGTTCTTGTGTCTTGAGCTTCCATGATGTTTTACCTTGGTCTGAGTCTTTTTTCACACATTATTCTACATACTCCATTTAAGCTTTTAGTCTAGAGATGCATATTCCTCAGTTCTCGCAAATTTTCTTGAATTATTTGTTTGATAATTTCCTCTTGTCTGTTTTCCGCCTTGAAATCCCTTAGACAGATGTTGGATTTCCTATATTGATCAGCTAAATTTTGTAATTTATTTGTTTTTAATTTTGCATTTTAAGATCTTTTGCTGTGTATTAAAGTTTTATTCAACATTATCCTTTAAGTGTTTGGTTTTTAAAGAAAATTCAGCCATTGTATTTTTTAATTTCCAAGTGCATTTTCTTATTGCCTGGCTTTTCCTTTTTCATAACTTTCTGTTCTTGTTTCACAGATGCAGTACCTTTTCTAACTGTCTCAGTATACGTATTATAACTCTACTCAAAACTTTTTTCTCCTTTTGTTGTCCCTGTTTCTTTTCTCTGTTTTTCTAGTTGTTCTAATTTATGCCTCTTAGGCTGGATACTTTTCTTAAAGATCCAGGCATTCCTGGCTATCTGTTTGCATTTAAGAATGAGGCACTAAGGAGCTGATGCAAGTTAGGTGATGTCTCTCTGCTGGTTTTCCAGCAGCAGAATGGGGAAAGACAGCTAACACGTCCAGATCTCAGCTCTACCCTCAGTTCACCTGATGTCTGCAAGAATGGACCTTCGGGATTTAATTTCTCCAGAGAATAAATTCCCTGGCTGTGAGCGGGGAAAAAAATAAAAAACCCTTCTACAGATTTTCAACCAACAACCCTTTTTAGCATGGTAGTGATTGACCAGTATTGGAAACCAGGTGAGTTATTAGAAGAGTCAGTGGTCGTGTCCTTAAAACACAAATCCATGCAAAGATACTATTTAAAAGCAGCTTGTTTATAGTTTTATCATGGAATAGATGGGACTATAAAGCTGTTTAGATCATTTGTCTTGCATGTTGTAGTTTTGTATAATACAACTTATCTGTTTTACAAATTAGTTTACTTCATTCTGCAAATTATGGTGCCTGTTTCTGTTGGGGTGATCAGACCTGACACCAGGCCGTGGGGGCTACAGAGTCCAGCAGAGTCAAAGGAATGAGAAAAGACAGGTTAAGAGTACATAAGGTGGGTCCAGGGGGCCAGTGCTGGTATGGAGGCTGCAAAGGCCCCCAAGCTCTGGGAGCCTACACTATTTACTGGTGATCAACAAAGAAACAGATGGTGAGGACGTGCGGATGTGGGGGTAGAAAGGTAGTGGTGCATCAAGTGTAGCTGTGTCGGTTTCGCATTTTCTTTGATGCATATAGCTGCTTGAGATGATGGAGAACATGTTTACGAGCCTGGGAGAGCAACCAATAAGTCTGTGCACATTCCAGAGGCCATGAGGGGTTTTATGCCCTGAGCCCTGGATTCCATCCAAGCCACGAGGGGTTTTATGCCCTGGGCTTAGATTTGTGGTGTGGCAGGGCAGCCTTCCACCCTTTGGCACAGAGCTTGGTGTTCCAAAGGCCACAAGGAGTTTTAGACCCTGGACCCTGGACATCTTCTAAGACTCTTATATTATGACAGACAAGCCAGTCCTGCCTCAGCTCTTCTACCAACATGTTTCATTCCTCAGTAGCAAGTAAAGTCTCATTTTCTTAATTTAAAATTTAAAGTTCCATATTGGAATGCTTGTGTTCAAATTTGAGAAGGCCACATAGAAATGTATGACCTTGAGCAGATTACTTGAACTCCCTGAGTTGCAGTTTCTTTATTAGCAAAAAGGAAAAAATAATTAAAGCAATATCAAAGACTCATTGTGAGGGTCAAGTAAGATTAAACTTGTAAAGCACTCTTATGGTGTCTATAAGGTGGTAAACCCTATGAAATATTAGTATTGTTATTATCATTATCATGACTATTTTGTGGTATATGAAAGATATTAATATATATATAACTAGTAGTATAAGAGCTCAATATAACAGGATCAAGGCAATATCCTGACACAAGGAGCCCAGTCCCCAGTCCCCTTCCCCTTGTGCCCCCACAAAGAACCTGGAGGGAGGTGAGGCTGCTGAATGGCATGAGGAGATGCTCAAGCCTTGTGGAGGCTCTCATTTAGGGCACACAGGGGACCGCATGTGGTGATCTCTGAGATCTGGCTGAGGCCACCATTGTGTGCCACCAGCTGCAATATGGCCAGGCTATGGCAGCCCGCATAAGGGCCCACTTTTGGTCAGGCTCCAGGAAGATCCTGCTAGATGACTTTCAGCATGTGGGCAGTGAGAGCCACCTGGGGCAGTGTGTGAACAGGAGCTGGACCAGGCACAATTGTGGGCACCTGGAGAATGCCAGCATCATCTGCACAAGTGAAGGAATGGCTCTCAGTCCTCACTTAGATGTAAAATATTATTCCCCAGGATCTTTCTACAGAATTGGCAGTGCTGCAGATAGCTCACACATGAGAGTATATAGATGATAGATGTTCTCTCTTTACTGGTAGGTGCCAAGTCTTCAATCACTTCTCCAACAGGTAGGACCAACTTCCCTTTGTTAACTAGATGAAACACTTGTGGATATTTTCTACTGATCTTAACCAAGAGCCAAAGATCACCTCCTACCTCATCTTACAAGTCTTCTTTCTAGTTCATCTTGCAAGATATCCAGCTGACCTCCCTGAGGAAAGCAATGTACTCTGCGATTGCCTCCACAGAGCCTTCTTAACCTGCAGGCTCAAACTGCAGGGACTGGCATGCACAGCTTCTTACGAACAAAGAGCAGCATCCAAGCTCCCTAAGTGGTACAAGCCTGCAGGAACCTCTGTACATCAGGAAAGAAAATAAAAGTCACCTTGAATATATTAGTCCTCGTCTGTGTTAGGACTAGTTCCATTTTCTTGCCCTTTACTGCATATGTGAGTTGAAAGGTATAGAAGAATGATCAACATCACCTTTCTTTGGCATCTGTAACACCTGAATTGCTAGCTTCCAGGCAATGAAACCACATCATTAACACGTGATTGAACCTAGTTAGTCAATTTAAGAAAATAATACTCTGTGATTCAGGACACTTGATATTTACAAACTGCCACCATACACGTGATTTAATTTGATCCTCACAATATCCAGTGAAGTTGCCAACACAGAGACTATCTCCATTTCTCAGATGATAAAACTAAGGCTCAAAGAAGCAAAAGAGCTTTATTTGTTTTTCTTACATCTTATCTGCTGTACTCCTTTAGAAAACATATTGACACATAGTAGTTGTTCAGTAAATGGTGCCAATGTTTATCCCGGTATTTCAAACATCCAACTACCTGACATGGAATTGAAAAATGGGAAGTCGATACAAGCCATGCAACATTTATGCTTGGTAATAAATCATCAGGCTGATTGCTGCCAGATTCTAAACCACATGTTCAAATAAGTGTGATATCAGTCTTCTGAGAAATGTCACACAGATAATAAAGTCAGTACTTTCATATTTTTCACCTGGGGACACTTTCTGTCCATAGTACTTCACTCCTGAGATAATTTGGCTAATAAACACCAATCATGGTGGTCCCTGATGTGTGTCTTTGTACAGAATCAAAGACATATAAAGTTTAAATTTGGATGGATACTTAAGAACGTACAGCAAAAATTCTGAGTTTAATTTCCTCCTTATTCCCATATTTTTACATCAGAAAAGAAGACAAAATGAGCAATAAAAATGTAGACTTCATACAGTTACCTTATTTTACCTGAATCTTGTTTCAGTAAGAAATGAGCTGGTTAGGGTTAGGATCTTTGAAAACAAGTAGACCTGGCTTCATATCCCAGTTCAGACACTTCCAAGCACTGAGCTTCTGGGCAAGCAACTCACTCTCCCTGAGTCTTGGTTTCTGCATTTGTAAAATAGGAGGAAATAGTCCATCCCTTACTTGGTGGTCAAGAAGTTAAAACAAGGTCACCCAGGCAGAGCATTTGACCTAGTGTCTGGCAAAGAGATAGCATATGATAAATGCGATCCTAGCTACCGTCTTGTTTTGTCTCCGTTACAGCTCCTGAGTCATTTGCTGCTCCTGGGGCAACAAAACCCACAATTTATGGTAAGCCCCTACCACAAGGCACACAAACACCTGGACTTAAAGTGCTAGAGCATTGGGCTGGAGAGGACTTTCATGAACATCTGGTCTACCTCTTCTGACCTCACCCTACCCCCATGTCCCCAACATCAGCCTGAACCCATTGAGTGTCTGAGTCCTCTCTGCAATATCTGCCCAAGTCATAGACTGTGAGACATCTGTATATTGCACTTGAATGTTATCACTTAGCTAAGTGAAATACCTAAAAGAGTAGTTAGGGATTACATAGGTTACTATATGTAAAGTTCTTAGCAACCAGTCCCCTGACTATCCTGGCGCGTGTGTGCATATTCACACACACATACACACACACACGTGCGCACAGAGACAAACTTAATTATTCCATTCACTGAGGTAGTCAGATTTTTACCATGGCCATTTAGTGAGCACTTACACATGTGCCAGGCGTGGTGAGAGAGCACAGAAAGAAGTCAGACACAGGGACAGCAGCAGCAGCAATGGCACCTAACATTAACTGAGTACTTACTATGCACCAGGCCCTATGTCAAGCTTATATCATGCATTATCTTATTTGTTCCTCTTGGTTATTATTCCTGTTTTACAAGCTAGGCACCTGAGGCTTAGGGAGCTTGCATAACTTGTCCTGTTCTAACTCTAAAACTGATGCTCTTACCCACTCCATCTGTTGGTCCCTGCCCCAAATGTGTCTATTATCCAGTAAGGATGTCAGACACACACTAGGCCACCACCATCAATGTAGATGATGGGAAGTGCCATGAAAGGTATACAGAACATAGAAGGGAGAGGATTACAACTGGGGGATTCCAGGAAGGGTCGATGGAGGTGGCAAGGGGAGGAGAGCTGTAGGATGGATAGAATTTTAGCCTGTGGTCCTGGGGATAGCAACAGCTTCTAGGAGCAAAGAGAAGGACAATGCTTGAAGGAACGATTTACAGCCAGGGGTCCTGTAAGTACCTTGTGAGGGTGCTTGAGGTGCATGCATCCCATCACACTCACAGGAGACCCCACAGCTCATTGGTTATTCCGTGTCTTCCTCTGAATAGGCAGGAAAGAGGTAATCTAGGATTTGACTTTGCTGCGTTGATTATCTGTTGGACACTCTCATTTTACCCATATTCCTCAGATCTTAAAGGACATATGAGCACAGGGAGGGCCCCTGAGCCTTAAGTCTTGAGTTCGTTCCACAGGTATCATTGGTCTGACTATAACTCAATTCCTACCATGTTTTCTCACTTGTCCCAGAGAACAAGAGTGGTAATATTCATTAAACACTGATTATGCACATGCTATGCTATGTTAGCATTTTATATGCATTACCCCATTTAGTCCTCAGAGCAACTCTACTAAATGAGCATTATTGCTATCACCATGTTTGCAGAGGAGAAATCAGGCAGGAAGAGGAACTTGCCCAGGACCACACCACACAGTTAGAAAGCAATGGGTGTGGAATGCAAATGCAGGCAGTCTGACTCCAGAGTCCAGGGAGTCATGTCTAAGCTGAACTGATTCCCTATGGGAGGAGAAAAGAGGAGAATTTCTGCCCACCAGCATTTCACTCTGGTGGGCAGCTGCTGCCATTTCAGGGAAACAGGCAGCCCAGCAACTTGGATAACCTCAGGGAGAAAGCGTTTTTATATCAAAGGCACCAACATCTTCTAAAATTCCACCATCAGTTACCAGCTGCAGGAGCCTGCATGGAGGTGAGGCTGCTGAATGGCACAGGGAGGTGCTTAGGCCGCGTGGAGGTTCTCATCCAGGGCACGTGGGGGACGGTGTGTGACCACTTCTGGAACCTGGCCGAGGCCGCCGTTGTGTGCCGCCAGCTGCAATGTGGCCAGGCCATGGCAGCCCACTTCGGGGCAAGCTCTGGGAAAGTCCTGCTGGATGACATGCAGTGTGTGGGCAGCAAGAGCCACCTGGGGCGGTGCGTGCACAGGGGCTGGGCCAGGCACAACTGTGGGCACCTGGAGGATGCCAGTGTCATCTGTGCAGGTGAGGGTCTGGTTGTCAATCTTCATTTGGAGGGCTGCTTCTAGTTCCTTCACTCCTCTCTCCTCTACACACACAAACCACACCCCACAGCTTAGTCCAGGAACATAGTGGAGCCAGGCAGGTAACTGGTACTGCCTACAGCCTTTCAAAGTTCTACATAAGCCTGACCATCTCCTTGACTGCAATGATCTGTAAGTATGACTCACAGGCTGCACCCAGGCTCAGAGGTAAACCTCTTCAGTTTGAAAATCAGGATGAACATGAATTTAAAAATCAAAACATTTGACGTAAAAATTCAAATTCTTACATGTTGTAACAATAAATAAGTGAAAGCAGAATTTCAGGCACAGAACAATGCATCCTTTCACTACATTAACTGGCTGGATCTGAGAAAGAGCTGTTCCTTTGGACATGGAATATCTTTGCAGTTTTCACAGCACACACCTCCCCGCCACTCTATTTAGCTTACCTGCATGATCCTCAGAAACTTTTGAGCTTGTGGCATCCAGGTAACAAGCCAAAACAATCAGCTGGTGTTCAGGACCTCCATGTTCCTAGCCTACCAAGGTTCCCACACCAATCTGTCCCCCTGGTCCTCCCTAGTCTTTTCTGGTCCTCTCCTGCTTGCAGCTGGAATAATGTCTCTATGAATGACAAGCTCTGCAGGTTGAATCTGGCTCATCCTGAGCCACATCCCCTCTGTGGAGTATGGGGCCTTCCTCAGCACCTGAGGCCCCTGGGGAAGTACTGGCTATCCTGGGACAGTCAACATTTGCTGCCCAATGTCCTGTCTCAAATCCTCAGGAAATGCCAAAATCCTCAAGAGCAAAGCCTCTGCCTCTTTCTCCTTTCCATTGCCCTAAGCTCCCTAAATGTAGGAAGTTCCCAATAAACCTTTGCCAATGAAGACAAGATAACATGCACAATTCTTCTTTATGTTGACAGGTGCTGATTCCACAGCTGCTCTGCCTACAGGTAGGACTGCATGTCACATTCAGTGTCAAATACTAGACTTACCCTGATGTAAAAAAGACTGTGAGGTTTAGAATCAGATCTTTATTTGATTCCCAGCATCATTTATTCATGCAACAGATATTGGCTGGGTGTCTACCCTGTGCCAACTTCTGTGCCAAGCACTGGGGATGGGGATACAGCGGTGGTCAAAACTGCCCTGTTTCTTCTTCTTCTCTTCTTTTTTTTTTTTTTTATTTTGAGATAGAGTCTTGCTCTGTTGCCCAGGCTGGAGTACAGCAGTACTATCTCAGCTTACTGCAACCTTTCTCTCCCGGGTTCAAGCAATTCTCCCTGCCTCAGCCTCCCAAGTAGCTGGGATTACAGGTGCCCACGACCACGCCTGGCAAATTTTCGTGTTTTTAGTAGAGATGGAGTTTCAGCGTTGGCCAGGCTGCTTTCAAACTCCTGACGTCGGGCCTCCTGATCTGCCCACCTTGGCCTCCCAAAATGCTGGGATTATAGGCATGAGCCACCACGCCTGGCCCCCTGTTTATTTTTTTAATGGGGTTTATACTCCAACAGGAGAGATACATGTGATATATAATCACCCTCAGTTACATAACCTCAGCCAAGTTATGTTATCTCTCATCCTATTTTCCTCTTCATGGAAGTAGGGACAGTAAAGAGCTTTGAATAAGGGCATGAATAGGGCAATGCCTAAGGGTACCTGTTACCCAGCAGCACTTATGCAGCAATGGCTGCTTGTTTTGGGCACATGTGGACCTAAGGAAGTAGGTGTGAGGGATGGTAAGGGTCTGGCCTGCAGGAATTTGATCCAGGCTGGCCTCTCACTGGATGAATGACCTTAGCCTTCAGTCTCCTCATCATTAGAACAGGCTTGTTGGATTCTATGTTCCCTAAAATTCTAATCCTTTGGCTTTCTGTGACTAATAAGGAGAGAGTAAGCAGCTACATGGTCTAGCTACATAATGCCTGTGCCACTGTGGAAAGCAAGAAATTGTTGCCAAAAACCAGAGACATAGGATTTGTAATAGGAATTAAGGGAGACTTCCTCCCCTACAACATTTTATTATGGAAATTTTTAAATATACAACAAAGTTTGAAGAATTTAACAAGGAACTCCTACCTAGATTCCATGATGAGTCTATAAATTCATCTTTCATTTCTGCATTCATACATCGATCCATCTCATTTTTTATTAAAGTTTGATTATATACCATAAAATGTGCCCATTTTAAGGTCCAGTTTGGTGAATTGTGGTAATTGTATCCAGTTGTGTAACTACTACCACAGTCAAAAACAGTTCCCATGCCGTGCAAGGCTTCCTCATGCCAATTCAGAGCAGATTCCAAGTCATGACAGTGGCATATGTAGGGAGGAGGCAACAGAGAGAGAGGTGCTGGCCAATGGATGGCCTCTAGACAGCCAGCCCCCTGGGGCCAACGGCCTATGAGCTTCGCTTTTGCTGATTGCCACAGGGTGCACATTAGTTCATCCACAGTAGCAATGTCATGTTCTGCCCTAAAAGGAGACCTCAGGGATCTGAGCTCATGGGCCTCAGAATGCCCCCTCACCATTATTCCTGCTGAATCCTGGGAGGGGATGGGCATCCCCTTGAAGCAACTGTATCCTCTCCCCATGTTGTGATGTTCCCTGATGACAGTCCTTCCTTTTTGCCCACCACTAGCCCATGAGAACCTGCTCCCCACATCATTGGTGATATCAGTGGCTCAACACCCACCGTCTTCTGCACCACCAGGTAGAGCTGTGTCTTTTTGTATTATGCCTTCTGAAAAACTTCATTCATTTGACAATGATGGATAGACAGAGAGGCAGAACAGACAGACAAGCGGGTTGAGAAACAAACGGACAGGTAGGCAGACAGGTAGATACAAAATCTTATCAGTATTAGGGGTATTCCAGGAGTGGATGACTAATGGCAACTTCTTTGTACTTAACAGTGAGTTTTTAAGAATGCAATTTGAATAAATTACAACTGATAGTGGATGGACTCTGTCATCTTCATATACACAGAAGCTCCACGTTGGCTCAGATTAATTGGGAAAACTGAAGCAGTACTTTACTCATTACTACTAGTGACTGGGCAAAAGTCAAAGCTACAGAGCCCACAACTAGCCAGAGAAAAACGTTCTGGCTGATATCGCGTAAGAGCTCTTTCCAGGCCAGGCGCGGTGGCTCACGCCTGTAATCCCAGCACTTGGGAGGCCGCGGTGGGTGGATCATGAGGTCAAGAGAGCAAGACCATCATGGCCAACATGGTGAAACCCCGTCTCTACTCAAAATACAAAAATTGGCTGGGCATGGTGGCGCGTGCCTGTAGTTCCAGCTACTCAGAAGGCTGAGGCAGGAGAATAACTTGAACCCAGGAGGCGGAGCCAAGATCATGTGATTGCACTTTAGCCTGGTGACAGAGTGAGACTGTGTCTAAAAAAAAAAAGGAAAAAAAAGAGCTCTTTCCAGCAAGCCCATGTAGATGGCAGAATTCTCAAAAGAGATGAGAAATGTTTCAAAATTCAGATGCATTTATCCCTTAATTTCTAAGTTTGCAAGGCTTTTTAGACTAGTTGATAACTTCTGATATGTCCTAAGACATAATCACAAAGTAATGACCAGTAAAATCCTTTTTGGAAAAAGAGTTTTTTTAAAAAAAGATGTGAATTACAAAATTAGTAAACTGAACAATCAAACAATCGAAATTCTAAAATATATTTCTGCATTTAGAAAAATCTCGGTGTGGTGGCATTATTACCAACTCATCTGGAGCGATTAGGAATCCCCCACAGAATGAAATGCATGACAACATCACTTGTGTGTGGGAAATCAAGGCAAATGCATCTGATCATATACTGCTGGCATTTCCACATCTTGAGTAAGTCATAAGCTGTTACTAATGTACTTTGTGTAGCTTTTTAACTTTCTTATTTTGTTTTTGACAGATAATAATTATATATATGTATAGGGTAGGATGTGTGTTGTGACACATGTATACATTGCAGAATGATTAAGTCAGTCTAATTAACATACCCATTGCCTCACATACTTACCATTTCTTTGTGAAAAGAACAGTTAAATTCTACTTTTCTAGCAATTTTGGAACATACAATACATTACCATTGCTAACTACAGTCACCATGACATGCAATGTATCTGTTAAACTTATTCCTCCTATCTAACTGAAACTTTGTACCCTTTGACCAAATTCTGTCTCTCCATGCACCTCCACCCTTACCCCCAGGCTCTGTTAACCATCATTCTACCCTCTATTTTTATGAGTTTAGCTTTCTAGATTCTGCCTAAAAGTGAGATCATGCAGTGTTTGTCTTTCCATGCCTGGCATATTTCACTTAACATAATGTCCTCTAGATTCACCCATGTTGCAAATGACAGAACATCCTTCTTTTTTGAGGCTGAATAGTATTCCACAGGCATATACACCACATTTCCTTTATCCATTCATCCATTGATGAACACATAGATTGTTCCCATATCTTGGCTATTGTGAGTAATACTGCAGTAAGCTTGGGAGTACAGATACCTTTTTGACATACCGATTTTAATTCCTTTGGATTTGTACCCAGAACTGGGATTGCTGAATGATGTGGTAGGTCTATTTTTAGTTTTTTGAGGAACGTCCAAGCTGTTTTCCATAATGGCTATACTAATTGACGTTTCCATCAGCAGTGTGTAAAGATTCCCTTTTCTCCACATCATTGACAACATTTATCTTTCTTCTCTTTTTATAATAGCCATTCTGACAGCTGTGGTGATATCTCATTTTGGTTTTAATTTGCATTTCACTCATGATTAGTAATGTTGGGCATTTTTTTCATATACTCATTAGCCATTTCTATGTCTCCTTTTGAGAAATGTCCATTCATGTCCTTTGCCCATTTTGTAATAGAGTTATTTGGTTTGTTGTTGTTGTTGTTGTTCCAACAACTGTTGTATCAACAGCTTGTTCCTTTTTGTTATTGAGAAGTATTCCATTTGTGTGGATGTACCAGGGTTAGTTTGATCATTTCCCCACTGAAGGACACTTGTGTTGTTTATAGTCTTTCACTTTTACAAATCAGTCTTCTATGAATGTTCATACACAGTTTTTTGTGTGAATATAAGCTTTTGTTTCTCTAGGATAAATCCCAAGAGTACAATTGCTAGGTTGTACAGTAAGTACACATTTAGCTTTTTAAGAACATACCAAACTATTTTCCTGAGTGACGACCATTACAAATTCTCACCAACAACATATGAGAGATCCAGTTTCTCCACATCTTTGATAGCTAGTATGGGGTATTATATTTTAGCTATTTGTAATTTGCATCATTCAAATCCTATGTATCTTTTATGAATTTATACTTAGGTATTTCTTTTATTTTTTATTTTTTGGGGTGATTATAAATGACACTGTGTTTTCCATTTTAGTGTCCACATGTTTGTTGCTAGTATAGAGAAATACAATGATTTTTATGAGTTTTCATGAATTTTTAATTAAAATGAAATTGACCTTTTATTCTTCGGATAAGTGTGTGTGCATGAGAGAGAAAAAGAGCAGAGAAAGAGAGATAGAGAAAGAGAGAGAGAGTGTGTGTGTGTGTGTATTCTGGACTGCTGGTTACAGATATAAATTCTAGGGTACCCCAGACGTAATAAATCAGGAAATTTTAGATTTTAATGTTTTAAATGGTAATTCACTGATGACAAATTCATGGTGAATTTTTTGTGGAAATCAGCCCCTACGAACAAGTTAAATTATTTATTATGCTTGAATTTTGTTTAATCGAAATATGGCTTGGAACAGATGGCTCATCAGATTGAAGCATGAAAGTGGTTTTTGGATTCTAGCACTGGGAACATCTGAACAAAACATCAGAGTAAAAAACAGTAGCTGACAAAATCAGATAACTTCCACAGAGCAAGTGGTACCCACTTTCCTCTGGGTGGGTCTACTGCCAAACACTTGTAAATGCATTATTTACAACTTGGAACCACATCCTACTGGCAGGCCCATGAGAAGCAAGCAGCCTCTCCCTTTTCCCGGGCCCCTCAATCACCACATGGTGAAACTGCCTTGATTTCCCAGGCCCTTCCCTTGGCCCTAGGCTGTGAAGTACTCTGCCATCTTGGGCTGCTTCCAGGAGCACATTTCGTGCCAGCCTCCTCTTTCCTCTTCCAATTAAAATCCCATTCCCTTAAAGCAATGTCTCTTAGAAAAAGTAGGATCAAAGGAACCCATGCTATGTTTAAATGACTGCCACGCTTTTACTCTATCGCCAACATCTTTGTAGTAACAAAGTGAAGTATCTGTCTCACAGCATGCCTCAAATGTCTTCTAATGAGGAAACTGAGAGGCATCCATGGTGTTTGCTTCCCCAGCCTTGACTGCACCAATGAATATTTTGAAATCCTGGACGGTCCACCATCCTCAGTAAAGTCATTGGGGAGGACCTGCTCTGGCTTCCAACACACCTACATCTCCTCCTCCAGCTCAATGACCCTCGTGTATTTCCGAAGCTTCAACAACCTAGGATAAAACTTCATTGCTTATTATTACTCTGCACCCAAAGGTAAGAATAGTGGTAAAGAGCAACAGTTCCAGAGCTGGACTCTCTGGCTAGGAGCGAGTCACAGTCCTATCACTTACTCTGTGACCTTGGGCAAGCAACTTGACCTCTCCCAGCCTCAATTCCTTTCCTGCATAATGGGGACAACAAGGAACCCTTACTTTCTAGGTTTATTGTAAGGGTTACATGCAATGAGGTAAGTAAAACACTTTGCAAAGTGATGGCACGTCATAAATGCTTGATAATGGGCTGCTTTATCATGAGCTTTTTCCTTTTACATGAACATCTCATCACAGTCAGCCCATTAGAAAGTCATTTCTGAAGTTATTCTGAATCTAGTACTAGGTAGGTGTTTTAGGACCTGCAGAAGAAATCATAGTCTCAGCCTGAGAGAGGCTCATGTACAACCAAGAGGAAGTTTAAGGCAAACACAAGGGGTATGCATAGAGGACAAATAGAAACACTAGAAGAAGGCAAACAATAGAACAGATAAATATACGAGAATATACTAAATTGACATATGCATGCACCTGTGCAAAAGACATTAGGAAAGAGAGAGAGTGCTATATAGGTTACAAGTATTAAGGAAACATTGAGGGGAAACGGCTTCTAAAGCTGGCTAGGCTATAGGTAGAGAAAGCGAGATAGCACATCAGGTGAGGTAACAGCATGGCCTAGAGATAGGATATATAAAGTGTGTGGCAAGAAGGCAGATGGACTAAGCCAAAGGTGCCTGTTGAAGTGCTGGGTACTCAGGGTTAGGCAATAATAACAACAACAGTGATCAAAATGCTCAAAATATCAGCTAACATTTACTGAGTCCCTATTACATGCCAGGCAGCATTTTAAGCACTTCACATATGCTATCCTCACACAGACCCATGGTTCTTCCCCTTTTACAGATGAGGAAACTGAGACTTATGAGGTTCAGTAATTATCCAAGGTTCTACATTATTCACCACTAAAAGAAAACGGGCAGAGCTCATGAAACTGCAAATAACTAGTATCCACTTTTTCCAAGACATTGTTCAAAACAGTCTCTTGTATTTTACCAAGTGCCAGGTTGACTCACTAAGCAAGCTTTGGAAACATGCTATAAAACACAAAGGAGATGCTCTGTGCACCAAAGTAGATCATGAAAAATCACCGTAATTGATGTTAAATGGCTATTGACGATGTATTTCCTTGTACTTGCAGAGGCAGTGTTGCAGACCCCACATCTAATCAGTGAGTCACGTTCATGCTGTTACTCAAATTTCACCCCTAATTTCTTCTTGTGTCCCCTCTCCCAGTGCTTTTACTCTCATTATTTGCTCTGTCTCTCATAGATGATTCCAAATTCCCTGTATAAATCTTCTGTAGATGAGAGATTCTGTCTGCACAGTTTCTGCACAAATATGATGCCCATTTACACTGGAACCAAGTTATGCCTATCAACGATTGAGTCTTTGCATATTGATAATTTTTTATTTGATCTCCTTTTTTGTGTTTATCAAAGCCAGTGACTCACTTAATCAGATACTCACTTTTAGGGAAAGTTAACAAAGCAGAAGCAAGCAGAAGAAACAGCTGTTTTCCCCAGGACACTGATAGTGAATGTTTGCATTTTTGCATAGAATAGCACAATCTAAATATTGTTATATTTATGGTAACTGAGCAGAAAAAGAGAATTTTTTTTTTGACCCCACATACCTGAGAAACATAAAGACACACGTGAAAACAGAGTTTGATTTGGGAGATCACATGTTACAAAGATTACAGGGAAAAAGAATCAGCCAGAATCTTGGCATTTACTGAAGACTGATCCCAGAATGCTGCCCTCTTGACTTGCCCAAGTCGTCCCTTCTTAATTATGGGAGTCTTCTTGTATCCACAGCCATCCCGACAGCAACACCCAGAACAGTAACAGCAAGAGCAGGTAAGCCCTGAAATGCATTTATTCATTTACTGACTGTGTCCTTTCCTCTCAGCACCTGCATTTGTATCCTCACCTGTATCTGCTTCATGCACAGAAACTGGACCAACTGCAAATAGTGCATCTATTTGCAAATGGGACATTTGATTCTGCCCAAACTTTTAGAGACATTCAAAACTTTTGGGATCTTTTGGCTCTAGCATCCCAGGATGAGTAAACTTCATTTTTTGGTACCTTTCAGAGTCATCAAAGCTTGAGCAGCTTACAAGTACTTTCTAGTGGGGTTCTATCTTTCCACCTTATGACCAGTACTGATCATGGTTAGCTCCCCATCCTCATCACCAATAGACTTTAGCAAAGTAAGTGGAGTGTCAGAGCCATTTCAGAGGCAGTGAGATAGAATAGCAGAGAAAAAATTGTGAACTTTGGAACCAGGAGACCGGACTTTAGATCTGCTGCTTACCAGTTGTGGGATTGGGAGTGAATCACTTTGCTTCTCCAACTTTCAGTTTCCTCATAGATAAAATTGGTACACCAATACTCTTCTGTTTACCTTCCTGAGTTATGATAAAGGTGGAGGTGAACACACACACACACACACACACCACACTTTCTAAAATCACAAATCACTGTGCAAATTATTTGTTTTTCTGCACTTAGCCAAAACAAATGGGCACATACCTCTGGAAAAATAGATACTCAATTAATGGACTTTTAGTGCTACAGACAATCCTAATGGCTTTGCAACTTCCAACTAAGAGGTTGAATAGTTGACCAAGTACAAGGTTCTCCACTAGTAGTAGTATGGGGTGGGGAGCTCAACACTCATGGGAAGGGTGCAGTGCCCCCAGAGGACAACAGTCACCAGATCTCTCTCTGCAGGGGACTGGCCGGAGCTGCAGCTGGTGGGTGGCTCTGGCCGGTGCTCAGGACGCGTGGAGATTCTCCACCAGGGCGCCTGGGGCACCGTGTGTGATGACCTGTGGGACCTGAACGAAGCTGAGGTTGTGTGCCGGCAGCTTGGGTGTGGTCGAGCCATGTCTGCCCTTGGAAAGGCCCACTTTGGCCCCGGCTCAGGAGACATCTTCCTGGACAACCTCCAGTGCGCTGGTGTGGAGCGCTACCTGGGCCAGTGCACCCACTCGGGCTGGTCAGAGCACAACTGGCCACCACGAGGATGCCAGTGTCATCTGCTCAGGTATCTTCTCCCCTCTAATATGGGCACTGCCAGTCCTAGAGTGCTTCAAAATCTCCCTGCCAGTGTTCAGAGTCAGCCTGGAACAAAAACAGAATCCTCAAACATTTAGCATTTGATTTTTGCTGTAGCTTTTCTAACTTGGTTAAATAGATGAGGTTTTATCCGCTAGCCTCCAATATAAAACCTCGTTTTCTAATTTGGTAGCAAGTATTACCAAAGGTGTGTGTGCTTTACTGAAATATGCAAATAACATGTTTAATGGTGAGAATTTTTTAATGATGGGAATAAGGAGCTCATTGAAAGAGGCAGCCTGCAGTAGCCAGGCTAGGGGAGACTTTAGAGCTAGGAAGACTTGAATCTGGCTTCCAGAGCCTGTGCTGACACACAGACTGTATGTGAGCAACACTTAAACTCTCTCTTAAACATATTGGTAACTCTTATTGCCATGTCCTCACTCAATCACCACACCAAGGAAATCTGTGCACTAACCTGACTTATTTCAATTGGCTTGTGACAATTTTTAAAATATTTTCTGAATTTTCTTGTGTATAAACAGCTACGAGTAAGTTAGCCACCTCTGGAATGTCTATCAATAATCCTTTCTGATAATGAGATGCCTTTTGGTAAACTAACAGCTGTAATAGCTGATGTGATTTGAAAAAATCAGTAATCATAACTCAAAGGAGGAGGGTTTGTTGCACAGAGTTGCCCACATGAGAAGCAACTCAATTGCATGTCAGTACCTGCTAACCGTGACCTGTAATTTGAAGTGCATACTTAAAGACATTGTCTTATGTGTTGGTGCATTCATTTGTCTATTTACCTTGTGACATCTTATCATGGGTGACATGTATCCTAGTGACAGCCTCCTGGGTATATGTTATTCCCACGTCTCAATCTTCCAGAGGATGATTGTCTAAATCTGAGGTCCCCCCAGAGACACCAAAAGTGAAACACCTGCTGCAAAATTGATGGTTTAAGTCAGATCATCCCAAATGTACCTTTGCATCCGGCCATTTTTACATAACTTGGTACAAACCAACAACCAGAGAGAAACTTACTTTCATTATCTACAGATGAATCTGCTTCTCCCAGTACTATGTTTTTTAAAAGGACTAATTTTTCCCACATCAGATTAATAAATGCGTATAACGATGGAACTAAAACCTTCATCTTCAGTTATTAAAGTCAGGATTTCCAAAAAATACTGATATACTTATTCTCTCTACAAACAGATGCTGAAGAATCACTTGCTAACAGTCCAGGTCAGTCACACCTTTTGTTGACGGGAGTTAAATATCAGCTGTTCTTGATTTTGTCCTTAAGCTATTTGTTTTTTCAGTTTTAAGTTCACTCTTTATCTAAACTGCAGGGTTTTTCACACCACTGATATTCTATTAGAAAGTCTTATTTAAAAATACTTTTGATTTTTTACATGTGATGATGATGATGATGTGTGTGTGTGTGTGTGTGTGTGTGTGTGAAGTCTATATTTTTTGGAGATGCATGCAGAGTGAAACGGTGTTTCATGGCCTTTTCGCATACACTATTCCTCTGGCTCAGGGCACTTTTTCAGCTCTTCCCCTGACTAGCTCCTTCTCAGTTTTTAAAGAGGTGTCCTCCAGCCCTTTCCTCTCTATTGTCCCCTTCATAGCATCCTGTTTTTCCCCTCTTTGGCCCATTTATCACAGTATGCAATGATGCACTGTGGCAGTGCCTGCATTTGACTAATAAATAGACTCCAGGCTCCCTGAGGACAGAAATCACATCCCTGGTTTAGAGCTGTATCATCAGTGCCTAACATAAAAGACAATCAATAAGTACTTAAAATGAAATTAAATTGTCTGAAGACCCCACAACCTGCAACTCAGGAACACGTGAGAAATCTGAGGAAAAAGCCCCAAGGCTCAAGACTGGGGAATGTCCCTCCCTAACCCTCTCTGAGCTGGCACTGGTGGACCCAGGCGGGGTCTTTTGGGAAATCACATGCTGTGTCTCTGTCTGCAGAGGGCTGGCCGGAGCTGAGGCTGATGGGCGGCTCAGGCCGGTGCTTGGGGCGCGTGGAGATTCTCCACCAGGGTGCCTGGGGCACCGTGTGCGACGACCTGTGGGACCTGAATGAAGCCAAGGTTGTGTGCCGGCAGTTGGGGTGTGGGCAGGCTGTTTCTGGCCCTGGCGAGGCCCACTTTGGCCCAGGCTCAGGAGACATCTTCCTGGACAACCTCCAGTGCACTCGGGTAGAGCACTACCTGGGCCAGTGTACCCACTTGGGCTGGTCAGAGCACAACTGTGGCCACCACGAGGATGCCAGTGTCATCTGCTCAGGTAACATATCCCCTCTCAGCCAGTGATTTCTGATGCTGCAATTGTGACATTTTGAAATTCTGCATCCTGGGTGGCATTTTCATCCATCCATCCATGTGTCTGCCCGTTTCTGAAGCATCTCCTTGAGACGCCATGGGCAGCTCTGGTTGCACAGGAAATTACTAATTACTTGGCATGAGCACCATCTGGGCATTACAATGTAGATTCTAGGGTCCCACCTCCAGAGATTATGACTAAGTAGGAAAAAGTCTCTGGAATCTGCATCTTAACAAGTGGTTCAGGGATTCTGCATAAGAAGGGACAAAGGCAATCCAGCCCTGGCTGCTATGGGACAGAGTTGACCCAGCTGCTGTCCCCCAGCCTCCTAGGCCAAGGACCCTGCCAGAGGAGGGTTGAAGTAGCCCAAGGGGTAATTCCAGTATTCTGGTTTCCTATACCTTGTCACCCCAAATAGAGTAACCTGTCACCTTTATGCATTCAGATGCGGAAGACCTACCTCCACCCACACCTCCAGGTATGTCCATATGTTTTTCTAATTCAGGCAACTTACTACTACTACTACTACTCATAAAAGCAGCAAATACTTATAAGTATTTGCTGTAATAAGTAATAAGTAAGAACCAGGCACTGTTCTGAGCCCTTCACATATATAACTCTTTCAATCCCCTCAATAGCCCCTTGAGACAGGTTCTTGGATTATTCATATTTTCCAGATAACCTGAGACATTGAAAGTTAGCAAGGTGCCCAGGGCTAGCCAGGGTATCTGAACCCAAGCTGTCGATGCTCTTGGCCATTAGCCTTATTTACCCATTCCTTGGCTCAGCTACACAAAGACCAGGGAAAACTCGAGTAAATGTGGGGAGACGTTTTGCTCAGATCATTGCTAATCATCAGGACAATCCTGCCAAAAGGCATTATCTATTATATTTTACAGAAGAGAAAATTGAGACACAGAAAGGTTAAGTAACTTTCTCAGGATCACTCAGTAAGTTAATGACCCAAATTTTGACACTGATCAGTCTGGCCCCAAAGTCATGCTCTTAGGGATCTTATGACTTTTACCTCTTTTCAAAGATCTTACAAATGAATTATTGACTAATATTCATCTGTAATAAAAACCAAATATTAGAAAAATCAGACCAACTACATGCACTGTGAATTCTGAAATGATGCTGAAGGTGATTGAAAGGTGATTTCACAGCTGAGGATTAGGGAGATCAAAAAACCTACCGAAGATAACTTGATTAGAAAGTGGCAGGACTGGAATTTACAAAGCCATCTCTCACCCTTTGAATGCACCTGGCTGTCCCCTACACAGCCTCAGTGAACACAGATAAGCCATCATCCATTGGCAGAAGCATCTCTCTTGGGCACTTGCCTGGAGAAGACCTCGATGTGTCCTGGTGTTCTTGAAGGAAGGCCAGCTTTACCCATTGGTACCATGAGTGAGAAGGGAGGGACTGCCTAAAGTTAAAGGGCCATGGTTAGGGTCAAGGGCAGTGGATATTCCAATGAAGATCATCTGTAGTTTTCTCATTTTATGGACAGCAGGGAAATGAGAAAAATGAGATTGAGTGAAAGGAGCCATTCTGGTTATCTATTGCTCACCGAAACTTAGCAATATAAAGTAACCACCATTTAGATGTATGTTATGTCTTTGAGGGTCAGGAATTCAGGCAGGGCTCAGCTGGGAGACCCTTCTGCTCCACAGAGCATTGAGCAGGGTTGCTCAATGGATTTCATCTGATGACTGGTCTGGAGAATTCAAGACAGCTTCACTCATATAGTTGGTGCCTTGGTGGGATCAGCTGGAAGGAAAGGCTCAGCCACAGCCCTCTTCCTTTTTAGGTGGTCTCAGGTTACAAGAAGTCTGACTACCATGCTGAGAGACCATGCACACTCAGACTTCTTTTTGTTTGTTTGTTTGTTTGTTTTTGAGACAGAGTTTCACTCTTTCGCCAAGGCTGGAGTGGAGTGGTGCTATCTCTGCTTACTGCAACCTCCGCCCCCCAGGTTCAAGCAATTCTCATGCCTCAGCTTCCAGAGTAGCTGGGATTATAGGCACCATGCCCTGCTAATTTTTGTATTTTTAGTAGAGACAGGGTTTCACCATGTTGGCCAGGCTGGTCTCAGGTGATCCACCTGCCTCAGCCTCCCAAAGTGCTAGGAATACAGGCGTGAACCACTGCACCTGGCCACACTCAGACTTCTTGTAAGGTGGGTTAGGGCTCCATGAGCGAGCCAGTGTTCCCAGAGATGGGAGGTGGAAGCCACCAGTCTCTTAAGGTGCAGAGCCACTGCCACCATATTCTGTTGGTCAGAGCAGTCACAGAACCCACCCAGGTTCAAGGGAGGTTACCTAGACCCCACCTTGTGACAGGAGGCATGTCTAAGAATTTGTGGCCTTCTCTAACCTGCCACAGAACCATAGAAAATATTGACTCAGCACCTTCAGTGCAGACTCTTCTCAGTTTGCACTAAGTACATTGATGTTTCTAAGGAAACCCTTTACATTTTACTGACTTATAGATAAGACTAAATATTTTCATCTGGATGTCATCATTTTCTGCCTTTTTTCCCTTTCAGATTCTTCTACAGCTTCTCAGGATCACATAAAAGGTAGCCTTTTATTTTAAATTGAAATGCTCATTCCATGTCAAGAGAACTATTGTGGCAAATGCTGGGCAGTATGCCCAGGACATAGCACAACAGAGCCTGGCACAGTGTGGGCAAGGGGTCTGCTTCTCTGCTGCCACTCTGTGTAATATAGTCTGTAAAAAATACTGACTTTACAACAAAAGGATCAGACTGGGAAGGGGGATGTGTATCTGCCCAGGTCAGACATCTGGCCCATACTCAGCCTTCCCTCTTTGGGTACAGTCCTATAGAAGGAACCAGCCCATTATCCCTTGCCACGTGTAGAGATTTCAGAAGGTCCAACTCCCAGAGGTTTCAGTGTCAGCCTGACCTGGCCTCATTATTGTAGCTTATAAATGTGGTCAGTGATAAAACTACCAGATGACCAGGAGCATCATCGCTTCCTGCTGTCCATCTCAGGAAAGACGAGGAATCTGTGGGATTCTGGGAGGATCACAAGTTGTCCAAGAGGAACAGAAAGTAGAAAAATTAAGCAACTTCATATTTTAGGGACAAGGTCAATAAAGAATATTGTACTTTCACATTTCCTCCAAAATAATTTTGTGTGAAATCTGCTTTCTTTGTGTGAAATCCTGTTTTAAATACATACATGTATGTGTGTGTATCTATCTATGCTAATATGACAACATACATGAAACTATTAGATTTCACTGTTACCTTGTTTAACCCTTATAAATCCAAAATCCTGCAAGTTCCAGTCTCAGACTAAATATCTGAGTTAAAGGAAACATAATCTACCCAGCAAAAGTGAGGCAGAGTACTTAAAGAAGGTGCTGGTCATAACATCCCCTGACAGATCAGTGTCCTTTTCCCTTTACCTACAATTCATCAGAACCCAAAGTTGTTCTAGAACCTCTTGCTCCCCAAACCTCCCCAAACTCTCCCCTTTCCCAAGCACATGTGGCCTCTGTTTCTTCATCTCTCCTTCCAGTCTCTCATTACTCTGTCCCTCCCCAGCAAGCAGAACCCCTACTTTAGAGAGGGGGAGAAAACTGTAAGCAGAAAGGACAAATTGCACATTTTCTTTATCAGGTGCTGAGAGAGAGGGAAAAGCAGGGAACATTCACACATTAATACTTTTTGCTTCATCAGAATTAGATTTAATAGACTCTCCTTCCCAAGAAACATTTAAGCTAAAGGTCTGCTCAGACAGCCTGTGCATGCCCACCCAGGCCGATTGGCGCCCAATTCTACCAGACCACTGCATGTAAACTGGTCTTTATTAGGATTACACAATGATGCCAAATGGACACATTCTGACACCATTTTTCCTGTTGTTTCAGGAGGAAGTAACTCTTGTGGAGGGGTCATTTCTAGTCTCTCTGGCTCATTTTCTAGTCCACAGTATCCAGAAAACTACCCAACAGATATCCAGTGTGTTTGGGAGATCCACATGGGTGCAAAATTTCACATAGAACTCATAATTCCAAGTTTGAAGTAAGAAAACTTTTAAAGAGAACGTTCTATGTAAATAAGAATATTGATTTGTGAAATCATATTAAAGGTATTTCTTTTAGTGGGAAACATTTAAGAGTGAAAGCAGAAGCACCCAACATTCTATAGTTTTTCCAAGTCAAATTTTGGGTTAGCTTTGTAGCACTATCCAATGAGTTACTTCTTAGTTGAAAAATTCAGTAAGTGATTTATTAACATATTTTGATAGTGTTTCTTTTTTTTCTAAAAATGTCACAAAAATCCTCAACAGTTTTGCCCTTATTGTACACTGGGTATCAATATTTGTCCTCTTAGACTTTCTTATTTGAATCCAAATTTTAAACGGTAAGAGAATTTTCATACACACATTAGCCAACTACTCCAGCTTTGGGTCCTGCATCTTCTAAATGTTTTGCAAAGTAAGAGGAGACATTAATGTCATTGCCTTATCTCTGACATAAAGAGAATAAATGTTCGAAAGTCACTGACATTTTTATCTCTATGACATAAAATAACAGCTGATGTTTTAATGCTAGCCCAGACTTTGTATGCTTTGTCATATTCCAGGGTTATACAGTCCAAAGATAGACGTCTTTGTCATCTCCATTAGAGATGAGGAGTCTGAGGCTCAGAGAGGATAACTAATTTGCCCAAGGCCAACCCATCTAGATCTGTCTGATGTCAATGACCCATCTGTTCACCAATATGTGGGTCTGTAAAAGAGTCTGCATGAAGCCCTTCTTCTTGTGCATGACACACATCGTGTTACAAACACAGCAAGACTGTAGAATTCCATGATCATTAGCTCCAGGCATGCACTGAATTGCGTTCCATCATGACTGTACCACAACCATGGATTCAGACATGCACTAAGCCAAAAATGCCTCAGGATATATTTGTTGACTAAAACTTTAGGGACACAATTAGCCACAATGAGGTAAGGACCTTGAACCCACACCTCCAAATTCTATTATGTTATCCATTGTCTGTTCCTTCAAAATTGCTTCCCCTTACCTTTCTCGTGAATAATTGCCATACTATTCTTCTATATCCTGCCACCACTTTTATTTTAAAATCAAGTTTTTTCCTACCCAAGAATTCGAGTATGGCAATTATTGTGAAACACAGAAGTAGGAAAAATCTGGCCGTGATGTCTGTTACATGCTGATCTTTGGGGTGATCTGACTGTTATGAATTTAGTTGCAGAGTAAATTAGTATTTCCTAATGTCCTATGTAGGTTGTGATTGGCCAAAACCATTATAATTTTTAAACTTCTGTTATGAGATTGTAGCTGAAAGCCCCACACATTCCTTAGCCAAAGAAAATAGAGTTGTGATAGGTCATCTGAAAAAATTAATTAGTATTTTACATTTCAGTGTGCAATTTAAATATAATCCAAATATGTAATCTCTATGATTGTCACACTTTTTTAGCATTAAATTTTAGGAAGTTTCTAATCTGCCACTACCCCTCCATGTCTATTCACCCCAGGTTGGAAGATATCCTTGGATGTCCCTATGACTCCGTTGAAATCTTCAATGGTCCCAGGATTGCCTCGCTCTCCATGGGGAAGTTCTGTGCCCCTGAAACTGTGATATTCTTCTCCTCCTCACACATCATGACAGTGGTGTTCCAAAGTGATTCTATGAAAACCAACACTGGCTTTTATGCTCTTTTCAATGCCATTCCTCAGGGTGAAAGGGAGTCAGGTAGGAAACTTCAAGTAGTTTTTGGTGGTTAAAAGACAGAACAGATTCTAACTTCAGAGTCTCCTTTGCCAGTAGAGCCCTAGGATTCAGTCTTTTAAGACCCCCACACTAGCTTCATTAACCCTGCTCCATAGCTGCTAGATTTTCCCACCATGAAGGCCACATGGGAAGCTACAATGAGGCAGTCATGTGCATTCTGTGTGTGAGTGGCCAGGCTGCTACTGCCTGCAGGGAAAAGCTGGGTGCTATGAACCGTCCTGGGGCTGCATCCACCCTCCACAGCCTCTTGGTAACTGTCCAGAGTGCTGAAATGTGGAAGTTCAACACTCGTATGACAAGACTCCACTTCCTCCACGAGCTGGCCCATTTTATACCTTGCATACATTGAAACCTAGTCTCACCCAAATGAGAGCCTTGGGGATTCCTGTTAGCCATGACCCTGCAGGCAGTCATGACCCTGCAGGCAGTCATTCCAAAGCCAGGTCCAATTTGCACCCTGCAAGCACACTGCCTGCCAAGTGTGAGACTTCTGATGCTGAGAGGCCCCTACAGAAACCCCAGAAATTCTTTTAGGCCACCAGAAAGCCAGATAGTAAGTCCCTGGATGTGGTTTGGGGTTTGCTTGTATCGGAGTAAGGGAATTTCTTGTATATTTCACCCCTAAAGCAATGTTCGAAACTCTGCCCTGGCAAAGCAAGGTAAGCTCCAACATTTGAAATCCAGACACTCATTAACTCAAGACCACCATTTAGCCATTTAACAATAGTTACAGAGGTCCTATTATATACCAGGTCCAGTTGTAAGTGTGGGAGCATGGTACAGCTCCGTGCCCTCATGGAGTTTATACTCTAGTGTGGACGTGGGTAAGTGAGAGAGGATCAAAACACAAGAAACAAGGAAATAAACAAACTGGTTTTGGGGTAAGGATGATAAAGGACAGAGGTGAAGGCTGGGAATAAGGAGTCAGGTGGGAGAATAGAGGGTGCCTGAGTAGAGTAGGTGCTACTATGGGCTGGATGAGAATGGATGGTATCTCTGAAGACGTGGCATGTGATGAATGACAAAGAAAAGCATTACAGGTGGAGGAAAGACTTGGGCATGTTGAAGCAACAGAAAGAAGGCCAAAGTGACAGAGCCAGTGGACACAGTAAGGGAAGGCTGTCCTTACAGTGCCTCCAGAGATAGCAGATAATTCTTTTTTTTTTTTTTTTTTTTTTTTGAGACGGAGTTTCGCTCTGTCGCCCAGGCTGGAGTGCAGTGGCGCGATCTCGACTCACTGCAAGCTCCGCCTCCCGGGTTCACGCCATTCTCCTGCCTCAGCCTCCCGTGTAGCTGGGACTACAGGCGCGCGCCACCATGCCCGGCTAATTTTTGTATTTTTAGTAGAGACGGGGTTTCACCGTGTTAGCCAGGATGGTCTCGATCTCCTGACCTCGTGATCCGCCCGTCTCGGCCTCCCAAAGTGCTGGGATTACAGGCGTGAGCCACCGCGCCCGGCCAAGATAGCAGATAATTCTAATCGGCCACAGCCCTTCAGTCCAGATAGAGCATTGCCACTGTGTTCTATGAAGTCACAGTCACCCTTGTGGTCCAGGTGCGTTTCAGGGGATTAAATCTACCCTTATTCAAGACACATATAAAAAAGCAGCTGGGAACCTGCTCTCCTGTAACCCAGCATTGTGACACAAAAACCATATGTCAAGTTCTGCAGTAACCCTGACGTGCTGGGTGCTGAGCACACTCTCATTGGTAGCATCTCCTCCAGATGCTGCTAGAGTCCTTATTTTACAGGTGATAAAACTGAGGGTCAGGGAGACAGTCACTTATCAAAATTTACACAACTAGGAAGCCATAGAACAAGGATTCAAACCCACTTCCTATCTCACTCTGAATCCCTTAAGCCTGATTAAATCAGTTGGCTTTAAGGTTTTGCTCTTGTGGTTGCCTTAGCCACAAACACAGAAGCCAGAAATCACTTGCTACTTAAAACTTATCAAACTCAAAAATAAAATTTTGCTCTGTTTAGAAGATGGACCAGAGTTGCGGCTGGTGGGTGGCTCTGGCCAGTGCTCAGGACATGGGGAGGTCCTACACAAGGGCTCCTGGGGCACTGTGTGTGATGACCTGTGGGATCTGAATGAAGCTGAGGTTGTGTGCCAGCAGCTCGGGTGTGGTAAGGCCATTGCTGCTCCTGGAAAGGCCCACTTTGGCCCAGGTTCTGGAGACATCCTTCTAGACAACATTCAGTGTTCAGGAAGTGAGAACCACCTTGGCCAGTGGCCCAGCTCCGGCTGGTCAGACCACAACCGTGGCCACCATGAGGATGCCAATGTTGTCTGCTCAGGTGGCCTCTCCTTCCATGATAGATTCCTTCTGATCTTTCACCCAAAGACATCCTAGTGATGGATGAAGGCCATGCATGAAGTGGGGCCAGGGAATTTTGGGACAGTGGCCCAACAGATGAATGTCCCTTTGGCCAGGTAGACAGAGAATGCTGTGAGCCTGGCTCCATTCTGAGGACAAACACAGCAGAGCCACACAATTGGCTGCTTCTGTTCTCTGCACCTCTCCCATTTCTGGAACTGCTTTTCCAGGTCTAACCATGCCCTCGTTTTTGTTTATGTAACATACGACCTGCCTGCTTGAGAACTGCCCACACTAGAAAGCCACCATTTCTTTGTCTTCATAGAATGTAATTTAGATTTTTCTAAATTTTTCTTGTATGCATGCAGATGCTGGGGACTGGGCTCCAGATGTGATTCCTCCACCCCCAGGTAAGTCCAACACTAAATTTGCACTATCTTGGCAAAGTTAAAAAAAAAGTAACCTCTCTCCTGACCTAGACACTGGTCAACAATGACTAGGCTGGTGATTCCCAATTCTGGCTGCACACCAGAATCACTCAGCAAGCTTTTGAAATTCCTGGTGCCCAGGCTGCATCCCTGACCTGTCACCTTAGAGTCTCTGAGGTCACTCCCAGACATCAGTGATATTTGAAGCTCCCTGTGTCATTCCAATGTGCAGCCAAGGTTGAGAACTAGTGCTTAGGCAAGGAGCTAAGAGCCATATTTCCCAAATGGAATCACATTCAAAACTCTCTTCTGGTGGCAGAGCAAGGGAGGGCAGGAGGAGAAAGACTGAGTCACTATGGCTGAGAAGAAGGTCGATAGGGAGAAGAGAGACCCTGGAAAGGTTGTCTCTTAGGTACATGGGTTAGAAAATGAAAGTATGCAGGAAAGAAAAGATACATCGAGTGTCAAACTGTCTCCCAGTGAGTCAAGAGCAGACTGCTGATGAGAAGTAAACCATTTAGGGCTCTTCCGTGGCCCTCCTGGCTTAGCCAACACAACAGAGTGGACTTACTGGTAAACTACTCAAAGTCAGTGTGCAGCAGTGACCTTCTCCCGAACTCAAGATTCTGAAGTATGTGGGGTCCTGCCTCCTGCAGCCTCCTGCTTCCCAGGGATGG
The DNA here is from genome assembly GCF_000001405.40 of Homo sapiens. Lineage (NCBI taxonomy): Eukaryota > Metazoa > Chordata > Mammalia > Primates > Hominidae > Homo > Homo sapiens. The sequence continues at coordinate 122,789,648 of NC_000010.11, forward strand.
GTTCTCAGCTGCCCCCTTCTCTGCTCCCTGGGCCCCTGGGCCCTGCCCAGCCTCTTCCCTAACCCTGCCCAGTGACTGATGCCACACTCTGTCCCCAGCAGGGGCCTGGACACTAGGAAGCTATTGGGATCAGGGGTGCATTTTGTGGCATTTCGGGGCCCAACAAGGTAGATGGCAGCTGTCCGTACCCTGGGCTGGCAGAACCATGGCACATTTGCCAGGACACTCTGTGGAGGTCTCTTGCCCATTCCAGTCCAGGTCCCAAGTACGTCCCAAGATGGAGACCTCCATTCCTTGTGGGTTGCCCAGCTGCCATGGGTCAGGGCAGTAACCTGTAGGAAGGGGAAAGTGGTTTCCCCACCCCTGGCCAGGGCCCCACATTTTCATTTTGCACTGAGACTCACAAATTATGTAGCTGCTCTGGAGGGGAGGCAGAGTGCACAGAACCCCTTCTCGGGTTTAACAAGCAGCTACACTCTCTTTGATTCCCTCTGGCTTTCTTCCTCTTCCCCAGTGAGGAGTCTGTTCTGGCCTGGGCCCTGGAAGGAGGAAAAGACAGCAGGAGGAGAGGGGATGGTTTTCAGTTCATCAACAGCTCTAGGCCCAAGTCCCCTTGGAGCCTGGGGTTTCAAACCTCAGAAAGCCTTTCTGTCTTCTTTCTGCTGTAATATCCATTTTCTGAGGCAGAGGTGCATAGCTGGCTGGAAAAAAGAAGGGGTCATGGGATTAAGGAAACTATGGAGGGAAATACAACCACTTATGTCTAAATAGTATCCCACTGTAAGCATGAATCAAAAAAAATTCTTATTGATAGAACATTATATACCTACCAAGACACAAAAATATAAGGCTTTTGCCATTTAATACTCTGAGATAAATATCACATATCAAGCATTTTAACAAAAGAAAATTGCTTCTGAGCCACTTTAAGTTAGTGAAAATGTATTCCAGTGATATAGTGCACTTCTTCAGGCAAAGGACTGATGACAGGTTAAGTTGACCGTGTCCATCACTTTCACTGCTCTGCACATTGCTGCAGTGCTGGCCAAGGAGCAAAACAATGGGGATAAAGGAATTCTCAAGTACATCTGACATGTTTGCTTCAAATTCCTCCCCCAATAAACCCTTGGTGTAAAATCCAAACATTTAACAGCATTCTCATGATCAGGCTTTCATAGCTGCCCTCCCCTCAGCACCTGCTATGCAGGGGGTATTGAGGACACACATAGAATATAGACGTGCAGCAGGCCTTCTGTATCCATGATCCCACATCTGTGGATTCAACCAACTGTGGATCAAAAATATTCAGGAAGAAGAATCAATAGTTACATCTGTATTGAACATGTACAGACTTTTTTTCTTGTCTTTATTCCCTGGACAATACAGTGTAACTACTATTTACATAGTGTTATAATACATTGTATTAGGTATTATAAGTCATCCAGAGATTATTTAAAGTATAATGGAGGATGAGCATAGGTTCTATGCAAATACTCCTATGTTGTATATGAGACTTGAGGATCCGCAGATTTTGATATCCTTGGGGAGTCTTGGAACCAATCCCCCATAGACATTGAGGGACAACTGTGTATGCCACATAGAAATCAAAGCCAAGAGGAAACAATAAAGGAAAAAGAAGGGACCTTAAACACTCATTGGACCTCCCCATTAAGGTCCGTATTTCTCCAATGGAACACTTATCCAACCTGCCTTTCTCCACCCTGGCTCTCAGATTTCTGGTTTTTAGTTTTCTGAATTTCAGTGCTTAGTAAATTTCTATAGGCTTAGTGGTATGGTCATAAGCCCAGTGATGTCACTGTAATTCCTAGTAACTGGTCAACCCAAGTATAACCTGTGGAGTGTGGAACCTAGCATATGAGAGAAAACAAGTCATGTAACTGTGTGTGGTTGGTGATTTCCTCATGAATCAGCTGAAAGAAGGGCAGAGGCTCCATTCCAGATCAGGGAGAAAAGACAAATGAGCATCTACACCATTTATTAAAACTCAAGGGTAATAATAGGCTCATTCATTTGTGCTTAAGTATAAGATGGTTTATGATGCTAAGCTCTCTCCTGATTTTCTTTGGTTTTGGTTTTTGCAGATATCATTCCTCCAGCCCCTATACCACAAGGTAACTCTCTTTCATTGAAAGTGTAACCTATACAGTATTAAGTTGCAGAGAATTATTTTTGTAATTCATAAAAGCAGAATGGACTTCTGTGCGCACTGGCTACCACAGGGGCAATGGGTGGGATGGAGCCCTCACAAATGGGTGGGTTATCCACATCTGAGCTGAGCTGGTTTGCATGGCAGGAGACTTGGGGAGAGCATCAAAGAAATACAGGCTGCCCTCACTATACACATGCTACATGCATGTGTCAAATCCCATTTCCAATATCGCTTACAATCAATTGTAGGGTCGTGCCTGTCTGTCATGCATCTTCCATCCTCCCTCATGCCCTCTCAGTGGCACAGTCACTCACACCAGCCAAACCACAACTGTGTCTACACCAGCATGATCACTCCCCATTTAGTGACTCCACTGCTGAGCTTGATGGAATTCTGGATTCTACATCTGGAAAAATGCAACGTGCAAGCCTAGTGAAACCAACCATGGGTCTCTCATCTGCTTTTACAGGAGGAAGTAACTCTTGTGGAGGAGTGATTTCAAGTCTCTCAGGTTCCTTCTCCAGCCCTTGGTACCCTACAAACTACCCCACCAACTTGGAGTGCGTCTGGGTGATACACGTGGCTGAGAAATTCCACATAGAACTGATGATCCCAAGCCTGAAGTAAGCAACATTTTCTTTCTTTACTTTTAAGGCCAGTTTAGATTTGAATCCATACTTTCCTCAATGAGGTAGGCTTTTGTGGGATAAATCCTTTCACATTTTAGGCGAGAATTGCTCTGATCATCTGAGCTGTGGAGAGTTATTTAATCAGTTAGCTCAACTTCCTGTGCAATAAGAGAACACTCCATGGGCCTCCCTGACACCAGCCCGTTGAGCTGTAGCTGGGGCAACCCACACATGAAGACCTCACCCCATCACTTTTAACCAGTTCCGTTTGAGACACAGGCTTCCTCCTCCATCTGAACCCAGATCTGTTCTTCTTCATCCTCATGGTCTGATCTTCATTCTTCCCTCTGATGCTACACAAATCTGCTTCCTGTTCTCTTCAAGAATTTCTATCACGTCCTTACCAAGAATTTTCTTGTACAGATTAAACAGTTAATTCATTCCCCCATTATGCACCTTGTTCTTCCTACTTCTTTCTTTAACTGTCACTCATTTTTAAGGAATGTATCCTATTTTAATGTACATTTATATGCATGTAGGTGTATATACACACACACACATTTTCATATATGCATACATATACATGAGGAACATTTAAACAAAAATATTACTTTTCCTGATAATGTTTAACCCCGGTTTCATCTTGCTCTACTGCACCTAGGTCATTCTCTCTTCCTTACTTTGTCCCACAGTATGCCCCAGACCTCTGCCACTGCTTTCCATCTGTCGTCATTGACCACAGCATTTGAGAATCTGAATGGTTAAATGCTGCTTTTAAAAATGTAAAATGGTACTCGGTGGCGGAGGGGCGAACTTCATTGGCTTTACTTGGTAGCTACATATTTTTTGATAGAAAAGACATAAGCTAATGTCAGGGGACATTATGCAGTAGGAGCAAAATGCATTTATCATTCATTGATTCAACATACATTTATTCCTTTGTTCAACATACATTTATCTGTTGAAAGCAATGTGAGAAGAGTTGGTACCATGTATTTCAGATCTATGAAATTCACAGTTCTAATGTTTTAGGGCATAGTTTAATTTTATCACTTCTGGGAAATGGTGATTCCAAACAGTTGTAATGGCCCACATCCCCTGTAATGTCAAAGTTATTGTTCTAACATAAGTTTCGTACTATAATTTTGGAGTGCACAAATTAAGGAGTTTTTAAGGTGTTGCCCAAAACCAGACCATAGTGGCTGATTTCTGAATTTTGATGTTAAAAGCCTAGATTTATTGAAATTTGCTTTTTTGTTACTCAGAAGATAAAGTTGGTTATCATTTACTATTTATTGTTATTCCAGTTCTCAACTGGAAGTGATTATATACCCTTACAAGACATTTGGCTAGGTCTGGAGACATTTTTTACTGTTACAATTAGAAGGCACCACTGTCAGCTAGTGGGTGGAGGCCAGAGATGCAGCTAAGTGTCCTGCAGTGAACAAGACAGCTCCCCCAACTCCTTGTCCAGAAAAGAATTATCCAGCACCAAATATCAATACTGCTGAGATTGAAAAACCCCGACTTACCCTGACTCTTACTTTCATTTTTTAAAATAGTTCAGCACCTACAGGACCTTGCTTCACGCTCAATTTGTAAAAATTATATCCATATTTAAACTATTAGGTAGGGGCAAAAGTAACTGCAGGTTTTGACGTTACTCTTAATGCTGTTTTATTCTTGCTAATTAAAGCATGTCCTGTTTTCTGATGAAATGATTTCTCAGGTTGCAGTGTCAGCTGTTACTGCCACACTGTTGTCACCTTACACACAAATGTGATCACTTACTTTAAGAAAACAAAAATAAAAATGGGTTATTTTAAGGTACTTGGCTTTTACTTCACTGGAACAGATGTGTTCTGCAATAAGCAGGTTTTCAAATGCAGTATTTAGTTTGTGTACAACTGTAATTATGTCTATCTTGTATATATCATGCAATGAGAATGTATCATATAGGCATCAAAGGCTGCTTACTATTGTTTAAATCCAAATATGTATCTCTCATACTTGTATCATGTTAGATCAATGTTGATGTTCTTTCAACATGTATTTATTAAGCCTCTACTCAATTTATTGAGCAGGCCCTGGACTAGAATCAGACTCATAGTGCCAACCAAGAAAGACGAGATCTCTACCCTCACAGAGTTTATATTCTAGATGATGAGACAAATGGTACTCAGATAAACCAATGACTCAATGGACAATTTCAACTAGTGATAAATTGAAAAATGCTATGAAGAAAAAAATATACATACATGATAATAGGATAGAAAATAAAGAAGGAGAAGACAGCAACAGGTAGGATGGCCAGGGTCAGCTTCTCTGATCATCCAGGTTGGATGAAACATTCACGAAACACTTGGTTTGAACAGGGCAGGTCGGAGCATTGGTGGGAGGAGTCAACAGACCCTTGGAGCTCTTACAACTGTCACCATTTCTGCCTGCTCTGGGTCTCCTGGAGAGTTTAACTCAATGAGGCACTGTTAGATATTTGCCACCACCCCAGAGAGTGGCAAGATTTGAATTAAAGAGTTGGGGGACACTTGAGGAGACACTCGAGGTAGAGAGGAAGAGGATAGGAGAGACTGAAGGCCAGAATACCAGAAGTTACTGAAATAGACTGGGTAGAAGATGAGAACCCAACAGACCTGGGGCAGTCCCAGTAGGAAAGGACAGGAGGGCAGATTCAATAGGTCAAATGATGAGTAGGGGGTGTAGCAGTGATGACTGCAGTTTTTGGCGGGATGCTATGCAAAAGATGACTCTAAAACATCTTGCAGATTTCCTTGGAGATATTAATTTTGTCTTCATGTCCTCAGATTAGAGGACATCTATGGGTGTCCTTACGACTTTATCGAAGTGTTCGATGGACAACAGGCTGCCTCACTCTCCATGGGCAGGTTTTGTGCTGGGACAGAGCTCACGTTCCTTTCTTCTTCAAACATCATGACCACAGTGTTCAGAAGCAACGCCATGATCACCAACACAGGGTTTTATGCTCTGTACAACACCGTTCAGCAAGATGAAAGGGAGAACGGTAGGTACTCTAACACATACCATGGGAGGAAGTTAGATCTGATATATGATCTTTCCTTTTAAGAGAGAAGATGCTTTCTAAATCTGGCCCTCATTAATGACATCTGGAGTGACATCCATGCAGACACTAAAAGCTCCCCACCTCACTCTAACCCTGCTCTGCCACTCCCTGTCACTTTTCTCCACCAAAGCATCCTGGCTGAAGAAACAGATGGCCTGAAATCTCATAGTTTGCATCGACTGTGTGTGTAGATGGATCCAAAAGACAGCCCCCTTCTTCTCCAAAGAAGTAAAGGAAAATGCAATAGAAAAATCATTCTGGGACAAAACTATCTCAACTAGCCACCTGCTTCAAGCTGAATTTAATACAAAAACCACCTATAACACTTAGAAGCTGTGTGCCACATGCCGAGTGACATCAGAGGACAGGGCTGGGGCTATAAGGGCTGTGAGGTTTGGAACCAGGGCCCTGGGCAGAGCATGGCAGTGGGTCACAGGTGCCCGGATGGACCACCAAGCAGAAGCTCTGAGCCTTTTTTCATCCTGGCCCTCAGCTCCTGGCCCAGCTCCACGGCCCATTCAGGGGCCTTTTGGCTCCCTCCTTGCACTGAGGTGACTGGTGTATGTCCTTGAGATAAATGCGGTTCTGCCCTTTATGAGCTGACACTTACTCAGAGGCGAGACTCACACATACACCCAGGAAGAATTAGAAAACCAAACCAACTGCTCCATGCCAGGGGCCGTCCCTGGAGCCACAGTTTGCCAAAAACAAAAAAGATAGGAAGGAGGGAAAGGGAGGGAAGGGAAGGAAGGAAGGAAGGGAAAGAAGGAAGGAGAGTGAGGGAGAGGAAGGAAGGAGAGTGAGGGAGAGGAAGGAAGGAGAGAGAGGGAGAGGAAGGAAGGAGAGAGAGGGAGAGGAAGAGAGAGAGAAGGAAAAGAGAAGGAGGAGAGAGAAGGAAGAAGAAAGAATAAGAAGGAAGAAAAGAGATGACATCACGTCTGGCAACAGAACAGACACAAGCATGGTGATCCAGGGCATCTAGTAGTTGTAACCAAAGTAACTCAGGGCCATTTTTAGATGCCAGATTGTGTGCAGGTTCTCCGCCAAACAAGACGTGGTACCTTTCTGACTGAAGTAAGCAAGTCTACCTCTCTCTCAGGCTTAGGAGAACTGAAGAGAGATGAGCTACCCACACCTTCTATGTCTTCCACTGCCTCTCTGCCTTACCTAGGAGCATCTGCTGCTGTGAGTTACCCAACCTCAGGTAATTTGTGTTGTTTTGAATTGATGAGCTATAACTTGCCCCAGCAAAGCCCCCTAGGCAGTAGGGTAGTTATTTAGGGTCCAAATGCCCTGGGCTTATCTTCCCAGCCTCTTCATTTACTGTCTGTGAGGCCTCTAGCAAATCTCTGAGCTGCTTCCTGCCTACATTTTCTCCCCTGGATGAGGATGAGGAAATCCAGGGGGTTTCACTGTGTGAATATCCAGGGCAGCCCTTGCCCAGTAGTGGGCGGGGCATACTACTCGCAGAGTCAGCCACTATCTCTGACCCTCACCTCATCCAATGTCAAAGCCTGGCAGGGGTTTATCTCTGGGTACTGCCTTCTTCTTGACAGAATTGTTAAGAATGGAGAAGCTGAAAGCATCAAGTTATAGTTTGCTCCCAGCTCTATTTGGCCAGTAGTCTTTACACTTCCAATTCAATTCAGCCAGCAGCTCTTCCACGACAGGCCCTTAGAAGAGTAAAGTACAATATGCAGAGAGGAGCTAGGAAAGAGAGAAATGACCCCAAGCACTTAGAAGTAGCACCAGGGTAGCTTATACTGAACAACACAGGCCCCCAAAGGATGTTTTCTTGAATTTAAAACATATCTATTGGCCAGGTGCAGTGACTCACGCCTGTAATCCCAGCACTTTCGGAAGCTGAGGTGGGCTGATCACCTGAGGTCAGGAGTTTGAGACCAGCCTGGCCAACATGGTGAAACCCCGTCTCTACTAAAAATACAAAAATTAGCTGGGCTTGGTGGGGCATGTCTGTAATCCCAGCTACTCAGGAGGCTGAGGCAGGAAAATTGCTTGAACCCGGGAGATGGAGGTTGCAGTGAGCTGAGATCATGCCACTGCACTCCAGCCTGAGCAGCAGAGCAAGATTTCATCTCAAAAAAAATAAAAATAAAATTAAAATATATGTATTAAAAAAAAAAGATCAGCCACCAAGCCACGGTTTTCCTGAGCTTATATTTCCTAACATGCCAGTTGGGTGATGGAAGGAGTACTGCCCACAGAGAAAGGCCATGAGAAGGAAATCCCATTCAGAACCAGAAGGTGTCTGTAGATAATCCACAGAGCGGACAGCCCACCCACGATGGACTGAAAGTTCGATGTTTGACGTTTACCTAAGATGTATAATTTTCCCCTTTTGCAGCATCTTTTCCAAAGCCAACAGAGGTGCCCACATGGACAGGTAACCGTTTCTTCTCACTTCTCTGGCCCTCCCTCTATGCAGTTTGAATTCACAAACATCCCAGCACCGGGGAGGAAGCGTCCTGACTTCCACCCTCCTCCATGGCCTCAGGCTGCCGGAGGAACTGCTGGCAATGTCCAGGTTCACCTGGAAAATCTGTGATTGGAAAGTGACAGGAAAGAAGAGGCTGTGAGATGTAAGAATGGCTCTTGGGGGCTGGTTTGGAAGAGGCCCCCAGGAAGGCCAGGTTGCCTGCTCACCCCAAATCTCCACACATCCCCACCTGTGGGCTCACCTTATCTGTGTTGCAAGCACAACCAGCTTCTGCTCCCTTTTATAACATTGTCCTTTGAACATAGGAGGCAGCCTGCAATGATGGCTCTTTCCAATCCCTGGAATGTCTTCACACATAGGTTATGCCTGATCCCAGGAATAACAGAGATGGGAGGTATTGTTACCGTCTCTTGATCAACGTGTGCAAGGGCACATAGAAACTCACACCCACACACATATACACACACACATACACACACACACAGTGTATGCACGACAGCTTCTTGTGAAAAATCCAACACACCCTGTGAATGTCAGAAACCAAGACTTCACCACACACAGGGAAAGAACAGTTATGCCTTTGGGCAGGCCAGGTCCAGCCAATGGCGAGGAACAACCATTTCTTAACCAATCACAAAAAATACACAGAGTAGTACCAAGGCAAACATGAACAAAATGAAATAAAGGAGGGAGTGGGATTCATTATCCTCAATTATCAGTGCACAATTCCCAGGAAATTGTGGCTTCTCTGGTGGCCTTTGTGGATGTGACTTCATGAGGTTGTTCTTTGGAATGTCTGCAAGGTCTGGGACTGCGGCTGGTGAACGGGTCCAGCAGATGTGAGGGCCGAGTCGAGGTCTACCATGCCAATGCCTGGGGCACCGTGTGTGATGACAGCTGGTCTATAGAGGATGCCCACGTGGTCTGCAGGCAGCTGGGCTGTGGCCTGGCCGTGTCTGCCCTCCCAGGAGCCAGCTTCAGCCCTGGATCAGGCAGCATCCTCCTTGATGACGTCAACTGCACGGGAAGGGAGTCCTCCCTGGGGCAGTGCCCTCACAGAGGTTGGTACACCCACAACTGTGGGCACCATGAAGATGCTGGCGTCATCTGCTTAGGTGAGTGAAGGTCCGCCCTGGGCCAGTCTTGCAGCTGCCTGGACCAAGCCCGAGATCCTCAGATAGAGTCTGAAAATGCCTCTGTGCCTTAAACCTTTCCCCACATGCAGAACAGTGGATTTCTGCTCAGACTCTGGAAAATATGACCAGCTGTTCAATACATGGTAAGGTCCCATTCAACTTGAGTACCTGCAAAGTTCAATTAATTGTAAAAGAAAGAAAATCATGGCATTTATTCCACGGAGTTATTGGGAGGATTAATTGAGGCAACCCATGTAGAACATTTAGTCAAGCATCAGACAAACCATAAATACACAAAAATATTACCATTTTGTTGGTGTTTTAGTTACTAAGGCAAATTCTATCAGCATCACTACCTCAAAGTTTGTAGCCAGGTTAGACATCCCACAACCTACACCTGGCTGTATAAACCCAGAGGGGAGAGGCCTGGATGCTTAAGACTGGTTGTTTATACCCAGCTTCCTTGAGTCACATTTAAACTGAAACAATGATCTTTAAACCACTCTGCCATTCCAATTTCTATTATTAAACCACCCTCATTTCCTTTATCTCTGCAGATTCTGCAGCTGCTGGACATCCAGGTATCTATGAGTTTGTGTCCATTTTATTTGCTGACTGGTGGCTAGCCGTCACCTCTAATTGGTCTCCCAACCCCAGCCTATGCTGGGTCTCCCTTATGAGCTTTAACTTTCCTTGACAATGCTCTGAGCTCCAGACCCTTTCACCCTCCCAGAAGGTGAAGACCCAGGGCTGTTTCCCATTCCCTTGGCTGGATGTCAGCAGGTTGATGTGTCATCCCTTCCACAGATGAGAGCATTTCAACAGGACTCTAAGATACTTGAACCAAAGGGTTGGTTCATGCAACAGACGCCATGACAATCCAGAGAAGGCAGGCGGCCATAGGGGAAGGAGACCTGGGGCAGAAGGGCCTGGGGGCAGGAGAGCCTGGGGCAGGAGAGCCTGGGGGCAGGAAGGCCTGGGGGCAGGAGACCCTGTGGGCAAAAGGGCTGGGGGCAGGAGGGACTGGGGGCAGGAGGGACTGGGGGCAGGAGACCCTGGGGGCAGGAGACCCTGGGGGCAGGAGAGCCTGGGGGCAGGAAGGGCTGGGGGCAGGAGGGCCTGGGGGCAGGAAGGGCTTGGGGGCAGGAGGGCCTGGGGGCAGGAGAGCCTGGGGGCAGGAAGGGCTGGGAGCAGGAGACCCTGGGGGCAGGAGGGCCTGGGGGCAGGAAGGCCTGGGGGTAGGAGAGCCTGGGGGCAGTAGAGCCTGGGGGCAGGGGAGCCTGGGGGCAGGAAGGGCTGGGGACAGGAGCTGCTCCTCTACCTGCAGCCCCACCTGGGTCCCAGCAGCAGCTGCTGAACTCTGTGATTCTGACAAGGCACCCCTGTCTATGGGGCCAAATGTTCACAATCCCAACATGAATGTTATTTCTTTTATTTTCTTATTCTTAATCAGAATAATACACACCCATGTACAGGGTGCTATCAAATTTTAAGTGGTAGCTATTAGATAAGAGCCTGGATAGGGTTGTTTAAAGGCAGACTCATACATGTGATTTAGATGATATTTGAGAAGAGTATTAAATATCATTGTGTGTGTTTGGAATGTAATTATGCTAACTATTTTTCTTTTTTACGCCATAGCTTCTTCAACTCCTGGGGAGCACCCAAGCGATTTTCATCTAAGAGGTACTTTCCCCATTCTTATATTTTGTAACAGTTTTTCTGAGGCTGAGGGTCTGACCATTTGTGACTAATGGAAATGTAGCAAATGCGATTTCCCTGGCCCTGGTGCTGTGTGCAATAAGAACTGTGCTCATGAGAGGCAAGCTGGTGACATGGAGGATTCTCGTGGAGTAGGTGTCTTTCCAAGAAGAGAGCCCACTCAGCCACCGCCCTCTGCAGCAACAGCAGCAGCAGGCTACTGCTCCTGCAGGTCCTTCTACAGGGGCCTCGGGAACCAGCCCCAGTTCCTGGGGATGCAGATCCTGAGAGTCAGCTTCATCTGCTTTGGGCGCAGGGGTCCGTTTCACTTGGTCAATTTTTTACTTGCTTGTCACAGTGATGTTCTATCTTCTGCTGCTTGATTTTCCAATCCCAACCACCTTCATCATTTCTCAATCCATACTTTACAATTTTCTAAATTCAAGTAAAGCAAAATTAATTTTGTACCAAGAATTTCATAATGTTCTTGGAGAGACCTGAGTTAGGAATGCAAAATCTGAGCTCCAAGCATTCAACTCTATTTCTTGGAATTTTTAGAAAAACCACCTGGAAAATGACGCTTTTTTTTTTTTTAATCTGAAGACTTAGTGTTCAGTGTTTCAAACAAGTCATGGTGTGTCAGCAAAACAACTCTGAGTTAAAGTGGCATCAAATGTTCATCATCCATCCTTGTAGCTTCAAATCCCCCAGGTGACCATCAGTGATGCTACCCTGACAAAGTTCAGACAGATGCTTCCAATTACTGTCAGACAGTGAGGGTCACCACCATGGGAGGGAAAAGTGGTGCAGAGACATTGTGTAGTGTGGGGTTAATCTTTTAAAGTGCTGATGTGCTTGTGATGATGGCTTGGTTTTCCCTTTCAGCTGTTGAAGTTGCCCCAGCATTGACAGAAATGGGCCCCAGCATTGGTAATCCTTTGATTGCTTCCCTCAAACTTCCTAATTATTGAATCTGTCTAGGGGACTCCCTGTAATGTCAGTGCCCACCCAGATTCATGTCTCTCCAGGACTGAGAAAATACAGAGCTGATACAGAGGGAGAGGTTACAGAGGTGACTGCCACTTGTCTAATCTCTGGATCCTGAAAAATGTTTTTAACTGTGAACCTGGGCCCCAGTAATAATGAAATAATGAAAGGTTGAGTTTGACATATCCCCATGCTATTGCCTATCAGTTTGATGGCTCAGCTTCAAAACAGATATTTATCCTTATCCGTGTAATTGCCATGTTTCTAATCCAAAGATGAGAATGAGGGAACAAAATATTGGAAATCACAAATAGCCTCAAAAAGTCAGTTAAGGAATTTGCAAGCACTAGTTTGACTTAGTCCTATGGGACCCAGAAGCAGGAAGCAAGAGTGTCTAGAGTTTTGGAATTTAGAGTGTGTATTATTTTAAGAACTAAAGAAAAGTCCCACTAGTGTCTGCCAGAAGAGCTGATCACATTCCAGTGATAACCTCTGGGTCTCCCCCAGCCTTGCCCATTGTCAAGTTGGCAGATGAGAGGAGCCAATGCAAAGGGCACATTGAAGTCTACCACAATGGCACATGGGGGACTGTGTGCGACAACCTCTGGGGCGTCAACGCTGCCCACATGGTGTGCCAGCAGCTGGGTTGTGGGAAGGGTGTTGGCCACCCCAGGGAATGGCCACTTGGTTGCAGGGGTGGGGGGTGGCGGCGTGGGACACATCCTCCTGGACGATGGGCAGTGTCAAGGCATGGAGACCACACTAGGCCAGCGTGGCTATCTGGGTCTGTCCATCCACAACTGTGGCCACCATGAGGATGCTGGGCTCATCTGCACAGATACTGACTTCCAGCTTTCTCCTGAGGCTGCCAGAGCCATGACTCTCAGTGGGGGACCTGGAAACCAATGTGAGGAAGTTTGGGTCTCACTGGCATCCTCTAAACAAATGCCCAAGGTCCACTCTCAACACTGAGCTCCCTGGGGCAAAGGATACATAATGACATATAATACAACCCTGGGTCAGCCCCAAGTCCCTCAGCCCCACATCCTGCCCTGATCTTGGTTCCGGAGGCCTCTTGGCTATTCTCAGCTTCCCTTAATTTGTTGATCTACCCAGTGTTTGACTCAAGGCCTAATGAGTTCACCTTAGGTCCCTCTGTCTCTGCAGTCTTCAAGGAATTACCAGATCCTTTCTGTGAACTATTCACTAGGGTAATGGCACTTCCTAGACTTTGTCCCAAAGTTGTCTGTTTTGAGCTTTAAAGCTGACTTTGCAGTGCTGCTCCAGGAAATTCCATGAACAAAACCCAGATCTTCCCATCTACATACTGTGTGAAAGCTTCAACACTATCTTCTTTTGGCCTCTCTGGTTTGAGATAGTTTCCTTTAAAAAAAAAATCAGCCCAGTTTGTGCATTATCTATGTTTCTTTCTCTTGCCAAAAAAGCAAAATAGAAAAGGAAATGAAATGTAATATTCACTGCTTAGCTTATCTTAATTTTATAGGACAAAGACTACACTAAAAGGATTGAATTCATCCATTTATTTAACAAATATTTATTGAGCACTTCATATGTGCCAGGCACAATTCTAGGTGCTGAGAATGTAGCAATGAACACAACAGACAATCCTGCCCTCATGGAGCTTGCATTCCAGTGGGAGGGTTAGAGTCATTTGTGCATTTAAACTGTAATGGATAATTAACAAAAGTAAATGAATACTGAATCAAGGGTCATAATATGCTTTATTATGTTAAGGAATCACTTTCCTTTAGTGCTCAGACAACTTAGTATTGTGTTATAATTTGGTGAAAATGGGAAATCAACATTAGAAACCTAAAGTCAGAATTAGGAAGGCTCCTAGTACTTTGCCATTCTAGAAATGATGTCCTCTTCAGTGCTTCAGTGAAACAGCCTCTCTGATCCATCCCAGGGGGTTCTCACAACCAATAGGTGTTTCTCACTTTCTGCCTTTTGCATCCCTGTCACTCTTTCAGTCTTAACAAAGAAACCTTTGTCATTTTTAATTTTACATCTCAAAAGTTGTTCTGTATCTAATTTTAATGTATCTGAGATATAAATTTTTAAAATTAAACAAACCTAAATTCCTGTTTGTTTTGCAATTTCAGCATCAGCTACAGAAATAACCACTTCACCTGGTAATTTTAGTTTCTTTCTTGCTTTCTATAAATCAGATATGTGTAGATTGTTTTGCATATGGTTAGGGTTGGAGTTTATATCTCATATAAAATTAAATATCAGCTCATGTCAATGTATAAGTTGCTTATATATTCATTAAATGAAGGAGTACATTGACAGAGATTGTGTGCCTTCCATACATAGCACATAATATGTCTAGTTTGTTTCCTCCCTCTTTGGTGCAACAGCTGGTCTTTGAAATCAAGTTTTAGTGACTGGCTTCACTTACATCCTCATCAGTGTCCATACATTTGGGTGTCCAGTGAGTCTGGGTTTTTTTTAACCCCCAAACCACAGGACTTCAGATATCTCAGGCAAAACTACCTTAATCTGCATTTTCAGAAAATAATGGAGTACCACATCTCTCGTGTGTTCCACATTACAGTACATTAATCTATTGATATGCAAATTTTAAAGAAGGATTCACACAGCTAAGTAAGTTAGGGAAATGCCATATCCCTCTCTTGAAGATTCACTGCCTATTAACACATTAAAGTCTCTGACAAGACCTGTAGTAAGGGATCTTTAAAAAAAACAAAAAAAAACTTGGTTTAATCCAATGATTCTCAAACTTCTTTGACCACTGAAGACTTTCGAGTGGCAATGCAGCCTCCTCGCAGGATTTGGAGCCAGAGAACCTGGGATTACGTTCTGGCTCCAGCCTTAACCAATTAGGTCACAGCAGTCAAATCTCCTCACCTTTCAGAGCCTCAGTTTCTTCATGTGTAGAACAAGAGGATGAAAACAGCCACCTCGGAAGCTTGTCCTGGGGACTGAGTGGTCAGGTCACACTTGTGTAAGAACACGGTGATGGGAGCTTCACAGTCACCTCCTTAGGGATGTGTGTGCTGCCGCCTGCTGAGTTCCGGCTTGGCTCCCTAATGTAAGCAACCCATGTGTCCTTTTATAAAATTCCTTCCTCTGGACACTTTGGGGATCATCCTAAGGCTTAAGTTAACCACTGTTTGGCTAAATAAGTGAGTGAAATACCAAATCAATTCAAGTCAGCTCAACTCAAGTTTTCTCTGAACTGTCCATATTTCCATGGTCCTTATTTCCAAAAATCTCAAAGCCTTCTGCCAGAATTGATACACACTAACCTCTAAGGAAAATCAAACAAGGAAACATGCTGCTCTTTTGGTGATTGGATCTGTGAAAATTGTCCACCAGTTCTTTCAGGCAAGAACAAGTCATATGGCACCATCACAGTGTAACATTTTTCTAAAAGTTGGAAGAAAGCTTAGAGGTTGCTCATACTGCAAGTCACAAGTGGGCAGTTTTGGCCTGCCATGTGTTTGGATGCAGACAACTCAGTTTTACCTATGCATGTTTACATTATTTTTAATCCCACCTCTTAATAATGGAATATATCCTACAAAAATCCAGATTTTCAGCTTTGATTGAAAAATCTGAGAATGGTCAACGTGAATTTCAGCAGGGCACCAATTGGTTGGGGCTGAGCAGGAAATGACTGCCTCCTTTATATGGCACATGCTCTTTCTCCCATTTCTTCCTGGCCGCCGTGCATGTCTAAGCCTATAGACATCTCCGTTTGCACGCTTGGTGCTTCTCAAACCTTAATGTGTACATAGCTGTCATGGAGATCTTGTTAAAATACAGATTCTGGTTCTAGTGGATCCTGAGAGCCCATATTTCTAACAAGGTGATACAGATGCTACTCCTCCACGGACTAGCCCTTCAGATGTAGTAGCTGAAGCTCAGAGATGCAAAGGAGCTTGTCCAAGGTCACATACTCTGTTCCACAAAGACTAGAGACTAGAACCCAAGTCTCTTGAGTCCTAGCCCCACGACCCACCTGCCCCATTATTAATCCCCTTAGCTTAATAAACAGAGAATAGGAGAATGAAACAGGAACATGGCTGGGGCATAATTTGTAAACAGTGTGATTTAAAAAAAATCTTTACCAATAAACTTGATTGACAAGGATGGCATTTAACTATAATTTTCTCTTAACTTTTGCTTGTCTTGACAGTTCCTGCTTCAATTTCAGCCACAGATTTTGCCCTTACACCTGGTAACAAGTTTTTTCCTAGTATGTCCTTTATTACCTATATTAGGGATATTGCTATGTTGAAATTTACCTAGCTAGTACAATTATACCACTATTTGTCCAGGAGTCACTTGGCTAAATTAATCCCCTGGAAAATAGACTAGAACCCAGAAATAGACAGAGTGCCTCATGCGCCCAAACTGAGATCCTAGCATTCAAGCTCAAGTGTTTGAATACCTACAGAGGTATACCACAGAGCCTGTTACTGAGAGCTTGTTCTTACTTTCTACACACTCATAACATCTGGCTATCTGGTCTCCCTGCTGACTATATATTAGTAGAGACAACAGGCTGGGGAGGGAGTGCAGGGTGCTAGGAGGTATAGACCTAATAGAGAAGCTACATTGGCAATGGCAGGAAATGCTAGCAGATGCTCTGATAGCCATAGAAGGGTTCAAAAAAAAAAAAAAGCATTCAGTGTCACTTTCTAAATGGAGCAAAAATGCCCACTTATCTCAGCATCCTTTGAGAGAGCTCTGTATTGAATCCTGGAACAACAATGATACTCTTCCTAATGAGTCCAAGTTCATGCAAGTTCAAGTATGATCAGTATCTTTTTTTTTCTTTTTTTAATTTTTATTTTATTATTATTATACTTTAAGTTTTAGGGTACATGTGCACAATGTGCTGATTAGTTACATATGTATACATGTGCCATGCTGGTGTGCTGCACCCGTTAAGTTGTCATTTAGCATTAGGTATATCCCCTAATGCTATCCCTCCCCACTCCCCCCACCCCACAACAGTCCCCAGAGTGTGATGTTCCCCTTCCTGTGTCCATGTGTTCTCATTGTTCAATTCCCACCTATGAGTGAGAACATGCGGTGTTTGGTTTTTTGTCCTTGCGATAGTTTACTGAGAATGATGATTTCCAATTTCATCCATGTCCCTACAAAGGACATGAACTCATCCTTTTTTATGGCTGCATAGTATTCCATGGTGTATATGTGCCACATTTTCTTAATCCAGTCTATCATTGTTGGACATTTGGGTTGGTTCCAAGTCTTTGCTATTGTGAATAATGCCGCAATAAACATAAGTGTGCATGTGTCTTTAGAGCAGCATGATTTATGGTCATTGGGGTATATACCCAGTAATGGGATGGCTGGGTCAAATGGTATTTCTAGTTCTAGATCCCTGAGGAATCGCCACACTGACTTCCACAATGGTTGAACTAGTTTACAGTCCCACCAACAGTGTAAAAGTGTTCCTATTTCTCCACATCCTCTCCAGCACCTGTTGTTTCCTGACTTTTTAATGATTGCCATTCTAACTGGTGTGAGGTGGTATCTCATTGTGGTTTTGATTTGCATTTCTCTGATGGCCAGTGATGATGAGCATTTTTTCATGTGTTTTTTGGCTGCATAAATGTCTTCTTTTGAGAAGTGTCTGTTCATGTCCTTCACCCACTTTTTGATGGGGTTGTTTGTTTTTTTCTTGTAAATTTGTTTGAGTTCATTGTAGATTCTGGATATTAGCCCTTTGTCAGATGAGTAGGTTGCAAAAATTTTCTCCCATTTTGTAGGTTGCCTGTTCACTCTGATGGTGGTTTCTTTTGCTGTGCAGAAGCTCTTTAGTTTAATTAGATCCCATTTGTCAATTTTGGCTTTTGTTGCCATTGCTTTTGGTGTTTTGGACATGAAGTCCTTGCCCATGCCTATGTCCTGAATGGTAATGCCTGGGTTTTCTTCTAGGGTTTTTATGGTTTTAGGTCTAACGTTTAAATCTTTAATCCATCTTGAATTGATTTTTGTATAAGGTGTAAGGAAGGGATCCAGTTTCAGCTTTCTACATATGGCTAGCCAGTTTTCCCAGCACCATTTATTAAATAGGGAATCCTTTCCCCATTGCTTGTTTTTCTCAGGTTTGTCAAAGATCAGACAGTTGTAGATATGTGGCATTATTTCTGAGGGCTCTGTTCTGTTCCATTGATGTATATCTCTGTTTTGGTACCAGTACCATGCTGTTTTGGTTACTGTAGCCTTGTAGTATAGTTTGAAGTCAGGTAGTGTGATGCCTCCAGCTTTGTTCTTTTGGCTTAGGATTGACTTGGCAATGCGGGCTCTTTTTTGGTTCCATATGAACTTTAAAGTAGTTTTTTCCAGTTCTGTGAAGAAAGTCATTGGTAGCTTGATGGGGATGGCATTGAATCTGTAAATTACCTTGGGCAGTATGGTCATTTTCACGATATTGATTCTTCCTACCCATGAGCATGGAATGTTCTTCCATTTGTTTGTATCCTCTTTTATTTCCTTGAGCAGTGGTTTGTAGTTCTCCTTGAATAGGTCCTTCAAGTCCCTTGTAAGGTGGATTCCTAGGTATTTTATTCTCTTTGAAGCAATTGTGAATGGGAGTTCACTCATGATTTGGCTCTCTGTTTGTCTGTTATTGGTGTATAAGAATGCTTGTGATTTTTGTACATTGATTTGGTATCCTGAGACTTTGCTGAAGTTGTTTATCAGCTTAAGGAGATTTTGGGCTGAGACAATGGGGTTTTCTAGATATACAATCATGTCATCTGCAAACAGGGACAATTTGACTTCCTCTTTTCCTAATTGAATGCCCTTTATTTCCTTCTCCTGCCTGATTGCCCTGGCCAGAACTTCCAACACTATGTTGAATAGGAGTGGTGAGAGAGGGCATCCCTGTCTTGTGCCAGTTTTCAAAGGGAATGCTTCCAGTTTTTGCCCATTCAGTATGATATTGGCTGTGGGTTTGTCATAAATAGTTCTTATTATTTTGAGATACATCCCATCAATACGTAATTTATTGAGAGTTTTTAGCATGAAGGGTTGTTGAATTTTGTCAAAGGCCTTTTCTGCATCTATGGAGATAATCATGTGGTTTTTGTCATTGGTTCTATTTATATGCTGGATTACATTTATTGATTTGCTTATATTGAACCAGCCTTGAATCCCAGGGATGAAGCCCACTTGATCATGGTGGATAAGCTTTTTGATGTGCTGCTGCATTTGGTTTGCCAGTATTTTATTGAGGATTTTTGCATCAATGTTCATCAAGGATATTGGTCTAAAATTCTCTTTTTTGGTTGTGTCTCTGCCCGGCTTTGGTATCAGAATGATGCTGGCCTCATAAAATGAGTTAGGGAGGATTCCCTCTTTTTCTATTGATTGGAATAGTTTCAGAAGGAATGGTACCAGTTCCTCCTTGTACCTCTGGTAGAATTCGGCTGTGAATCCATCTGGTCCTGGACTCTTTTTGGTTGGTAAGCTATTGATTATTGCCACAATTTCAGAGCCTGTTATTGGTCTATTCAGAGATTCAACTTCTTCCTGGTTTAGTCTTGGGAGGATGTATGTGTCGAGGAATTTATCCATTTCTTCTAGATTTTCTAGTTTATTTGCGTAGAGGTGTTTGTAGTATTCTGTGATGGTAGTTTGTATTTCTGTGGGATCGGTGGTGATATCCCCTTTATCATTTTTTATTGTGTCTATTTGATTCTTCTCTCTTTTCTTCTTTATTAGTCTTGCTAGCGGTCTATCAATTTTGTTGATCCTTTCAAAAAACCAGCTCCTGGATTCATTAATTTTTTGAAGGGTTTTTTGTGTCTCTAATCACAGGATCAAATTCACACATAACAATATTAACTTTAAATGTAAATGGACTAAATGCTCCAATCAAAAGACACAGACTGGCAAATTGGATAAAGAGTCAAGACCCATCAGTGTGCTGTATTCAGGAAACACATCTCACGTGCAGAGACACACATAAGCTCAAAATAAAAGGATGGAGGAAGATCTACCAAGCAAATGGAAAACAAAAAAAGGCAGGAGTTGCAATCCTAGTCTCGGATAAAACAGACTTTAAACCAACAAAGATCAAAAGAGACAAAGAAGGCCATTGCATAATGGTAAAGGGATCAATTCAACAAGAAGAGCTAACTATCCTAAATATATATGCACCCAATACAGGAGCACCCAGATTCATAAAGCAAGTCCTTAGTGACCTACAAAGAGACTTAGACTCCCACACAATAATAATGGGAGGCTTTAACACCCCACTGTCAACATTAGACAGATCAACGAGACAGAAAGTTAACAAGGATACCCAGGAATTGAACTCAGCTCTGCACCAAGCGGATCTAATAGACATCTGCAGAACTCTCCACCCCAAATCAACAGAATATACATTTTTTTCAGCACCACACCACACCTATTCCAAAATTGACAACATAGTTGGAAGTAAAGCTCTCCTCAGCAAATGTAAAAGAACAGAAATTATAACAAACTGTCTCTCAGACCACAGTGCAATCAAACTAGAACTCAGGATTAAGAAACTCACTCAAAACCACTCAACTACATGGAAACTGAACAACCTGCTCCTGAATGACTACTGGGTACATAATGAAATGAAGGCAGAAATAAAGATGTTCTTTGAAACCAACGAGAACAAAGACACAACATACCAGAATCTCTGGGACACATTCAGAGCAGTGTGTAGAGGGAAATTTACAGCACTTAATGCCCACAAGAGAAAGCAGGAAAGATCCAAAATTGACACCCTAACATCACAATTAAAAGAACTAGAAAAGCAAGAGCAAACACATTCAAAAGCTAGCAGAAGGCAAGAAATAACTAAAATCAGAGCAGAACTAAAGCATCTTTTATTTAAAAGAACAGGAAAGCATGTTTCAGTTCAGGAAGGATTTAATTTATAACGTGCATATGTTTTTAATTCAGGAAGATGGGAATTTGAGAGGGTGGAAAACAACTAGTCATCATAGGTGAATTTTTCTGACAACAAAGCCTCCTAGTAAATGAGACCAAAGTAAAGGCAGAACTGTGTATAATCAGAAAATGAATAAAAATTTTCTGATCAATTGACTAACATTTCTGCTCATGTTTCATATTCAGGCATAATTTCCACTTCAGAAGAAGTAACTCCTTCACCTGGTAATGCCCTCTGCCCACTGCACTACAAATGTATGCAAATGGGACACCAGGATCACCTCTGTCCACCACTGGGGCCAAGACTAGGCAGGCTTGGGGGCGGTGTGGTATCAAGTTATCATCGTCTTTGAGCAGGGTGCCTCATCCAGGCCAGACCCTCTGCCTGGCATGAGGTGGTGGTTGGAGGATGGTAAGATAGAGAGAGGACTTTCCTGGCTAGGTTCGATCACCTGCCATGGGCTCTGGTACCATCGTGCCTCTCTCCTTCATAGCACTTGCTACAATTGCAATTTTACATTTATTTGTATAATCACTTGACCTCATCTGAATTTCCCATGACACAGTCCTGTCTTTGAGGACAGAAAGAACCTATGTAGTTTTGTTGGCTGTTTTACTCCAGCCCTGGCACAGTCCCTGGCACAGAGGAGTGGGCAGTCAATATTTGTTAATTAAATCAATGAAGACCATGATTTCCGTGTTCTAGGGACACAGAGAAGAAAACAAATTAACTATGAAACAAAATTTGTTTGCCATTTGGTAGGTTTTGACCAATTACCTTTTCTCATTTCCAGTGTCTTTGAATACTGCTCTAACCACCTCAAAAGGTAATTTAAGTGTTATTTTGGGTTCCATCTGGCTTGCTATAATTTTTTTTGTTTGGTTTTCCAGTGAATTGATTAAACAACTTTTTATGTCCTGGTCAAATTCTTTCATTTTTAGTCATCTTTTGAGTTTTAAAATATGTTTATATTAACCTTACTCTTAAAGGCCATCTCTGATCCCCTGATGATGATCAGTGAATTCTGGGCAACTCAGCTCAATGCATAAGCCAAGGGAAAAATTTGTTCAACCCATTAGGCCAAGTTGAATCCATGAAGACATTCACTGACTGGTAGTCTAAGGCAGGGATCCTCAACCCCCAGGTCACAGACCAGTAGGGCTCTATAGCCTGTTAGGAACTGGGCCACACAGCAAGAGGTGAATGATGAGCAAGTGAGCATTACCACCTGAGCTCTGCCTCCTGCCAGATCAGTGGCAGCATTAGATTCTCACAGGAGCACAACCCTGTTGTGAACTGCACGTGTGAGGGATCTAGGTTGAGTGTACCTTATGAGAATCTGACTAATGCCTGATGATCTGAGGTAGAACAGTTTGATCTTGAAACCATCCACCATCCTCCCCGCCATCTGTGGAAAATTTGTCTTCCACAAAACAATCCCTGGTGTCAAAAAGGTTGGGGACCACTGGTCTAAGGTAATCACCTACTTGAGTCTGTGGAGAGAACTTCTCCTGGAGACCAGCCACCAAGTGGTGTTTCCAGAATGGAAAGAAGTCAAGCCATGGTTTTCCCTGATCCTCCTTGACGTTTGCCAGCATTCAGTGAGGATGGCCAAGGCAGTAAGAGATGCAGAGTTGACCAAGACAGCAAGTAACTTGCCTCTTATACAACAGATTTGGAGTGATGCTGGTTGGAATTATCTGAGGAGTTTCTAATGTGACTCTGGGTTCGAGAACTTCACAAGTAGAGTGTAGAGGGATTTGTGGGTTTTTTTTTTTTTTGTGAGGGAAGGGGGATAATAAGAGGGTGGTCTTCCCTGCTCTAGGTGTTGAAGCAAATGAGGTATAAAACATCAGATTCAGCAGCAAAATGAAGCCTTTATTACTGATAAAGCTGGATTGGCGGGAAACAGTACAAAAGACAAATGGACCTGCCACCCCTCCCCACTCTCAGCTAGATCTTAGGACAGCCCACTAGGGAAAGTTCCAGTCTGCAGAGCTGACCCTTTCCTGGGTCACTGCCACCAATCATTTGAAAGGAGGAGAAAGGCCGGGAAAGCAAGTACCCACTCACAGAATCTTTGTTAGATTAACTCCATGCCACTGAGAAACCTGGCCCATGGCTGTGGCCCCCCCCAGACAGTCACCTCTACCTCCATGGGAAGAAGTAACATGTTGGCAAGAGGAATGGAGACCCACAAGAAGGAATGGAGGGCTGGCTTGGAGGCAGTGGGGGGTCTGGAGATGCCTTGCCACGGCTCCTGGCTGCAGAGCAGGAGGACAAGCCTGGCAGTCACTGATCCAGGACACCACCTTCCTGTCTCCTGCATCTTGTAGAGGCATGTGTGCCTGACGAGACGGTCTTATTGCTCCCTTGTCCTTTGTGTTCACCTGCAGCTTCCATCTCCACTCCCGTGACCTCCACACCAGGTAGAACACTCTGTCTGCTATCCCATCAGTGCCTCTTCTTGGAGATCTGTTTATCAAAATGAAACTCAAAAATTTTGTCCCCAACATAGCCTCAGTAAAAACAGAAACCCAGGAGTCCCCTCCACTGGTGTATGTCTCTTCTTCCTTTTATCTCTAGAGATCTCTTCAACCTCAGCAGAAGTGACCTTTCCACCTGGTAAAGTCTCCTTTGTGGTACTGTTTAAGTTAATGAGACTGGCTTCGTATGTGTCATGTTCTATTCAGAAAATAAGCCTCAGTTATGATCATTTTTACTGCAGAGTAAAACTCAATGAAAAGACACAGCTGGCCTTCTTCCACTCATGTTTGTATCCTGCTCTCTTTGTTAATACACAGATGCATCTTCAATCTCAGCAGAAGCGGACACGCCCTCTGGTAATGTTTTCTGCCTGTCATATTTCCAAAGTTCAATATGATCAACTTTTTCCCTTTCTCTGTGGCAAATCAACATATATAGGTACTGGCTATTCTGTCTATGGTATGAGCCTCAGTGTAAACAGAAACCCCAGCATCCTTTTCACAGAAACTGAGGTTCATGTTCTCTTCATCCATAGACACAAAAGTGGCCCCCGCACCAGGGCACACCTTCTGCTTGCTGTACTGGTTTTGATCAGATGTGCCCATGGGAGGCCAGGGCTAGGGGTTCACACTTCTCCTGCTTGGCCTGTGTGTGTCATGCACTGGTCTTGATCAGATGTGCCCACGGGAGGCCAGGGCTGGGGGTCCGCACCTCTCCTGCTTGGCCTGTGTGTGTCATGCACTGGTCTTGATCAGATGTGCCCATGGGAGGCCAGGGCTGGGGGCCCGCACCTCTCCTGCTTGGCCTGTGTGTGTCATGCACTGGTCTTGATCAGATGTGCCCATGGGAGGCCAGGGCTGGGGGCCCGCACCTCTCCTGCTTGGCCTGTGTGTGTCATGCCCTGGTCTTGATCAGATGTGTCCATGGGAGGCCAGGGCCGGGGGTCCACATCTCTCCTGCTTGGCCTGTGTGTCATGCACTGGTCTTGATCAGATGTGCCCATGGGAGGCCAGGGCCGGGGGTCCCCATCTCTCCTGCTTGGCCTGTGTGTATCATGCACTGGTCTTGATCAGATGTGCTCATGGAGGCCAGGGCTGGGGGTCTGCACCTCTCCTGCTTGGCCATATGTGTCATGTTTCAGGTGATGCTTTGACCCAGCAAGCACACCTGAACACAAACATGAAAAAACTGGGTTGTGATAGTGTTAGTTCTATCCATCTGCCCTTCTGTTTTCCACCATGTAGTTGGTCAAACCAAAACATTCCTCTGCATTTGCAGATACGACTCCCACTGCAGCTGAAGCCCCTTCTTCACCAGGTATGCTCTCTGCTCCTTGCAACAGCCCTCATGAGTGGCTTTCTCAGAATGCTCAGCCCAGCAAGAGTTTACACACCCAGAATAAACACTTCTGTTTCTCCAGGTGAGGTCAGGGGAGAAGAGAGGAGAAGTCAGGGGAGGCCACTCAACTCCCCAGAGGATTCCAGGCCACTCCCCTATCACTAGTCATGAAACTGCACGCAGTGAAGGTGGATGCTGGGGACAGGATAAATAGGATAAAATAGCTTAAAATCTCAAGTCTAGAGTAGGGATTCCCAAATGCTTATATGTGTGTGAGCCTCATGTGGAACTTGTGAAATGCAAATTCAGTGGCTCTGGGTGGAGCTTTTCTAAGAGGCTCCCAGGTGATGCCGCTGCTGCCGGTCATGGACCCGGTTGGGGGAGTAAGGTGTTGAACCACCACCCTCATTTTGGAGGAAAATGAGGCCCAAAGAAGGAAAAGATTTGCCTAAAGTCACAGAGCTAGGGCAAGGCAGAGCCAGGTGTCCTGACTCCTATCCAAAGTCCTTTCTGCTCTCATGCTCTGCTGATGAATCCATCTGTGTGATTCTCCCAAATCCCTATGACATTGACGTCTTCAGTAACAAGGCTCTGCTGCTTTCTTCTCTTTTATTTATTTTCTTTTTTCCCCCAAGTCCTGGGTACTTTGAAGACATATGGGGGTAAAATTCAATGAAACCAAAGTTCAGCACTTTCTTTTCACCTATGTTTAAGTATGGCCGGCCTGCCTTCTTGCCTGCCTGCCTGCCCTCCCTCCCTCCCTCCCTCCTTCCTTCCTTCCTTCCTTCCCTCCTTCCTTCCTTCCTTTTCCTTCCTTTCTTTCTCCCTCCCTCCTTCGCTTTCCTCCTACCTCCATCCCTCATTTCCTCACTTCCTTCCTTCTCACCCACACCATGACTCCACTTTTGCCAGAAGATTCCTTTGCTTGTAATTCTCACTGGCTCTTGACATCACATGAGGCAACCTTTTCTCTGTGGATCTGGTTGACGGTAATTGGGTTGCTTTGGTCACAGATTAGGTGACACTCAGAGGGTTTTACTTCCTTTGTGAAGGCATGACAGCGAAATCACTTCCTGTTTGCTCGGGAAGGGCCACCTTGGAGTGGGAGAAAAGGTGTGGTGGCCATTAAACCCTTACCTTCCTTCCCCTTCATCCCTGATTAACCACATGGAGCCCGGGTGAATGCGACTCCCACATGTTATACTCCTGAAAGGCAAAGTGCTTAGAATACATGCTTTGGAGCCTCATGGGCTTGAATTGTGGATAACCTGAGCATGCTATAAAACCCCTGAGTCTCCATTTCCTCATCTCTAAAATAATTGTCATGAGGACCAGAGATGCAAATTATCTGACACATTGTAGATGTTCAAAATAAGAATTGTCAGTCTCCCTCACAAAATGCCAGCCTCTCGTACTCCAGTTTATGCCTGAATGTGTAAATCCACAAGATCAGTGCACGCGGTGGATTTCTACTGCATATCACAGATGAAATAGGCTCGTTTTCATACATTTATAGTCTACAGTGTAAAATTTCAATGAAGCCAAATTTTAATGCTTTCTTTTCAAGAGAATATTTTTTTTGAAGCCACAGATCTAATTTCGACCAAAGTGACACCATCACTCTGTAACGATCTTATGTCTGTTGCTAGATTAATGCTTCATTTTATTATTTGCACTACTATATTCTTTCATAAAATCCATTGCTAATTTTTCTACCAGGCTTTCCTCTGTATATGTTACTATGGAATTACATCTCTCAGATATGACCTTTTTCTTATCTAAAAATATTTCAGAGGAAACTAACTTGATTTTCTTGGCTTCATTTTCAGCCCCTATAAAAATGTTTTCTACAAAATATGTTTTTTTAATTCTTCCTTTCAAAATTCAATATATTTATAAAGCTTTTTTCTGACCATTGAATACATTATTTTATATCTGGAGAATAAACAGGATACAGCACTGCTTATTACATTTATTTATTTATTTATTTATTTATTTATTTATTTATTTATTTATTTTGGGATAGGGTCTTGCTCTGTTGCCAAGGCTGGAGTGCGGTGGTGCAATCACTGCAGCCTTGACCTCTTGTGCTCAAGTGATCCTCCCACCTCAGCCTCCCGAGTAGCTAGGAACACAGGTGTGCACCACCCTGTAGCTATTTTTTTACATTTTTTTAATACATACTGGATCTCGCCATATCGCCCAGGCTGGTCTTGAGCTCCCGGATGCAAGTGATTCTCCCACCTCAGCCTCCCAAAGTGCTGGGATTACAGGTGTGAGCGCAGGCACCTAGCCATTTAATACATTTTGATGGCAAAAAAAGTAAAACTTAATGGATAATATTTCTGCACCCAAACTAAAGTAGGAACTTAAACAATGTATTGCTATCTGAAATTACAGAAAATGTTTGGTTCTTTTTCAGGTTTGAATATAAATATGAACACATATTTTTGAAGTTTATTTTTTTTCTTATTTACAGTTAAAATTTCAGTTGATGAAAAGATGGTCCCTGTACTTGGTAATTTTTGTCTCTAAACACTAAAATGATCATAACTCTATTAATACTGTTAGGATCATATTTATTTTTCATTTAACTTCCTTACTCTTTACAGGAAAATTTTATGAGCTTGTAGGTGTGTATGTGCAGACACAGGTGTGTGTGTGGATACACATGCACTTTGTGGGTTGAAATCCCAAAATTCACTTTCCAAAACCTTACCCAGAAGATATTTACCCTTATTCATAGTTCAAACAAGCATGGTTATCTTGCTTCCAATATTACAGCAATAAATATGATGAGGAGAGTGACCAGCCTAGACCAGCATACTACAGTCACAGAGAAACAGAAGCCTGTGGTGTTTAACATTCACTAAGCATCTTCTATGTGTCAAACAGAGCAGAAAATTGAAAGATGCAGTCACCACAGGCTGATATAAAGGCAAATCATTCTACACATGTCTGTGGGCATGATACCACCAACAGAATATAGATTTTATTTTTTATTCTTTTTATTTTTCAAATCAACCTTTTTGAAGTATAATTTCTATACAATAAACTGCATGCATCCATGAGTTTTGTCTAACATACACAACTGTGTAGCGACCACCACCATCAGGATAGAGAGCATTTCCATCATCCCAGGAAGTTCCCTCATGCCCTTTCTCAGTAAATCTCTCCCACCTTCTCCAGGCAAACACTGATCTGCCTTCTGTCACTATAGAATAGGTTTGTTTTTCTAGAATGTCATATAAATGGAATCAAATAACATGTGCTGTCGTGTTTCTAACTCCTTTCACTTCAAATGTTTTTCAGATCCATAAAGGAACAAATGTATTGGTCATTTGTGACTTTTTTTTACTGCGCAGTGTTATTCCACTGTGTGCCTATACTATGATTTACCCCTTCTCCTGCAGATGGGCACCTGGATGGTTTCTGGATTTGGGCTGTTGTGGAGGCTTCTGCTGTGTCCAAATCTTTCTGTGGACATGCACATTCGTTCATCTTGAGTAAATACCAAATGGAAGAGCTGGGTTGTACAATATGGTTTTTAGAGCGAACGTATGAGCTCTTCACCATCAAGAGTAAAAGTAATTTCACTGGATACATGTTTGATGAGTCAAGGCAGTGCCTCATTTTAGAACAACTGTCTCCTAAATATTTGGAAGTGTTTTGGTTTTTTGTTTTGCCTGTTTGCTTTGTTTTCTTTGGGTTTTTATATTTTTGCTTGAAGACTAAGTTCTTAGGTACCTGGAAAACTAGGCTTGCCCACAAGGACCATTCCTTGAGGGCTTCAGATAATTAAGGCTTTACTGTATGAGAGAAAGTGTGTGTGTGTGTGTGTGTGTGTGTGTGTGTGTGTGTGTGTGTGTGTGTGTTGGAGAACAACAAAACCAGAAACAGTTCGTATTGCAAATAGCAAGTGGCACCCTGCGATCCTGTCCAGGATGGAAACCTGACCTCGAGTTTCTTCCCACCTGACCGCTTCTCTCACCATGCAGAGCCGCCCCTGCGCCTGGCGGGCGGGCGGAGCCGCTGTGAGGGCCGGGTAGAGCTGCGGCACCAGGGCGTGTGGGGCACGGTGTGCGACGACCACTGGAACATCAGGAACGCCCGTGTGGTGTGCCGCCTCCTGGGTTGCGGCCGTGCTCTGGGCGCCCCGGGCCGCGGCCGCTTTGGCCAGGGCACCGGGCCCATCCTGCTGGACGACGTGCGCTGCACCGGCCACGAGAACGCGCTGGAGCGCTGCACCCACTCGGGCTGGGCCCGGCACAACTGCCAGCACCGCGAGGACGCGGGCGTGGTGTGCGCAGGTATCGCGTCCTCTGCCCACCCTGCCTTTCCTCTCCTCACATTCCTGGGGTCCAAATTCACCATCCTGGGGATATCAGGTGCGGCCAGGGTCCCAGATCCTATGGTACCGAGGGCATGTTGGTTAGGTACACTTGCTGGTAAACGTTTTAATCATCCAGGCTTGGGGGCGCACTCGTCACTTTTGTCCAACTCCACTTCAGCTCAGTATTGGTTCTGAAATACAGTTAAACGATGATGGGGTCAAAGGAAGGAGTGGCGGTGTAACAAAATGACTAAGGCCGTCGAACTTGCTGCTGTTTGTCTACGATTTGTCCAGTCCCTCTTTCCATCTCGGAGGAGGGCTTCAAGAGCATAGTCCTGGTTAGACACTCCTCCTCACCTGGCCCTAACCCTCAGAAGTCAGAAAGACACCCCAGGGTGTCCCTGGCTCCTCTGATGTCCCTTTCATCCAAGATTTGGCCTATACCTTTCCTGGAATGTATTTTGTCACCCAATATCTGTCTGGGCATTCTGACTTCAAGAGGTTGACTACCTTCTGTATGGAGCAGTGCTTCTTTATATGTGCCCTAAACTTACCCTAAACGTCAAGGAGTTATGGAATTCTAAGATTTGAAACACAAGTCTGAGCTCAACTTGTCTATTCCATTCTTAGTTTTTTATGGGTAAATCAAAGGAATTGTTGCCATTGCTTTTGCCTTTGTAGATGGTGCCTTGTTTTGCATAGACATGGGACCCAACTAGAAAAGCTGTCAGAGGCCCCTGAAGACAGACATGAATCACACCCAGCCAAGGAGTATGAATGTGTGCTAGGGTCATGGGGCCCTCACCTTCCAGATCCTTGTTTTGATTATGTCAGTTCCTGGTTCCAGCTATTCCTGATGCTGTCAGGGGACCGATTCTAAATGACGATCCATTTTCCATTCTTGGATTATATACCAAGTGGATCCTTTGGACATTCACTGAGGGGTTAAGTGAACTTAGCTGGCCATGCTTCCTGGGCTGGGTGTTGGCTCTGGGGTACTGTCCTGCCTTGCTTCTGAGCTGGAGAAGACTTTGATATCTGCAAATTACATCTTTCCCAGCTTGAGGCTCCAAGCGTGTCACGTGCTTGGGAAAGGACACCAATCAGTGTTCATACACAGGATAGCATTATAACCTTAGAAGCCATGTGTCTACTATTCTCTTGCTCCAATAAATCTTGGAATTGATGATATATGTATTCTCAACTCTAGTTCACACATGCCAGGCTCCAGCTCCCTCAGGAGGCCCTGGGCCCTCCTTTCCTTTGCATGCTCTGGAAAATTCTCATGCCACTGTACCCCAGCTTTAGTAGCGAAATCAAATGAGCCCATTCCCCTACACTTCATGTCTACTACCAGCTACATTATCCTCTTGCAGTGTTCCAACACAGTTGACATTTGTTTTCATCCTTCTCTCACCAGGTCTGGCTGACTCTCTTGTACCTAAGGACAATGGTAAAGTCTTCCCTCTAGCGTCTGAGGCTAAGGATGCTGATGGGGGAGCTGAGAGAACAGCCAAGCAGGGGAGAAAGAACAGGCTGTGATGGGGACCCGCTTCTGTGTTTACACTGAGATCTCTGGATTTCCACCCACTCGCTGGGTTTTAGGAGGTTGGGAAAAAGCCCCTTTGCACCCAGGCTCCCTTTCTTCAACTTACCTCCATACAAAGACCCAGATAGATCGTGTTCAGGTGCACAGTTCTCAACATGAGAAATGAGCCATGCATGGAATGTGGGCTATGGGTAGGATTCCCCATGGGTGTGGGGTGACCTCAAAGCCTTCTTGGAAAAGGGTTGGTATAAGTAAAATTAATGAAAGTCAAGTCAAGGGTGGGATATGAGGAGAGCTGAGCCAGCTCCAGCTCAGGGCATTGTTCATGGTAGTTTAATGAAGTAAAGATATACACGCACCCAGGACCTACATGACCAGTGAACCAGTTTCTCTTTGTGAGGATTTCTTCATCTTCCCCTCCTGCAGCCCAGCTATCCTGCTTGCCTCACCTCTTCCAAGCCGTCATTGACCGAGGCTATCTCCGGAGGCTGGGCTACTCCTCCTGGGACATCCACTTAAATGATGAGCTATGTCGCCCCAAAGTCATGGGACGCTGCCTGATCTTCAACATTCCCTATGGCCACTGTGGCACTATCCAGCAGGTAGGACACTTCCCAGGTGGTGCTACCCTTCTGCAGATGAGGCCCAGGTGAAAAATTTGGGAAATTCAACCACCTATTAAAAATCTGTGTAAGGACAGAGGAAAAGTGCAAACCATAACTTCATTTCTGAGTTTGGTAAGACAGAGAGCAGCTCATTAGTTTGTCTGAAACTTTCCTTCCTTTGGGGAATTTGGGATACACAATAACAAGTATTGAGTGCTGATGGGCTGATGGATGTGTGGATGGATGGATGGATGGATGGATGGTATATTCTTTTCACTCCAGAGGCAATGTATTTTCCACACATGCCTCTTGATTGAGCATTGGTGTACACCTACCATGTGCAAGCTATGGTGACAGGCATGAGGGAAGACAGATTGTCCACTTGCCCATCTGACTGCTAGGTTTCTAAGCAGGTAACTGCATTCCATGATCAAGAAAGCAAACCTTTAGGACATTTATAAATCATGACATATATATGTTTATTTAGTTTTCCTTGACTACTGGTTTATTTCACAAAACAATGGTATTGAAATTAAGGAAACAAGTACACGAGAGATATAGGGAGAGTGTATAACCACAGAATATTTTTTTCTCAGTATTTAAACAGGATAACCTGTTCCCAAGCAAGATCCCCATACTGCTTCTCCATTCTTGTACATCCCCTGATTAGACACAAACATGAGGCCAGGAAACCCTTGGCATTGTTAGAGGTTGAAGTCATTCACATTTTATCTATTTCATTGTACAGATCGTAGTCATTCCTATCCTTTTTGCTTTGACAATTCTACTTTTTAACCTCAGAAGTTTCTGCCCCAGGATCCATGCCCCCTGTGTCTGGGAAGTGGGCACCCTCAGGGAAGCCTCTGGGCCATCAGGGAAGACCCTGCAAATGTTCTCTTTCGCCTGGCTGGCTCAGCTTCCCCTGAAAACCCCATGAGCTGACCAGGGTGCTGGGGTAGCAGTCAGCAGGATCAGAGAGCACTGATAAGGAAAACACTGCTGCACAGAGGTCCATGTCTGCTTTCAGAGTCAGTGGATGGGTCACCTTCTAGGTGCTGGGGACACAGCAGCCGCAAGACTGACAGAGCCCCTGGTCCATGGCCCTTACATTCACGAAAAGGGGGACAGGATCAGACCAAACACCCAAACCAGGGTCCTTTTTATACCAAAAGAGGTTACGAAGACAGTAAAACAAGGGAGGGGTAGAAGAGTCATTTGGGGTGGAAGGGAAGCCGTGTTGAATAGGCTGGTGGCTGGGAAGCTGAGCCTGCCCTGGGGTGGGGCAGCCAGGCAGAGGATGTGGGGATCAGCCAGGGCTGAGGTCCTGAGGCAGCCGCAGCCTTGGGGCTTTCAAGAAGAGACTGGAGGCCAGGAAGCCCAAGATCAGAGTGGAAGAAGGGCAGGACCATGTGGGTGAGGAGTTTGACTTTTATTCTAAGTCAGAGATTCTCAAGGAGGGTAATGTCACCCTTATGGGCAGCAGGGAAGATAGATATTGGTTCTTAGAGGCAAAAATTATAATATCTTTCTTTCTAGCTCAAGCACAGATACACATCTGGTATATAAACACTATACTTGTATTACAACTCATAGTCAGGGTTTGAGAGAGGCCAGGATGAGTAAGATGTCTACAAAGGCTCCTTAGTGGGACCATGGTGGAAGAAAGTTGACAAACATTGGTCTAAGCTGACAGGGCAGTTCTTGGAGTTTCCAAGCAGAATGTCACAGGATCTGAGTCCCACAAGCTGAGGCTTCTTTGAACAAATGTTCCCGGGCAGGCTAAGCCTCTAGGCATCTACACAGGGCATGAGAGGCAGGGACCCCTGCCTGTTGGCCCCAGCACAACCTTACCTCCTGCAAGTCCTGTTGGATTTGAAGGCTGGGAGTGAAGTTCAGCAGGGCCAGGCCCACAGCTCACATGGAGCCAGTACTGGTCTGGAGTCAAGGGCAAGGAAGAGACCAAAGAGAGGACAAGAGCTCTGGGGATGGTGGGGTTGGCCTTTGGGAGCCTGCAGGAATCGAGCTTGTGGGGGAATTCAGCAGAAGGGGAGCTCAGAGCAGCTGGACCTGCCACCCCAGCTCACAGCTAGCACAACAGCTTAATCCTCACAGGATGGCAGGGACAGTCCAGACTTGCCCACTGGGGGCTCCCTGCGTGCACCCCACATGTCATGTCACCCCTTTGTGGTGTTAAGTATCACAGAGGTCTGGCCCCGGGAGGTCTTCCCTCCTGCAGGTCAGCAAGCTGGTGCCAAGTGGGGTGGGAAGGAGAGGTCTCAGCTCATGGAGGCAGGTGCTTGTCAGGGAGCCAAGAGTGCTGCCCACAACTCTTCTCTCATCCTCACAGGAGCACCTTGGCTCCCTCAGCTACTCTAACTCCATCAGAGGCCGGAAACGGGGCCACCCTGGCCGAGTCATTGTGCGGCACAAGGTGCCCAAGCTGAAGTTCACCTGTAGGGCGGACGGCCCATCCACAGTTGAAATCATTCATGGGGATGACGCCCCAACAGAGGGTGCTGGCTACACCGTGTCTATATCCTTCCTCCAGTCCCCTGAGTCCCAGCATGTGGGAGGCATGGTGCCCTACTATGACAGCCAGAGGAAAGAGGTCTTCCTCCAAGCCACCCTCCACAGCCCCAATCCCAACCTGATGCTCTTCGTGGATACCTGTGTGGCTTCTCCTGATCCCCATGATTTTACAGCCATCAAGTATGATTTGATCCGGCAGGGGTAAGGAAGATGGAAGGCCCTCTGGGGTGGACTGTTATATTCACCTGCTGTGCCTTTAGGGAACCTGTGGCTTCTCAAGTGGTATTCCTACATCAGAACTTTGTGCAGACTCCTCACTGTGTCTCAGGCACAGTGGGGGCCCTCAACATCATCTGATCACAAGTGGGGACAAATAGTTATAGGCAGGCAGTTATAGACACCTTCCCTTAACTCCCCACAGTCCTAGGGAGGGCTCTTGCTGCCCTGGGCTCTGCTGCCTCACTTCACCCTTTCATGTCCATGCCTCCTTTCCTTCCAGCCCCTTCCAGCCGTATGACTTCACTGGACTCCCCATTCATAGTGCAGGCCCTCGGGGCATTGGCCTACACTGATGAACTAATAGGTTATCCCAAGCTAAGATCTTAGTTATACTTGTGAGACTTATTCTGGCTCCTTTGGTTAACCAAAAGATTTGCCAAGTTAGAACTTCGGCCAGTTGTTTGCGTTTATAGCTCTCTTGTCCCCTAACAGAGGCAAAGTGCTTATAGATGGGCAGTTCGCAACAAGTTTGAAAACAACAAAAATCCATCACTTACTACTCAATGGCAGTTTTAGAGTGGTGAGGACCACGGCACCCTAAAGTCCATGGAGAGCACTGTGGTACCTGTTTCCAAAAGCCAGGGGACGGACAGGACACAGCATCTTCCACAGGCAGTGTGAGCCATGGTGTGAGAGGTGCACAGAGGTGGCACTAAACTGCATTGAGCCACAGAGTGAGAAAGCTCTTCCCTTTCAACCCCACTTATAAATATATCAGGCAAGAGGCTCTGTTTGGTGCCAGAATTTAACAACGGACATTTTTTTCTTCTGCTTTCTTCAGCCTTAATTTGTGCTTCTTCCTCTAGTTTTCAAAGCTTAGACTATAGATTTTAGATATTTCTTCTTTTCTAAAATATGTGTTTTATAAATTTCCCTCTAAGCACTGCTTTAGCTGCATTCCACAAATTTTTGATAACTTGTATATTCATTATCACTTAGCTCAAAATATTTTTTAATTTCTCTTTTGAGATTTATTTGACCCATGGGTTATTTAGAAATGTTTTGTTTAATTTCCAAACATTTGGGAATTTTCCAGGAATTGTTCTTATTCAATTTTGAGTTTAATTCCACGATTCTGATAATGTATTTTGTGTGATTTTTGTTCTTTTAAATTTGTTAAGGTGTCTTTTATGGCCCAGAATGTGGTCTGTCCTGATGAATATTCCATGTGGGCTCGAGAAGAATGTGTGTTCTGCTGTTGCTGGATGGAGGGCTCTATAAATGTCAATTTGATCTAGTGGATTGGGAGTGCTGTTTAGGTCATCTATATCCTCACTGATTTTCTTCATGCTGGATCTGTCAACTACTGTTGGAGGAGTTTTGAAGTATCTGGCTATTATAGTGGATTTGTTGATTTTCTTTGCAGTTCTATCTAAAACTGTGTTACGTGCTTACATAAGAAAAATTATTGTGTCTTCTTGGAGGACTGATCACTTTGTTTTCATATAATACCCCTCTTGCTTCCTGATAATTACCCTGGCTCTGAAGTTTATTTTCTTCTGAAATTGATGTAGCTACTCCACCTTTCTTTTGATTAGTATTTGCACGGTATATCTTTCTTCATCTCTTTACTTTTAACTTACCTGTGTCTTTATATTTAAAGTGGGTTCCTTGTAGACAATAAATAGTTGGGACTTGTTTTTTAATCTACTCTGCTTCTAAATTGCTATATTTAGACCATTTATATTTAAAGTGATTCTTGATATCATTGGATTAAAATCTACCATCTCAGTAACTGTTTTCTATTAGTTGCATTTGTTCCTTGTTTGTCTCCTCACACTCTTTTTGCTGCCTTCTCCAGTTTTAATTGAGCATTTTATGTGACTCATTTTTTCTCCTCTGAATGCATCACTTCTTAATTTTTTTTTTTTGGTGGTTTCCCTAGGGTTTACTGATGTACATTTTTAAATAATCCAAGTTTGCCTTCAAATAAAACCACCAACACTTTTCATCTCTCTTTGGACAAAACAGAGTAGGCCTTTTGAAGACAAGAGTTCTACCTAGAATTTAATTACTTTTTTTTTGGTTTTATTGTGTTTATTTTCTAGTTCCTTTCTATTTATGTCCAGGAATAGTGGTTTTTCCACTCATAGCAGTGTTAAAAAGTTTCTTTATGAAAGAAAGAGTGGGTAGTGGGAAGAACTCTATTTGCAAATCAGAGATCTGGGTCCATGCCTGATTATCTGGGTTGCAGTAAACTCATATCGTGCTTTAAGTTAATCTTTTTGTCCTGGGGTTTTTCTCCCCATCAGGTGCATCAAAGACAATACCTACATCAACCTCCATCCCCGCCAGAAGAACATGGCTCAGTTCAAGTTCAATGTCTTCAGCTTTCTTGACAGCTATGATGTGGTATATCTGCAGTGTAAGGTTGCAGTGTGCAAGGTGGGGGATTATGCCTCTCTCTGCTCCTGGGGCTGTACAGGACAGAGTAGGAGAGGTGCAGGCCCCATGGAGGCCAAGGAAAAGCAGACTGAGCATTTCCAAATGGTGGGGCCACTGGAGATCCACAAAGTCACTGCTCAGAGGAGGACTCTTGAGTGATTTCTGCAATTTTCATGTAAATCTGTAGAAAGCAAAGTCTATTTCTCTTCAGTAATGTTTGACCAATCAGACGCTATCCGCATAGAGACAGGTCAAAGAAACAGCCAGAGGGGATTGCTTCTCTGAGGTTTGTTACTAAACAAATCTTCTCTGATTACTAAACTTCTAAGGCAATTACTCTCTTTGCTGCCACAAATGCTACATTTTCTAATTCTTGTCTTAAAGTGTACAAAATGTTACAAAGAGCAGGGTTATCTCTCTATACCGCATTGTCAATTTAAAGATTGTCTTTTTAAGTTGACTGTTTAATCATCAGATGCTATTAAGTGGATCTCTGTTTTTATCCTCTGACGGTACGAGGATTTATTTTCAACTCTTGCCAAGAGTCTTAGGTAAAATAAAATAAGTGTCTGTCACTCATTTTTTTTAACTCCACTCATTTTTTTAAACTCTACTCATTTTTTAAAACTCTAACTGGTTGCTTGAATCAAGCATGTCATTCACTCATCACAACAAGCTTTGATCATTTTGTTTTGATGGGAATAAATTGGACCTAGGCTTTGTTGGGTTTGGGTTATAGCTTGCAAATGAAAGGCTGAAATGCAATCACAGGAACCATGTATCTGCTGTCTGAGCTGCTGATGCAGGGCAGGCGAGCCCCAAAGTGGAGCTTAGCCTGCGAGGATTCTTGGCTTTGCCCACGAAAGAATTCAAGAGCAAGCTGGAGGTAGAAGAAAATAGCTTTATCAAAGAGGCAATGTTACAGCTCCAGCGGTGTTACAGCTCTATGACTGCTCCTGCAGAGCAGGGCTACCCTGTAGGCAAAAAGTAGCAGCTCAGGGCAGTTTTGCAGTCATATTAATATTAATACTTACTTTTAATTGCATGCAGATTAAGGGTTGGTTTATGCAGAAATTTCTAGGCAAGGGGTAGTAACTTTTGAGTTAGTGGGTCATTGACATGGAAAGGGGCAGTAACTCCCAGGTGCTGCCGTGGCAACAGTAAATTGACATGGCACACTGGTGGGCATGTCTGATTGAAAGCTGCTTCCACCCCAGCCCTGTTTTAGTTAGTCCTCAATTTGGTCCGGTGCCTGAGCTCTTCCTCTAGAGTTGAAACCCGCCTCCTACTTCACTACCAGGTGTTTGTGTGGCCATGTTCTCAGTCTGTTTCCCAAATCCTCAAAGCATTTGGGAAACTTGAAAAGTACACATAAAACCTGAAAAGCAAACAAGGAAAGCTTAGCTTATTCCTGCATCCTCCCAGAGAAGGAGAGCAGCATCCACTCTCATCTCACTTTCTACCTTAACAGGAAGAGACCTGTGCTAGACTCACTATCCTTGAAGGTGTCTTTAAAAAAACAGACTTGAACATAGTCAGATTTTTATTTTTGCTTGTCAAGAAATATTCAGTAGCAATATTTAAAAGATAGGTCCCCATCTCCAAGGACTAGTTCCCCTCTTTGTCAACAAATGACCTGCACAGGATGGGACTACAGTATTTTCAAGTCCCCCATGGAGGAGGGCAGTTTTGGGTAGAGCCTAGGAGCTAACCCTGAGGTCCTCAAGGTTAAAAATCTGATAAATGACCCAAGGAGGTGTGTAGCCTGTGAGCTGAACATCTGTTTCATTACAAATTTTCCCTTCATCAACAACTGTCTTGGTAAAATATACTGGTATTTATTTTAATGAAGTTCCCTGCTTATACACAGAAATTGATGAAATGTGATTACTGGCCAGTTTGGTGAAAATACTATCTTTAAATCAGAGTCAATTATTTGTCCCTGAGTAGCTCCAACTTTAGTCACATGAAACAATGATTTTAGTATCTGATGTGTATTTCATGCAAGTGCTTCAAATGAATAAAGGAGCTTTTCCAAGTAATTGTAGGCTGCTAGAGTTTCTACTTTCAAAGTCATCTCCCTATTAACTGTATATATTCATAGCCCATAGCATGTTGAGGAAGTAGAAGATAACAGCTACCAAAACCTAGCATTTTATGACTTTTAATAAATCCCTAATATGAAACGTGTTGACAATGAAAGAACTAACATTTTAATAAACAAGGGTCCAAACGAACTTCCAGATCAGTTCCTCTTGGTGTGTGGTTCAAAGGATGGGATCCAGGAAGCAACCTTCTCCAAAAGCATTCCAGGTGATTCTCAGAAAGGCTGAAGTTTGAAAGCCATGGCCACCGTTCAGTTTTCCACACCTCATGGATCAAAATGCACTTCACAGGGAAAAGCCTGCAATCAGGAAACACCAATGGTACAGACCAAAAAGAACCAAGAAAAGCCTGCTCTCTCTAGCCAAAGGACCAGCAAAGGAGCAACTTAGCAAGACAGAAAACACTTAGATGAAAACTGTCCGACTCTAGCTAACTGCCATGGGAAACACTGTGGCCCCACCTTCATCCCAGCCAGCAAATGTTGAGTGGAGAGCCTAGACTTCTGACCTCCCCCAGCACTCCTTCTCTTCCCCTCCCTCATCCTGAGTGATGTCAGAGAAGGCAAAGCGGGCACTGGGATGCTCATCACCTCCAGGTAGTAATGAGACCCTCACCTCCAGCCCTCATGTCAGGTGCAGAGCAGGTAGTGAGGCTAGACTTCCATTTTTACCCCTACTTGGAAGAGATGAGGCACCCTTTTATTCTATCCTGGTTAGAGGAGGCCCAGTGGAGAGCCAGGACTTTCACCCCAACCCAGCAGTAATGAGGTGACCCCCCCTGCCTTGGGAAAGCAGAGGTAGCCTGGATTCCACCCCACCCCGCCCCTCTAGTTTGCATGTGCCTGGTATTCCATTGCGTATCCCTTCGTTTTTAGCCTCTCCAAAACACTTTGTTAGGTAAGTCTTTTGAATACGACGTACAGTTACTTTGTAAAATATTCTGAAAAGCCATCCCTTTTAGGAGTTGAGTAGAATGACCACTCTAGGGGTGACACCCAGATGTCCCCTCAGAGAAAGTCACTCATATCCAGACTGCTGGGAGTGTTGGCGGCTGGCGGCTCTCAGTGCCACCGCTCACCAGGAATTTCCCTCAGCTCAAGGCTTTGTCTAATCCAAGTTCACAGCCCCTCAGTCCTCAGGCAGCCCTCAGGCAACGACTGATCCACAGAAGCATAGACAGGTCTGAGCACCTTGCCTCAGTGGGGCACCTCTGAAGGGCAGAGCGGCCCCAGGACACCCTGGGGGAGTGGCTGGACCCTGCTGCTGCTGCAGCTGCTTCTTTGTGGGCCAACTCCCCTGCTTGGTTCTGCTTCCCTCCTAGGACACGGGGGCTGATCCCGAGCACACGCCTGAGGAAGCCTCCTGTACATCAGCCTCTGCGTCAGAGTCTGTTTCTCAGGAACCCAATCTATGCCAGGTGTGGCCCAAGCATATTAGAAGCAGATTCTAGAACGGGATTTTGGAGCTGGCAGTGAGAACTTCTCACTGATGGTAAGTGGAACATGGATGGCTCCTGACTACAAACACATTCTCTCTTTTTTAATCCTCACCACAGCCCCGGGGGGTGGTAGCTGCTACCAACCCGTTTATTTTATTTTTATTTATTTTTTTTATTTTTTTATTTTTATTTTTTTTTATTATACTTTAAGTTTTAGGGTACATGTGCACATTGTGCAGGTTAGTTACATATGTATACATGTGCCATGCTGGTGCGCTGCACCCACTAACTCGTCATCTAGCATTCGGTATATCTCCCAGTGCTATCCCTCCCCCCTCCCCCCACCCCACCACAGTCCCCAGAGTGTGATATTCCCCTTCCTGTGACCATGTGATCTCATTGTTCAATTCCCACCTATGAGTGAGAATATGCGGTGTTTGGTTTTTTGTTCTTGCGATAGTTTACTGAGAATGATGATTTCCAATTTCATCCATGTCCCTACAAAGGACATGAACTCATCATTTTTTATGGCTGCATAGTATTCCATGGTGTATATGTGCCACATTTTACCAACCCGTTTTAAATTATGGAGACCAAGGCTGAAGGTGACCTAGCTCATGTAACCCACCAGGTAAGTGAGAAGAACTAGAACCCGGGCCACCCACTCCAGACCTAGGAACTTTTATCACTTCTCTGGAGTCCTTTCTAAACAAAGAAAACTTAAATAGTAGCATACATATTGATAATGCATATGCACTGATATTGCAGATATACCTCAATAGCTCCACTACAAGTGATCTTATGATTCATGGTAATATGATTTTACACCATCTAGTGAGTCACAATATTTGATCATTTTCGTAGTGTTACACTTTTGTGCCTGATCTGCATCGGAATCCCTACCATGTTGGCCAGCAGGGAATGTCCAGTCAGTTCTGGATAGAGAGATGGCTGAAGGGCTGTGACCAGACCAGACTGTTTTTAAGCACTTAACCTGATTTGCCCATTCTAATTAAATGTTTAGGGGTTTTCACGTTAGGTTAAAAAATAACTTTACAGTCGTTCAACTTAGGCTACCTGGATGAACATAGAAGAGAGTCACTGTGTGGCTGCCTGACAAAGTATTAATATTTAGGAGATTGACATGGAGATATTGAAAAGAAAATGGGGAAGATCTGCTGTGATTTGGAGCTGGAAAATCAGTGTCCTAAGGGCATGTTCTGTGAGGGCAGAGATTCTATCACATCTCCCGTGTATTCTCTTCAGCATCCTGTAGATGCAATGCATGTTCAGAAGGAAAAATGCCTTTGGGCATTTGGGAATGTGGTTACCTGTTGGGATGCATGTTACAACCTGAAACTATGTGTGTTGTTAGATGATGAGAAAGAGTTGTGTTGATTGATCATCTAGGGTGATTAGATTCTATGTTTTCATGTGTAAAATCAGTGCACACTGGGGTCTTTCATTGTATTTGTTCAGTCACAGTAAATGGGAAAGTGTAAACCCAAACTGGCTACTCCTTGAGGACAATGAACCTTTGGCTTAGGTGCTTGATGGTGAAGGGGGAAAAAAAATGTTTTTATCTCATTAACCCAGAAACGGTATGAAGTCTCTCGTTTTATAGTCACATTTGTCTATCCAAAGCCCTTTCCTGAAATGCTTACAGTGAGAAATGCTGAGGCTCTGCATGAAAGCAGGAAGGCATGTGAATCAAGGAGACTGCGGTTCTCCTTCTCACACTTTAGTTTCAGAAATTCTAACTTTTGATGTTTCAAAGAGTAGCATATTTGCATCTAAAAAGTAAACACATCTATCTTTGAAGGCTACTTTTCTTAAGTAAAAATAACCTTTTTCTTTTCACCTAATATTTGGTTAAAATGTTTTGTATTTATAAAAGGAGGTGTTAATTCGTGTAATTTTTTGTTTTTTTTTTGTTTTTTTTTTTTACAGAGTTTCACTCTTGTTGCCCAGGCCAGAGTGCAATGGCGTGATCTTGGCTCACTGCAACCTCTGCCTCCCAGGTTCAAGTGATTCTCCTGCCTCAGCCTACCAAGTAGCTGGGATTACAGGCATGTGTCACCACACCCAGCTAATTTCTGTATTTTTAGTAGAAACGGGGTTTCTCCATGTTGGTCAGGCTGGTCTCCAACTCCTGACATCAGGTGATCCACCCACCTTGGCCTCCCAAAGTGCTGAGATTATAGGCATGAGCCACTGCGCTTGGCCTCATGTAATATTTTTGTATCTTTAGTTCGTAAAATGAGAGCCAATTGACGTGGTATTTATTTCCATCGTCTTGTAATGAAACACACCGACACAGTGACATGCAGGCCTGTGTGTCACTTTCAGGCCCTTCCTCATTTATTCATAATATGTGTAGCCACGAGGTAGCATTTCCTTTGGCATCCTGGAGAAACATGTCTCACTTAGGGTTGGACCTGTTAGTTAATAGTTCTGCAGCTTCTGGTATTTGTAGTCTGCCCGTTGATTTACAAAATGCCTCACTGTGATTGTCGCTACAGTCACCACATTCAGAGCTAGAACCATGAAGGA
Organism: Homo sapiens; assembly: GCF_000001405.40. Taxonomy (NCBI): domain Eukaryota; kingdom Metazoa; phylum Chordata; class Mammalia; order Primates; family Hominidae; genus Homo; species Homo sapiens. The sequence continues at coordinate 122,832,386 of NC_000010.11, forward strand.
AAACAGATGCACACTGTTGAAAGGCTGGTTTGGAGTTTCTTCCGCATGTGTTTCATGCTGAAATCCTAAAATTGGAAACAAGATGAAAATCACTTTTTAAGAAGTGTTCACATTATAAAATGTTGGTAGCTTTTATAATACCTGTACATATCCTATGAATCTTATATATGAATTAATGTATAATGCATAATGCCAACACAATATAGAGGAACCATTATCAAATAGTTGAATTTATTTATATTTATATTTAATTTTGAACTTGTTTCAAATTGTTGACTTGGTTTGATTTCTCGGTATCACATGAAAAACGTGTAACACTCAAGCATAACAGTCAAATGGAAATGCAGGTTCACTTACTAATGGTCACTGTTGCTCATTGTTGCCAAAATACATTTTGTCAACAGAAAAAAAAAATTTGTTCATTCCCTTGAAATAGGAAAAAGATACTTTTCTCATATTGATGGTATTTCCATAATGACTTCCATTTATAAATTTTCAACTAATTTCAAACCAGCGTCTATAGATACACTATGTAAGCCACTAGTGAATGCGTTTATAAAATTACTGAATTTAACTTTTGTTTTTCTGTTTTTGCCATAGAAATATTTTGCTACAAACCAGAACCATACTCCTTTATAGTGCTAACAAAAATGAATAAATACAGAGATCATAAGGTCCTTTAATGCCATTTACAACTAAAATAACTTCTTATAGTTTTTCTTTCATTAAGGCTTATCTTAAGCCATTTAATTATGAACCTTCCTTGAGTATTTACCATCATTCCTTTCATGCATCTGGGCAGATCTCAGGTTTCAAGCCTTTCAAAAGAAGCAGGGTTAGCCTATGTTAATATAATAGATTCTTTGTCTTTTTTTTTAATAACTTTTTTTCAAATAGGCTATTATGTGGAATGCTGGTTCATTTTGTTTTACTCATTTAGGAGTTAAAACACATTGCTTTTGATTCAATTATCTGCTATGCCATCTATAATAAGGAGTCAGAAAACTAAAAGAAACTTGTTTTTAGAGATGAGGACATTACACTTATACTCAAAATCCAAATGAATAATGGCAAACTATCAGTGTATCATCTGCTTACACTGTACATGGTATGCATATTATCAACTGATGGAAATAAATACTAATCCTATATACTTAAAATTCAACTTATTTGCTAAAGCTACTATTATAAATCTCTAAACTGTACATGCTTAAGAGTTACTGGATTTGAGCAGCATTTTATGAGCCATGATGTGCTTTTGGATCATGGAATAGCTTTTTTCTTACCTGAATTGCCACTTGCACTTCGATCCCTTTTCAGACGAATGGGTCCTATGATGGAATCTGTTTTCCATTTATATGAAGAAATGTCTCGTTTGCTTCTGGAGACACAACCTTGATTGCAGCGAGACTGGTGGTCACTGCTATCACATATCAAAACTTTACACTGCAGATACACAGAGCTCATACTTCTCAAGAATTTAAAGGCATTAAACTGGAATCTCCCATAGTGTCCAAATAAGGGATACACCTTACAAGTTTCATCTCGACTACATCTGGAACAGAATTTATGAACATGTTTAGAAGATACAGACAAATTCAGTCTTTTCCATACTAAAAAGTTTTCTCTCAACTAAGTTGTGAATCCAAAAATCTCTCTCAAAAGACTGTCTCTAGTTCACACTACAGTGAGTTAAGACTATAGACCTGATTCCTGGGTGAGATAGCAAGGTTCTTTCTAGCTCTAAAATTCCTGGTCCATATAACTTAATCAGAAAACCAATACTTACGTATTGGAAGTCAAACTTCTTTCCTTACGTGCTTATCATTAATGTATCAGTACGAATGACGTAGTTAAAATCCAACAAATTGTAAGGAAAAAAGGAAATTGTTCCTTTCAAATAAGAACGTTATACTTTTTCTCTTAAGAATGCTACATATGTTTTACTGATGGCGTTATATTTTAAAGATAACGCACATGAAATAATCTTCTAGATTTTTGTTGAAAATAACCAAAACGTACAAAAACCAAAACGCAAATAGAGCTTTTATAACAGAAAATAAATTTGTTTCTACCAGCAAATATTTTGTGAATACACTTAAAATTCTAGATATAAGCTGTGTCTGCATAAATGTTTAAATTTAAATTATTCATAATTAGTACATAGTAACTATTTTATAAAATGATTAGAATAAATGTAATGAAATTTCATGTAGTGCTAGGAAAAATGTATATATACACAACACAAAAAATTACTTTATTGAAATTATTATTCCACAGGAAGGAATATCATACATACATCAGTTACATTAATACATACCCACTCTTGATTAGGTCGTAGGTTGGAGATGCAAAGTCAGAGGTGGGAGAGGCTCTACAGGTATCAAGAAACACCACCAAATTTGGATCTGAGGTGTGCAGACTAACTTGAACAAAAAGAGTTTGGTTCAAATCCACATAATATGGTGATTCAAGTATAGTCTTTTCAAATGAATTGGATTCAAAAAGAGCCATGCTGGTGTTATATTTGCCCAGTGCATTTTGACTTTGTATTACATCATCTTCTGTTATGTATATTATCTCCACTGTAGAATTATGTCCCATTTCACACTTCACAATAATCTGGAGTTGTTTCTGACGGGTGATCACTTCAGAAGTTGAGGATGCAGAAAAGGTGATTATATTGGTGTAAGTAATTGACTGATCTTCTACCTGCAGAACGAGATAGAATTCAATTTTTATATTTTAAGTCCAGTAATATTTTAGAGCATAGATGTGGATAACATTTGCAGGTACAGACATAATTTTCTTAAATCACGAGGTAACAGCTTTCATGTCAGAATACTATAAACCTTAAATGTATTTCATTGAAGAAATATTCTAGGAAAGAAAGTATGAGATGAGAAATACAGCTTGTATTAGAAAGACCTGAAGATAGAATCAGACAATTTTTTTCAGTTACAGTAAAATCCATTTTGATTGCAAATTTCCAGTCTTAAAAAGACATTACACCTTACTATATATTGCTTTCCTTAAAGAGCTTTAAGTTAGTGTGGCTAACTGGGCAGTTTCCAAAATATATGTAGACCAAGGGTCTGCAAGAGGAAGGCCCTTAGCTGCCTTCCCTGGGGGTTCACAGTGTAATAAAGACTGTGCGTTCATTTTTGGCAAGATACGATGATTTACTTCTGTCTTTATCAATTCCTCTGGATTAACCCCCATTCTTTTCAATTAGGTTACTGTTTAATGTCTGAGTGAAAACTTTATAGTATGTATCCTAAAGAGACCAAAGGTTGAAAATGTTTGAAATCTTGAATGGGACTTCTAGAAAATGGAGAACAAATCACAAACTTCCAGTAATATCCTTCATGTTTAAATGGGTTTTTTTAAATGTTTTTTTTTCCTGTCTTTAAAAGGAAAAGAAGAAGATCCTAAAAATTTAGCTAGATTTTCACTAAATACAAGGTGTAAACATTTTCTGCATAAGTGTTACTGGTAGGCTATTAAGCCAACTGCATATAGATGTTCGAACTCTCTTTAGTGAGTTTTCAGAGTTCTTTACCTTCTGGGAAAGATAACTATCCCCCACTTATCCTGAAAATGAATGCAGCAATTTGGCAGCTATGTATGAATGGGTATGTGCACTTATATGTCTTCACATGCTTATCATGTGGTTAAGCCACTAAAATTTGGGGGTCGTTTGTTACAGCAGCTAGCAAGCATTACCCTGACTGCATTGCTCAACATGCACTCAGCATTTGACAAAATCCAGCTATCAGTATTTCACTTTACCTTTCTGATTGTACCACATCCATTAAGAGGGACAGAAAATTCCACAACATTTGATAATTTTGGTCTGCAAGTTGGGTCTTTTAGTTGCAAGTTATTCCCATTAGAGTTAAAAGCCTCTAGGTAGGATTTGCTTATAATAACTCTCATCCTGTCAGAAGAGCAAGTTAAAGATGCTGTCAGGAAAAAAAAAAAAAAAAGAATGGTCATGTTTATGCCAGCTAGGAATGTTGGATCTTGAAGAGCTACGTGTGCAAGTAAATATATAAAAAGTCAAAACCATTTTGCCCTAAACAGTAATCATAAATTTGAGATAGCCAAGCAATTGATTCACCTTTTACTGTGTTCATTGTGACCTTGTTTAGAGCTAGAATCTGCAAACCTGATGTTTTTAATTGTGTCTTTGCAGAAGGAATTAAGGGAAACAGTCCATATTATCTGCATAAATCTTTTTCAGGTTAATAAAATCATTAATTTCCTCTTGCATTAAGCAATGCACAGAAATGATTGTCAAGCTTAAGATTATGAATATGTTCCCAACTACATGTGACATGCTTGCAAATAGGAATAGCCACAGGTAGGCTAAAAATTAACAATTTCTACATATGCAATCTTCGAAGAGCTCAAAATAGCTAAGAATATAAAACATGACTTACTAGTGTTGATGTTTTCTGCATAAATTGAGGTGTAGGAAGCAGAAAATCCCCGGTAAGAATTGGCATAATCTGTAGACAACACGACAGTCAGAGAGTTTGATGACGATTCGAAGGTGGGAGTCACACGGCCACAGACTTGTCCAATCAGGCCAGAGTTGGTGGAGGGGCCATCATAGATGGCAAGAAAATCAAATTTGCACTGTTTGTCTATTTCTAGGCTAGAGAATGAGGGCCTCTGGTGAAAAAGAGTTTCAAACCAATTCAATTCTATTTTCTAACATCCCAACAATCCTACTCTTAAGTGATTATGGATTTTTTTTTTCCTTCAATGGTATCTCAGGTTTACGAAGACAAACCTGGGGTTTTGATAGTCTCTGACAAGGACCTCAGAATCTTCAGAAAAATAGTCAACTTAGTTCAATGGAATAGTATCACTGTTTTCCTTTCTACATCAATTCTTTGAAAAGTGCCCATATATGAGAATTACGTATGATAATTTCTCTTCCCCAAATCCCCCAGTTGCCAGGTGGGTTTACTGCATTTGTTCCAACAGAATTGGGCAGCAGTACTTACAAAATCTCTTTGAAGTTTAGTTTTATCTTGTAATCTTTCTCCACTTGTATGTGCCACACACAATAAGCCAGCTCAGGATGCGGCTTTGGGTAATTGGGGCTGGTGAAGGATCCTTCCAAGGTATCCAGGTAACCGCCACAGTTTGGAATAGCTGAAATGGATGTGAAGGTGGTCAAGAATGAACATCAAAATAGAGACTGCTTTTAATTTCTGTGTTGTGCATTGAGCTTAACACATCTCTCCTGAGTATGATTCCATCTCTATCTTTCCCATGGGTCACATATTGAGGTTTTCATCCTTTTTTATCATTGAAATTTCTGTCCACTGGTGCAGGGCAGAGAGGGAATCTTTATACTATTGCCAAACGAATCATATTAAAGTTGTGCTGTAACATGTGTTGCATCTGGAGAGACTCCCATTACCTGAATTGCGCCATAGAAAATAAAGTCACACCCTCCCTTGAAGGCTCTTCCTCACTCTCACCAGCTCAGCTTTCCAGTCTCATCCGCCACTACTTCATGGCCTTCTGTTCTATCCTCCCTTTCTTCCCATGACTCCTCAGCTGTCAGCTCCAGCAGAGGTGAGTCCTCTTCCCTGACTCCCACCTCCACCTACCCTCGTCATGCTATTGTTCAAAGCTCAGCTCAGAAACAGCCTTCATGAAGCAGCCCTTGGTCTCTCCTTTCCCCAGTAAGTACATAAGGAAGCAGCTGGACAGATGAAATGTGGAGAAACAATGCAGAGAGCTCTTTTTGGAGCTGTAAAATGGTTTAGATTGGCTGAAGCATAGGGTGCACGCCAGGCAGCAGCTAGAGGCAAGGCTTGAAAAGGTGGCCTGGGTCCAGCGTGGGAAAACCTTGACTGCTGCACTCTGGAGATCTGCTGGTACCAAGAAGTCAGTGGTTTTAGCAGGAGAGTGACATGGTCAGCTCTGGGCCTTGGAAAGAAATCCACAGTGGAGCTCTCCTCATGAACCCACTCGCAGATGTTCTTGGCATTCTGCTTCGGATCACAGTGGAATGTAGGTGCTGTGAATGCAGAGCCCTGTAAATGTAGCCTCCAATCACCTGACAGTCTTAAATTTCAATGGTGAGCCCAGAGATTCCCAGCATGCACTCTCCAGTCTTCTTTGTCAGAATCATCCGGGGGACTTGTTAAACAGGAAGGTTCAACAACCCGAACCAAGATCTAAGGAATCAGAGCATAGGGAGGTGCAGTCCCTGAAGAGGCATTGCAGAAGATACCAGGGTTACTATTAAACAGGCTGAATGCAGAATCTCCGCTTTGGGCTCTAACACAGTACCCCTCAATATGTAGCCATCTGATCAGCCCCTTGTCTCTGCCTCATCTGGGAGCTAGTTAGAAAGTCAAGATCATGTGCTCCATCCAGAACCAATGAATCACAATATCTGTGATGGGGTCCAGGATCTGTGATTTAACAAGCTCTCCAGATGATTCTTATGCACATGTAAGTTAGAGAACTACTGCTCTCTCAGATAGAGAAGACTCTGAGGGAATATACTCAGACTGAAGATTATAAGAACCCGGACAGAAGAGTGTGTAACCTGTGCTTGTAGGAGATGTGGGTGAAGGTTGTGTAAATGAGGACTTACAGATGTTAGGAGAGAAGAAGTAGTAGAAGACAAAGACAGTTCTTTGAATTCTTGCTGAGTCAGTAACTATTTGAAACGTCAATGTACTGGATGATGATTCAAATACAGGAACATAGTCGTTTTTACTGCAGACTTGCCCTAGCAGAGGCCCATTGCTGGAGGTTCCGTCAAAGACTTTAATGTTTTCACTTTCACAGCTTCCATCTGGATCAAGCCTGTGGAAAAAACACAACTGTGGCTGAAGAAGTGTCACAAGCAAAGGGGGTTTGCAGAGCAGTCAATTGCTCACCTAGGCATGTAAATTTACAAAGTGGTGGCACATCTGTTTTCATTTAAACCTCTCCAAGACCAATCACCAACCCCACCATCCTCAACATCAAACCACAAACTGTCAACTTTAATGGGCTCAGGGAGATGAACTGCTTTGCCTATGTCTTGTATCAAGTAAATGATGAGGATGCGCCTGGAATCAGAATTCCTTTCCTTCTACCTGTTTCCATCTCTCCTGTTCCCCATGTCCATGTAACTCTTTGATGAACCTTCTTATTTAGAATTGTTTCCCATTGACACTTGATATCCAAGGCTGTTGAAAGGTGAAGCAACTCTTCTTCTTCCATAGCCACCTTTCCCAAGGAAAAGCAAACCTTAGCACCTCCCTAGTTGCTCCTTCCTTCCCTTGTATCACCACTTCCTCATTCTGAAGGACAGTCCCATGCCCTGCACTGGACAGGACAGCCCAGGGTTGTAGTTTGCTGCACATTCTGACAGGGTCTCTCCAAATATCCTCAGAGGACATATGTCCAAAATTATAGGAAGTAAGACAAGGGTAGAGAAATCTGGGTTCTCTTTCCACTTTAGTCACTTACCTGCTGTATAACTTTAGATAAGTGATTTAACCTTTCTTGGCTTCAGTTTTCTCATCTGTAAAATGGGGATATCACAGCCTACTTCTCATTACTGTGTGAAGTTTATAATATTCTGAATATGAAGCACCTGCCACAGGCCTGGCACATAGGTGTTCAATAGATGTTAAATGTTAATTTCTCGCCTCCCTTGCTCTTCCCACAATTTCTCTTCCCCTCTCTTCTTACACAGCAAGAATAGCATATATGTTTCTCAGCAACCATTCCAGGAAATTTGAGGCCTCTTTTGCTTCTTTGAAGGATAAAGTAAATTCCAACTTCAGTGGTACAGGGCTATGGTTCTCAAAAGTGTGGTACTTGGACCTGCAGCATCAACATCACCTGGGCATTTGTTAGCTATGCAGATTCTCAGGTCCCACACACTCCATTTGAATAAGACAATAGAGACTTTGGTGGTGGGGCCCAGCAGTTGTGTTTTAATAAGCTTGCCACAGGCTTCTGATGTATGGTCAAGTGTAAGAACCACTGGGACAGGCGTAAGAGGGGGGCTCTGGAGCCAGGCTGCTTGGATTCAGTTCCTATCCCATTTTTATTATTTTTTAGTCTTGGACCTGGTGACTTCTCTGTGTTTTCTTATCTATAGAATGGGGATTAGACTGCATCTGCCCAGAGCGTTGTTGAGAGGATTAACTAGAGGCAGATAGGAAACACTGAGCGTCTCTGCAGGGCGGAGTCATGTTCTCAGCTTGGCCTCACACTGGGGTCACCTGGGCACTTATAAAAAGCACTTATAAATGTATACTTATTTCAAAATAAAATCTATAAAATAAAAAATATTGATGCCTGGAGTCTACCCCCAGAGATTATAATCTAATCATATGGTGTACAGCCTGGGAGTCTGGATGTGTGAAAGCTCCTCCACTGATTCAAATGCATAGAAAAATTTGGAACCAAAGTTTAGTGTTTTAAGGCCAAGAAACTGGAACTAGACCAGCTAGGTTCTAACTCTGGTCATGCTATTCACTATTTGTGTGACCTCAGACAAGTTCTCAACCTTGTTGTGTTTGTAGTACTATTATAGTGCTGACCTTGAAGGACCTCTGTGAGCCAGTGCCGGGCACACAGCCATCATCAGTGACTATCAGCCATCATCCTCATCACCATCATCATCACGATGGTTGTCAGTGTCACTACCACCTCTAGCAGCAGCTGAATTCTTTCTACAGAGAGTCCCCCTACCCACCCCAATGTGGTCAGAGTTCGATATCCCTTATTAGGAAACTAAAGCTTCTACTTACTGGACATAGGAAAAGATAATTCTGATGCTTTTGTTTTCTGGTCTTTCTATTGTCCAGGTGCAGTTCTCACTGGGATTGAGTTGCAGGATCATGGCTTTGTGGGTCTCTGCCATATTGGCACCCCCTAGACTGACTGTGCAGCTTGCATTGCCTGTTAGAGATCACAGATGGCACTCAGGAAAGTCAACAGGCCCTTTCCCCTCCCTGAGAGATTAGGAATCTACCTCTCACATGTAATATACATACAAGTAGGCAGCTAATTGTGGATGGTACTTAGCTTTCTCCAAAGTAAGTCAAAAGCAGTTGATTTCTCCGTCTTGAACCCTTTGAGGAGAAGTATTTTTAACTTCTCTACATATAGAGACTATATTAGGACCCGAAGAAGGATGGTTTGTATTTTTAATAGGTTTCCATATGAACATGTGTCTTTATTTCTCTAGCATAAATACCTAGGAGTGATATCACCAGGTCATATGTTAAGTGTATATTTAACTGCATAAGAAACTGCCAAACCATTTGCCAGAGTAGCTGTTCTATTTCACAATCCAACCAATGATGTATGAGAGTTCCAGTTGCACCACATTCTTGTCAACACACACTATTGTCAGGTTTTTGTATTGCTTTGTATAGCCATTCTAACAGATGTGTAGCAGCATCCCATCATGGTTTTAACTTACATTTCCCTAATGGCTAATGACATTGAACATCATTTCATGTTCTTATTTGCCTTCTATATATCCTTTTTGGTAAGTATCTCTCAGTCTTTTGCCCTTTTTTTTTTAACTTGGCTTTTTGTTTTCATGATTGGGTTTTGAGAGTTTTTTATATATGCTGAATACAAGTCCTTTGTTGCATCTGCAATTTGAAAATATTTTCTCCCAATCTGTATCTTGTCTTTTCATCCTCTTAACAGTGTCTTTCCCAAAACAAAAGTTTTAAATCTTTTATAAAGTCCAATTTAGTAATAGTTTCTTTTATGGGTTGTGCTTTTGGTGTCTTGTCTAAGAACTCTTTGCTCAACCCCAGGTTACAAAGATTTCTCCCATGTTTTCTTTTTAAAAATACTATAGTTTTACATTTTACATTTAGATCTATGATCCATTTTGAACTAATTTATGTGTAAGAAATGAGGCTTAGGTTGAGTTCATTTTTTGCATATGGGTGTCCAATTGTTCCAAGACCATTTGATGAAAAGGCTGTCCTTTCTCCATTAAATTGCCTTTGCACCTTTGTCAAAAATCAAAGGACCATATTTGTGTGGATCTATTTCTGAACTCTATTCTATTTCAATTTTCTCTGTCTATCCTTTTGGCAAACCACACCTGCTTGATTACTGTAGTTTATGTTATTACTGTAGGTAACATGACTGTTCCAACTTTACTGTTCTTTTGCAAAATTTTTTTGGCTATTCCAGTTCCTTTGCTTTTTCAATAAATTTTAGAGTCAGCATGTCTGTATCTATTTAACATTCTTACTGGGATTTGTATTGGAATTGCACTGAATTTATAGATCAACCTGGGAAAAAAAGGATGGTTTTTAAAAGACACTTGATTTCTAGAATGTATAAAGAATTCTTACAATTCAATAACTAAAAGGCAAATAATCCAATTTAAAATGGACAAAGAACCAGAATAGACATTTTTCCAAAGAAGATCTATAAATGGCCAATATGCATGTAAAGATATATTCAGCATCATTAGTCATCAGGGAAATACAAATGAAAACCACAACGAGATATCACTTCACATGCATTAGGATGGCTAGAGTCAAACACAGAAAACAGCAAGTGTTGACAAGGACATGGAGAAACTGGAATGCTTATACACTGCTTATGGGATTGTAAAGTGGTACAGCTGCCATGGAAAACAGTCTGGCAGTTCCTCAAAAGAGTAAACATACAGTTATCATAACCCAGCAATTCTATTGCTAGGCATATCCCCAAAAGAAATAAAAACAAATGTCCACATAAAAACTTGTATACTATATTCATCGCAACATTAGTCATAATAAGCCAAATGTTCATCAATTGATGAATAAATAAAACATGGTCTATCCATACATTGGAATATTATTCAGCAATAAAAAGAAATGAGGTACAGTCATCCCTTGGTGTCCACGAATGATTGGTTCCAGGACCCCCTGTGGATACCAAAATCCATGGATGTTGGAGTCCCTTATGTAAAATGACAGTGTTTGCATGTGACCTACACACATCCTGTACACTTCAAAACATCTCTAGATTATTTATAATACAGTGTAAATGATGTGTAAATAGTTGTTTACTATATTATTTAGGAAATAACAGCAAGGAAAAAAGTTTGTACATGTTCTGTAACCAACCCTTATTTTTTCAAATGTTTTCAATTCATGGTTGGTTGAATCCATGAATGCTGAACCCACAGGTACTGAGGGCTGATTGTACTGATACATGCTACAATACATACGAACCTTGAAAATATTATGCTAAGTGAAATACCACATATTACATGATTTCATTTATGTGAAATATCCAGAATAAGTAAATTTATAGAGACAGAAAGTAGAGTAGTGGTTTCCTTGTGCTGGAGACATCAGGAGAAATGGAGAGTGAATGGTAGTGAATACAGACTTTCTTCATACATATATATACATACATATATATATATATATATATATGTCCACACAGAAACTTGTACACTAATATTCATCACATTAGTCTATATATAATATACAGTTATATATATTGTTAGATATATTTATATATATATAAAACATTGGTCTATATATAGAGACTATATATATAGACTATATAAAGACTATATATAGACTATAGAGAGACTATATATATAGAGAGACTATATATAAATATATATATATATAGAGAGAGGGACAGACAGAGTCTCACTCTGTTACCTATACTGGATTGAGATGGCACAATCATAGCTTACTGCAGCCTCAAACTACTGGGCTCAAGTGATCCTCCCACCTCAGCCGCCAGAGTAGCTGGGACTACAGTCATGTACCACCATGCCTGGCTAAAAAAATTTTTTTTTTAATTTTGTAGAGTCGAGGTCTCACTACGTCGTTCAGGGTGGTCTCAAACTCTCAGCCTCAAGCAATGCTCCCATGTCAGCCCCCCAAAGTGCTGGGATTGTAGGCTTGAGCCATCATGCTGAGCCTGAGACAGTTTCTTTTGGGGGTGAAGAATATGTTCTGGAATTAGATAGTGGTGATTGTTGCACAATTCTGTGTATATACTAAAAAACACTAAATTGTATACTTTAAAATGGTGGATTTTATGGTATGTTAATCATATCTTAATAAAGCTGTTATTAAAAAGGAGAAAGAAGAGAAGAAAGAGAAAAGGGGAAGAGGAAAAATAACTGGATCCTAAAGATAAGCTGTTAGCAGTGAAATTACCCGGTAAGGGGCTGGGCGTGGTGACTCACACCTGTAATCCCAGCACTTTGGGAGGCCAAAGCGGGTGGATCACTTGAGCTCAGGAGTTCGAGACCAGCCTGGGCAACATAGTGAAAATTTTTTTCTATAAAATTTTTAAAAATTATTTGGTAAATTCTTATATTTTTATGTATGTTGTCAGATGGGCCCAAATAAAATTAGTACTAATTCAAAATCCCACCAAGATTTTGACTAATGGTCAAAAACCCCACCTACATAGGAACAAAGCTTTATTTTTATTTATTCTCCCATATACTCCCATAACCCCATCCATCCAGAAACAATCATCACTAAAACCTTGGTGTAAATTCTTCCACTCCTTTTCCTTTCCTCTTCTATTTCTAGACATTTAAAATGCTTGAATGTATATATTTCAAACATAAGAACCATCATATTGTACACAAACTTCAGATCTCTTTTTTCTCTTAATGTGGTCTATGGACACATTATAGATCAGAGTCTTTTTTTTTTTTTTTTATGAGACGGAGTCTTGCTCTGTCACCCAGGCTGGAGTGCAGTGGCATGATCGCAGCTAACTGCAACCTCCACCTCTCGGGTTCAAGCGATTCTCCTGCCTCAGCCTCCCGAGTAGCTGGGACTACAGGCACGCATCACCACACCTGGCTAATTTTTGTATTTTTAGTAGAGATGGGGTTTCACCATGTTGGCCAGGCTGGTCTCGAACTCCTGACCTCGTGATCCACCCACCTTGGCCTCCCAAAGTGCTGGGATTACAGGCGTGAGCCACCGCCCCCAGCCATCATTTTTTTTTAAGTTGCAAAAAAGAGTGTTCCATTTTATGGATTTACCGTAAGAAATAATGAAAATTCATGTTGTAGTTTACAATTATGTAAGTGCACATATTTATACATATATCTTTGGACACTTTTATGCTTATTTCCAAAACATAAACTCTTAGCAGTAAATTACTCAGTAAAATTCTATACACTTTTGATATTTTTATGGACATTGTCAGATGAGCCAAATAAAATTAGAACTAATTTAAAATCCCCTCCAAGAGCATTAGAGTACATTTTTCTCTGAACTGGGGCCAACAGATATAAACACTTTGAAAAATTTTGAAAGAGGCCTCTTAAGAGAAGAACTTCTCTGTTTTGGTGAATAAATCTGGTTCAATTTTCTTACCTTCAGCCTCCGCCATTGTCAGCTCCGCCAAACAGGAGAGAATTAAGAGGGTCAATGGCATGAGCCTTCTTACAAGCTCCATTTTGGCAAGGCGCTGGGCAGCCTTAAGGACCGACAGCTTTTATAGGCTCTGTGTTACATCAGCTTTCTGGACACCTCCAGGGAAACGTCAGTTCCAGCCACGCAAGGGGTAGATTTGTGTGAGAATAGAGCAGCTGTGTGACTGGTTTATCAGCATTCCCCACAGTGAGGGTTCTCTCTCCCCAACTCCTTCCTGGAAGGGTTGCCCCCAGTGGAAGCTCTCTGTAGGGATCTCCAGCAGCTGGTTCCCAGCAGGCACTGAGTTATTTTCCATGAAACTGATGGGGAGCTGTGCCTTTCTTCTGTGCCTGCACATCACAAACAGGTGGCCTCATTGACATCATTGAAGTCTTCAGGGCTCTGCTTTGAGAAGGGAGCCTGTGGGAGAACAAAGGCCTGTGGGGCAAGGCAGGGGGTGCAGCACCTGGGCAAAATCTGGGTCCAGCTGGGACATTCAGATGCCCTGCCAGGTGGCTGACCCTGTGGGGGAGGGGAAGAGGGTAGAGGATGAAGAGAAAAAGAGTGCAGATCCAGATTCCCCCACAGCGATTTCTAACCAGTTATGTCTGGAGAGACTGAAGCAGGTGAATTAGTCTCTCGGGCACGGTGTTTTGCAGTTGAGAGAAAGAAATCCTAGTGTCCACATTGAGATTGGGAGGAGCAAGTGGTGGTGGGTGGGGGCTGCCCTCTTTTCATTCATTCAGTCAGTAAACATTACTTATTGATCTAGGGCCTAAGCAATATAGAATTGAATGTGAGAGACACAGTCCTGCCCTCATGAAACTTGTATTCTAAGTGGAGAGTTAAACAACAAAAATAAATGAAGAATTCAACTGGTGAGAGGAGCTAAGGATACAATAAACAGGATGACTGCATAGATGGTGGTTGCCTTGGGGTGGGGAGGAAATATGACAGTGAGAAGGAGGGCATCTTGAGAGATGAAATCTGAACAAAGGCAGAAAGACAAGAGGGAGGCATTCATGGGTGATCTGAGCTTGGGGGCTGCATCTTAGGCAAAAGAGAGGGCAAGTGCACAGGCCCCGAGGCAGAGACCAGGTGGGCACACCTACAATAGTAGGGAATAAAGAACAGCCTGGCTGGTCATGAGTGGGAGGAGTGAGCTGGGAGGGGAGGATGGAGAGGAGCAGGTGAAGGTCAGATGGGGAAGGACCCATAGGGCAAATGAGTCTGGTTTTCACTCTAAGTTCAGGTGGAACATATTGAGTGGACAATGCCAGGACTGGCTACTTTCTGAAGAACCTTTGTGCAGCTCTGGGGAGGTCTGACGCTCGTGTAGGCTAAGTCTCCTAGGGTGAAACCCTCTGGCTACCGTCAGCCCCTCTGTGTTGTTCTGACTGTGCTGCAGCCCAGGAGGCCTCCCTAGGGAGAGCACAGTCCTACGTTGTGACCCAGGGGATCCATTCCTCGTTGGACCCTTGCAGGGGAAAGGCAGCACCTGGGATGCTCAGGAGGAGCTTGGACATACCCCAAGGCCCCTGCCTTGCTCTGCTCCATTCCTATCTGCCCGGGCTGGCTGTGGATGAGGCAGGACTGGGTGTCCTGGGGTGAGTTAGCAGGCCACAGGTGTTTGAGATGGGGGACCCTTCTGGTTACTAAGCGCTTGCAGCTGTGTCCATGGATACCCACTCCCACCCTGGGCTTTCCCTCTGAACCCCTCTTTGTCACCCATGGCTGGGATCTCCAACATCCCTAATCCATCTCCACTGAGTGCGAGAGTTTCATGGCCACACTCTGTTAGGTGGCCCTGGCAAAGGACCCAGGCTTCCAGATCCAGTCAGGAGAGAAGCCCCCTTCAGGCCTCTGGCAACTTCCTGGGGACCACGGGGTGCTGTGGGGTCACCCTGCATCATCTCATTGCTTCTTCTCTGTCACCTGTGCAAGTCCGCACTTCACATCAAGGACACAGAGGCTCAGATGAGTCAAGGGACTTCCCCTGGTGAAGGCCGAATTGGGATGGGAACCGGCTCCATAGGGCTCTAAAGCCCATGTGCGGTGCTCTGTCCTCCTGCTAATGGGGGTGTCCTGAAGACCTTTGTCCCACCTCCCTCACGGCCCCCGCAATACCTGCACCAGGTATAGTCACCCACATGGGGAGGCCCTGGCACAGGCGTCCTGGATCCAGGCACTGGGCCACCCACTGGGTGGGGTAAGAGGGGATTTGTATGTGCTCCATCTGTCAGAGCTGGCTGGTGACAAGAGAAAATCAAAGGCAGGGGACAGAGACAGTGCCCGGAAACTTAAGGGGGACAGGTGACCTCCAGCTGGAGGCTGCCCTGACTTGGCCTCTTCCCAAGCATGCTGGGGCTGGAGGCTCAGCCTCCAGGAGGTGCTCGGCGTCTACAGGCAGCTCCTCCACCCACATCTGGCCTGTTTCTGTGCCTAGCTGTCACAGCTGTTTCCTTCATTTGCGACTTCTGTTTTCCTTTTTACCCCCTTTTAGTAGATTACCACCTGTTACTAGCTAATAATTCTTTACATTCAGTATACATGTGATGGTCACAAGCAAGGGTTTAGTTCATGAGAGGAGTGGACATGGCGGTTACAGATAGGGAATCATGCTTAGAAAGGGGTTCCAGGAGGCTCAGGGGCAGGAGCTGGAACAGAAGGCAGCTGGGAGTAAAGTGGGGAGGAGTGCTTCCTGCCACCTGCTGTTGTGGTCAGGGAGTCTGGGCTTTGGCCTTTGGCTGGTGGTTCGTGTTACAGTTGAAGATGTTGATGGCTGGATCAACACACATCACTGTTACCGTAATCCACGCAGGAGCCACATGCTCTGGAGATTTGGGGATTGCAGTAGGAAGAAACTGGTTTTCAAAAGGTCCTTTTGAGGTCACTGAGCTCAGGCCTATCTTACACAGGTCAGACAACTTTAACACAGGGAGGTCCTGCCTGGCTCCTCTCACTGTCTTGGATAAATGGACAGGACAACAGGACAGGTATCAGGACATGACACCATTTTCTGCGGTGGATGTCAACCATCCAAGCCCTCACGAGAGCTAAACGAGCGACTCCAGCTGGACAAGATCAGCTGGGCTGAAATTGGAAGTGTCCTAAGAACAGTGTGCATTTTCCTTCTCGGGTGGGAGATGTGCTGGACACTTTTATTCCAATTCTCTTTCTTCTATTGCAATGCTACAAGCTAATCCCCCCCCACATTCCAAAGTGAGTAATAAATATATTTAAACAAAGGATGTTTATAATCAACAATCAAAAAATATTGGCAGCAAAGAGGATTATTTTTAATAGTGTACATTTATTCAAAAGTATATAAAACAACACTGTAAATTATATAATCTCACATAAAAACACTAGAACTTGATTTGAATAACAAAACAATCTACTAAGAAGTATTGCTCATGAAGATTTTTGTGCCCACCTTTCCTAACTCAGAGGCCCTCATTTATGTCGCAACAGCAAGGTGGCAGGGAATCAAAACTGGCACACATTCTATATCCTTCACAGCACTGCAGGGCAGGACAAGACTCCGTGGCAATGGTTTTGGCCTGGCTGTTCTTGGCCCACCACACCTTGTCTGGGTTGTGATTTTTTACAGCCACAGCTTCAGGTTCCTTTGCAGCTCTTGAGAAAAGACACACACAAAGCACAGGCTTAGAATTTTTCTTCTCAGCCCTTTTGTTAGAACTGTTGGGGGGTATCTGGGGAGTTTAGTGCTGAAGCCAGTCAAACATGAACACCAGCCCTACATTAAAGCTCTCTCCCCCATCCCAAGTTCCTCTCGAATCCTTTCCTCTTCTATGATTGCTATAAATGTAAACTGAGGTTACAAAAGCAAGAGTGAGTGATTTTGCAAGCAAGGTCACCCAACTGGTCACTGCAGGCCCCCGAGATGCAGGAATGATGGGAAGGTGCTGCATTTGGCTGTGTCCCAGGCTCCGGGATGTGCCATTGTGAACTCCTTAGAATGGGGACACAATTGCATCTGACAACCAATCTCTCTGGTACTTAAAGGGTCTTCTCCCCAAAATGCAATCTTATCTGACCTACCCTCCCTTGTCCACTGTTCCCCAGGTTTTTCACACGGTTCAGCTGTCCCTGAGATCTAGAGCCCCAGTCATTTTCCCCAAGGCCTCCAGAAACAAATGGAGGAATATCCTGAGAGCTCCCAATTCAGGCAAGAAGAGATCAATCCAGCCCGTCCTCCACATGAGCACAAGGCAGAGCTCGTTCATGCAGCCTCCCCCACAGAATCTGCAGCCTACAGTGCCCAGGACAGAGGGAGTCTTGGCCAAGGTGCTGAATTAAACACCTGATGGTAAACTTAGTGAGGTCCAGTGACAGCCAAGCAGCGCTGACACTCACAGGCCAAAGCTGAGAACATTCTACCAACCCCAGCCAGGAAGAAAAAAAATAAGATTCTACACTCAGCTGTCTTTGCTTTTACAAAGCTGCCTGTTCTTCTTGACTTCACCCAGGGTATGGCCACAGCAGCAAGGAATGACCTTGCTCCAACAGGAAGCCCAGGTATCCCACTGAGGAAGTGCTATCCCCTTTTCCCCATGTGACTCACTTTAGTACGTTGTTTATTTTGAACTTGTGACTCACTTTAGCGCGTTGTGTATTTTGAAGTAAAGACAGAGCACGACAACTATCAGCAGGAGCAAGGCCGCCAGGATACCACCAGCGATGACAGGCATAATCACTGTATGGAGGTCAAAAGACTTCGATGTACCTAGGCAGATAAGTGCAAGCAAGCACTGAGCCCACGTGGTCTCCCTCCCCACACAACCACTAAGCAATGCCAATGTCAGGGGAGGAAGAAGAAACCCCAAACACAGATCCTTATGTGTGTAAAACACAAATGTCTTCCCAGGGCGGCCTAGGATCCCAAGCTGGCCCAGAGATGGAAAAAAAGAAATAAAAAAAGTCAGTTTGTCAATGAAAAGGAATGGAAATGCAAAGTCCAGAGAGAAGGCTATCAGAAGGACAAACAGTGGGAAGAATCTTTCCCTTTCACAGGTGTGATATGCGGCTGGAAATAACAAGCAGGCCTGCAGTGGAGCTGATGGCGTCACTCCCCAGCACCTGGGCCTCCTGAGCTATACTCATTTTCAGAGTCAGAAATGACCCCCCACTGGATATCAGGCTCAAAGCTCTTCTGTGGAAATGACTGTTTCCAAATGTTACTGTCCCAACAATACTGAGAATATGCAAATCCATTTTGTAAATGATGCATGTTTTAGGAAAAGAACTTTACAATTCTTCCTCTGACAACTGGCATTTTTCCTCCTAAATCTTAAATTCTCCCAAGAAATCCAATTTGAGATAATAAATTAGTTTAACTTTCTGAAACTGGGAAAAAGTGAGTCAGGGGAGAAGAATAAACAATCTGATTGCCAAAGCATACTTACCACCTTCTAACTCCTCATGGCTGGATGAAAGCCAACAGTAAAAAAAAATTACAATCAAAGTAAACTTTAGGGAACAGGACATCTCATCACGAATTTCTCAAACCTTTAATTTGAGAAAGAAAATTCTAATGATTAACATCCAAAGTTGAAGAGCTTGCTTTTAGAAGCAGTCTTCCAGCAGAGCTAGCAGAATGGATATCCACAATCTAGTTCCAACTTCTGTGCCAATCAGGACACACGCTGTGTGACATCAACGCTCTGGACACCAGCTCTCTTTCATGGAGTTCTGAATTCCATTCCACTTCCAGATATATTTTAGCACCAATGGAAGTAGATATGCCTAAATACTCTCTTAAGCCATGGAATACTCAATCTCCCCTTTTCAGGCTTTGTTTCCCTCAGAGAAAAGTTTTAGTTAAGAGTCTGATTCCCAGAGATGCTATGTTATATTATTTTAAATGTCCAGTTTTCAAAAAAGCCTATAAGAAAGTATGGCCCATAAAGGAGTGGGGGAGCAATAAATAAAAACTGTTTCTGGAAGAAGCCCAGACATTGGCCCTACTAGAAAATACTTTTAAAGTCTTTTAAATATGTTCAAAGGAATCCATGTCCAAAAAACTAAAGGAAAATATGAGAATAATGTCTCATCATAAAAAATACCAATAAAGATAAAAATTATCAAAATAACCAAATAGAAATTATGTCATTGGAAACTACAATAACTGAAATGAAAAATTCACTAGAAGGGCTTTCATAGCAGATTGGGATTGACAGAAGAATCAGTGAACTTGAAGATAGTTGAGATTATCCAAACTGCAATACAGAAAGAAAAAAAAATGGGTAAAAGTGAACACAGGACTTCTGGTTTCTGCACAAACATGTGAAGGGCTTGGGAGTCATCATTCCCATCCTCACAACAAGTAAAAAGCTGAATAAAGTGGCTGAATAAAAGCTGAATCAACAACTCTTAAGTCAACCAGAAAATTGAAGTCACAGGGCAAACAGCCACCCCCAAAACTAAAGAGAGAGGTGAATACAGAGAATCCCAGCTTAGGAGCAGAAGCCATTGCCAGAGCCAGCAACTGGTAAGAACACTTACATGGTAACTGATGTCTTCCTGGATGATGAATAGGGACTAGCGGAATATTTAAAAACTCCTGAGGGCCCAATTTTGTTTTGTTTTGTTTTGTTGGGTGGGGGCACACATTCATGAGTCATATCTCCAGGAACTCACCAGGTTCTTATAATGAAGACAACAGGAAAATTCCTTTCTGTTTTAGTCTCCACTGACACTGCAGTGGAGGTGGCCTTATTACCACTGCGAGATAATAAAAGTCATGAAATTTCACCAGGCCTCCTCTGATGCCACCCCAGAAGTTAAGTGGAAAGTTGCCCCATTATCTATTGAGTCAGAGAAGAAATCCAGACTCCCCAAGGGGTCTCCACTGATACCACAGGGGTCAGAGGTGAGTCTCTGCTCTTTATTCAGCCTTCTCTGACACCACCCTGGTGGAGGGGTGCTTTGGGACACTTCTTTACAGCTTGGTAACAGTAGACATCTAGGCTCTCTACTCAGTCTTCGCTGGTGGAGTTGGGATAGGGCCATAGCTTTTTCTATGGTGTTTGCCTAGAATGCAGAAGCTATTGTCTAAAAGTTTTCTGTCTTGTTGAGTTGCCCATTTCCTGGTCTTTTGGCCAGAAAAACCAGTTTCTTGGTGGGGCTCTTTTGTCTGAACCCATTGGTGTTTCCAAGTTGCTCACTTCTTCAGCTCCAAGTTTAGGAATCCGAGACAAAAAGCAAAACTTAGGGAACTCACTACCATGCTATTACTTTGATCCCAAGGTCCCTAGCTAGCCTTCCTTCTTCTCTCCACCTATTCAAGTCTTATGTTTGTTTTATATATAATGTCCATGGATTTTAGTTGTACTTAGGAAGAATAAGAAAAAGTATCTCTTCCCATAAGTGGAAGTCCCCTATATGGGAAATTTTTAAATCAGTCCTCTGCTTAAAAGCCACAGCCTCTGCACCAACCCTACACTTGCTCAATCCTGAAAATGAGTGTTTCCTTACATTTTGTACCCTGGGCCCTTCGCATGTGTTATCCAGCCCATATCTCAACATAACATCTTTCCAGCCTCATCTCCCTCTCCATTATCCCACACCCCATGTATTTTCATGCCTGTGACCTGGTTAGATGGCCCTCCCTGTCCCTCGCCTCCTCTATCTGCTGAAACACCAATCCTGCAAGACTTCAATAAAATGCCATGTCCTTATAAAACCTTCACTGATTTCCACCTCTCTCCCTCCCGTGTTAATTGCTCCTCTCCCTATGTATCCATGCCCTTTGTTTGTGCCTATATGGAAATTTGAATTGTTGACTAGGTGTAGTGGTTCATGCCTGTAATCCCAGCACTTTGGAAGGGTAGGGCAAGAGGATTGGATTGAGCTCAGGAGTTTGAGATCAGCCTTGGCAATATGGTGAGACCCCATCTCTACAAAAAATTTTAAAAATGAAAGTGAAAATAAATTAGCCAGGTGTGGTAGCAGATGTCTGTAGTCCCTACTTGGGTTCAGAGGGATATAACCCTAAATAAGCTTAGTCATCATTAAGGAGCTAGGCCCTGTGGACCCTCCCCATGGGGGTGACTACTTCATCTCTCGGTTTCCCTCTATTTCTGTGGTTACCTGATTGCTGTTTGATAGTCTGTGGGCTTGTGCATTTAAAGTTTGCTTTTTCAAGGTGTCTGTGAGCTCTGTGGGGGCAGGAGCTCTGCAACCCTAGGTATCAGAGAACCTAGAACCTATTAGGTGCTGGCACATGTTATGATCAATGACTGAAATCTGAATTTTGTCAGTCTGGTACTCACTTTTTCTGACTGAGCCTCTAAATTTAGACAGTGCAGTGACTCAGACATAGCAGTTAAACCCTGACCAATATTATTTCATTTATTAAAAAGAATGCATACTTTCTACATTGCTTGTAAGTCACCAACATTTAACTACTTCCAATGTGTTTTAGTAATATCTTTCTGAGTTGCAATGAAGGCAACCAGGAGGCAACAACTAAAACCTCTGTTTGAAAGATGAGGAAACTAAAGCTCAGAGAGTGGAAGTGACTCCCTTGGGTCACACAGCAAGTCACTGGCAGCAAAGAAACTAGGACCTAGTTCTATAATCCTTCCCTCCATCTCCTGCTTCCCAAGTCCAATGCTCTTCCACCCCCAGCCTTCCTGAACCTTCTGAAATGATGTGTTGTTCCCCATTCCCAGTCCCCCAACTCTATTATTCAAAGGCCATGATTTTGGCTGTCAGCTGAAAGATCTGCAAATAAATCCCGTTGCATTTCATTTAAGGAAGGGGCTGATTTTTGTGTTGATGTTTTCATTCGAAGCAATATCTCACTGATGATTCACATGTGGTGACTGCTTAAGAGTATTGAGAGGGATGGGGCCATGTGTTCCAGATGGCAAAAGGTAGGCAGCAACTGTGCTCAGAATCAGTGAGTTCAACTTTGCAAAATGCGATTCCCAATACAGGGGCTGGCCTTTTCTCTATGGAAATTCTCTGTAATACACATCCACAAGGACTTTCACCCAAGTCAGTTATTTGCGAACTGCCCATCCTGTGACTAACACCTGTGACTAACCACTAACAAATGGTGCAAACACCCCGATGCCTGCTAAATTGCATCTCTGGTGACAGAAGCATCCTGGATCCAAAACTACATAAGCCTGTGAGCTCCCTACTTGACCCAGTTCCCATCTCTGTGCCTCCTCCACAGCTCCTTCTGCTCCGCTCCCGGGAAACTTATCTTTACCTTCAGACTCTTGGTGCAGATGGGGACCTTGCTATGGCCCTGGCAAATGCCATGAGAAGAGTTGGGTTTTGCCCCAGAGAGAGGATCTCCTTAACTGAATCTTTTATTCTCAGAGAAATAAAGATTGTGGTGAACAATATGCAATCGGATTTTATGAACTGCCAAGGTTTGAAGACAGTTTCTGTGTCTTTGTAAAATCCAAATGGCACATTTTACTATACGTCCCAGAACCAGATTACACCTCTCTTCCCATCTCCGAAATTCCCATCCAGTCTTTCCCTCACCAAACTTTATGACTGTAAAATCAGTTTTAAAAGAACCAAAGAGAAAAAACTGCAAACTTAGTGATGAATTACCATGTTCTACCTTATCAGTGCCTGTCTAGGTGATCCATGCAGATCCCCCGGCGGTGCAGGCACGATGAGGAAGATCACAATCTGCCACGCACTGGGCTCTGGGATTTGCCCTCTAACTCACAGGCTTAACTTCCACAAAATGTGACAAGACTGAGTCTGTCAAATCAACCTCTCATTTCTTGGGAGGCATTCTTCTCATACTCACATGATTCAAGAGAAGTAACAGTTCATCTTATTTTACCTGCATAAATAATGGCTCCTCTGCTCCAGGAAGGGCAAGAAACATTTCAAAAAGAGCTCCAATCATGTGTCAGACATCCCCTTGTCAGGCATCCTCCAGGGTCTTCCAACTGCAGCTTCCCATCTCACCACTTCTAAGGCAACTGGAGAGGGGAAAAGAGAACAGCTCAAGTACTCTCTAGCTCAGGAAAGGGGAGATCATTCAGCTTGTCAGTTTCTTCAGTCTACAGTGCCTCAGACAGAGGGAGAGCTCAGCTAACATGCTGAGTTAAACACCCGATAGTAAACTCAATTATTTAAAGTGACAACAAGGCAGCGCTGACGCACAGAGCCACCAGGCTGAGAACATTTTATTTACAAGCTCACAGCCCCAAAACAGAAGGTAAAAAAGCCAAGAGTGTACATAAACATGCCTTTGCCTTTCAACCTCTCCTGCTGTTCTTGACCTGAACCATATGTGGCTGCCACAGCAAAGAATGCCCCTGCTGAAGCAGAGAGTGTCCAGGTATCCCATTTGAAGGGATGTCCCTCATTGTTAAGTGACTCACATCTTTGCCATGGCACATTACAAGGAGACACAATCAGCACAGGGGCAGCACCCAGGAAGAGACCAAAACCAACTACGATCTCTGTCCCAAGACCAGCAGTCTCACCC
Organism: Homo sapiens; assembly: GCF_000001405.40. Lineage (NCBI taxonomy): Eukaryota > Metazoa > Chordata > Mammalia > Primates > Hominidae > Homo > Homo sapiens. The sequence goes on from NC_000010.11 coordinate 122,856,299, forward strand.
AACTTGTGGTGGCTTACTTTGTGAAAAGCCAAATATCATCTATGAGGAGCTAAGCAGACAGTGCCAATTATGTTCCCCGTGTAGCAAACAAGCAACCTGTCCTGCTGTTCTTGACCTGAACCATCTGTGGCTGCTGCAGCAAGGAGTGACCCTGCTGAAGCAGAGTGTCAGTGCGGGGAGTCAGCGGTGCCTGCCTTCAAGGGGCAGCCTGGGGGAGGTCATAAAGCCCTGATTCTGCAGCTCAATCCCAATGAGAACGGCCTTTGACACTGGAACGACCAGACAGCAAAAGCATCTGAATATCTTTCCCACTTCCAGTGTGCTGAGGCCTCAGTCTCAGTCTAGCCATGCTGGGGAGTCTGCAGGGGTCTCTTCTTCTTTCCCTGGGCCTAAATCAGGACTGCAGAGCATCCTCACTGGCCTCAAAGGTTCCTTCTCCAGCCCCCTCTCCCCTGGACAGACCCATTGCATGTTGCAAAGAGATGTAGACAGTGATTACAGATTGATCTTCATTTCACTTGGACTGAGAAAAATCACCCTGGGTTACTGCTGCTTCCCTCAGCCACTATATCCCTCCCTCCACTTCCCACCTTTAAACACCAGTGGCCTCATGATGTCCCTAAGCTGCCAGCCCCCCAGAGCCAGGCCCAGCCCTGCATTTACATTTCATTGGATGGAGACAAACAGAATTTGGTTGTTTGTGATTGTAGGAATGAGGTTCCTATTTCTTGCTGGCTAATGGCCCAAAGCCACTCTCAGCTCCTACAGGCCACCCACTCACAGGCCCTCTCACTCCAAAGCAGTTTACTTCTCCTTCCCAGGCTAGGAGTAAAGCCTCTCTCTGATGCTCCACCCACCTTTAAAAGGGCTCAACTAATAAGGTCAGATCTACCCAGATAATCTCTATTTTGATTAGCTCAAAGTCAGCTGTTTAGTAACCTAGACACAAGAGTGACATTCCATCATATTCGCTGGTCCAGCCTACCCTCTAGGGGATAAGAATATACAGGATATCTGCATGGGGGAGCTGGAATCTTGGGGGTCATCAGAGAACTTTGCCTACCATGAGGTTACTATGTTCCACTTATAAAAGGGAACCATTTTGGTCCAAAACATGAAGCCAACGAGCTTTGCTGCAATTCAATTTTCACTATTCTTTCTTGCTATTACATAAGTCAGTCTTTAAAGCAATAAATATTGAATTGCTGTCTAATCCATTTACACTTCACAACTGGTCATTTCTCTTACTACATTCAAATACGTTTATAAAACTCAAATTATCAATACAACACTGGGAAACTTTACCTCTGCTCCACAAAGGCAGTTTTGCTGTACTTGTGTATTTATGGTACTTATGTATCTGTTTCCTTGTATTTCTCTAGTTTTGTCATTTTCTCCAAAGCACTCATCATTCAAACTTGCCTCCAGTCAAGTTTTGAGGCTTTAATGACAAGAAGAATGTTATAAACTCTTGAGGAAGTACAAACCCTTCAAACTCACATTTCTAGGCCTTAAACTGTCAAACTGAAGCTTTGAAAAGGAACAAAAGAAAACATTATCAGTTTACTTTTATGTCCCCCAAATGGGCTGGAAGTGCGTGTCAGTGCCTGCTGACCACCTGACAACTACTCAGGCACTGGCAAGGCTGGCTCTGAATGCTCTGACGATTCACATGTGGTGACTACTTAAGAGTGTAACTTTCCTCAAGGATCTAGAGCTAGAAATACCATTTGACCCAGCCATCCCATTACTGGGTATATACCCAAAGGATTATAAATCATGCTGCTATAAAGACACATACACACATAGGTTTATTGAGGCACTATTCACAATAGCAAAGACTTGGAACCAACCCAAATGTCCATCAATGATAGACTGGATTAAGAAAATGTGGCACATATACACCATGGAATACTATGCAGCCATAAAAAATGATGAATTCATGTCCTTTGTAGGGACATGGATGAAGCTGGAAACCATCATTCTCAGCAAACTATCGCAAGGACAAAAAACCAAACACCTCATGTTCTCACTCATAGGCGGGAACTGAACGATGAGAACACTTGGACACAGGAAGGGGAACATCACACACCGGGGCCTATCGTTGGGTGAGGGGAGGGGGGAGGGATAGCATTAGGAGATATACCTAATGTAAATGACGAGTTAATGGGTGCAGCACACCAACATGGCACATGTATACATATGTAACAAACCTGCATGTTGTGCATATGTACCCTAGAACTTAAAGTGTAATAATAAAAAAAAAAGAGTGTCACTGTGCCCCTGCGCATCCCTCCCCATACACACCTGTGCCCACAGCAGGAGATCACTCCTCCTGCATTCTTGAATGTGCACCTTCGGGTCCTGAAGCAGGAAAGTTCTAGGAACTGGGGAAAGACCACAGAGAGTGGTTACCCAGGTAGCCCTCACTGTCTGTGGGGCACACAGAGCCTCTGAATCCTTCTAAACATGGTGTCCCAGTACCAGCGAGAAGTACCCCTTGGGCTGGTGCTCCCCAGAGACTACAGAGGGAGCATGCTAAGGCTTCAGGGCACCCCACCCTCCCTGGCAGTTATGCAACAGACTTCTGTGAGCAAAATCTGAACACGGTTCCTCTAGGGATCTGACAATATATTAAATTTCCTTAGGAAAGATGCTTTTTTCTTCTTGCAGACTTCAGGTTTCCATCAGCGGTTCCTCTTCCAGGACTCAGGAAACTAGGCTCCCACAGAATTGCCCATCCTTGGTCTCTCTGCATCTTTTGGATGGAAGTGGACAGCACACATAAGACAAGGCAAGAACTGACTGATTCTACTGGTAAAGACACAGTAATCCACTTCTTGATTCAGATGGTTTAGTACTCAGACACTGAAAGAGAGATTAGCCAAAGGCACCCCAATCCCTGTTCCACACTCCAAATAGGATGACACCAAACAAAACACGTTGGATGACTGCGATGTGAGTTGTGGGATAATCTGTTGCTAAGGAGCCAATTCTATATTGAAGCTAAGTGGTTTAATATTCTAAAGTTGTATTCTGATGGAAGCATGGCAGAAAGCTTTATACCTTATCAGAACAGAGGCAGCCATTACGAACTGACTCATGAGAGCCTCCCAGAGAAGAGAAGATGGTGAGTGAGAGATGGCCTTGTTGCAGCTCCTTACAAGCCTCTCAAATCCTTCTTGATCCTGGAGGATCAAAGGCATTCCACCAAGCCTCAGATTAACTAGGGTTCAGACCTTGTCTTGCATGGCCAGAAAGGTGGAAAGGTGCAAGGTTGCCAGGGTGCAATGGCAGAGCCATTCCCTTACATACTCTTGTACCAACTGTCATAGGTCAGGAACCTAGAAAACAAACTCTGACACAGAGGCTTGTGTACAGGAGGCTCCCTGGGGAGTGTATTCAAAATCCACCCCTGTGAGGGGTGAGGGAAGCAGGACTGAAGGGTCAATGAACTATGAAGCAGCTGCAATAAAAGGTTCCCACCAATTCCCTGGAGAGTTTAAGGCTAGGCTGGCCCTTCCGAGATGCCCCATTGAGGCAGTGTGCTCAGACCTTTATATGCCTATATTGACTAGTCACTGGATGAGGAGTTGTTCAAGGAGGGCCTGTGAAGTTGTTCAAGACAACTGTCTTGAATTCCTGGAGAGCAGTGGCACTGAGAGCCATCAGCTGCCAACACTCCCGGCAGCTTGTATTTTGTCCTGGCACAGCCCCTTCCACCAACATTTTGGTCTGACTTTTTTTTTTTAACTTGCACACAGTAAAGTTCGCTCTTTGTGATGTACAGTAGTATGGGTTTTGACAAATGCACAGAATCAGGTATTTGTCCACAACAATACCATAAAGAACAGTTCCATCACCTTAAAAAGTTCCCTTCTGTGGCCCCTACAGTCAGCTTCTCCCCTATATGCCACCACTTGGCAACCATGGATCAATTTTCCATCCTTTTGTTTTGGGTTTGCAGATTGTCATATAAACTAAATCATATTATACTTAGCCTTTTGGACCTGGCGTTGTGCACTTAAGAAAATGCATTTAATATTTGTATATCGATAGTTTTTTAGGGTGAAGTACTATTCTGTTGTTTGACTGGACCACAGTTTATCCATTCATACATTGAAGGACATGTGGATTTATTTCCAGGTTTTGACAATTATAAAAAAGCTGCTATAATACATCCCATACCAGTTTTTGTGTGAATGTAAGTTTTCAGTTCATTTGGTAAATACCTAAGGGTAGAATTGCTGGGTTGTGTATTCAGTGTATGTCTGACTTTATAAAAAACTGCCAAACTGTTTTACAGAGTGCTTGTATCATTTTTTATTCTCACTAGCAATGAAGTTGAATTCTAGCAGCTATGTTAATTTGTCAGCATTTGATAATGTCAGAGGACTTTTTTGTTTGCTTGCTTGTCATTCTAACACATCTGAAGTGGTATCTGGCTGTTATTATTTGATTTATTACTAATAATTTTGAGCATCTTTTCATATGCTTATTTGCCATCCATATGCTTATTGGTAGATAACTTCCTTGATAAAGTATCTTTTTAGCTCTTTTGCTTATTTCCTGAAATTAGGTATTTACTTTATTATTCAGTTTTTAGAGTTCCTTCTTTATATGCTCTGGATCTAAGCCCTTTATGAAATATGTGATTTGCAAATATTTTCTCCTAGTCTATGGCTTTTCTTTTCATTCTTTTAAGTGTGTCTTCAATAAAGCAAATTTTTAATTAGATAAATTCCAATTTATCCTTTTATTCATTGATTACATTTTTGTTGTCATATCTAAAATGTCATTGCCAAACCCACTGTCATACAGATTTTCTCCTATTTTCTTCTGTATGTTTTATAGTTTTATATTTTACATTTAGGTCTACAATTCATATTGCTTTAGTTTTTGTAAATGAGGTATATGTTGAGGTTCATTTTTTGGTGCACGAACATCCAACTGGTTTACAAAAACTTTGCCTTTGAAAATTTTTCAAAAATCATCTTATTTTTGTGGATCTATTTCTGGGCTCTCCATTCTGTTCCACTGATCTATGTCAAACTGCATTGATCACTGTAGCTTCAAAATAAGTCTTAAAATTAATAGTGTGAGTCCTTAAACTTTGTTATTTTTCAGTTTGTTTTGGCTATTCTAATTCCTTTGCCTCTTTGTATACATTTTAGAATAAACTTGTAGCTATCTACAAAAACTTTCTACATTGAATCTGTAGATCAAATTGGGGAGAATTGACATCTTCATAGTGGATTTTCCTATCCATAAACATGGACTATCGCCATTTATTTAGATATTCTTTGATTAATTTCCATCAATGTTTTATAATACTCAGAATACAGATCCTACCTAAAGTTTATTAGATTTATACCTAAATGCTTCTTTAACTTTTAGTGCTATTGTAAACAGTATTATTTTCAAATTTCAAATTCCAATTGTTCATTGCTGGTACACATGAGCAGTGAATTTTTATATATTGACATCATTGCTGAGCTCACATCCTGAGCCACTGGGACATTCTTTAAAAACTAGTCAGCCATATCATTTTTCCTGCTCTAACAGTACCCACTGACCTTAGGGTAAAATCCAAACTCCTTATCTGACCTACACAGACCTTCATAATCTGACCTACACGGACCTTCATAATCTGACCATTTACCTGCCTCTCTTTTCTGTCACCACCTCCCATCTTGCTTTCTTTCACTGACATTCAAGCCACAATGGCCCTCCTTCCCTTACTGTGCAGACATGCCCAGTTGCTTCCTGCCTCAAGGCCTTAGCCCTTGTCTGTTTCTTTGCCTAACATGCACCAGCCCCTCCCCAAGACATGTCACACCTGAGTGCATTCCTCTTTATGTCTTTGCTAAAATTTCCCCTTCTCAAAATGGCATTCCTTGGCCATATTATTGAACCCCCACCTACAAGACACCCTCTATCTTATCACCTTGTTTAATTAGATTCTAAACAGCAATTATAATTTAATTTTGGTTTATTTACTGTGTGTCTCTCCTATTTAGAATATAAATGCCATGACAACATGGACCGTCTCTCATGTTCATTTCAATGTTCACATTCCCTAGAATAAGACTCAGTAAGTATACACATTTTAGAAATCTGGAGGAGAAAGAAGAGAAAAAAGAAAAGTAAATACATGAAGTTATTAACAGTGATTGTCTATACGTGGTTGGGATTGTGGAATTTTATTATTTTTCTTTTCAGTGTATTTCTTATTTTTCTATAATAAACATGTACTGTTCTTCAAATGAGTTATTTTTAAGGAAAAATAAATGAATAAAAGGCCTTTGTTTTCAGGGACTTTTCAGCCAATAATAAGCAAAATGGTTCCTGCATTATATATGGAGATTATAAAGAATAAGTCAGGTTCATTACAAACTGGGTTTTTTAACACAAATGCAAATAATAATTCTTCTAATATAACAATGTTCCTTCTGCCTTATATTTTCTTTGCTCTTTTAAGGACTATACACAAAGACATCATAACTACTTTTCTCTCCAGGTGTCCAAATGGGAGAAACCAATTGCTGATGGTATTTAGCTAAATGACTGTGTAAGAATCACCTGTGGAAGGTATATTCCCACTCACTGTGTGGCCAACTCTTCTTAGTACCAAGTGCAGTCTCTATCAAGCAAATCAAGCAGAAGGGCCAGCTTGGGAGGGGACAGGCTAAAGGAAACCCATGAAGCATTGAATCTGAGCTCAATTTCAATGAGAACCATTCCTGAACAGTGGAAAGACCAGAGACATCAGAACCATCTTTCCCACTTCCATTAAGCCAAGGCATTTGGTCTTATCACCAGGACATGTAGCTTTTTGGCCATGTTGAAGAATCTCTGTGGAAAGAATTCAGCTGCTCCTACCTACAGGTAACAGTAACATCCACAATCACAAAGTAATAGCTGATATTACACTGATTGATGACTTCATGCCTGGCACTAGCTCTTAGATATTTCATTCTCTTAAGAGACCCTATGAGGTAGGTAATACTATTATCATCCCCATTTTCTTAATGGAGGCAATAACAAATGGGAAAACATGGACATATGGAGGTTAGGAATTTGTCCAAGGCCATACAGCTAGCAGGGAAAAGGGCCAGGAATTGAACTCAGCAAATCTGGTTCCAGAGGCAGGCTATAAACCTCAAGACTAGTGGCTAGCAAACTGTATGTGCATTCAAATCAGCTACAGAGCTTTCAAAAGTCTTTTTAGAACAGTTTTCTATTTATTTTTAAATTGAGTAGATAGGACAGAATTCCCATATGTCCCTCTCCCCTGCTCACATACACTGTTATTTTATTTTATTCAATCTGTCCTGTTTAGTTCTGTTTAATTCCTTAGTGAATACTTCATTTACACTGATTCACTGAAGTAACAACCTCAAAACTTCATTACCATCCATAGGCGTAGCCTCAGATGATGTTGCCAGGGCTCTTTACCAACATCTCCTGACTGTTTTTCCATTTTCAGGCTGGCCCCCTCCACATACTGGGCCAGTGTCGGCTACAAGCCCACATCCTTAAGATCTATGATCTAAAAAGGAGAGAGATAATGTCCTTTTCCAGCAGGCACAAATCCTACAAAAGGACTTTGGTCTTCCCTGGATCACCTGCCCTTGAATTGTACCAGTCCCTGTGGAAAAAGGGACAAGGGCCCATGATCTTGTTCAGGTCAGGGTCACATGCACTGTCACTGATAACTCCTGCCACAATCACAATGGATAAGTGGTGAAGCTCATCCCAAAACAACACATGAAAAACATGTGTTGTTTCAGAGCAAACTGAAACAACACATGTTCACTGTATAAAGCAAGAGTGAAAAACATGAAGTTGTTGAAAAAATTTAGCATTACAGTAATTTTATTCTGACCATTTAATACAAGAAAGCCAAATAGGAATTCAAGTTTTCACCTTTATTTTTGGCATTGATGAATAATGAAGAACCTTAGCTTCTTCATACTTCCACAGTTACTGGAGTTAAAACAATCAGGTATTACATATTTCACTTGCTTTTTTAAAAGTTCTCCTAAAAAGCTGTGAGAATTCTACACCAGCATGGGTCACTGTTGCATAATATCACTGAGGTCTGTTGCGTGTACTACTTTTCACAAGCAAAGGAAAAATGATGGATTTTTTGAGTAACTTTTGTATACATATTTAGGTACTACACTTTTACTAATAAAAGTAACTTTGACAAGAAAAAACATCTTGTATTACTGTGGTGCATTTGTTACAATTAATGGGACAATATTAATATATTAACTAAGTTCGGTAATTTATATTCAGTTTTCTCACTCTGTGTGTACAGTCCTATAGGTCTGGACAAATGCACATATCCACCATTATAGTATCACATGCAGATTAATTTTGCCCCCAAAATCCCATGCTTCACTTATTCAACATTACCCTTCTCCTTTCCCCCTGCCAGACCCTGGCAACCATTCTTTTAATTGTCCCTGTAGTGTTGCCTTATCCAGAATGTCACATAGTTGGAACCATATAGTATGTAGCCTTTTAAGGCTAACTGGTTTCAACTGGCAATGTACACTTAAGGTTTCTCCATGTCATTTTGTTACTTGCTAGCTCATTTATTTTTATCACGGAATAATATTCCATTATATGAAAATACCAGTTTCTTTAGTTACCTACTGAAGGACATCTTAGTTGCTTCCAGCTTTTGCCAATTATGAATAAAGCCACTATAAAAATTCATATGCAGGTTTTTGTGTACCCATAGATTTTCAGCTCAGCTGGATAAATAACTAGGAGTCCAACTGCTGAGTCATTATGTACCATTTAAAATTCCAACCAGCAGTGAATAAGAATTCCTGGTGCTGTGCATACCCACCAGCATCATTTGGATTGTCAGGTTTTGTTTTTTTATTTTAGCCATTCTAATACATACTTGTTAAGTATGATGTTAGCTGTAGGTTGTTTGTACATGTTCTTTATTAACCTGAAGAAGTTTCCATCTATTTCTAGTTTGCTGAATTTTTTTTATGATGAAGGGGTGTTGAATTTTCTCAAATCCTCTTTTCTGCATCTATTGATATGATTTTTATTCTTTTATTCTTTATGTGATAGGTTACACTAATTGGTTTTCAATATTCAACCAGAAACATACTAGAATACCTTACACACCTGGAGTAACTCCCACTTGGTGTTGATATATAATACTTTTTCTACTTGTTGGATTCTGTTTGATATTTTGTTGAGGATTTTTGCATCTGTGTTCATGAGAGGTATTGGTCTGTATGTTTCCATTCTCCTAATGATTTTATTTTGCTTTGGTGTTAGGGTAATGCTGGCCTCATATAATGAATTAGGAAGTGTTTCTGTGCTTCTATTTTCTGGATAAAACTGCATAAAATTTGTATTATTTTTGCCACAAATGTTTGGGAAAATTCACAAGTGAACTCATCTGGTCCTGGTGCTTTATTTTTTTGGAAGAGTAATTATTAATTTTTTTTTTTACTAGATATAGGCCTATTTAGATTATCTATTTCTCCTTTCTAAGTTTGGGTACATTGTATCTTTCAGGAAATTGATCCATTTCATCTGTTATCAAATTCGGAGACAGCTGTTTGTATTATTCTTTTTTTTTTTTTTGAGATGGAGTCTCTGTTGCCCAGCTGGAGTGCAGTGGTGCAATCTTGGCTCACTGCAACCTCTGCCTCCCGGGTTCAAGCGATTCTCCTGCCCTAGCCTCCCGAGTAGCTGGAACTACAGGTGCATGCCACCACACCTCGTTAGTTTTTTATTTTTAGTAGAGATGGGGTTTCACCATGTTGGCCAGGCTGGTCTCTAACTCCTGACCTCAGGTCACCTGCCCAGCTCAGCCTCCCAAAGTGCTGATATTACAGGCATGAGCCACTGCACCCGACCTCCTTTTTTATCCTTTTAATGCCTGTGGAATCAATACTAATGGTCCTGCTTTCATTTCTAATATTAATAATTTGTGTCTTTTTTAGTCTGACCAGAGGCCTATCAACTTTATCTATCTTTTCAAAGAACCAGCTTTTGATTTCATTGGTTTTTTCTTTGTCAATTTCATTGATTTTTGCTGATTTTTATTACGTCTTCTCTTCTGCTTGTTTTAGGTATACAGGCATACCTTGTTTTACTGTGCTTCACTGTACTGTGCCTCATAGATACCGCATTTTTTGCAAACTGAAGATTTCTGGCAACCCTGTATTAAGAAGGTCTATCAGTGCCATTTTTCCAACAGCATGTGCTTACTTGTGTCTCTGCTGTCACATTTTGGTAATTCTTACAATATTTCAAACTTTTGCTTTATTATTATATATGTTATGGTGATCTGTGATCAGCAATCTTTGATGTTACTATTGCCATTGTTTTGGTCCACCATGAATCATGACCCTATAACATGGCAGACTTAATCAACAAATTGTGTTCTGAGTACTCCACTGACTGCCATTCCCTCATCTCTCTCCCTATTCTCAGGCCTCCCTATTCCCTGAGACACAAAAATATCGAAATGATAACAATTAATACCCCTACAATGGTCTCTAAGTGTTCAAATGAAAGGAAGAGTCATGTACGTCATATTTTAAATCAAAAGCTAGAAATGATTAAGCTTAGTGAGTAAGGCATGTTGAAAACCCAGATAGGCTGACAACTAGGCCTCTTGCATGAAACAGTTACCAAGTTGGAATGCAAATGAAAAGTTCTCAAAGGAAATTAAAAGTGCTACTCCAGTGAACACACAGATAAGGATACAAAATAGCTTTATTGCTGATATGAATAAAGTTTTAGTGGTCTGGATAGAAAATCAAACCAGCCACAACATTCCCTCAAGCCAAAACCTAATCCAGAGCAATGCCCTAACTCTCTTCAATTCTGTGAAAGCTAAGAAAGGTAAGGAAGCTGCATAAGAACAGATTGAAGGTGGCAGCCAGGCTGGGGGAGGGACGCCCACCATTGCTCAGGCTTAAGTAGGTAAACAAAGCAGCTGGGAAGATTGAACTGGGTGGAGTCCACCACAGCTCAAGGAGGCCTGCCTGCCTCTGTAGGCTCCACCTCTGGGGGCAGGGCACAGACAAACAAAAGACAGCAATAACCTCTGCAGACTTAAATGTCCCTGTCTGACAGCTTTGAAGAGAGTAGTGGTTCTCCCAGCACACAGCTTGAGATCTGAGAACAGGCAGACTGCCTCCTCAAGTGGGTCCCTGACCCCTGAGTAGCCTAACTGGGAGGCACCCCCTAGTAGGAGCGGACTGACACCTCACATGGCCGGGTACTCCTCTGAGACAAAACATCCAGAGAAACGAACAGGCAGCAGCATTTGCGGTTCACCAATATCCGCTGTTCTGCAGCCACCGCTGCTGATACCCAGGCAAACAGGGTCTGGAGTGGACCTCCAGTAAACTCCAACAGACTTGCAGCTGAGGGTCCTGAGAGTTAGAAGGAAAACTAACAAACAGAAAGGACATCCACACCAAAAACCCATCTGTACGTCACCAACATCAAAGACCAAAGGTAGATAAAACCACAAAGATGGGGAAAAAACAGAGCCGAAAAACCGGAAACTCTAAAAATCAGAGCGCCTCTCCTCCTCCAAAGGAACGCAGCTCCTCACTAGCAATGGAACAAAGCTGGATGGAGAATGACTTTGACGAGTTGAGAGAGGAAGGCTTCAGAAGATCAAACTACTCCGAGCTAAAGGAGGAAGTTCAAACCAATGGCAAAGAAGTTAAAAACTTTGAAAAAAATTAGATGAATGGATATAACTAGAATAATCAATGCAGAGAAGTCCTTAAAGGACCTGATGGAGATGAAAACCATGGCACGAGAACTACGTGATAAATGCACAAGCCTCAGTAACTGATGCAATCAACTGGAAGAAAGGGTATCAGCGATGGAAGATGAAATGAAGCGTGAAGAGAATTTTAGAGAAAAAAGAATAAAAAGAAACGAACAAAGCCTCCAAGAAATATGGGACTATGTGAAAAGACCAAATCTACGTCTAATTGGTGTACCTGAAAGTGATGAGGAGAATGGAACCAAGTTGGAAAACACTCTGCAGGATATTATCCAGGAGAACTTCCCCAATCTAGCAAGGCAGGCCAACATTCAAATTCAGGAAATATAGAGAACGCCACAAAGATACTCCTGGAGAAGAGCAACTCCAAGACACATAATTGTCAGATTCACCAAAGTTGAAATGAAGGAAAAAATGTTAAGGGCAGCCAGAGAGAAAGGTCGGGTTACCCACAAAGGGAAGCCCATCAGACTAACAGCTGATCTCTCGGCAGAAACTCTACAAGCCAGAAGAGAGTGGGGGCCAATATTCAACATTCTTAAAGAAAAGAATTTTCAACCCAGAATTTCATATCCAGCCAAACTAAGCTTCATAAGTGAAGGAGAAATAAAATCCTTTACAGATAAGCAAATGCTGAGAGATTTTGTCACCACCAGGCCTGCCCTAAAAGACCTCCTGAAGGAAGCACTAAACATGGAAAGGAACAACTGGTACCAGCCATTACAAAAACATGCCAAACTGTAAAGACCATCAAGGCTAGGAAGAAGCTGCATCAACTATCGAGCAAAATAACCAGCTAACATCATAATGACAGGATAAAATTCACACATAACAACACTAACCTTAAAGGTAAATGGGCTAAATGCTCCAATTAAAAGGCACAGACTGGCAAACTGGATAAAGAGTCAAGACCCATCAGTGTGCTGTATTCAGGAAACCCATCTCACGTGCAGAGACACACATAGGCTCAAAATAAAGGGATGGAGGAAGATCTACCAAGCAAATGGAAAACAAAAAAAGGCAGGGGTTGCAATCCTAGTCTCTGATAAAACAGACTTTAAACCAACAAAGATCAAAAGAGACAAAGAAGGCCATTACATAATGGTAAAGGGATCAATTCAACAAGAAGAACTAACTATCCTAAATATATATGCACCCAGTACAGGAGCACCCAGATTCATAAAGCAAGTCCTGAGTGACCTACAAAGAGACTTAGACTCCCACACAATAATAATGGGAGACTTTAACACCCCACTGTCAACATTAGGCAGATCAACCAGACAGAAAGTTAACAAGGATATCCAGGAATTGAACTCAACTCTGCACCAAGTGGACCTAACAGACATCTACAGAACTCTCCACCCCAAATCAACAGAATACACATTCTTTTAAGCACCACACCACACCTATTCCAAAATTGACCACATACTTGGAAGTAAAGCACTCCTCAGCAAATGTAAAAGAACAGAAATTATAACAAACTGTCTCTCAGACCACAGTGCAATCAAACTAGAACTCAGGATTAAGAAACTCACTCAAAAGCGCTCAACTACATGGAAACTGAACAACCTGCTCCTGAATGACTACTGGGTACATAACGAAATGAAGGCAGAAATAAAGAGGTTCTTTGAAACCAACGAGAACAAAGACACAGCATACCAGAATCTCTGGGACACATTCAAAGCAGTGTGTAGAGGGAAATTTATAGCACTAAATGCCCACAAGAGAAAGGAGGGAAGATCTAAAATTGACACCCTAACATCACAATTAAAAGAACTAGAGAAGCAAAAGCAAACACATTCAAAAGCTAGCAGAAGGCAAGAAACAACTAAGATCAGAGCAGAACTGAAGGAAATAGAGACACAAAAAGCCCTTCAAAAAAATCAATGAATCCAGGAGCTGGTTTTTTGAAAAGATCAACAAAATTGATAGACCGCTAGTAAGACTAATAAAGAAGAAAAGAGAGAAGAATCACATAGACCCAATAAAAAATGACAAACGGGATATCACCACTGATCCCACAGAAATACAAACTACCATCAGAGAATACTATAAACACCTCTATGCAAATAAACTAGAAAATCTAGAAGAAATGGAAAAATTCCTCGACACATACACTCTCCCAAGACTAAACCAGAAAGAAGTTGAATCTCTGAATAGACCAATAACAGGTGCTGAAATTGAGGCAATAATTAATAGCTTACCAACCAAAAAAAGTCCAGGACCAGATGGATTCACAGCCGAATTCTACCAGAGGTACAAGGAGGAGCTGGTACCATTCCTTCTGAAACTATTCCAATCAATAGAAAAAGAGGGAATCCTCCCTAACTCATTTTATGAGGCCAGCATCATTCTGATACCAAAGCCCGGCAGAGACACAACCAAAAAAGAGAATTTTAGACCAATATCCTTGATGAACATTGATGCAAAAATCCTCAATAAAATACTGGCAAACTGAATCCAGCAGCACATCAAAAAGCTTATCCACCATGATCCAGTGGGCTTCATCCCTGGGATGCAAGGCTGGTTCAACATATGCAAATCAATAAACGTAATCCAGCATATAAACAGAAACAAAGACAAAAACCACAAGATTATCTCAATAGATGCAGAAAAGGCCTTTGACAAAATTCAACAACCTTCATGCTAAAAACTCTCAATAAATTAGGTATTGACGGGACGTATCTCAAAATAATAAGAGCTATCTATGACAAACCCATAGCCAATATCATACTGAATGGACAAAAACTGGAAGCATTCCCTTTGAAAACTGGCACAAGACAGGGATGCCCTCTCTCACCACTCCTATTCAACATAGTGTTGGAAGCTTTGGCCAGGGCAATCAGGCAGAAGAAGGAAATAAAGGGCATTCAATTAGGAAAAGAGGAAGTCAAATTGTCCCTGTTTGCAGAGGACATGATTGTAAATCTAGAAA